>NC_000019.10:28490874-29115874 GCF_000001405.40 Homo sapiens | reverse complement strand
CTAAAAATACAAAAAAGTAGCGGGGCGTGGTGGCAGGCACCTATAGTCCCAGCTACTCGGGAGGCTGAGGCAGGAGAATGGCGTGAACCCAGGAGGCGGAGCTTGCAGTGAGCCGAGATCACACCACTGCACTCCAGCCTGGGCGACAGAGCAAGACTCGGTCTCCAAAAAAAAAAAAAAAATGAAGACCACCCACGGGAAAGAAGCAGCACCCACATCTGTGCCGTGCCCTCTCGAGGACTGACAGGGAGCCAGCAGTGAGGGCAGGGGGCAGGGGAAGGGCCTATGATCATCCCCTTCTTGGCAAAGGGGTTTGATCCTCCTCCCCCTGCCCCAGGCCAATGGGATGGCTGCCTTCCTGGACTCTGGGGCACATACTGTCCACACTGCCCACCGGCCTCACTCCACTGCCCTGGGAACTCTGTGATCCATGCAAGAGCCTGCACCCTCCTTGGCTTGTCTGATGTTTTCTTCATGGCATGGCCTTCATCCAGCCCAATCTTGTGGCAGGGCACAAAGTAGGTGCCCCCACTCCCTCCTCTTATGAAGGTTCACAGCCAGGGGGTAGAATATGGGGGGCAGGAATGCTCCAGTGGGTGGGTGGGTGGAGTCATGCCACAGGGTGAGTGGAGGCCCCATGCTGAGAGCACCTCTCTGGGCTTGGAGGTAGCTGGAAATTGCCCTGAAGCACTGGGCATGGGCCCTTTTCCCAGATAGCAGAAAGATGTTAGGGCAGAATGCAGAATGGCCCTACGACCCTGGAGGCAACAGAGAGAGGGAGAGGGTGAAGAAGCAGGAGAGGAAGGAAGGGAGAGGACTGTGAGCTCAGGTCCCGAAAACTCCATAGTAGAGAAAGCTTGCTCTAAAGGTGGCATTAGAGTTCTATATCCTAGGGAATCTTGGAGTCAATTCCACTTTAAGCCTAAGATTTTGCATAAAGCAAACTATTATTCCTTTTCTTTTTTTTGTAAACCTTTCCTGTGTAAACCTTCTTAGAATGGCATAAATATCTTCATTCAGTAAACACACAGATCTTTGAGTAATTAAGGCCCTGTGTGAGTGCTGGTCCTTGACTGCCTCATCTTTGGCAATACTTTGGAGTGTACTTAGAAACACCACACTGCAAGGCTGGGAGAGATTACTTGGAGTAAAAATCTGATCCAGAGAGAACTCCCTACTCGTGACCTTTGCTCAGCGTTCAGGGTCTGGGCAAAGGCTCCCTGGCCATTGTGACCTGGAGAGCAATGGCTCTTTCCCAGCCTTACAGGGGATGGCACATACAGCTTATCTGTTGACTCTTGAAGAAGCTGTGACACAGCACCATTTTTCTAAAGCGAAAAAAGTATGGAAACTTTTCTAATGATCATTAGACACACAGTGCTGGAGTCAGAATGCCAGGGTCCACCCCAGCTTCATCACCTCCTAGAGTGAGTCCCAGCCCCCCCGCCCCCTAGAGCGAGCCCCAACCCCACTGCCCCCTAGAGCAAGCCCCAGCCCCATCACCTCCTAGAGCGAGCCCCAGCCCCATCACCTCCTAGAGCGAGCCCCAGCCCCGCCGCCCCCTACAGCGAGCCCCAGCCCTGCTGCCCCCTAGAGCGAGCCCCAGCCCCATCACCTTCTAGAGCCAGCCCCAGCCCCGCCGCCCCCTACAGCGAGCCCCAGCCCCATCACCTCCTAGAGCCAGGCCCAGCCCCACCACCCCCTAGAGCGAACTTCAGCCCCACCACCTCCTAGAACCAGCCTCAACCCTACTGCCCCATAGAGTGAGCCCCAGCCCTGCTGCCACCTAGAGTAAACTCCAGCCCCACAGCCTCCTAGAGTGAGCCCCAGCCCCCCTGCCCCCTAGAGCGAACTCCAGCCTCACCACCTCCTACAGCCAGCCCCAGCCCCACTGCCTCGTACAGCGAGCCCCAGCTCTGCTGTCCCCTTAGAGCGAGCCCCAGCTCCACCACTTCCCAGAGTGAAACTGACCCCGCATGGTTCCCATCATCCCTGTGCAATGGGGATGATAAGGGAGCTTCAGTTGCAGAGCTGCATCCAGAATTGAAAGAGTTGGCACAGGGGCGGGACTTCATCCGTTTCTGGCACATCCTGTCCTTGGCTACCGTGATACCTGGCTGTCTGGGGACTCAACCTGGAAACCTTTCAAACACAGCCTCCATCCATAAACGTTGAGCTGGGTCCTGGGAAAGACTCTGTGGAGGTGGCAGTGATGAGCACTGACTCTACGCAGTCTAATGGGCAGTGGTCATACACTGGTGAGGACTCAGTGATGAGCAGCAGGTGGGTGGGCGAGATGAGTTCCGCCCCTTGGGGTCGGGATGAGCAGGGTCCTTCAAGGCTGTGACATCTGAGCTGGCATTTGTGAAGGGGCCTGAGGGAGCAAGGGTGTGGAGAGCTTGAAGGAGATGAGTGTCCATTTGGTGTCACGGGCAGTGACACGACAGGAAGGCCGATCAGTGGGCTCCTATGTGTCCAGCCCATGTCCAGCCCATGTCCAGCCATGTCCAGCCCATGACCCTGGATTTGTTTTTTGTTTTTTGATTTTTTTTCAAAAACAGCAGGCTGGAGCACAGCAGTGCAATCAGGGCTCACTGCTGCCTCCACCTCCTGGGCTCAAGCAATGCTTCCACCTCAGCCTTCCAAGTAGCTGGGACTGCAGATGTGTGCCATCACACGTGAAATTTTTTTTTAATTTTGTAGAGGCAGGGTCTCACAATGTTGCCCAAGCATGTCTCAAGCTGCTGACCTGAAGCATTCCTCCCACCTCAGCCTCCCAAAGTGCTGGGATTACAGGGGTGAGCCACTGTGCCCAGCCTGACCCTGGATATTGGTCTGCAGGAGACGATAAGTCATTTTAGGTTTTTGTTTGTTTCAATCCTTAAAGCATGTTTTGGCTAATAAGAATTTATAGTAAAACATTTTGGGGAATTAAAAATGAAAGTACAGAGGTAAAAAGTAGATGGTGCCACAATTGAGCAGAATTTTAGAGGACTTATTTCCAGAACTATGCATTTATTCCATCAGTGACAATGACTGGGAGGGCTGCAGGCTTTCCCTGTCACCAAGAAGGGTCCCACCATGCGGGTCAGGGAGCAGCAAAGCACCTGGAATCAAGAGGCACTTCAGCAACTCCCTCAGTCAGTGCCGGGCTCCTCTCCCAGATCTGCTGAGCATCTCTTTCTCTTGGGTTTCCTTCCTCCTCCCAGCTCCCACCTCAAATCTTGCCTCCTTGTATCTTCACCTTTCTCATAGTAAAATACCTGTAGACAGACACACCTTTCTCTCACTACATTTGGGCTTTATTTAATTCACTTTTTTTCTGCTAAAAGACTCCTTCCATCAAGGATGGAGTGGGACAGGATAAAGGAGTGAGGGGGACCTAGAACCCTCTTGTGCCACTGGTGGGAATAAGAAAGGGGGTAGGGGAGAGTGTATGAGGTCTCTGTTCCTTCATCTCCCATCAACTGGGATGGTCCTGAGGACTTTGACAATGAGGGGAATGGAATAACTGCTGTTGGATCTTGACTGGGTGCAGTTTGGAGCCACTTTGCATAAGTGCATATTGGTGGGATTCCTGTGCACCCCAGGCAACCCCTCTGTCCATCGTCATCTGCAGTCCAGCTCTCCCTTTAAGTCTGAGGCACTAGTGGCGTCCCCTGGGTTTTCCTCCACTCGCCTTCCAGGCAAACGTGGTCTCCTATGTAAGGTAGGTCCTCCTTGCAGTCTGCCTTCCCCAGCTCTTGGCCCAGCAGAAGTCTACAGTGTTTCTGCCAAGGGGCTCTCTTTCCTCCGGAGCTTCAGCACTGACACAGTCTTTCCCTGTTTTGTATGCCAGCAGGAAGGTGGAAGTTGGGGAGGGTTAGATGCACAGGCTCAAATCTCTGTCTTAAAAAGAAACTTTAAGATTTTCTCTAAAAAGAAAAATCAATAAATCGCTAATGGTACCTTTAGGGAAGATGAAATGAATGAACAAAGCCTACTTTTATCCTACGATAAAGGTCAGGCTTTACAGACCTGATCACTAGCTAAAAGCTCGGCGAGCCTTGGGGAGAGTTTGGCCAGCTGCCTTGCTACACTGTCCTGCCAGCCCCGCCAAGGGAGGCCAGGGATCAATCTTGTTGGCTGGTGGACAGGTGCTGTTCCTCAAGCCTCTTCCCTGTGGGCTTCTCAGGAAATTAGCCAAGCTAGCTTTCCGGGCAAGAGTTCTGGCTTAGCTAAGATAGCCATTTGCCTTTTCCTGGGCATGTGAGTGGAGGTTTGGAAAATTGCTCAGTCTTTGTCCTGTAATAAAATGTGGATGTCTTCAGTTTCTTGGAGAGGTGTGTGTGTGTGCATGCATGCTTGTGTGTATGTGTGTATGTATATATGTGTATGTGTTTGCATGTATGTGTGTGTGTATATATGTATTTTATGCATATATGTTTGTGTGTATATATGTATGTCTATGCAGGTATGCATGTATGTGTATATATATGCATATATGTATGCATGTGTATACATGTGTGTATGCATGTATTCAAATAGATTTTCAAAGTTCAAGCAGCAATAGGATAAAAATAGCAGACCCATCACATTTGTAGGTGTCTATATTTTACCAAGTACAAGTACATCTGTGGTCCCCTTTGTTCCTTAGAGTTTAGGGGAATCAGCTAAGCCAGGGATTACCAACCTCACCTCATGGACGGGAAACTAAAGTGAAGAGAGATGAAGCAACTTACCTAAGGCCACCGAGTACGCTATTGATAAAACTAAGACCCAATCTCAGACTCCTGCTTCCTAGCCCAGTGAGCTTTATATCAACTTCAGAAATTGAGTTTGGCTACTGGAAATAATAAGGACTTCAGGAGTGAGATATTATCTCTAAAGTGTATCTTTGACATTGATGAACAATCAGTCTTCCAGCATAAACTCTAAATAACACATCCCAGTTCTTGCAATCTTGTTGATTTCAAACAAATAATACAACAAATACAATGAAAACTATCAGCACACTTAAATGAATTGGGATACAAAGTAACAGGTGTGGTCCCTGAAAAACTCTGCTTTCCTTACACCCCAAAATACAGCCTCCCCCTCCCCTGTTCTCAGGGAAATACCATTCTCATCAGTTTTTATTTTCAATAGGTTTCAATGGTTTGAAAGCCATATGGGTGAAAGGTCACAAATACAGTGAAAACTCTCTCTCTCTTTCCCTTCCCTAGTCACCTCACATTTAGTGTCTGTCCCAGGAAGTAACCAATTTCACCTGTTTCAAGTGTCCTTGCAGAGAAAATAGATATGCATGCAAATGGGTGTCTTTGGGCCGCTTCCGTGTAACAGGAGTTCCAACACTGCTATTCTGCCTGTTTTTGCACTCGTCTGTCTTCACACACCGTATCTTGGAGACTATTCCCTGGCAGGACATAGCAGGTGTCTGTATTTCTCTTGATGGTTGTGTATGCCCTGACGTTGGGTGTTTGCACCATTTCCAGTCTGTTGCTGCTATTATATAAGCAGTGTTTCAGTGAATAACCTTGTGCATATGCCATTGTGTTATTCTTAGAAGTAGGATTATCAAGACACATGATGCATACATTTATAATTTTGATAGATATAGACAAATTGCCCTCCACACACCCAGAGCAGCAATAAGTCCCCATCACCCTTGACTGCACTCATAAACCCCACACCTGGATGCCACCTGTGTCATCTTTATAAAGCCTGAGCAGGGTGGATGGCCACATCATTTCAGCCTTTGAGAGGCCACGGAAGATGATAATGAGTGACCTCACTCATGTCACCAGCGACCTTCAGTTTGCTAAATCCAGCGGCACTTTCAGTTCTGGTATTGCTGGACCTCAGCAGCCCTAGGCACTCTGACCACTCCTTCTTACTTGATTTCCCTCTATTTCTCTACCTGATATGTTCTGTTTCCTTTGCAGTTTATTTTCCACTTCCCAGCTAAGAAGTGAGGGTTTTCAACCTTAGCTGCTCATTAGAGTCACTTGGGAAGCAGTTACAATTTCAGATGCGGGGGTCACATACCAGACCAAAACAACGATAAAATCATAACCTCTGTAGCTAGAACCCAGGCATCAGCATTTCTAAAGCTGTCCTCATGACTCTCATGTGCAACCCAGATGGAGAATGATTTCACCAAATGATGGCCTTCACAGGGATGAATCCATTTCTGTTCTCTTATATCATCTCTCAAGAAAGCTGCATGCATGCTCATAGCTTCAATCACCATCTGCATACAGAGGGCTTACAAATTTACACCTTCATTCCAGGGCTTTCCTTTGCACTCTATGCCTGAGTAGGGAGCTAACTTAGTATCTCCCTCATAGACATCCCAAACTCAGTGGTCCAAAAACAAGCTCATGACCTTCACCCCACAACCCTGATATTCTGCCATGTTTCCATTTCAGTGAATGGTGCCACACTTCATTAAATGGTACAGTCTAGAAGCCTGAGGACCACCCCGCCCCACCCTTGACCCCTCTTCATCCCTCCTCAATTCACTGCTGTCTCAGGCATGCAGCAGAATCCTTGCTGGTCCATCTGTTGATACTCGGAACCCCCTTGTCTTTGTATCACATTGCAGCTGGAGTGATCGCTTCAAAAGCACACTCATCTATAGCACCCCTCCCTACTCTGCTGCAAACCCTCCAAAGGCCCTCCCCTGACAGTGGGATGAAGACACACCAGTTGTCCTACAAGGCCCTCCTTGGCGGGGCTCTTTTCTTCCTCCCCAGGCTCCTCTCCGACCATGTTTCCCATCAGACGTTTTTCCCAGCCACCCAGCCTTTTCTCACTTCCAACATGTCTTACTCCTCTTCCCACACATTGGCCTTGCTGGTGCTCCTCCTGCTTCCATTGTTTTTCTCCCCTTTTGGCCTATTTGGCCTCTTCTAGTCTTACAGATCTCATAGGTGTCAACACAAGGGTTTCTGCCAAGAGGACGCTTTCTCAGACCTTGAAGACTGGGCATCTCCCTGTGATGCTCCCCCAACCCATGACCTGTGTTAGCTTCCCTTTACAATAATTCCACATTTACAATTTTACACCGTCTTCTGTAATCCCTTGATTCATGCCTGTTTGCCTTGGAACCACAAGCTCCATGAAGGTAGGAATGGTGTCTCTTTTTCTTGCCGTTCTATTCCCAGGGCCTTGTAAAATGCCTGCCAGCACGCTAATACATGCAAAAATGATAAATGAACTGCAGGAATGATTTCTTCTCATTTCATAACGTGGGAGATGGCAGTGGGGGAGTGAATGAGTTTGCCACCGATCACCAGGCAAGTTCAGAATGGTCCCAGACTGCCTTTAGTTCAGAAAGAAGATCCCAGGAGCAGCCCAAGTTGACCCTGTGGGGGACACTTTCCCTTTTACCATCTTTAGGTTGAGCTGGTTGGCAGCACCTTCAGAATGAGAGTTATCAATGAAAATCATTCGCGTTTAATAACTTCTAACAGCACTACATAAATACTTGAAAAAATTATGGAGAAGTGTTTACAGTAGCTGCATCTCATAAGGGAGATTTACAGGACTATTAAAAATTATTAGACCTCTTCTGTGACAGAGAGGCTTTCACAGGCTGTACTGTGCGACTTCGTATCCCGGTTCTGCAGAATGTTTATTTTCATGTTTTCAAAATACCGTATTTCTTCCACCATTAAATTTTATCTCAGAGGTGTTGTGTTAAAGCAGGAATTTCCCCAACTGTCTGATCTTGTAATTCAGCTCCAAAATATGTTGCTCTGGAAACCCTCTGGAGACTGCACAGGGCCAGGGCATGGCTGGGGGAACTGTGCTGAATAATGCACGAAGCCTCTGAGGATTGCAGGGACATAAATGTCTGTGTCAGGGCCACAGACCTGCTGGTTGGCCATTGGCTGGGCCTCCCTGGCAGACGGAGGTCGAGTTTCCATCTAACTATAGGCACGCGAGCAAGGAGGGAGCAGAGAGAACCAAGGTCTCATTGGGCTGTGAGCCCAGCTTGGTCGTGGAGGCACAGACCTGCTTGTCACTATTACTTCTGGGACATATGCACCCCCAATACATGCAGAATATGCAAGGGAAACTTTCTGGAGAATTAACTGTGCCATTGCCGGGCACAGTGGCTCACACCTGTAATCCCAGCACTTTGGGAAGCCGAGGTGGGCAGATCACTTGAGGTCAGGAGTTCGAGAACAGCCTGGCCAACATGGCAAACACCATCTCTACTAAAAATACAAAAATTAGCTGGGCATGGTGGCCCACGCCTATAATCCCAGCTACTTAGGAGGCTGAGGCAGGAGAATCACTTGAACCCAGGAGGCAAAGGTTGCAGTCAGCTGAGATTGTGCCATTGTGCTCCAGCCTGGGTAACAGAGCGAGACTTTAAAAAAAAAAAAAAAAAGAACTGTGCTGACTGCCCGCATCCCCTGGCAGCCCCCAGCATTGCTGAGGGCAGATGGTGCCTCCTTCCTCGACAGGTTGACCTCATGACAGAAACCAGGGTTCTTAAGGCAAAAGAAGACATCAGACATCCATGTGTGGTGATATGATGCTGTTTCTGGTCCAGATGCCACTTCACAGCAGAGGCTGCTTGAGCCATGTCAAATGGAGGATGTCTATGATGTTACAAACATTGTAAAATGTGTCCAAGAAGGAGTTTTGAGAACTTCTCTGTCACCAGGACTTATGTATGTATGTATGTATGTATGTATGTATGTATGTATTTGTTTATTTTTAGACAGAGTTTTGCTTTGTCATTCGGGCTGGAGTGCAGTGTTGCAATCACTGTAGTCTCGACTTCTTGGGCTCAAGATGTCCTCCCGCTTCAGTCTCCCAAACAGCTAGGACTACAGGCTTGCACCACCACATCTGGCTAATTTTTTTGTTTTGTAGAGATGGGGACTTGCTATGTTGCCAGGGCTGGTCTTGAACTCCTGGGCTCAAGTGATCTGCCTACCTCAGCCTTCCAAACTGTTGGGATTATAGACATAAGCTACCACGCTTGGCCTGTCACCAGGATTTAACATCAACTTAGCTGGCATTAAAATTCCCCAGCTTTTCCTCCCCTAGGCCTTGGTTCCAGCTGTTTCTCCTGCCTGGGATGCCTCCCTCTCAGCCCAGTTGCAGAAAGCCAGCAACACACCGCTCCCACTGTTGGTTAGCAGTGACTCTTCCCCAAGGTGGGGAGCGCCTTTGTGGCTTCCTGAGCAGGTCTTGTGCTCTGTTCCTGCGTTCCTGGCTTCTGGGTACCTCTCAGGCCCAGCCCCTGTCTAGAAGGTGAGCTTCCCTGACACAGGTGTGTTCAGGGGCGGAGCTGGTCAGGTGAGCAAGGCGTGCAGGCCATAGTGGCTACACAGGTCAGGCAGCCCTGTTTAATCCAGTCTGCTACCAGGAGGGAATGCGGGCCCAATGTGGCAACATTTTCAGATTTTCCAGAAATCCTGATTTCTACGGGAACTCTTCTTTTTTCAAGTTGCACAAATTGCAAAATTCTAGAGTTCAAACAAAATACATGTAGCTAGTGAACAGCATGCACCAGACAGTTGGGGTCACTCACCTCACTTCCCATCCTCCAAGGCCCTTCTAATGTTCCAACGTCCTTTCCCTAAGAGGCTCAGGGAACCCTGAAGTCGAGTGGAGACAGTCAATGTGAGGGGAGCCTGCGGAGGGCTGGGAAGGAGGAGGAGGACCAAGGGGGTCAGGGAGGTGGGGATGAACAGTGATTGGTTCTGGGTTCCACGGGCTCTTCAAATTCTGACCTCTACAGGTCTCTCTCTGTTCCCTCCCTTGCTCCAGTGACTAATTAATCATGCTACTTAGGAATCCTTCCTGCTGTGAAGGAGATTGAAAGGGATGGAATGGAGAAGTCCCTGTCCTCCACACCAGGAGAGCTGCTGGACTATGGACTGGGGGCTAGGAACCAGGAGTCCAGGGGGTGGGAGCCTCTGGAGGGCTCCACTCCCCATTTCCCTAATGAGAAGGTAACACTCCGTTGCCAAGCCCAGTGCGGAAGCTTCAGTGAGCTGCACTTGCGCTGGGCGCCTCTGCCTGCTAGCCCCAAGCATCAGGGAGTGCCCTGAGCTATCCAGGCATCCAGCCCCACGAATTAATTAAACCCCAGGCAGGGCAGGACGCTAATCGTAATTCACACAGCCTCATCAGGGCCCAGCTTCTCAATGGTAAATCAAGACGAGGAAAATGGTTTATTCAGGGTAATCCTAGTTAAACCAGACAAATTTTCTCCATATCCCACTGGCCCCATTTATGGAGGAAGGGAATGTGACTAGAATTGTTGAGGGGTAGTCTGTTTCCCAGAAGCCTGCACTGAGAGGCACTGAGAGCCCTGCCTGCAGCACCGTGGAGCTGTGTCGGGGCCCCTCTGCTTTCTTCCCTATGGATCAGGGCCCCTCTGGACCTCTTAGTGGAGCCTGCGGGTCACTGAGGACTGGGTGAAGCACTCACCCTCACCAGCATCAATGTCGGGAACCACTGAGGGTGGCAGGGGTGTATGTCGGGGGTTGCTGGGAAGAAGGTTGTTGGCTGCAGGGAGACAGGAGAGTCCAGAAGCTGCTTCCCTACAAGGGGGCCAGAGCTCCCCTCTTCTCTGGAGACAGAAGATCCTGATTCTCTGAGATTCCAGGGCTGTTCCAGCTTTGGATGAATCTGAAGAGAAGGGGAGAGTCCACTGGGTAAGGCCTCCTTCTGTGAGCACAGGGATACCCTAGACCCTACAGTTTGCCCTCTGAGCAGCCAAAGCAGTGGGTTCACAGTCAAGTCCTTCCTGTCTCTCTTTATGTTTTCAAAGTGCTCTCCAGACCCTGTCAGACACGCACCTCTGACGTCATCTCCCACCTCTCCCCCATCTGCTCCAGCCCCATAGGACAGTGCGTGTGTGTGCATAAGTGTGTATGTGCATTGTGTGTATGTGCATGTGTGTACACGTGTAGTGCATGTGTGTGCATGTGTGCATGTATGTGTGTGCGCTTTGCATATGCATGTGCATGTGTGTGTGCATAAGTGTGTATGTGCATTGTATGTGTACATGCATGTGTGTGCATGTGTGTGTGCAAGTGTGTGTACATGTGTATTGCATAAATGTGTTTGTGCATTGTATATGTGCATGTGTGTACGTGTCCGTGTGTGCATGTGTATGTGTATGTGCATGTGTGTGCATGTGCATGTGTGTACGTGTCCGTGTGTGCATGTGTATGTGTATGTGCATGTGTGTGCATGTGCATGTGTGTGTGCATATGTGTGTGCATGTGTATATGCATAAGTGTATATGTGCGTTGTATGAGTATGTGCATGTGTGTACGTGTGCATGCATGCACACGTGTGTGCATGTTCATGCATGTATGTGAATGTGTGCATGTGCATGCTTGTGTGTGCGTGTGTGCTTACTGTTTTTCAGACATGCCGGTCTTGGGACAGCTGTGCCTACATTTGGGCCAGGACTCATTGTTCCCCAGAGCCACAGCTGGCTTCTTCACATTGATTCAGGTCTATGTTCAGAGACCTCCTCCTCAGAGAAGCCCTCTCTGTGACCCAAAGGCTCTTAGCCACATCACCCTGTTTTATTATATCCTCCACAAACTGATTCCAACCCAAAATTATGATTTTTTTACTTGTTTGTCTATCTTCTCAGTGGCAGCAGGGACTTGATAATGTATAAAATCCCCGGTGTCTGGCTCAGTGGCTGGCACTTAGTGGACATTCAAAAGATAGCTGTCGGACAGAGATGTGACCACTGTCAGGAGTGTGGCCTCAGAGCAGGGAGTCCCCTGGCCTAAGCTCAGGTGAGAAGTGCCTTCTCCTGCAGGTGAAAGTTTGGCTCCCACACTTCTGTAAGATGGGTACTCTTCACCCAGCAGGGGCTTCTCCTTCTACTTCAGGATCAGCTCAAGTGCTACATCCCTTGTGCAGCCTTCCCTGATTTCTCTACCTCCCTCCTAGGACTCATTCTCTGCTCCTTCCACAGCCTCTTGCTGTATCACACTATAACGCCTCTTGCTCCGTGCAGTGTGCCTGTGTACTCATCTCTGCTTTGATGCCTCTCCCACCCCGCTGACCTAGCCCAGACTCTCCGGCACAGGAGCTCAGAACGGGGTTGGGAAGTCAAGTGCTGGAGGCGGCTGTGAGAGGGCCCAGAAAAGTCCATTCCTTATTTGAAGATGACCATCGTGTGAGTGCCTCAGTTAGATACTGTTCCTACGTGTCTTCACGTAAGAGGGGAGGAGAAGACACGTGTATTCCTGTGTCTTCACATGTCTTCAGGGAGGAGAGCAGGACACAAAAGGCTTAGGGACATTTTTGAACCTGACAGCTTAGAAGTTCTCCCGTTTCATCTTCTGGGTTTTTCTGCATCTCAGCTATCCCTGCTCCTGGTTTCCAGACCTGCTGCTCCAGACAGGGCATTGCTTTTACTCAAGACCTTTCATTCTATTGAAACTTCACTGTCCCACATCCTACTGTTCTGTAAGTCAACTGCATTACCAGAAAGCTCTTTCAGACAGAGCCCTGGGGAGATGACCATGCCTGGTGGTGGAGGGGCTGGGGCCACTCTTTCATGGAGAGACCTTCTGGAATTGATCTTAAACATGGAAACTTCGGGCATACACCCAGTGAGCCTACCTGGCAATGGTTGTGGGGGTGGCTATGGAGAGACTTGGAGTGCAGTGAGGAATGGTAACTGTTGGGGGAGGCCATGGGCATGCCAGCTATTTGTGAGGGTCTCACAGGGGACAAGTTGCAATGCCATCCATCAGAGAGTGTTTGGAACCCTCTATCTCAACCTTCTGTTTTTCCTACCACCTGGTCTCTGGAGATCTGGAAAGGGTGCTGTTTAACGGCAAAGCCAGATGCAAATGCATATGGAACACCTTTCTCTCCTCAGTACTGGCAGGTCTCACGGTAGGAACTGTACTAGTTTGTTCTCACCCTGCTCTAAAGAAATACCTGAGAATGGGTAATTTATGAGAAAAGAAGTTCAATGGGCTCACAGTTCTGCAGGCTGTACAGGAAGCATGATGCTGGCATCTGCTCAGCTTCTAGGGGAGCCTCAGGAAGCTCACAATCATGGCAGAAGGTGAAGGACAGCCAGCACTTCACATGGCCAGAGCAGCAGGAAGGGAGAGATGGGGAAGGTGCCACACACTTTTAAACAACCAGATCTTGCGATCACTCACTCACTATCACGAGAACAGCACCAAGAGGATGGTGCTAAACTATTTATGAAGAACCACCCCCATGATCTAATCACCTGCCACCAGGGCCCACCTCCAACACTGAGGATCACAGCTCAACATGAGATTTGGTAAGGACAGATATAAACCATTCCAGGAGCCATTTGGAAGGACCAAACAAAGACTCACTTTAACAAGAAATGTAAGATGTCTGTATAGGAACTACCCTTTACTTATTACCCTGGAAGCAGAACCCAGTTAGGTGAACTGGTTGGGCAAGTCATCATTTATGTTAGATTCTATAACCTAAGATTGGGCAGAGGACAAATGTGCTTTTAGCATTGTACAGCCAAAATTACATTAGCAGAGAGAATTGTCAGGAACTCTGAAGGTAATGAGATTTTACCTTACTTGCAAGATAAGTTAGTGAGTAGAAAAAACACAAAGTTTTTCACATTCTTGCACTCAATGACAATCAACACAGAAGAATTCAGTGGAAAAATGTTGCATTTTTTTATTCCCATGCACCAAGCAAGCAATCAATTCTGCATCAGACACCAGCTGGGTGTCTTCCAATTCAATTCTGACACTGTCTAACTGGAGATAACATCAGATCCCACAGGTTGAGGGCTCAGTCCCAAAAGACCATCCCACCCTACTTCAGGCACTAGTAGAAAGTCTGGTAAATGTAAATTAGTGTTTATCTGCATTCTGTGAGCCAGTCTAGCAGGTTAATTGAACCCAAAGAGGGGACCTTGGAAACCCCAACTTCTGACCAATTGGCTTCAAGTTGGGGGTTCCCAAGACCTCCTCTTTGGGTTCAATTAATCTGCTAGAATGGTTCACAGAACTCAGAGGAACACTTACTTACATTTACCAGTTTATTATAAAGAATATTTCAAAGGATACAGATGAAGAAATGTGTAGGGTAAGGTATGGGGAAAGGGATGGAGAGCTTCCATGCCCTACCTGGGGTGCACCATCCTGCAGGAACCTCTGTGTGTTTGTCTATCTGGAAGTTTTCCAGGAACTAGGAGAGGAACTCTGTTCTTATGGGTTTTTACAGGGGCTTCATTACATAAGCATGATTGCCTAAACCACTGGTCATTGGTGATCAACTTAACCTTCAGCACCTCCCCACTTCCTGGAGTCCCAACACTCTAATCCTGCCTTGGTCTTTCTGATGACCAGCTTCTCTCTTGAAGCTATATAGGAGCTCTCAGCCATCAGCCAATTCATTAGCATACAAGAAGACATCACTTGGAAGAGTCCAAGGAATTTAGGAGTTGTATGCCAGGAAATGGTGTCAAAGACCAAATATATATTTTACAACATCACAATTAGCCTGCCACAATTTCATGGACATTGGCAGAGGACAAAAGACTCCTAGGTCAGAGACAAAGAACTTTATTACTCACAGAAATAGCAATAGCCCAAGTATCAACATTTTCTTGTGCTAGTTTCTTGAGCCCTGACTCCCACATGGTGATGGAAAAGCCAGGTGACATCTGCACACTCAGTGGACGTGTTGCAGGAGAGGAGCTCTGAGCTTTGAGAACCTGGATCTTTTATGTTGGGCAGTAAGCAAACCTAGCCTTTGCTCTAGAGGGAGACATTCTCTTTACCTTCCAAGGCTGTTCACTATACAGTGATTCTTTTTAAGATTGTTCTGAACAAAGGCAGCCAGTCCCTCTGCTCACAAGACATGCAGAAACATGAAAGACCCATAAGGACAGGAATATTTTATGTCAACCCAATGACATAATTTTCTTCCCATGCACCAATGAGGGCTTCTGCAGATTGTCTTTTGCAGTATAAAATGTGACTCGTTTACTTTAGATGCTCTGGAACAGTTGAAGAAAACAAGAAATAAGGCAGACTGCAACACAGACTAGAAGGTCATGCTATCCCTTCTCTAGCCAACAGTGGAAAATGACAGGGGAAGTAAGCCACGCCTGGGGCTGTAAACATACCAGACAAGAAGAAACTCAATTCTGGAACGAGGGTAGAGGGCTGATGGAGACTTCATAAAGGGAGAAGCTGAGAGAAGATGGCCTTCAGGGAGACAGGAGTGAAAGGAGATACAGTGTTTTTACTGGGGGCCAATGCCCAATTTTTCACTTAATTCTGTTTATTTTGAGTTTTATCACTGGAAACAGAAAGTTCATTGAATCATCTCCAGGATTCTAAGAACAAGGGGTCATATGGGCAGGAAAGAGCTCTCCCCACCGCATGCTCCATGCAAACACCTTCAGGTAGGAGGTAGGGGGATGAATCTCCTGCAGGGAGGCAGTGGTTGTGATTCTCTTGGTATTTATTCCCCCTTTTCTTCAAAAGGATGGAGAAAGACAGAGAAGTGCAGAGACAGTGCCACAAAGAGAAGGAGCTGCTAAGTCACACCTGGCTTGAAGGGGGCTTTCTTGGCTCCCATATTGTTGCTGCACACCTAGGATTCAGCCTAGATCCAGTTACTTGCTGCACAGAAAGCCAATCACTGAAACAATCAGTATTGCCAGGGAAGAAAGGCTTTGTTGTGGGTGACACCAGCCAGAAGATGGGAGACAAGTCTCAAATCCATCTCCCTAAGTGACTATTGTCAGGGGTTCATTTAAACAGGAGCTGATAACAGGCAGCAGGTGGCCTCACCACCTGGATACAATTATCTGGAAAGCTTTAGCTCCCTGACACTACCTGGAAAGCCTGATGGTCAGCTTCCTGAAAAAGGAAATCGGACAAATGTAAATTTCTCAAGCTTGAAGACTGGGAGGGTCAACTTCTACATTTATTCAAAAAACCCACAAACATCAGTTCTATGGGAAAATTGGGCCAGTTTCAACAGATGGGCCAGTTTCTGCGGACAGCAGCATCTGAGTCAAACACCAGGATAGGGCTCAGCAAAGCACAAGAGTGGATGACAAATTTGCTTCTTGACATGATAATTCACAGGTAGCTGCAAACTCCTGCAAGAGCCTCACACATCCTCTTACTGGGAATCTGAAGGCCAGTTCTGGACCTGTTGAGTAGGAAGAGGAACATTTGGAGATGCCCACCCAAGATTCCAGACTTGAGAGACATGCTAGCCTCTGCAGCCTATGTTTTCAGAAAGCAGCAGCATGGAGGCAGGGGTGTGGACCACCCTGTCCCTGTCTGGCCCTGGGACTTAGAACCCCTGCCCTTGGCGGTAGGCATGTTCTTCCATGTGAGACATTATATAACATTCACCAAGGCCCAGTGGCCTCAGCTCCATGGGATCGGAGAGGCCAGGGAGCTGTGAGTCACACTTGCCTCAGAGCTGGGTGGGGCTCTCCCACTCAGCGGCAGGCAGCGTGCATTCCCATTCTGTTGTAAGCAGTGCAGCATGCCCAGTCACACTGCTTCCCAATAATCTTTCATAACAAACATCCAGGGCGTTTCAAGCAGTGCCAAGTGGGCTCTGAAGTGGAAACAGGGAACCTGCTCTGAAGCATAGCAGCTCTGCCACCTTCCCACTCTCGGGGCACTGCAGGGGGTGGTGGGGGGTTAGTAAATGGATGAACACCCTTAATTGCCTTGCCTGTGGGCCAAATGTGGTTAGTGAGAAATAAGCTCCTCAAATACAACATGCTGGAGCTGGATTTCACAATCAGCTGTGATATGGACATGAGTCCAGAGAGGAGTGGTAGGGCAGGGCCGGCAGTGGTGCAGGCACAGGCGTGGCCTTGGCTGCCCACTGGACTTCAGGACAGCCCTCCAGCCAGCAGCATCATGGGGGCAGGGGGATCAGCCCATGCACTTTGGCAGTTAGTTTGAGGAGTTTCTGAGTCAGCGTACTAAGAACATTTTATTTAGTGTCACCGTGTCCGAGGTCAATGGACTTTCATGGTTATCTCATCTTACATCCCTCTTTCGTGGTTGGAGAGACTGAGGTCTGGGCAGACAATTTAATAAAAATAATTCAGTCACAGCTGTCTTTCTTTGGGACTATCCCCATTTAACAGATGGAGAATGAGGCTTGCTGCAAACCTGCCGGTCAGTGAGGGGCAGAGCTGCGACCTCAACCATCAGCCTATGGAAAACAGATATCTGCCCAGTTCCTGGGATCTGTGCTTGTCTCAGTCCATGTTCCTATAAAGGAATACCTGAAACTGGGTAATTTATAAAGAAAAGAGGTTGATTTGGCTCATGGTTCTGCAGGCTGTACAGGAAGCATGGTGCCAGCATCTGTTTCTGGTGTGGCCTTAGGAAGCTTCCACTCAGAGGGGAAGGTGAAGGGGGAGCCGACATTTGCAGAGATCACAGAGCAAGAGAGCAAGAAAGGAGAGGTGCCAGGCTCTTTTCAGCGACCACTTCTCACAGGAACTAAGAGTGAGAATCACACCAAGCCACACGTGGGGTATCCACAGCCATGACCCAGATACCTCCCGTCAGGCACCACTCCCAACGCTGGGATCCAACTTGAACATGAGACTTGGCAGGGCCACAGGAGTGCTCCTGAAACAAATGTGACATAGCTGGGCACCCGTTACAGGCTGAGCACTGCTTTAGGCACTCAGGTGACGGTGGAAAGTAAGATGGAAAGATCCCTGTTCTCACAATTTCCGCAGAAGTTACAAGGAGATTTGGTTCCTGGGTGCCAAGGCTTGGCAGTGTTCGAGGATACCCCACAAGGTGCCATCTGTAGGTAAGGCAACAGTAATTCCCTTGAGGACTCAAATTTACAGAGATCCCAAACAGCATACATTTGAGAGACATTTTCTCCAGACAAAGAGGATGAGAAGGAGAATATCCCACCCAGAGATCATACTCAGAACTTAGGAAACAGTTCTTCTCATGTTATTGTATTTAGATGGTTAACATTCTTTGTTCTTTCTCGTTTTTCATCTACAGTGTCATTCTCATCAAGGGAGCATCTTTCTCCTCATTAAAATAGGAGGGGAGATATTCAGAAAGATATTTAATTTTACAGTGCAGGGAAACAAATACTATTTATTTATTAGTATAATTAGGACAAGAGACAAAACATATCTCAGATGTCTTTGAGCCTTTTATTGCTGCAGATATTGTCTTTCAAAACATCTGAAAATTAAGCCATGAAGCAGCATTTACATTCCCCCAATTACCAATGGGATGAGTTTCCCTGGGAAGGAGAGGGGAGTGGGGAGCTGCTGCAGCTGGATCATATGCACTTTATTCATTAGGCAGTAATAAGAAATTTACCATTTTCCATAAAGGGGCTATTTCAGATCCCACCAATCAATGAGCCAGGTGGGAAATTCTGCACCCGTATTTGCATGAGGGAGCAGAGTCACACCTCAAATATTTAAGCTAAAACTCTTTAATAACAGCATAAAAGCAGAGCAGGTGTTAAATTACTGCAGGATTTGTGTTGTCATCCCAGCCCAAATGTGGATGCTCCTGAATGACTGTGACATTTCTGCCACGGGGAACTGGGTGACCCAGTCCTGCTAAGTCTGGCTGGGCAGGCTCTGGGGCCAAGGTGATTGAGGACTATGCATAAGAAAAGAGAAGTGCACAAGAAAAATCCCATTCTTGAGGAATGAAAGCTGACGGTCATGCCTCTGGCTGCTCTGCCTACATCATCCAGTCATACCAAGAACAGAGGACAGTAAGCTTCTGCACATGTCAAAGATGGTTTGCATCAGATGTGCTTATTTTGTGTGGCAGCCATACCTTCTTCTGGTAAAAGGATCCCTGGTTCCCTTTGGTTCCCTCTGCTCTGTTGCATGCAGGCTGGCTGCAATTGTCAACCAGGGCACCCTGCCACTCTCACTGCATTAGGCAAGGAATAGGAATGTGACAAAAGACAGCCCAGTTGGCTTCTTTCTTGGGACTTCGACTCTCAAGGTACATGAGGCAAGGATGAATAGAATGGTTAGGGTTGATGAGCTGCCAATTAGCCCCGCCTGCCTGGGTCCCTGGAGTGGCCCCTGTTTCTGTTTCTTGCATGTCTCTGTCTCGGTGTTCCTTTGATTTGATGCATTCTGTAATATCTTCCCATTAAATTTCACTTTTGCTTAAGCTAGCCAGAGTTGATTTCTGTTGCTTGCAATTAAAAAACCTTGACTGATATAAAAATAACAGCAGCAACAACAACAGTTGCAGATGTTGTTTATTAAGAGCAGAGCTTTATAAGATGTTACCTCATCTAATGGTCACAGAGTCAAACTAAAGTAGGTATTATTATTGCTATCTTATAACATGGAGTATTCAGAGTCAGAAGCAGCCCAGGCCCAGTGGTTCTTTAAAAGCCTGGCTTGTGATCCCAGTGAATTCCTCTATATCAGTCAGAATTCCTCAGAGAAACAGAACAAGTAAGATAAATATGTGTAGACAGATAGGTAGGTAGATGTGTGGATGAATGGATGAATGAATGAATAGATGGATGGATGGATAGCTAGAGTTATATATATAAGGAGAGATTTATGTTGGGAATTTGCTGACATGATTATGAAGGCCAGGAAGTCCCACCATAAGCCATCTGCAAACAGCAGAACCAGGAGGGCTGGTGGTAAAGTTCAGTCTGAGTCCAAAGCCCTGAGAACTGGGGGAGCCAATGGTGCAACTCCCACTTTGAGACCAAAGGCCTGAGAACCAAGGGGCACTGTCGTAAGTCCTGGAATCCAAAGGCCCAAGAACCTGAAGCTCCAATGTCTAAGGGCAAGAAAAGATGGAGGCCTAAGCTCAAGAAGAGAGAGAATTCACTCTTCCTTTGCTTTTTTGCTCTATCTGGGCCCTCAATGATTGGATGATGTCAGCCCACCTTGGTGAGGGCAGATCTTTACTCAGTCTCCTGATTCTAAGGCTAATCTCTTCTGGAAACACCTGCATAGAGATACCCAGAAATGGCCGGGCACGGTGGCTCACGCCTCTAATCCCAGCACTTTGGGAGGCCAAGACGGGCAGATCACCTGAGGTCAGGAGTTCAAGACCAGCCTGACCAACATGGAGAAACCCCATCTCTATTAAAAATACAAGATTAGCCGGGCATGGTGGTGCATACCTGTAGTCCCAGCTACTCGGGAGGCTGAGGCAGGAGAATCACTTGAACCTGGGAGGTGGAGGTTGCAGTGAGCTGAGATTGAGCCATTGCACTCCAGCCTGGGCAATAGGAGCAAAACTGCATCGAAAGAAAGAGAGAAGGAGAGAAGGAGAGAAGGAGAGAAGGAGAGAAAGAAAGAAAGAAAGAAAGAAAGAAAGAAAGAAAGAAAGAAAGAAAGAAAGAAAGAAGGAAGGAAGGAAGGAAGGAAGGAAGGAAGGAAGGAAGGAAGGAAGGAAGGAAAGAAAGAAAGAAAGAAAGAAAGAAAGAAAGAAAGAAAGAAAGAAAAAAGAAAGAAAGAAAGGACCCAGAAATAAGTTTCCACCAGCTCTTTGGGCATCCCTTATCCTAGTCAAATTGACATACAAAATTGACCATCACACACTCTATATGGGGTCTCTAACTTGCCCTGCAGTCTTTTCTAGAGGGATGACTGCATGGCTCAAGTCCCCAGAATCAGGGTGAAAGCAGTTTCCAAATCATCTCCACTGATGGCAACAGATGGACCTAGAAGCTTGGGAAGGAGTCCTCCCTGATTTTAACCTCCCATTTGAGAAGAGTGTGTGTCTTCCTTCTGAATTAATTATTTATGGAATCCAGAAATCTCTAATGAGAAGAAATAAATTCTCAGTGGGTTTGGTTCTCTGACTTCAGAGGGCCAAAAGCCTGCCATTGAGAACTGAGCAGAAACAGTGCCCAGGATGAGATGAACAGGGGTGGGATGCCTCTGGATGTAGCAGGTCTATCCTGTGACAGAGTGCAGTCCTGCACAGTAGCCTTCAGTGCTGGCCTCCAGTCACTCGTGGGTGAAACCCCTCAAACTGAGGCCCAGTTTGAGATCAGCCCTGTTCTGAGGCTGCAGACTCAAGTGTCTACAGAAGCCAAGGGACAGCATGAGTGAAGCGGGTCCCTACAGTTACCACAGCAGCGGGGGTGAGGTCTGTTCCCATAGTAAAGGCCTCAGGGGGATGCCCTTGATCTACTCGTGGAATTTCAAGTCTTTCAACATTTGGGGATAGAATTGATTTGGAGGCAAGGGACTCTTCCAGTTAACATGAGGAGAATAACATTTTATTTGCCAGATTTTCTTAGAAGAAGAAAGCACACTTTTTTAGAAAAACAAAACGTTAGAAGAAACAAGCATGCTTTGACACATGCTTGTTAGGAGAAGAACTGTCCCACCTGTCTGAGAACTACCTTCTAACTAATTGCATTGGTAGCCAACAGTTACAAATTGGGCATTTCATTTAAAAGCCTGAATTCCTTCTTTCTTTTTGTGCAGTACATCTTCTTAGCCCAGATTAGCTAATGGGCAGATGAGAGCAAGGCCCCATGAGGCTGGGACATGGGGTAGGTACTGGGGTGCCGTGAGGGTGGCTGAGAATAAAAATGCATCAGCAACTTCACTGTTCTGTTAAGGACATGCATGTCCTTCACACAGAATGTTTAATTTCTCCACGAGATGGCCGTGGCTTAGAATAGTCTATCAGAGGCAGCAATCAATTTAGAGACACCTGGGCCCTCACCAGCAATTCTGGCTCCTCAGGTGAGCCTGGGGATGTCTTTCTCATGGGACAAGACACATTTCTCTCCGGCAGGCCAAAGCCTGCCAGATAGCCGTGTTCATATCCAGAGCTGGCTCCCAATCCCAAAGACAGCGCTCCACTTTAACTCCAGAGGCACTGGCAGTGTGTCGACATCCTTGCCCAAAAGATCGGAATAGTCTCAGTTATTTTGGGCAGGCTGTGTTAAACAGGAGGTTCTGATCTAATAGTTGGTCTGTGTAAATTGTCTTAGGAGTAATTTCATTTGCGTAACATTTGCATTCACATTTAAATTCTCAACTATCTGAAGAAGAAATAGTCATTAGACACAGACTGGGCTTGCCTTACTGTCCCTGTGACTACCACTTCCCCCATGTACACCCCTGGGCTGAGCAATATAAGGTCAAGGGTGGTGAATGGGATTTTCCTGAAGAAAAATGGGTTGTCAGTATGTTCCTTCCCACACCTAACTGCCCAGTAACAGGAGGGCGGCGCTGAGCTCCCGGAGGCCTGTCCTTGGAAATCTCCACCAAATCACTAAGACTCCAGCGAAGAGCCAGGGAAGAGGCGTATTTTCTCTCCTCTTCCCCCACTGGGGTGTGTAGGGAGGAGGAGGTGCGGTCATGCCTCCCAAAGCTGCACAGGCATCAATCAGGACTGAAACAGTCCAGGCAGGCGGTGCGTCCTGGTCAGTTCAGGGCTGAAACAGTCCAGGCAGTTCAGGACTGAAACAGTTCAGGCAGGCGGGGCCTCCTGGTCAGTTCAGGGCTGAAACGGGCCGAGTAGGCGGGGCATCCTGGTCAGTTCAGGGTTGAAATATGCGGGGCAGGCGGGGCATCCTCGTCAGTTCAGGGCTGAAACGGGCCGCCCGCGTAGGTGGGTCATCCTGGTCAGTTCAGGGCTGAAATGGGCCGCGTAGGCGGGGCATCCTCGTCAGTTCAGGGCTGAAACGGCCGCGTAGGCGGGTCATCCTGGTCAGTTCAGGGCTGAAACGGGCCACGTAGGCGGGGCATCCTGGTCAGTTCCGGGCTGAAACGGGCCGCGTAGGCGGGGCATCCTGGTCAGTTCCGGGCTGAAACGGGCGCGTAGGCGGGGCATCCTGGTCAGTTCAGGGCTGAAATGGGCCAGGTAGGCAGGGTATCCTGGTCAGTTCGGGCTGCTACAGCAAAGTGCCATACCCTGAGTGGCTCTAACAAGCAACCATTATTTCTCGCAGCTCTGGAGGCTACAAGTCCAAGGTCAGGGTGCCAGCGTGCTCAGGTTTTGGTGAGGGCCCTCTTTCGGGTTGCAGGCAGCTGATTTCTTGTTGCATCTTCACATGGCAGGAAGACAGGGAGGGAGCTCTTTAGGTGGGGGCGGGGGTCTCTTTTGTAAGGGCGCTAATCCCATTTATGAGGTTTCACACCCCCATGACCTGCTTATCTACTGAAGGCCGCAGCTCCAATGTCATCACCTTGGGAGTTAGGATTTCAGCATGTGAACTTTGGGTGGGGGGGTGGGTGTGGCACAAGCATTTGGTCCATTGCACAGCAGTCGAAGGGAAGCATATGCTTTGTCTAAAAGGTGCAGCAGCTGCGAAAGTGCCCAGTGTTTCACATCTTCTCAATTTTCTCAAGAGAATGAATGTTGTGGTTTTTCTGTGAAATCTCTAAGTTTTAAAAATGTTGGTGAAGGGTCAGGTGTGGTGGCTCACGCCTGTAATTTCAGAGCTTTAGGAGGCCCAGGCATTTGCTTTTGCTTTTGCTTTTGCTCAGGAGTTCAAGACCAGCCTGGACAACATAGTGAGACCCTGTCTCTACAAAAAAAATTTTTTTTTAATTAGCCAGGCATGGTGGCACGTGCTTGTAAGTCCCAGCTACTTAGGAGCCTGAGGTGGGAGGATCATTTGAGCTCAAGAGTTGGAGGCTGCAATGAGCTGTGATAATAATGCCACTGCACTCCAACCTGGGCAACCAAGGGTGATCCTGTCTCGAAAAAACAGATAAATAAATAAATTAGTAAAAATCCAAAATGTAAATATGCAATGGTGCCACTGCAGGCTGGATCAGAACCACAGGCCATCCATGATGTGTGATCTGGGCCAGCCCCTCGGGATGGATGGCTGCTTTTTGTACCATCTACATTGTCAGGAGAATGGGACCATGGTCTAAGAGGGATAAGCTTTTATAAGACACTTTGGAGGCAAACAAGAATTTCATTGTGTTTATGCCAAACACCGATGGTTTCAGTGCCAGAGGGCATTTCATCAGTGCTGCTGGTGGCAGGTGGCAATGGGAAGGGTCTTTAATTTGGGAAGTTTAGGAAGCTTCAGTTTAGATACTGGGATCATTAAGGCAGAGGATACTTTGAGCAACTTTTGAGCTATAACTCGATGCTGTTAGAGTCCAGAAAAGGCCCTGGTTTTCCATCCCAAGAAAAGCAGCATGAGTGGCTGTGCAGGCTGTGCTTGTGCCTGGCCTCAATGGCTCCTGAGCATTGCTCCAAGGAGACATTGGCTCCTGGAAGCTCTGGGGGCTTCTGGGAAGACAGGACAGCTGATTCGTTAGCATGCACTTTATGAAGCTGCACGTGAGTGTCACACTGTCAGATTCATTTTACAGCTCTCCAAATGGTAAGACTTTCTTGAATGTTTATGTAGGCTACGGTCGGACCATAATTTTAAGTTCTTAAAGCAGAGTTGCAGATGATAAGGGCTGTAAACTGAGAGGAAAAGCTGGCACATAACTGCCATGCTAATGGCTGCGACCTAATGCTCTGGAATGGTATTTACGCAGAGTGCTCAGGATGAAATTGACAATGTAATGTGAGGGCAGGGGGCCTCTCAGTGGAATTTCTTCAGAGGCCCATTTACCCAAGGTAAAGTCAGGGAGGGGGATGTTTAAACAACTGTTCCCAGCTCTGCTGTGGTGCTGTCTCTAGTGAACCAAAAGGGAGGCTTTACCCAAAACATTTTTTTTCCTCATTAAAAGAGGCTCAGAATCAATGTAAAGAAAAAAATATATAGGAAAGAAGAAAATGAGAAAATCCCAATTCATCTTGAAATTTACCACTCACAGATCATCGGAACTAACATTTCAGTGTGTAACCTTCCAGGATGTTTTCTGTGTGAGTATGCACACATGCCTACACAAACCCATTGCCTCCTGTGCATTCCTGGAACTGGCTTGCTCCTCCCAGCACTTGAGCATTCCACACCACGATGGACCGATGTAATTGTGGCTAGGTTGTATTCCATGCTTTGGAACAAAATCCAACTTTGCCCTTCTTGTTGGAAATTTTGGGTACTTCCAGTTTTTATAAGCACAAATAACTCTGCCATGATTATCCTTAAGCCTCCCCTCCTGCACATTTCTGATGATTTCCTTGGAATACATTTTTAGAAGGAGAATTTCCAGGGCAAAATGCATGCGGCTCTGTTTATACTGGTCGCACTCTGCAGATTTTCTTTACTCCCATGGCCTCGTGTCCTCTCTGTGCCAACCACATCCAAATCCAGCTCCATAGCCGGACCTGTAGCTTCAGGCTTCTAGACCCAACACTCTTCACTGGCCATCGTCTCAGCCACTTAGAGTGAGCATGCTGAAAGTGGAACTCAGAACCTCCTATCCAACCCACCATCTTCATAATCACCATTTGCAGGGGGCCCAGGATGGAAGCCAGGAATCATAGTCAGTGTCTTCCTCCCTCTCACTCCCAACCCAATAAATCCCCAAGTCCTGGAAATGCTTGCCCCTAAGCATGTTAAATCTGTCTGTGTTTTCGTTTTATCTGGTACTACCCAAGCCCAAGACACCAGCTTACGTCCAGGGATTTCTTTAGAGATTTTTAAACTCTACACGTTCTCATGAGAGATGAATGAGCCTGATAAACACATCCAAACCAATGTGATGGGACATGGAGATTCTCTATACTAGAAAGCCACACTTTAAAAGAACACTCAGGCTACACTTGATCTGAAGACTGGTGAGCCATTGGGCCAATCACGGCATTTGATGTGTAGAGATTTTTGAAATAAGGAACCTTCTGATTTCTTCTGATTGGAGATATTGAGTTAGCGCCTCTCCTACATTTGAGGCTGGCTCCATTCCTCATTCTCCGTCTTCAAGACAGTGTCATGTCTGAGTGACTTAGGTGGGGTTCTTTGCAGCACCAAAGGCTGGACCACGGCCCTGTACTGGTGTCCACAGCTCAGGACCTTCTCCTCTGCCAACAGGAGACCTTCCCAGACACAAGCTGGACTCTACTCCCTCAGTGACCCCAAGGCTGGCTCAAGTCCTGAGCACACCAAGCGCTCAGGAGGTGTTTAAAGGAATCCAGAACATGGTTTAGGCCCACGCTGCACTGGGGGCCCGGCCAAGATGAGAAGCATGGCCAGAATCCCTGGCCTCCAGACCTGAGTGACTTAGGGAACTGCTCATATAAGGAAGCCCTGGCCACTGTCAAAGAGACAGCTGTGGCTTGTGGCATATGCTGCCTGCACAGCCACCTGCCACATCTTCCATCTTAGCTGCCTTTGAGCAGGCTTCAGATAACAGGCAGGGACTCAGCACATGTATTCAGGCCAAACACTGCCTGAAGAATGTGTTCATAAATGCCTGGCTGTCCCCAAACCAGGGGTTGGCCTGTGGGCGTGTACCTCTTGGTTTCCTGTGTGTTCACAGTCACCGCAGTTCACTGAAGGATCTTGGAGACGGGACTGTCGGCCTCTGATTTTGCTTTTCCCACAGTGCCTGCCCCATCGTAAGCTCCCAGGTGCCTGTACACAGGAGGTACTCAGCTACTGGGCTGCCATGCTCTTTGATCAGGGGTGAGAGGGGGTCCCCCTGAAACTCTACCAGGAGAATGGGCACTGCTTTGGTTAGTGGCACTGAAATGAGTACATGTGGAGGTGCCACTCTGGAAGCTGGGCAGGCCTCAGCCCATCTTGGTAAGTTGCAGGAAATGCTCAGCTCTCAGCAAAGCAAATAGAGCCATGAGAAGTTGGTTTCTGAGGAGCTGCACAGAAACAACACTCAAGGGTTTATTTATGTCCTTTCTCACAAACACATCAAAATGCATTTGGACAATTCAAAGTCCAAAATGAGTTAAAAATAGCGCTGGGGGACAAAGCCAGCACAGAGAATCCATTAGTGCCGATCCACATTAATGACCTCCAAGGCCTTGGCCGCCGACAGCAGGGACTGGAGGTTGGGAGCCGCCAGCTGCGGTCACCACACAATCCTCCTACACGGGCTTGGCCCCAGGGATAAGAGACTGAACAATATTCGCTTTCAGCCTGAGCTGGGGTGAGGGGGTCTCTACCTCATCTGAGCTAAGATATGTCTTTGGGGCTAGGAGAATCTGGGGACAGAGCGTTGGGGGTGGGGACATCCTGCTTGGCTTGCTGGCATCAGTGTGGGGAGGGACTTTTCTGGCATGAAGAAAAAATAAAACTCTGGGATGAGGCAGAGTTATGGGAGCTGATGGGGAGGGCACTTCAACCCGCGCCTCCCACCCCAACCCCCACCAGCTGCAGAGAAAGACCAGGTGTTTTGTTTCCCATCAGTCACGGGCCAATATTTTTGCAGAATTCAATAAAACTTGAATTATGAGAAAAATGAAATTAAAAGAAAAGCCATACAAAATACAAGCCCCCAATTTCATGTTATTGGATTGAACAGTCATACTCCATGACTCTGTCAAATGGCTGCGGTGGTTTCTAAACACTCCGGATGTCAGTCTTCATCGTGACCACACTCGGCAGCACAGCAGAAGGCTCCCGCCATTCCTGGGCTCTCCCACCTCCATGCCCTTGCTCGGTGCCCCCTCAGCCGGGAATTACCTCTCCTTACCCTGTCTCTCCATGTAGAGTGGAACATCTTCTTGGGCCCAGGGCTGAGTGTCCACATTTGCCTCTCTCCTCTCCATCCCCAAGATGGCTTCAGACAAGGACCTCCCACCTCTCACCTAAATCTACCTGCCACCCCGTGGCTGGGGCATCTGTGTCCCTTCACGCGCCCTCCCGCCCTCCTTCCAAAGGCTGCCAAACAGATCAACGTCTTAAATCAAGCATTTCCTATCACATCACCTACCAGGTAAGGTTCCTCAGCAGCTCACAGGCAACCACAGGCCTGATCCCAAGTACCTAGACTGTGGCCAAGGCCCCACCGAGCTCCTGCTGCCTCCCTCCCTCCAGGCCCCCCACTGCACCCTCTAGCTGTCCTTGGATATGCCTTGTTCCCCCTGGCCCCACAGACTCCATCCATGTTGTTCCTCCAGCCGCATCTCCCTGTCTCCTTCTCCTTCATGTGGGGACAGATCCTGTGTGATTTCACACCCAGGCCCTTGCCCCTCCTTGGAGACGCCTTCCTTGCTTCTCCCACCCCCAGATCTAGGTGACCCCATGGAATAGTCCTCAATCCTTCTTCTAGCTCTTGTCACCCTGGAGTTTATTTTTTTCCCCAAATCCTGTTCATGGAGCACTTCTTGGGGACAGGTCTTTGAGTGCGGCATCTGCCTCCCCTCCCCGGGTGCGGGGCCTGTCCTCAGGAGCCACTCCTGAGCTGTGTGCCCAGAGACCAAAAGAGACTGGAAGGCAGACACAATAGTATCGTCACCCCAAGAGAAGTGAGAAGATCCGTGGAGGCCGGAGTGAGGAGGGGTGGGAAGGCATCCCCTCAGGGGAGGGGCAGGTGCCCACCTGGCACAGATGTCCAGATGCTGAGATAATCCGGGGCCTGGTAAATAAATACTGGCTTCCTCACCTCTGGAGTAGGACACCTTGGAGGTGTGTCTCACACAGCCTCTCTCCTGAGCAGATGAGTCCTGGTACCCACGGTGGGACCCTGGTCTCTCTCCTCCCACCTGGTTTCCTGCTCCCTCACAGGCCTCCTGGGATCACCTCCCACCCAAGATTTCTGTCTTGGGTGCACCCAGATTTTTGTCTCAGGTCTGTTTCTGGAGATCTGGAACTAAAACAAAGAACCTCCCGGCCACCACCCTGGAGTCAGCATCTAGTACCAGAGATGGAGAAAAAAAAAAAGTAGCTCATTGCAAGTCGTAATAAAGGTTCTGAAGAAAATGAACCAGGGCAAAATAAAATATCACACAGGGCCAGTCAATGAAGGCCCACTGGACACAGTGACATTTACAGATTTGCAATTGTATGCAACAAAGCTTCGGTACAGGGCAGCGTGTGGGGCTCGGAGGGGTGGCCGGTCCTACCAGGTCACAGAGCATCTCACAGAAGTGGAGACTGAGCCGCATACAGTGGTCGGAGTGTTGGACAGCTACGCAGAACTGAGAAAGCCTGCCAAGGCAGCAGGGGTATGGTTGAGCCTGAGCCGCCAGAAAAGCCACCTTCCACGGGGCATGTCTGTGCGGCAGGCCCAGGCTCACTGTGTCCCATGCATGACCCCTCTAGAGGCCCACAGCAATTTTCTGGGCTGTTCCCAGTCCACAGAAGAGGAAACCCAGGCTCAGTGCCTTGCCTAGGGTGTGAAATCAGGGGAGTGAGAGACGGGGTGGACCGTGGTCACCACTCACTAGTGATTCCATTTAGGTCCCTGTGCACCAGGGTTCCCCGTGGCTGCCTCATTCCAGGACCTGAGCACCACCGATTGCGCTGGGTATGGCTCTTTCCAGGTTAAACATTAACATTAGTATCTGTCCCATGTGAATGTGTTTGTGTTGGTCAAGATGAGTGTGATTTATGTGCTTGTGAAGGTGTCACCAGGTGTTGGGGACCAGACAGCTGCTCAGCACCTTGCCCTGTGACATGCACCGCAGCACGTGCTGGATGACGGAACAGCCATCTGTGCTTCTGCTGCCGGTGAGGGACAAAGGTGAAGGAGAGCCAGGGAATGGGCAGGTGGCAGAATGAGGCAGTCCCCTGGGGCTGCCACCATCCCAGGAGCCAGGCTGGAGCCACCCCACAGGCAGAACCAGCACTGCCACCCTACAATGGACAGCCCAGTGCCCACAGCCCTGCCTCGCCAGGGAAGCTGCAGTGTCTCTCCAGAGCTGAACCTGCCCAGGCCTCTGGAAGCTCCAGAGCTCCAGCCTGCTTGGCACCTCTCTCTGTGTGCTTGTCTCTCCCTGTCTCCTCACTGTCTGTCCCTGTCTCTGTCTGTCTCTTTGTCTCTGTTGCTCTCTGTTTCTCTGTCTCTCCATGTTTCTCTTTCTCGTCTCTGCCTCTTTCTGTCTGTTTCTCTGTCTCTCTTCTGGCTGTCTCTCTGTCACTCTCTGTCTGTCTGTCACTCTCTGTCTCTGTCTCTCCATCTCTTTCTTTCTCTCTGTGTCTCTGTCTCTCGTCTTCTCATTGTCTGTCCCAGTCTCTGTTTCTCTGTTTCAATCTCTTTTGGTCTATCTTTCCTTGTGTCTGCCTCTCTCTGGCCCTCTGTCACTCTCTCTGTCTCTGTCTCTCTCTGGCCGTCTGTTACTCTCTGTCTCTCTGTCTTCTATTTGTCTGTCCCAGTCTCTGTCTTCCTCTGTTTCTGTCACTTTGGATCTATCTTTCCCTGTCTCTGCCTCTCTCTGTCCATCTGTCCCTCTCTCTGTCTGTCTCTGTCTTCTCACTGTCTGGCCCTGTCTCTGGCAGTCTCTCTCTGTTTCTCTATCTTGTCTCTGTCTCTCTCTGTCTCCCTGTCTCTGTCTGGCTGTGTCTGTCTCTAACCTCAACTGCCTCCTGCCCTGCCCGCATCACAGCCCTTGGCGGCCTCTGACTGTCCTTCTCTCCTCACAGTTTCATCTCTGTTGGCTACATCTCCAGGAGCCTCCCTCCCCTGGATGTCCAAGGCCCCTCCTCCCTTGCGGGTTTCCCTGAAACCTAGGCCAGAGGCCAGGACCTGAGAGGTGGGGCAGAGTGAGGGAGCAGGCAGCCTACTGGAAAGGGGAGAATGTCCCACCAGCGTGCCTTCTGGAGCCAGCACCCCTGCGGCCACTGGGGCTCAGTTCTGTGAGCTGCCTCTGAAAACCTGCTCCTCCGTGCCTAGGACATGCCCACTCTGCAGCATGGGGCCTGGGCATGTGTTCCCACCCAGGCCAAAAACTCTGCTGCACTTCTGGGTTTTGCTGGAAGCAGCAGAGGGAGCTCCACAGAGATGGGGAAGGGCCCAGGGAGGAAAAGTACAGAAATTCAGAAGGTGCTTGAGGTGGGAGCTGACCCTGGCAGGAGAGTTGCAGCTGAAGTCTGAGCTGGGCCAGGGACGGGACACAAAAACATCGTTTACAACTCCTTGTTGCCTGCAAAACTACACCGGGGACCCTCAGTGCAGCATCTAAGGCCCCCAAGATGTGGCAGTAGCCAACATGTCACCCATCGACTGCAAGAGCTGCCTGCCCCTCATGCCTGGCAGCTCCCCGTGTCTGCCCACCTCCTAGTCTTTCTTCTCTATTTCCACACCCCGATGTCCCCGACCCCAGCCCCTCCTTCTGCACCCGTCTCATACCCACCTTTCTTTCTAGTTCTGCTTCTACAGGAGACCCTTTCAGGCCTCTCTAACCCAACGTGAGGTCTTTGTTTTGCTCGCAGTGTCTGAACCACCGATTTGTCATTTATTAGATCTGCTCTGCCTTCCTCTTTCAGCTACTTCTTCAATGTGCCTCCTTCAAGACTGCAACCACCTAGAATTGGCCAAGCTCAGCGCCAGGGACCAGGGCATGGAGACACAGCCCCTGCTGGCGAGAAGCTTGCAGTGCATGGGGATTTGATCCCGGGGGAGCCTGAGTTCTTCAGGTTGAGAATTGTCATCCCTGCGGTGTTCTAGAACCCAGCAAGTGGCTAGCCCGCTGAAGGCACTGTTATCAGCTCTCATTTTCATTCTGAATATGCAGCTTCTCCCTCTTCCCGTTTAGTCAAAATCCCTCAAATAAAATGATATCTGCCTTGCCAAACCTGGTCTCCACCCCGCAGCCTTAGGGGTTGGTGGAGCCTCTGTAAGCCTGGGCACCTGTGCAGTTGACATTAGAAGCAATGGAGGAGGACAGGTGACCCATTAGAGGTAGAGAATGGATCACTCAGGGCCAAGGAACTCAGTCAGAACTCCCCTGAGATGCGACTGCATTCTCATGGCAACGGCAACCCTTCCTCTGATTCTGCTGCAAGAATTCTCCCAGATGCTAGCCCCCATGGTGTCCAGAGGCTGGATAGCCCCTTTGGGAGGCTGCAGGGATGCTGAGACCCATTCCAACATCAACATGATGATTCATTCCGGCATCAACAGTGTCCCCTGGCCAGACGTCCCCAGACAGGTGCCAGGACATAGTGCTACAAAGAGTACGTACTAAACCCAGAAGAGACCTGGCAGTTTCATTTGTCTTTCTGCCAATCCTTGGAACAAGCTAAGATGGGATTTTTAAAAAGTCCAGTCAACTAAAGGCTTGGATAGATTGGGAGGTTCTGATTTTTAAAAGTTTTTAAATTGTGAAATATGTTCTGTCTTAAAAGGTATGTAATATTTTTATAGTTTAAAATAATAAAATGAGCAGTCGTGAACCTACTATCCAGTTTAAGAAAGAAAACATCATCCCATGTGCCCCTCCCAGACTCATCCCTCCCCTTCCAGGTAACCATTACCCTGGAGTTTGTGTTCACTGTTCTTCAATTTTCTGCATAGCTTTCACAAACTGCGTGTGTTCCTAAATAGGATATTTAGTCATGCCCATTTCTGAAACTGAAATTTAAATGTTTCCACTCTATATATGTGTTTTGCAATATGCTGTTTTTGCTCCATATTATGCTTTCAGAAATTTACCCATCATAATGAATATAACTGTTAATTTATTTCACTGCTATATAGTATTTCATAACATGCATTTATCCAGTTTGCTGTTAATGGTTACTTTGGTTGTTTTCAGAGTTTTGGGTTTTCTTTTTTTTCTTTTTTTTTTTTTGCCTTTTTTTGCTTTTATTAGTCATGCTGCTGTTAACCCTTTTGTACATGGCTTTGGGGTACATATACCCCAAAAGAATTATTATTCTCAACACCAGCACCACCCTTCTGACAAGTATTTTGTGATGTTCTTTTTACTATCTTGAAATAAAATTCTTGAAATTCTATGGGTAAGTGCTATCTATGGTATAGATTTTATCTATAGTATAGATAGAATGCTATCTATCTATACTATAGATCATGTACTATAACCCACTTACCCACAGAATTTTAAGAAATCAATGTAATGCTCTGAATGTGATATAAAAAAGAAATAAGACAAAGCAATTTATAATAAAAGGTGGTTGGACCAGTATGTAAAATTTGAGGAACAATTACATCAGAAGCTAGAATAACAATGTCAGATGTTTGCACCTGTGGGTAGAATTACCATGATTGTTCCAGCTACAAATGCAAACAGTCATAGGTGTTTTGGGTTGATAGCCCAAATACCACGTACGAGATTCCCAGCAGAGAAATGATTTTCTATAATGTTAATCAATTCTTGGTAAAGTTCTAAACAACAATAACAACAGAAAGCACAATATCCCTTCAATAAAAGGAATATTTTTCAGAAAAGTGGTTGCCTTCCTGAAAAATTCAATATGTTAAAGACAGGAAAACAATGCATTTGAGTTTTTTTTTTAACTGTTTATATGTAAAATAAAGTTAGAGTTAGATTGCAGGATCAGGTAAGTATCAACAGACATTCACTTGCATAAATTATGTGGTCCCACATGTAGTCATGTGCAATGCAGGCTAATTCATCTTTAGGCGGAAATGCCCCAGAAACCATATGATGTTTAGCATTCCTTGCTCTACTTACTAAATGCCAGTAGCACTCTTTACTCATTGTGACATTTGCAGGCTTCCAAGACTCCCTCTAGGGTGTGGTAATGCCTGCATTAAGAACGACTCCTACAGTATATACTTAAAGAGTGGAATTGCTTGGTTAGACAGTAGGTGCATATTTAACTTACTAGGTAATAACAAATGATTTTTCAAGGAGGTTGTATCAATATGCTATCCCATCATCAGTGCATGAGAATTTCTGTTGCTCTTCTTCCTTACCTACACTTGAAGTTGTCAGACTTCACAGTTTTCCCTGTCTGGTAGGAGTAAAATTGTCTTTTATTGTATTTTCTTAACTTCCCACCTGGTTAAGCACTTTTTACATGTTTCTGGGCCATTCATGTTTTATCTTCTATGAAATTGACTGCTCATGCCATTTTCCCACGACATTTTCTCATTTGTTTAAGGGTACTTTTTTTTTTTTTTCCCCGAGACAGAGTCTTGCTCTGTCACCAGGCTGGAGTGCAGTGGTGCGATCTTGGCTCACTGCAACCTTGGACTACCTGGTTGAAGCACTTCTTCTGCCTCCCCAGTAGCTGGGATTGCAGGCACGCACCACCATGCCCAGCTAATTTTTGTATTTTTAGTAGAGACAGGGTTTCACCACATTGGCCAGGATGGTCTCATCTCTGGACCTCATTATCCACTCACCTTGGCCTCCCAAAGTGCTGGGATTACAGGCGTGAGCCACCACGCCCCACCTGTTTAAGGGTTCTTTATTTGTATTATATACTAATCCTCTGCCAATTATATATATGCAAACATTTTTTCCCAGTTGGTGGCTTCATATTCCTACCTTTGTGTTTTATGGTGTCTTTTGATAAGAAAGTTTCTAATTTTTGCTTTATACCAAACATGCATGAATTTGTCTAGCCTTATGACTTTCCTTTGGGAAAGGATTATGAGTGAGCTCACTTATTTATCCACATTTTCCTATCTTAATAAAACATATCATTCCTGTCTCCATCTGCCTCTCCCACATACATGTACTTTGCACTTCAGACCTCCATGAGGCAGATTTCCATGCCACCCTTAAAATTGCTGTGGGTATGGTGGGATCCTGTTCTCTCTACTATCTTGAGTGCTGATTTAATATCTGGACCTCAGTGAATGAGGGATAGAATGCTTAAAAGCAGAGCTACCCATGACCCCAGATACTCTATGGGGGAGCAGTGGTCTGTCTGGAAATTTCAGGGTTAACTGAACCCTCAGAATCATCTGATAAGTCTGATTTAGGTTCTGAGGGAGGATAAGGCTGTGATGCCACTGCCTGCTGATGTAGGAAAGTAGGAAAGTGGGAAAGATAAAGAAGAAATTGAGAGAGAATTGTGCATCTTGGTCTTACCTTCCAGTCTCAGGCTCTCCATCTCTACAATGAAGTTACCTCTGAAACAGCCAGGTGGATTGACGGGTTATGTGAGTAGGGAGTCTTTGAAAGCAAAAGTCTAGTGAAGTTGGTGTATGCTGTTTCTCCTGCTGGGTAACGAAGTGAAAAAGTTGGCCAATTATAATAATACACACTTACAGGGAGATAACCACTTCCTGTGTGAACATTCAGTTCTATCCAGTCTCTTTCAGAGTTCCTAGAACACTTCACAAGGTAACCTTTCTGAAGCTTTTCCAGACCACCCCAAGCCTTGCACAACTCTGGTGCTGAGAACTGGAGCCCACCAGAGCTCTCTGCAACAGATTTCATTGTCAGACCTCTCTGACCCCAGCCCTCTTCCTGGGGGTCTGACCAAGCCTCTAGCCCAGGGATAATCAGATGGGTTTGTGCTTAATGCATTTTCCAATCAAAACAACAATTTGCAGATTAACTTATGAACACTGAATATGAGGACAAAATGCTACATTCAAAACCTACTTATCTTGATGAATTAAAAGTTAGTGTTGCAGATGGACATACAGCAGGCTTGGGGAGTGCACAAAACAATAAGTAGACAGATCTCTCCTTTTTCCCAAAGAAGCACTGATACTGTCCCTAAGGATGCAAAGAGGGCTTGGAAATTGAAGGCTCTTCCCAGGGAGCTATATCTCTTCCTTCCAATATGTTCCAAATGCATTGCTTCTTCCTTTTCATCCCGGTAACAGAACACTGACTCTTCAGTCTCCTAAATGTGCCACCACCTCTAAAAATGACATTTGGGAGTGTGTCCTCATATCTGAGCAAAACCCCAAAGCAAGCCAGTTCTCCAAAACTGGGTCACTTTTGGGTGGACCTGGGTCAAACAGCCAGTGGTTTCCACACTCCTGAATTTCCTTCTGGGCAGAAGAGAATCTTGCATCTAAGAGCAGAAAAGAATCTTGCATCTAAGTACCTATCCCTGGACTCTGATGCTAGGAACATGTGTTAGACAGATCTGTGTTACTGCTCTCACAACAGGCTTTAAAGAACAAGCTAACAATTGCAATGCCCCTCACCAGAAAACCTGAAAACTGCAAGCCCTTTGGAAAACTGTGCATCAGAGAAAAGGGGGAAGGGAGAACTGCTTGTTTTATTGCATTTGGTTTCTGTAAAGGCCAGGGAGAAAGCACGAGAGAGTCTTTGTCGTTGGTATGAAAGGCAGCATCTGGCGGAGGAAATGCTCCCTGATAGGACATGGGTGCAAATGTTTCTTGACAATTCCAATCAAGGACGGTTCTCGTTAGCATTCAAGATGGCTGGGATGATAAATTATATGAATAATTTTGGTTCTTTGTCAAGACTCGGATGATGTCTTTCCGCGACACATCTGTAGCTGTGCATACTTAATTACGAACTAACGAACAGACAGGAGGCATGAAGTGCGGGCACATTCCTTATGCTACAGAAATGACACATGCATTCCATGGGGCGTGTGTTCGAGAAACAAATGAGACAGCAAGTTTCTCAGCTGGAGCCCTCCTGAGAGCTGCTTGTATGAGAGAGGACCTGGCCTGTCACTTCTAACTTGGAAGAAAGGAGGCTTTGAATTGAGCGGGATTAATTTAGGGGCTGGGGCTGGACCTGTGCAGCAGACACAATCTCTTACCAGGCTCCCTTGAGAATAGCTTTTGCATTCCTGAGTTTAGATCAATACATGGGGACTATGACAAGTCTTAAACATTGAAAGCATGCCAAGAATTATGTAAGTACTTCATAAATGTCTCTGGTCTGACCACCTTCATCAACTCCAGGAACTAATACAAAGACAGCACTTGGAAAGATAATTTACCTGAAACTTTAAATGTTCTGTTAGGAGCAAGTCTCATCTGGTGTAGGGGGACAGGTCATTATTATCTGATAATTAATCTTTTGAGAAGCTAGAATAGAGTGATATTCTGGGCCTTATAAAACTAGTCTCCTCTGAAACATCCCTCCTGTGTTACTGCTGGTCTGTCTGTCTCCAACTTTGTCATACTAACGTTTTTCTCCACTCCACTTCCTGCTCCTTGTTGGCTGCTGTAAACCTCTGACTACAAAATGCAAACTGCTTAAAGTAAAATTACAGATCTTAGAGAAGAATTTCATGAAGTTAATGAAAGTGATGAGAGAGAACTGTTTGCATCCTATGCACACCCGCTGATAACCAAGGATCCGGTGCATTAAAGTAACAATGGAAGAGAAAATTAACAAGGAGGATACAGAAAAGGCCCTTAACAAAGGAATAATTTGAAAATCAACAAATAAAGAGGGCCCCTGGAAAAAGGAATGAAGGATTTTTTTTGTGACAATTATCTTTTTATAGCAGTATTGAGAAAATAAAATATGAAACAAAAGATGGTGTATCTTCCTGTCATACTTACTATCAGCTTAGTGGTACCCGCAACGCAGCCACTGGTTGAAGGGTGGGGTCAGAGGAACTTTCAGAACCAGCCATACATGCTGGGATGAAATACGCTCTTCGTTAACACCCCCTTTCCTCCACGTCTTAATTTCAAGAGCCTTATAGCCCTGAGCCCTGTAGGGGGCCCCTGCTGGGCCACCCAGTAGGATTCAAACCTTGGAAAATGGGATGAGGAGGCGCAGCCAGTGACGCACATGCTACTGAAACCTGGGTGGAAATGACAGCTTCCATTTCTGGGAAGAAGCTTACTCTTCTGACTTCGGAATGCCCATGGAGGCATCTGTCAAGACAAAATCCCACAGACATCTCACTCCAGGGTGATGTGCCTGCCATGTACCCTCATACACACTCCACATCTCTGTATAAAATCTTATAGCTCCATGGTGGCTCTCCATGACCAAAACACGATGAATAGTATTTAGTGATGCTACGAGAAAGCTGCGTGTTTTACACTGACTGTATTCCTTAATGCCAATCATTTGTTATGGGACAACTCTTGTTAGCCCCATCTGTAAAAGATGAGGAAACTGAGGCTTAGAGAGGTTGACCAGCTGAGCCATAGTCACACAGTAGAACAAGGTCTGATCTCTGGTTTCTCCAACATGAAACTTCATGACCTTCTAAGTTTCTGGCAGCGCCCAACCCTAACAGCTCACACGCAAACAGCCACCTCTCCCTCCTTGCACCAAGTCGGCTCCTGGCAGGCTGTGCATGGCTTGGTACTCTTGGCCTAATGGGTCGCTGAGAGTGCACAGGTCTTCAGGAGCACACACACACAGCTACTTGGAAAAGACGACCTGTGCATGCCTGTGACTGTAAACCCATCTCCAGGAAAGTTCTGAGTATAGATTACTCAGCTTCGGCACAGGGAGAGGCAGCCCAAGGGTGGTGTGGGCAGGTGATGGTACCGGCACTGGGGCACAGGGCTGTGCCGGGTCAGGTGGAGGTGCCGGCTTGAGTGCCTCAGCAGAGCTGGCTGTACACGGTAACTCTGACTTTTCACACCTGCTTCTCCAGGAAAGGGACAGGGCCTAGCTGTTACTGACAACCCCACTGCAGAGAAACATGACCCTGTATACTCTGACAGGGTGGCACCGCTAAGGTCATCAGTGTCTCCCCCTTTTCTGCAAGCTCTGGCTGAACTCTGGCTGTAAAGAAACTCTGCACTGTATGTGTGCCCATGTGTGTGTCTTTGTGTGTGTGTCTGTATGTCTTTGTGTGTATGTCCCTCTGTGTGTCTATGTGAGTATCTTTCTGTGTGTGTCTGTACTTGTCTGTGTGTTTCTGTGTATGTCTATGTCTCTCTGTGTGTATCTGTGTGTGTTTCTCTTTGTGTGTATCTTTTTATGCCTCTGTGTATGTGTGTGTATGTGTATGTTTGTGTGTGTGTCTGTGTGTTTATGTGTGTCTCTGTGTGTGTGTCTGTGTGTGTCTGTGTTTATGTGTCTGTGTGTGTGTGTGCCTGTGTGTGTCTCTGTGCATGTCTGTGTTTGTGTGTGTGTGCGTGTCTGTGTATGTCTCTCTGTGTATGTGTCTGAGTGTGTGGTGGGGGAAAGGAGGAAGGAGCACGAGGGGCAGCTCCGTCCCCCGCCCCTCTGCAGCTCCCAATCTGATGATGCTCGAAGCAGCTCTATTATGGGTCAGTGTGGATTGACATGGAAACCTTTTTTAAAAATACTAAATGGAAGTGCAAATTGCAGAGCTGAATATACAGTCCATGTTCAATGGTGGGAAAAGTGATTCGAGTAAAACTTTATTCAAGCCCTATCCTATGCAGGTCAGTGCAGAACGCTCCCATGGTCCTACGGAGCCCCCTCACCCCATGTCTGTGTTAGGTACTCAAGCTGAATTACTGAGCTCATGTTCTCCTCATCTCCTGTCTCTCTCTCCTCCCAACTGGAACTCAGTCTCTCCCATTTTCGCCATACCTGCCAGCACAAGGCGGGGGCTGCTTGCAGTTGGCAGAGGTGGTGAAGCTCTGGCTCTGGGTGGGGCTGCCTCCACTGCAAAGGCCAGCCTGGGTCGAGGCAGGGCGGGGAGACTCTAAGAAAGCTTGGTTCTAGAGCAGGAAGCTCTGTGGGAGCAGGAGCTGGGAGACAGGAGTATGGCCATGATGAGAATCAGTCCTCAGTTTGGAAAGTGTGTTCAGGGGCCTACAGGAAGCTGGCTGCTGAGGCAGCAGGGCTCAGGTCCTGCCTGGGTCCTCGGATGCCAGCTTGCCAGGTGGGGCCTTGTCAATAGCCTCTGAAGAATCATTGACAATCCCTGTGGCCAGGCCTGGGCCCTGCTGAGCCTCAGCTCTCTTGAAGAAGGTGCAGGAAAGAAACACTGATCCAAAAGCCATTTCTAGGGCCTGAACAAGGCCAGCATATGTGACAGCCTGCTGTGAGCTCAGGCGAGGGGCTTTGGGGGAGAAGGGCACAGATTGAAGGACCCTGAAGCCTCTAGAGGGAAGGGGTCATTAGCTGGTTGCAGGGAGAGGCAGAGGAGGCCACAGGCCAGCTGCTGCCAGAGAGAAGCTGAGGACAGGCCTGTCGGTGCTAGTGGTTAGCGCTGCAGTCCAGGCACAAGCTTGCCACGGAGCTCCAGCCTCCAGCGCTTAGATGGTTTGGGTGTGTGTCCCCTCCAAATCTCTGTTGAAATGTGATTCCCAGTGTTGGAGGTGGGGCCTGGTGGGAGCTGATTGGGTCATGGGGGCGGATCCCTCATGAATGGCTTGGTGTGCTCTCTGAGGTAATGAGTTCACACAAGAGCTGGTTGTCTAAAGGTTCTCTCTCTTGCTTCCTTTCTCTCCATGTGACACTCGCCTGCTCCCTCTCCTCCTTCCACCGTGATTGTAAGTTTCCTGAGGCCTCACCAGGAGCAGATGCCAGCACCATGCTGCTTGCACGGCTGCAGAACTGTGAGCTAAATAAACCTCGTTTCTTTATATATCACCCAATCGCAGGTGTTCCTTTACAGCAATGCAAATGGACTGTCACACATGGGGATAAACCAGCCAGCAATGGACAGCCCATTGTTGCTGGGCCTAAGGCACCTCAAAGGAGTAGCAGGGGCTCAGAGCAAGGACCCTCCTCCCTCTGCTAGAGCAGCAGAGGCTGCAGCACCAAGGAGAGGAAGTTAGAGCTGGTCCCTGGAGCCTTAGGAGTTGTACAGGCAGGGAGAGGTGAGGCTCCTGGGAAAGAGGGCATTCCAGACAGATGGGGTGCAAAGGCCAGTTTGCTCTCGCAGGCTTTCTTTCAGAGAGTGAGGAGAACCTATCAGGTCAGAGCAGACAAATCAGACCTCTGGGTCCTGCCCTGGGATCGGGGCTCTCCCTCAGACCCTGAGAGCTCCTGGCTGTAAATTTCTCATTTGCAGCCCAGGTCAAGTAGGGGCAAGTTCCAGCCTTGTAGGGTGGCTGAGAGAGCACAACCTCATGCACAGTAGGTGGCCAGCATTGTCTCTTGTCATTATTTTATCCATGGCTTTCCAAAAGACAGAGGAAGAGTACTCCATGCATGCACACAAGTCCTTAAGTGTCCAGGGGGTCCGTGGAAACCTTGACATATTAGCCCCGAAGGCACGGGAGGTCGAGATTACACAGTGCTCTCAATCCACAGCTCCTTCCAGTTCCTTCGCACTCTCTCTAATTGTATCTGACTCTTATCAAGGACATGCATGTGTCTGAACACCTCTGGTCAAATAAAAGGAGGTTGTGAATGCTGCCATCCTCACCGTGTGGACAGAAAGGTTATCTGTTGATTTAACAAGGTTCAGGGAACTCTTAATTTCCATGCAGCATGAGAGGAAGGATGATGTCATAACCCAAAGCATAAGCATTAGACTCAAAGCATTGGTGCCCAGCTAGCCGAGTGAAAAGTCCAGCACTGCTAGGTTTCTGCCCATCCTAGCTGTGTGGTCTTGGACGGGTTGTTTCACCTTCCCGAGCCTCAGTTTTCCTGATGTGTAAAGTGGAACTTTAAAGAATCAAAGGTGGGCCAGGCACGGTGGCTCATGCCTGTAATCCCAGGATTTTAGGAGGCCGAGGTGGGCAGATCACCTGAGGTCAGGAGTTCGAGACTAGCCTGGCCAACATGGTGAAACCCCGTCTCTACTAAAAATACAAAAATTAGCTGGGCATGGTGGTGGGCACCTTTAATCCCGGCTACTCAGGAGTCTGATGCAGGAGAATCGCTTGAACCCAGGAGGCAGAGGTTGCAGTAGGCCGAGATTGTGCCATTGCACTCCAGCCTGGATGACAAGAGTAAAACCGTCTCAAAAAAAAAGAAAAGAAAAGAAAAAAAAATCAAAGATGATAGTATAGTATACCTTTGGAAATTACTTAGTGCACAGAATCAGTTAATTAAATGTTAGTTGCATATTTATTACGTATGTGTGTAGATACTTTCCTTACATAAGGTCATATATTTACAGTCACATATATTTGACCTTAAATTGACATAAACTTAACAACAAATGTGACCATCTTCAAGCATGCAGATTGCTTGGTGAGATTATTGCTAGATTATCGTATTTGAGGGAAGAATCGACCTTCTGAAACCTCCTCGAATTCATCCACAAATATTTCCCTGATGTTTTTGTCAAGAGGTTTTTGCATGTGTCTTAAGCCTTTTCCACTTCATTTGTAACCTGAATGTGAACACATCTGGGGAAATTTCATGCCTGGGTTCAACGGGACTTTGATGTTTAAATCTACCCTTGATGTCAAGGGTCCCCATTGCTGCCTTGGTGGGGCTGGGGACAGACTGTGGTGCCCCAGGAGGAGATACTCAGGCAGAGCACAGGCTGCCTGTCTCTCTTCATTTTGAACCATATCAAGAGCTCAGTATTCTTAAGTGCTGGCTGCGATGAGCAGCCGTTTACACGCCAGCTTGGCCATGAAGGAAGGTTTTACGAACACATGCTTTTCTGAATAAATTGAATGAGAAGTGGGTCAGACCTTGTACAACAGCCTCCCTGATGCCAAGGGGCTGTCTTTGCCAAGACAATTAGGGTTAGATATTTTATCATAGAGGAATGAGCCACTGGAGATGGTTGAGTTCATTTTCTTATCTTATAGGTCAGAAAATTGAGAACCAGAGCTGAGAAGATTTCTCAAGGTCAGAACCCTTTCTTCAACGTCCCCTGAAACACTGTGTGAGCAGCTCAGGCAGTAATTGGCTCTGTGGTTTAATTTTTGCAATTTATATAAAATGTTGCTTTATCGCCGATGGGAAAGTTTCTCCTGAGCTCTTGGAAGTGAGGAAGGTCAAATGACTATAATTAAGGGAAACCTTAAACTTTGAGTTCAACAATTCACAAGGGGGGGGAAATGGGCCAAGTGATCACCGCGGGCAAGTGGAGGTGGCACAGCCCTGTCCAGGAGACCAGCCCCCACAGAATGCTGGTGGGTCTCACCATCATGGGATTCTGGAGCAGTGTTATTCATATTCATAATGATTCCACATTTATCTGATTTGCTCTGATTTTTCTAGAGAAGATGGAAACCCAGACTTTCACATAAAACTCTAATTTTTCAGTGTTGGCAACTCAGCAAGCCAAGCCATTCATATCAGCAAACCCCCATTGGTTGCAACCTCTGGCTTGAATATGCAACAGGCTGTCAAGCAGCATGTCACTTGGATGAGCTTTAGGAGGTGAGCAGCTATCATGAAAGCCTCATGCCACTTCTGTGGTGCATGCGGCTTCCCCCAGCAGTGAGAAGATGGATAATTCCATATTCCCTCTACATCATTGTCTTATGTCATCAAAGATGACACTTTTCCCATTGATTTTGAAAGCAGAACTTTCAATCATTCTGATGAACTCAGAGCCTCAGAGTAAGACTGGAGAAGCATGCTTCACTGTCTACAATGGCAAAATATTGTGGAAAAACTTTGCCTTCAACAGTTCTTTTTTTTTTTAATTTATTTCTTTTTTGAGACAGAGTCTCACTCTGTCACCCAGGCTGGAGTACAGTACAGTGGTGCCATCATAGCTCACTGCAGCCTCCAAAATCCTAGGCTCAAGCAATCCTCCTGCCTCAGCCTCCCAAGTAGCTGGGACTATAGGTGCACGCCACCACACCCAGCTAATTAAAAAAATGATTTTTAGAGATGGGGTCTTGCTGTGTTGTCTAGGCTGGTCTTAAACTCCTAGACTCAAGCTTTACTCCTGCTGGGATTATAGGCGTGACCCACCATGCCTGGCCACTCCCTGGTCTTTGCTACAGCTCTGGTGGGGTCTGGGAAGAGTCAGGTATAGCAGGAGAAGAGGTGGCTACACAGGCAGGACACAGGCTACCCTCCCTTTGCTCTGAGTGTTGAGCTGTGTTGTGAGCTCAGTATTCTTAAGATTATTGCCCTAAAGCCTGTCTGTTTGCATCAAAACCCTGCTTTCATATTCCTTGTGCCCTGGACTCTAGTGGAAAGAGGTAATTACCAGAGAACATGCCCTTTGAAATTGAGGCCTAATTTACACACAAGTCAAGTGTACCGTCTACTCAATTTTGGCACATGCATAGCAAGACAGGACATTTACATATATCCCAGAATATGTCCTTCCACACCTTCCCAATCTATCCCTCCACCATTTGGCGTACACTGTAACTTCATATAAATGGAATCACATTGCATACACTTTTTTGTGTCTGGCTTCATTCGCTGAGTGCACTTTGAGAATTCATGTTGTATGATAAGTAGTTCATTCCTTGTCATGGCTGAAGTGATTTCCATTGTGTGAATTTATCACAGTTTATGCACTTGTTGGTGGACTTTGGAAAGTTTTCAAACATTGGATTATTGTGAATCAAGCTGCTGTGAACATTCTTATAAAAGGCTTTGTGTGAGCACATATTTTCATTTCTCTTGGATAAATACATGGAAGTATATTTGCTGGGTCATAGGGTAGATGTATGCTTAGCATCTTAAGAAATTACTGAACAGTTTTCTAAGTATTGTACTAAACACTCAACAGCGGTATAGGAGTATGTAATTATTCCACAGACTCTCTAACATTGATTTCATTTTGGTCATTCTAGTGGAATTGTAGTGGTATGGTATTTCATTGTGGTCTTTAGAACATGTTTTTGTTTTGTTTTGTTTTGTTTGAGATGGAGTCTCCCTCTGTTGCCAGACTGGAGTGCAGTGGCCCAATCTCGGCTCACTGCAACCTCCGCCTCCTAGGTTCAAGCAATTCTTTTCCCTCAGCCTCCCGAGTAGCTGGGACTACAGGCACACACCACCACGCCCAGCTAATTTTTGTATTTTTAGTAGAGACGGGGTTTAACCATGTTGGCCAGGCTGGTCTCAAACTCCTGACCTCAAGTGATCCGCTCACCTTGGCCTCCCAAAGTGCTGGGATTACAGGCGTGAGCCACTGCATCTGGCCTAGAACATGTATTTTTGAATAGATTTTAATTTTTAGGGCAGTTTTAGGTTCACAGCAACATTGAGCAGAGAGTACAGAGGTTTCTCATATACTTACGCCCTGACAGAGGCACAGCCTCCCCAACTATCAACATCCTGCACCAGAATGGGACATATGTCATAATTGCTGAAACTACATGGACCGTTTGCTGTCACCCAGGTCCATAAACTAAATGAGGGGGCCCTCTTGGTGTTGTGCATTCTGTGGGTTTGAACAAATGCGTAATGACATGGATCCACTACTGTAGAGTCACACAGAGTAGTTTTGCTGCCCTAAAATCCCCTGTGCCCTGCATGTGCTTCCCTGTAATCCTTAGTAACCACTGATCGTTTTACTGTCTGCATAACTTGCCTTGCCCAGAATGTCATAGAGCTGGGATCATACGGTATATGGTCTCTTCAGATTGGCTTCTGGGAAGTCTGATGTAACTGTTATCTTCGCTCCTCTGTAGCTAAGGTGTTCCCCACTCACCCCGGCTTCTTTTAATATTTTTCTGCATCTTTGATTTTTTGCAGTTGGACTATGATGTGCTTATATATATTTTTTTTTTATTTTTTTTTAATTTACCCTGCTGGGTGTTCTCTGAGCTCCCTGGATGTGTAGTTTTGTTTTTTGTAACATTAATTTGGGGGAAATTCTCAGCAAATATTGCTTCAAACACTTCTTTCACTCTTTCTTCTTCTGGTATTCCCATTACATGTAGGTTACACCTTTCTTAGCTGCCCCATGGTTCTTGGATATTCCGTTCTGTTTTGGGTAGATTTCTTTTCCCTTGCTTTTTCATTTTGAAAATTTCTACTGACATATCCTCAAGCTCAAAGATTCTTTCCTCAGCTGTGTCCAGTCTACTAATGAGCCCAGCAAAGACATTCTTCATTTCTGTAACTGTGTTATCGATCTCTGGCATTAAAAAAATGTTTTCTTAGAGTTTCCACCTCTCTGCTTACATCACCCTTCTGTTCTTGTGTGCTGTCTACTTCATCCATTAGATAGAGCCCTCAGTGCGTTAGTAATAATCGTTTTAAATTCCTGGTCTGATAGTACCCCAGCATCTCTGCTACATCTGAGTCTTCTTACGATGTTTGCTGTCTCTTTCAATTGTTTTTTTGCCTTTTAGTTTGCTTTATAAATTTTTCATGTGCATGTAATAGCCAGACACTGAGGTTACCAGGCCTTTAGTAATGTGGTGATAAGATATGGGGGTGCCTTCTATAGTCCTAGAATTAGCTCTCAGTCTTTTAGTGAGCTCGTGCCCCTGGACTGTGAACTTCACCAGTGCTTCTCAGTTTTGTACCTGCCCATCAGGTGAGACAGCGTGGGCAGAGTGGACTGGCATCGGGTATTCCCTGTTTCCATGTTGAAGGCTAGAGGTGGCTAAAGCTGGGTATTTCCTTTCTCTCGTGTGAAAAGCTAAGGTGGGCTGGAATTGGGCATGTTCCTTTTCCCAGGTTGGCTCTGATAAAACTCCAATGGTTTAGGCTCTGATGAAATAGTTTCTTGTGAGGCCTTATTAATAACAGAATACTCAGAAAGATTTCAAAATGGTTCCTTTTCCTTTCCCCTGCCAGAAGCCCTAGGAGATTTTTCTCTGATATTCACTGTGAGAACCTGGTTGAGCTCCTGAAGGTAAAACTCACAGAAGCGTGTCCCGTGCAACCCCTCCATGACCAGGTCCTTCTGGAGTTTTTAACTTGTCCATGTGGAGCCTCCAGCAATTTGTCAATGACATTTGAGGTTTTCCTAACCTGGCTTGGGGTCCCTCAGAGGTGTTTGCTGATGGGTTTCTGCTCTGATAAGTTGTGAGTTGCTGTATTCACCTGTCTGTCTCTCCAATTTTGAGAGCAGTGTTTGCCCTGTGACCTCACTTTTCCGAAAGATCTGAGAAGAGGGATTTTTCCGTGGGTTCAGCTTTTTGCTTGTTAGGATGGGGTGATGAATTCCAAGCTCTGCATGCTGAACCTGGCATCTGAAATAAGAGCATGCTCTCAAAAAATATTCTAAATAATTTTACTTACAAACCTTTATGCTAAGAATAATAATTCTATAAAGCTTCCTCTGGGCAAAAGTATAATCACTTAAGTAATAGTAGTTTCTTGAATTAAAATGAGAGATAATTCAAAATATTTTTTTAAGTCAATTGTTTTTTCTACTTTTCTAGATGTTCACTAGTAGGTCATTTGAACACTGAAATTCAACCCTGAAGATAATGCAGTATTATTCTTATGATGGCAGGGGAGAGGGGCAAAGTCTAGCACATGGGAAAAGAAAATGGTGATAAATTCTTGGAGGATGTTGTCCTTGTTATCAATGAAAGATGTGGCAGGCCAGAAAAATGCCTTTGTCAAGTGGGGGTGGGGGGTGTCCATGAATGCTTTCTGGAAGTGCAGAAAATCATAGAGACCTTGGCCATGAAATTCTCCAGCAAAATAAATGTAGAATTATAGGAAGAGTTTGGGGGACAAAGTCTGGGAGCAAAAGTGAGAATATGAGTAGAGAGGTGTAAAAGTATTTTCTTGAAGACAAATGGTATCCTCTGGTGAAGGACCATGTGGGAAAGACTCTGTGACATGATCTATTTGGAAAAACCATCGATGTTTGATGGATTATGATTTAGGGTCCAATGACTTTGGCTTCTTGAATATCAGCAATCAGTTCATCCAGTTTTGCTTGTTTAGTTTTCTATTTTTAAAGTTCTATTTCTGTGAAATTTATTTCACGGTGAGCCATAGAGTTGGCCTCATTGAGTTTTTTTTACTAACAGCCTCTATATTTGCTATTTATGATGGCTCTGTGTAAAGGTTGGTATCTCTTGAGGATGGTGCTAGGCCATCACGTCACTTTAAATTAATTTGGTAAGTTGAAAGCAAATTATGTATTATTATTCTTTATAGCTGTTTTTTTTTTTTTTTTGAAAAAAAGAGCATAAAGTTCTTCAAAACTAGGTAATGGTGACAACATTTTCTGCGCATGCCTTCATCTCCCAAAGAAACCCAGAGTTGTCAGAACCTGGACTCTGCTTTTGGGGGAGGCCATTACACCTTGAAGAGCTTCTCCAGGAAGATCCCAGCACCCAGCTGAGAGCCAGTCCTCAGGCCTTGAAGAAGTCCCAAGTCCACTGCAGGGAGGCCTGTGGCTGCCCTGTCCTGCTAAGCCATGATGCACACACAGAGCACAGCACAGATTTCTCCTCACAGCAAGGTGCACTTCCTCACCTTCTCTGGCACAGTCATTCCTTCCTGTAGAACAGTTTCCATCGGGTATCATTTCCCTTCAGCCTGAAGAATTTCCTTTACATTTCTTACAGTTCAGGTTTATTGGCAAGGGATTTTCTCAGCTGTTATGCAACTGTAATTACATATTTTGTTTATTTTTGAAGGACATTTTTGCTGAGCATAGAATTTTTGGTTGAAAGAGTTTATTTTTTCCTTCAGAATTTAAAGACATCTTCTGACTTCCATTATTTCTGATAAGTGAGCCACCATTTTTATCATTTTCCCCATATATCTAATGTGACTACTTTTGTGTGAATATATTTGGTTGTAAGGAGTTTAAAAATGATGAGCCTAGGTGTGATTCTCTTCCCTTTTACTTTTCTTGGGTTTTGCTGAGCTGCTTGCATCTCTTGGTTGAGGTAAGTGGCTAGATTTGCAAAAATTTAGCCATTAGTTCTTCAAACACCCTTTCTTCCCCATTCTATCTTTTATTTCCTTCTGGAATTCTACTTGCAAGTATTTTATATCATTTGCTATTTGTGGCTAGTTACAGATGCTTTATTTGGCTTTTATTTCCCTTCAATTATTTTTCTCTGTGCCTCTGTTTCGATTATTATTTTTGTATTTTTGCCTTAATTTAACAATGCTGTCTTTTGCTGTGTCTAATATACCAAGTATATACATACGTATATATTCTTACTATATCACAAATCACAGTCATATTTTATTGTCTTTTAAAATATATTGCTAGATTCAGTTTCTAAAATCATGCTAATGATATTCGTATACATGCTTATGAGAGATATTAATCTGTAGTTTTATTTTCCTGACATATTCTTTTCTACTTCTAGTATCAGGGAAATTCTGGCCGCATAAAATTAGTTAGAAAGTATTCCTTTCACTTCTATCTTCTGAAATAATTTTGTAGAATTGATACACTTTTCTTCTCAAAAATTAGGTAGAATTCACCATTGAAGCAGTGGAGCTATCAGGGCCTGCAGTATTTCTCTTGTAGAAAGGTTTTTAACTATGGATTTAATCTCAGGTTATCTATTTCTTGCTAAAATGGGCTTTAGTAGTGGTAGTAGTTTGGTAGTTGTGTCTTTTAGAAATCTGTCCAGCCTGACCAACATGGTGAAACCCCATCTCTACTAAAAAATTCAAAAATTAGCTGGGCATGGTGGCAGGTGCCTGTAATCACAGCTACTTGGGAGGCTGAGGCAGGACAATCGCTTGAACCCGGGAGGTGGAGGCAGCAGTGAGCCGGGATTGCACCACTGCACTCCAGCCCAGGTGACAGAGCAAGACTCTATCTCAAAAAAAAAAAAGAAAGAAAGAAAAAGAAAAAGAAATCTGTCCATTCAATGTGCGTTAATTAATTGGCATAAAGAGCTGGGTTCCCACCCCCAACCCCAATCTTTCCTCTCTTTTGTGAAGAATAGATCTAACTTAAGAACTTTCTGGATGGGCCTGGTGGCTCACACTTGTAATCCCAACACTTTGGGAGGCCAAGACAGGCAGATCAGCTGAGGTCCGGAGTTCGCGACCAGCCTGGCCAACATGGTGAAACCCCGTCTTTACCAAAAATACAAAAATTAGTTGGGCGTGGTGGTGGGTGCCTGTAATCCCAGCTACATGGGAGGCTGAGGCAGGAAAATCGCTTGAACCTGGGAGGCGGAGGTTGCAGTCACCCAAGATTGCACCATTGCACTCCAGCCTGGGCAACAGAGCGAGACTCCCTCTCGAACAAACAAACAAAACAAAACAAAACAAAACAAAAAAAAACCCAAAGCTTTCCCAGATCTGTAGGGCTCCAGTGAATGAGAGAGCAGAGCAGATCTCTTCCTGGTGACCTCCGAGTGCAGAAGCCTTGGAGAATATGCATAGGGAGTGCTTTGTCCTGATAATACAGAAATAGTTTTCTGAGTTTTGAGTGATTTGGTGGCAGAAGAGATGGGGATGCAGTTAGTCCACCATCACTGAAACTAATCAAACATGGTCTAGAGGGGCCCTTTTCAGGAATGCTATACTCCAGAAAGTATGCCGTCCTTTTGTGGGGAATGAGGCCTGGAGGATAAGCAATTATGCAGCCATTCTAATCTGCGGGATACCTCATATTGGGAACAGAACAGCATTGTTTAAGGGAAGCATAGCTCATGATGATGAGGAGAGTAAGTTTACAATTTTCAATACTTTTTAGTGCTGCATGCCTTAGATATCTTAGTTTTTATTCTCGGAACTGCACTATTAAGTAGATGTTATCATCCAATTTTACAGATAAAGATCCTGAGGCTCTTAAGTAAGGCATGCTACTTATTTTCTCTCCCCAGCCCTTTCCTACATTCATTCCCTCCTCAGCCTGCCTGTGCACCAGGAGATTGACCCCTGCTCCCTGCCTGTGACTGCGAGCTGGGCTCAGTCAATGGGAACCACTGTCAGGGAATTGGAGGGTGAAAGTGGAACAAGGTCAGGATATTTCTTCTCCATGTCCTCCATGTTTCTGCACCACGTCTGTAATAGGTGCTGACTCGTGCCTCTGAGTCTCACTGGGCTAAACATTCCTTCCTCCCCTCATGTTTTCACGCATAGGGGTTAATATCTCCCCATCTTGGCTTTCTCCTCTAAGAAGGTGACAATCTCTTGTTGGCTTCCTTAGCCCCTGCCACATCCCCATCGCTGTAGACAGTCACTGCGTTGCAGCCTGTGAGGGTGAACTTTCTGAGGGCAGTGAGTCTCCTGCCAGAACCCTGTCTGATATGCTAAGCTTCGCTTCCAGGATTAGTTAACTAAATCTAATTGTAGTTGAACAATTCTGTCCCTAAGGGTCAGTTTGTGTGAGCAAGCAAATCCAACGTAGGATGGAGAGAGGATCTCATTCTCTTTTATCCAGCAGTGAGATGGGTGTCAGCCCCCACGGTGCTGGAACGAGTCGTAGGTCTAGAAGAAAGAAGCAGTGGGGTTAGATTAGAAGCCTGGAGACCCTGGCTCTTATCCTACTTTGAATGGCAAATTGCTGATTAAACTTGAGCTCTGTCTTTCTATGTGTATGAAAAAGGGGTCCCTCAACCTTCCCATTTTTCTAACTTCTAGACTTTCAGTGAGTGCCCTAGTGAGAAAATGACCTTGAAAAGCGCAGAGCAGAAGTGTATAAGGTAGCTGTGTTTTCCTGGTTATCAGTGGTAGAGGCTGCAGGCTGTGGGGTTAACTATTGTTCTGTCCATTTCAGTCCTGAACTTGAATGGGATGAGAAAAATCAGGGGGACGCTTCCATCTCTCATGCCCTCGGGGCTGCCTGCTTCTCTGCCACGCTGGGTTTGGGAGGGGGAAGAATCATCCTCATGTGGCCTCACATGGCCCTAGTTTAAGGCTTGTTCAGGTCCTGCTGGGGAGAGAGGTGATTTCTGGCTTTTAAGGAGAGTAGGAATTAAATCTGCAGCAGCAATGAGCTTACCTTGGCATTTTCGTGATTTTCTGCAGCGTTAAAAATTTTTGCCAATGTTTGCATTTAATTGCTTCTGCCTTGGTGAAATTATCGAGGTTTCCAACTGTGATTTCAATGGTTCTTAGAGTAGTGGGGCATTTATAAATTGCTGCCAGAAATTAATAGCAATGGATGAGAGGGAGAAAAAAATAATCAAACAGGAACTAGTGAGTGAAGATTTAAGTGAAAGAAAGGGGAAAATATGTATGTATAGATAGATAGGTACGTATGCATGTATATATATGTATACACATTATATGTATTTTTTACTTTAATGTTTTTGCTTGATATAGCAGAAAAAAAGGTTAAAAAAATAACTGCATTTACAACAGCATTCCCTATGCCCAGCTCCTCCCCATCCCACCCCTGTCCAGTGCAGTCCTGGAAAGTAGCCCCAATACCTTTCCAGCAGCTGGTTGGGGTCTTTGTATTTTGTATTTTAATGACTGAAAAAGAGCTTGCAAATCCAAATGGCTACAACTGGAGATCAAGTGCCCCTTAGGCTTTTAGTGGGAGCCAGAAATTCAAAATTTTTATGTAAAATCTTCCATTTTAAAGGTTGGAAACAAATTTTTGTTAAAAGCACACATAGTTCAGACCCGGCCAAAAATACTTGGTTGAACTTAGGAAATTGCCACTCTGAGGGACTGTATGTTGGCTGTTTGCCATGCTTGGTCTAAGATAATTAATTTTTTTGGGGTGGGGTGTCATAATTTTAAAACTGAAGTATCACACACACACAGTAACACATGTCTGTGCATGAATACTGAGTGTCCAGCCATTGTACCTCATGTTTATGCCCACCTGTGTCTGTGTGGCCGCCGCCCAGATGAAGATGTATTCATAGAACACTTCACACCTAAAATTCCCCACTGTGGTCTTCCCCTGCCAGTACTCACTTCCCCATTGAGGAGGTCTTCAACGGAGGACACGGCATAATTAAGCGGGGGTCAGTGAGCCTCCCTGAGGGTGGGAGGGAGAAAGAGACATTGGGGGCTTCAGGGGCAATGGATGGAGACCTGTGCTGCCCTAGGTTGTTGGGGAGGGGACAGCTCGGTGACGTTCCTTGGGGAAACTTCTCAGACATTTCAGCACCCTGAGTTCTGAAAGGGCTAAGGTCCCGTGGCCAGGGTTGGTGTGGAAAGAATGGACCACAACCTTGCAGTTGACTTCGTAGACCTGAGTAGGCAGGGAGCTGAGAAAGTGACAGCCTTGGGCGCTGAAGACATTTGAGTGTGCACTATGTAGGCAACCAGCATTCCCATAGACCCCAAGGGCAGGAAGAAGCCCCTGCAGGGCACTGCGGGGTTTCTCCACAACCCACACATAACAGCTGGCAAGGGAGTGGGTAGGAGGCAGTGAATGAACCAGAGTCATTTATTTAGGGGACACAGACACGCAGGGCTTCTGTTTCCTGCACGGCCTGTAGGGAGCAAAAGCATAGGCATTACACTGATTGTGTTTGAATTTCTAATTGGCAGGGCCTATCCTGCCAGACCACGTGCCAGGCTGCATTAGCTGATGTTCTGGCCCAGCCAGGAAGGGCTTGCACAAAGGAAGCAACATTTCTGCTTCTGGTCAGCCACGGGTGAACTTGCTTCCAGATTTTATGTTTTCCCACAGGTCTTAGAGGCTTTTTTTCTCATACACAAAGCGGAGGCTTTAGCGAGGGGCACATGGCAGGGAATTCAAGCCCGTCAGTGAAGATAGACTCAGGTTTGCAACTTTTTTCTAATCCTGGAGGTAATTGGCTGCCACCCCTCTGTGGTGAGAAGAGATGCAAATGCCTTCCCCCCCGTGCAATCAGCAGGGCCTCAGAGGCTCAATTTTCACCTGTGACTTGTTGCCTTGTGTTAATGAGGCTTTTAAACTGTCTTTTGCACTTTCTCCCTCAGATGGAAGGTGGCCTTGCTTGGCAAGTGCTAATGGCTCCTTTTGTAACTCTCAGCAGTGGAGTGGAGGAAACTTCTTCTCTCCACTCCCAAGGAGCCGACTTGGAGGCTTGTCCTTCCTTTCAAGGTGACTGAGAAAGTAAGTCTTGCTAGGTCTTGGGATGCATCAACAGCTTTCTTGGCCTGGCCAGGTAGGACGGGGACCCTCTCGGCCAGCTGCCACCAGCCTCACTTGTCTCTCTCCTTGGCATCCCGTGAGCATGGTTGCTGCCTTGTTCAAATGAGAGTAGGGGGCTGAGAGCCCCTACTCCAGATCTAGCAGCCACAGACATCCTTATGCCCCAGCTTTGAAGGTGAGGCTTTGTCATTAGGCAGGTGTGGTGGAAGCAGTCTTTACAACAGAAATGGAAATTGCATTAATAATGGACAGGACTGTCGTGGAAACTCCAGGTACACATAGCTGGGCTGGGCCCTTTCTGTCTAGGATCACCATAGCCCCCTGAGGAAGAAGTGGTTTTATTTCTTTAAACAGATGAGAAAACTGAGATTAGAGGATTCTGTATTAATTATTATCATCGTTGTTGTTGTTTTTGAGATGGAGTCTTACTCTGTCACCCAGGCTGGAGTGCAGTGGTGCAGTCTTGGCTCACTGCGGCCTCCGCCTCCTGGGTTCAAGTGATTCTCCTGCTTCAGCCTCCTGAGTACCTGGGATTACAGGCACACATCACCATGCTCGGCTAATTTTTTGTATTTTCAGTAGACACGGGGTTTCAGCATGTTGGCCAGGCTGGTCTCGAGCTCCTGACCTCAGGTAGTCGGCCCACCTCAGTCTCCCAAAGTGCTGGGATTACAGGTGTGAGCCAATGTACTCAGCCTTTTATTATTATTTTTTATTTTGTAGAGACAGGGTCTTACTATGTTGCCCAGGCTGATCTTAAACTCCTGGCTTCAAGCAATCCTCCTGAGGTGGGATGAGTAATCCCACCTCAGCCTCCCAAAGAGCTGGGATTATAGGTGTGAGCCACCATGCCCGGCCAATAGAGGATTCTAAGTAACTTGTCCAATGACTCTAAGCTGGGATTCTGAATCCAGGTCTCTCAGGTCCTGAGTCTATTCCCTGATGAAACGGGAGTTTACCTGGCAAGTAACAAATGACTCTCCATGAGAAGGCAGGTGTTGATCAACAGGAGTTTTATTACTTGGCACAAGTAAGGAGGACATGGGCGTATTCCCCAAGCAGTGTGTCCCTGAGGGAAAGGGACAGCAGGGTCTTGTGGGATGATGGAGAGGGGAGAGGGCACGCCATTGCATGGAGGGGGGGTGTCCCCTGGTGCAGATGCAGTGAGTTCATGCCAGCAAATGGGTCGCGTGTCATGGTGATGAAACTGTGGCTCCTCCTGGAGTAGTCATGAGGAAAGCTCTTGGGTTCATTTATACGTTGCCCAGCTCTGTCAGGAGCTGGTTTTAACCAAGTAGGTGACCACATTTCTCACAGGGATTAAGAGAAGCAGGCTGCAGGGCAGGAAGCTGTGCACCAGGCTGATGGCTCTGTTGATTAAATTCCTGTAATCCCGGGGGACCCTCCCTGTCTGCTTACATGTCCATGTGTTTTCTGGTTCCCCAGGAGCCACAGAGGCAAACCAAGCGTGGAACACTATGATATCACACAGGTCACACTGTGTGAAGCCAGCCCTGGGTAAGGTGGACTGAGTGTAATATAAGTAGACACCAACAGACAAGAAAATGCTGGGGGCATAACCTCCTAAGGGGAGAAGTCCAAACTCATCCCCTGAGACTTTGCCATTAAGAAATGCAGGCCTTGTATGCTAAGAATTCAATCTTCAAAAGAGCCAATAGAAACTCAATGTTTTGTAGGAAGCTGCCTGTTATTTAATAGTTTGTTCATTCACCCACCTAATATCGATTCTCCTGTCTTGCTTGATAATAGAATTGCAAATTCATCAAGGCAGAAACGTGCTCACCTAAACACGGTGCTTCCCAGGCCCCCAGTGCCCTGGCCAACGGAACATGGGCAGAGGCCTGCTGGGGACACCTGAGAAAGTTTTACTTCCCGACCCAGGTAGCATTCCTCCCTTCTAGGTCCTTCTGTGTCCTTCTGTCTTCTTGTCTGAGGTGGAGTGGCCAGGGAACACCTGTAATGATGAGGTGGCCTTGAGAACAAAAGCACAAGCTAGAGACGGTGGGCTGGACAGCCCAGAAGCCTGGGGTCTGGGTAGCATCTCAGAGTCGCCATGTCAGCCCCTAGCTGCCTCCCTAGATTTCCTGGCCCACTAGAAAACAAACAAACAAACTCTATGAGGCTGAGCTGCTTGAGTTTCTCATACATGCAATGGCAATCTCTAACAAACATGGCAGCTGGTTGGAGCAGTTTTAAAATCCAAGCAGCAAACCCCAAACTCACAGCCGTGGCTGCACCAGTCCCTAGCCTGTGCAGTGACGGGCTCTGAGCAGGAGTGAAGAGTGTGCCCCTCCCTTCTCCAGTCTCCCATTCTTGCTGACCCTCTCAACAGCCAGGCTGGCCCTTCAGCATCACACTGCATTCCTGTACCTGCTGTGGGGGGACATCACCCTGGCTGCCCACAGCTAGTTTCTCTCAAGAAAGGCACACTTCTAAATCCCCTTCCCAGTTGGGCAGGGTCTCGGGATGACTTTTGGCTAATCGATGTGGGCAGGGCCTGAGCTGAAGCTTAGAAGAGTGCTGTGAGGGACCCACCCGAGTGTTTCTCCTGCTGCAGCAACTGCGGAGGCCTGGCGTTGAGATGGTGGGGTCACCAGATGAGGGCAGCCTGGATCACTGAGTCACTACATGGAGGAGGATGGCCAGAGAGTCACCTAGATTCACAGTGGACTTTGCAGGGATGAGAAATGAATGTGGTTGAAGCCATGGCATTTTAGAGTTATTTACTCTCCCAGCTCAGCCTGGTCTAATCTAATTCGCCTCCTGCTCCCATTGCAAATGTGCGCTAAGGGCAGGACTCAGGAGCTTGGGTTAGAATGTTTACTGTCAGGTTCAAAACCAGCCTGGCCAACATGGTGAAACCTTGTTTCTACTAAAAATAAAAAATTAGCCAGATGTGGTGGCACGTGCCTGTAATCCCAGCTACTCAGGAGGCTGAGGCAGGAGAATCACTTGAACCCAGGAGGCGGAGGTTGCATTGAGCCGAGATCATGCCATTGCACTCCAACCTGGGCAAAAAGAGCAAGACTCTGTCTCAAAAAAAAAAAAAAAAAAAAGAAAGAAAGAAAGAAGGAAAGAGAGAAAAAGAAAAGAAAAAGAATGTTTACTGTCAGGATGTACTCCTCAGTTGGGGGTGAGATTTGGGGCAGCATATTGAAGGGTATCTGTGGGTCTGGAGGAAGTGGCATATCTTCAGGTATCTCAAGTTATAGGTACCAGGTATGGGCTAAGGCACAAAAGCATAAGCCCTAGGTGTGGTGATCGGGGGCCTAGGGCTCCACTCGTGCCCACACAAAGCTCTGGGCCTCCAATCACTATATCATTCACCCACAATCACTGTTGAAAGTGACAAGGTCTTGCTTCAACTGGCTGAAGCTACAAAGAGAACGAACTGGCCTAGAAATCAAGAAGTTCTGGGTTTCAGGTGTGACTGAATCCAGGCGCTTAAATCACATTGTAAATCCTCCCTCCCATTTCACTCTCTCTCAACTGTTTCCTTTGGCGTTAGTGTCCCTCTGAAGCAGGTGTCCTAGACACAGTGGATCTCTGCACTCCAGCCTTCATTTGACCAGGGGTTGAGAGGCAGAGTGACTCCCCCAGGTGCCTTCCCATGGGAGTCCCGCCTGCACGGCAGCTTCCCCACCAGCCCCTGACACACATATCCAGGCTGGGGCTTGGGGTGCTCAAAGCAACCAGCACCTGCTGACCCCTGCCTGGTGGCCTCTTGATGCTTTCAAGCCTTGGGAGGTCCTTGTCTCCACTGAATATCCTCCAGGCCTCCTCATGGCTCTCCTTAACCCTGTTTCTATCCTGCCTGACCTTTCTAATAGGGTTCTGGAAAATAAAGGGAAATAGAAATGTGACAGATGACTGTGCTGTCTGATTAAGCATCTCATAGACACATGGAGGGGCTGCTGCTACCAGGTGCTGTGAAGAACTGCCCTAGGCCATTTCATTACATGCCTGAGGATAGGTTTCTCTTCTTTTCTTTTTTTTTCAGACAGGGTCTTGCTCTGCTGCCCAGGCTGGAGTGCAGTGGTGCCATCCTGGCTCACTGCAACCTCCACCTCCCGGGTTCAAGCAATTATCCTGCCTCAGCCTCCCGAGTAGCTGGGATGACAGGCTCTTGCCAACATACCTGGCTAATTTTTGTATTTTTTAGTAGAGATGGGGTTTCACCATGTTGACCAGGTTGGTCTTGAACTCCTGACCTTCTGATCCACCTGCCCCGGCCTCCCAAAGTGTTGGGATTACAGGCGTGAGCCACCGCACTTGGCTGAGGATAGGTTTCTTAAAGTGAGAGGGATTTGGTTCTTGCATTAGCTTCACGGTCGTGTTGTTTCCATGGGGCTCTCAGACATGACTTAGAGGAGGATCACTACACTGCATCTCAGGTGTGCTCGCCATCTTGTCTCCACCAGGAATGAACACTGTGTGTGTGTGTGCGTGTGTTGGCATGCGTGTGTGTCTACCCCCCCCAGGGATTTGTGCACTGTGTGTATGCATGCCAGCACTGGACTGTACCAGCCATGGCAGCAGCCACTGCTTGAACAGGTGTGATGGGTAGGGCACTCCATTACACATCAGATGGGAGCACCTAAGACTGTTTCCCCATTCCAGAGAAGACAGTGCTTGTGAGGATTCCCTAGTGGGAGCTGTCCGCAGGAATATCCAGGAGGGAAGTAGAAAGTGGGGCTGGGAAGAAAGGGAGACCCAGCAAGGATGTGGTATGAAGCCAAGTCTCACAGTGGATGACTTTGGAGACTGCATTGGATCTCAGGGCTGCCCACACCCAGGGCAAGAGGCCTGGTGTGTTTATACCCCTGTATATGCAGACACCGTCTGGCATTGGGTAAGTGTTGGCTGGGGTGGGGTTGAGGGGGTGCACATGTCCAGGTATTTCTGGCTCTTCCTTAAAGGCACACAAAGTAGATTCCGGAAGTTTAAGGTCAACCTTCCAACTAAGACACACCCCTTCTGGCTCGGGGTGAGTGCGAGGACAGGGGTCTGGTAAAGAGACCCAAGGAACTATGGGCAGAGTCTGACAGCATCCGCTACAGTAAGTTATGTAACCCTGAGAAAGTTCAACCCAACCCAACCTAAGACACTCACATCTAATGTTCATTATTCTCACTGAGTAGATGAGGAAATCGAGGCTTGAAAAGTTGAAGAAATCGATTGCACATCTCTGTACAGAAGCCAGAATTCAAACCCAGCCCCTCCCTGCCAGGACTGTTTCCATGCACGGGGCTACGCGGCCCTGGGAGAGCCCCTGGGCTGGCTTCATGAAGTGGAGGGTGAAATGATGAATGAGAGTCGTGCTCCCACAAAAAGCACAAGGGTGACTCCAGCAGACAGAGGACTGCCAAGGAGTGGCCCCAGCTCTTGGATCTGTTCATCTAGGCTGGGCCCCAAATCTCTCCCAAGACAGGTCCCTGGAGGTGGGGCCAGAAGTATGGGGAGGATTTTGCCCTTGTGAAGAAAGCTCAGCCTCAGAGCTCACAGTGTTGGGGGCCTGGAGGGTTGGACGGGAGAGCCCAGCACCTGGCGTGTGCTCATAAAGGATAGAGTCCTGGACTGAGGACTTGACTCCTAGGATATACACAGTCCAAACACTCCCGTAATATGACAGGAGAACTGAGGCCAAGAAAAAAAGACCTTGATCCAGGTCATGTGAGTTGCCAGGACTCCAGAAGTATGCTAGCACATACTTCTAATGCTACAGCACACATCTCAGGAACAGACAATTTCCTAAGAGCGGGTTTTCACCAGATCCTTCTCAGGGATCTTAGTCAGGGGAGGGCCACCTGGTTGCGAGTGACTGAAACTCATCTCCAGGTGGCCTGAGCAGCTCCCACAGCTGAAGGGACTGAATTGGCTCCCACAACTCAGAGGGCTAGAGACTGCTCCAGGCTCCCATGAGGCTGCCATGCACCTTCACACTCTGCTACTCGGCTTTGCTTTCTTCTGTGATTGCCTCAACCTTGGGCAGAGTCTACCTGTTTGTGGCCAGGTGGCGCTCGGCTGCCTCTTGAGATGTGCGAGCACCACCTCCTCAAGGATTCCAGCAGCATTCCCAGGGCAGAGGCTCAGCTTGGATCACACGCCTATCCCAGAGCCAACCCCTCACTTCTTATTGGCCAGGCCTAGGCCAAATGCCCTTCTGAAGAGTGTGTGTGTGTGTGTGTGTGTGTGTGTGTGTGTGTGTGTGTGTGTGTGTGTCTGTATGCTCACAAACTTTTTAGATTGACAGAAGTCTGGTTCCACAGAGAAAAATCAGGTCACTGTTACTAGAAGAATGGAACCTGGATATTAGGCTGGAAGGAGCTGCAGGAGCCCCGTCCTACAAATGCTGTTCCCTCACATGGACTCAGAAAGCTGGGAGGCCAGGGCAGGAGAATCACTAGAGGCCAGGAGTTCAAGACCAGCCTGGGCAACATAGTGAGACCCCATCTCTACAGATATAAATATTAGTTGGGTGTGGGGGTGCACCTGTGGTCCCAGCTTCTCAAGAAGCTGAGATGGGAGGATACTTTGAGCCCAGGAGGTTGAGACTGCAGTGAGCTGTGACTGCCCCACTGTACTCCAGCGTGGGCTGAGGCCCTGACTCAAAAAAGGAAAAAAAATAACAGCAGCTTTCAGGTTAAGGAAAGCTGTGGCATCAAACGCAGTGCAGTTCTTGATCCTTAGAGCAGGAGGGTGTCCTAGGTTGGGTTTTTCTGAAGCTGTGCCTGGGATTCAGGTACAAGTGAGTTTTCAAGGAGAGAGGAAAGAGAAAGGGCAGGCTAGAGAGGAGCAGGATCGGGAATGGGGAACACTGAGCAGAGGCCGTGAGCGCCCAGCTTGTCTTCACTGAGCTGGGAGCAGATCCCTCGGTTGCTGAGTCTGGGCTGCTGGTGACTCACCATTCTCTAGAGAATCACCTTGGGTTAACAAAGTTTATATTTCCCAGGATTGGCCCATAGCCAAGGGCTAACTGATATGGGAATATGAAAGAGCACCCCGTACCCTCAAGTGGGACAACTGGACGGTACTGTCTCCCCTCCCTTCCCAGAGCACCCTCTGTGATCAGGCTGAGGCCAGACTTCAGAGGAAACTACATCTTTGCCTGCCTCTTCACTGCTCCTCCTTGCTTTCCCCACTTCTGCACACATTTCATCAGAAAGTGTTCTCTGTAAAAGAGTTTCATAAAAATCCTCCTCTCAGGGTCTACTTCGAGGGACCCTAACACAGGTCCAGCTGCAGTGTTGCAATTTCAGGGCAAGGTCCTACACATAGCCTGATCCTGTGCTCTGGAGTCTAAATATACCCGAGTTTCTGCCACCTCAAGGCAAGGAAGGTGGGCTTTGCAAGCTCATACCAGTGATTAACCAGGATGAGGAGTGGAGGTGGGGAGCATAGCTTCCAGGCGTTCCTGGCTGTCTGCTTGGAGGAGGTGGCTCTGGTAGCCCAAGAGAAAGCGCCTGAAGACCCTTGCAGGTGGGGGCCTTTTGTAACCAAGCCCACGAAATAGAAGATGGGCTACTACAAAAGGATTCAAAGGATTGAGTGGGTCACCAGCACTGCCTACATCATAAGGAAAGAAACCAGGCTGCATAGAACTTTGAAAATCAAGATTTCTAATTTCGTACCAGCTTAACTATTGGCAGCCACAAGGGTGCTGTAATTAGCTGACAACAGGTTGCTGTTTATCAATTTGTTGCTACTCATGTAACAAGAAGTAGAGAATACAGTACTTATAAACCCTTGTAATGAAATATTTTTCCTTTATTGAGGCTGTGTTTATATAGATGCACATTAGTTTAAACTTCTTGACCTCATTTGCATTCTAAAATCATAGCCTCATAATTTCCTTTTCCCAAATGCATTCACTCTTAATTAATCTTAACCACTCTCGAGCTTTTCTGATTTCTATTATCACTATTTAAAGTTGAGAAGACTTTTAATGGATCTAAATCACATATTCAAATTAGTTTCTTTTTCTAAAGTTATAATGACTTGAAATTTTATTTCATTTGGGCCCAAAGTATTACCTGAAAAGTAATTTGATTGTTTTATAGTTTAAATCATCTGTGTGGAATAAAATTCATTAACCTTATTTACATGTGTGTAAAAATTATGATACTCTAACCAATTAACATTTATAAAAAGCGTGCAGTATTTTACAGCATGGAGTTTTGACTTGTACTCTGTCATCCACATCTCTGAGCCCATTTAGCTCCAGAAACCTAGGGATAGGTGTTGATTTCCAGTTTTGCTTAAAACTAGTAATTTAGTTGTTTCTCTAGACAATGTGGTATGTGGAAGTTGTGTCTTCACCTCGCAGGACTGAAGGAGCAGTGGGCTATTGAGGCTGAACTTCAGCATCATCTTCCCAGGAGAGCAGGGGAGCACCGACGCCCCAGAGGGCCTGTCCTGGAGGCCCTTACTGGGAGCTTGAGGCTATCTGTTGGGAAATGTCAAACCCTGGATATTGGATGCTTTCTTTCAGAGATCTACCCTGGAGATGCACAAACACGTCATTCTTTGGACAGCCCTTCCAGGGCACAGTGCTGGAGATTTGTTTTCCTTTTTTTTCTTTCTTTCTTCTTGTTTTTTTGAAACAGAGTCTCACTCCGTCACCCAGGCTGGAGTGCAGTGGTGCGATCTCAGCTCATTGCAACCTCCACCTCCTGGGTTCAAGTGATTCTCCCGCCTCAGCCTCCCGAGTAGCTGGAATTACAGGCGTGCACCACCACACCTGGCTAATTTTTTTATTTTTAGTAGAGACAGCCTTTCACCATGTTGGCCAGGGTGGTCGCAAACTCCTGACCTCAAATGATCCGCCTGCCTCAGCCTCCTGAAGTGCTGGGATTACAGGCATGAGCTGCCCCACCTGGAGATTCTTTCCAAAGCAAGCCTCAAGGAGTTCCTGATGTGGTTAAGACACTCACCTACGAGGCTGAGTGCAGTGGGTCTAGCTTTGGCTTTGTTTTTAATTTAAATTTTATTTCAACTTTTATTTTAACTTTGGTGGGTACCTGTGTACATTTGTTACATGAGTGTATTGTGTGATGCTGAGGTTTGGGGTACGATTGATCCCATCACCCAGTTAGTGAGCATAGTACCCAATAGGTAGATTTTCCAGCCCCTGCCCTCTCCCTCTCTCTCTCTCTCTCCTCTGGGTGTCCCCAGTGTCTGTTGTTTCCATCTTTGTGTCCATGTGTGTTCAATGTTCAGCTCCCACTTGTCAGTGAGAACATGCAGTGTTTGTTTTTCTATTTCTGTGTTAATCCTCTTAGGATAATGGCCTCCAGCTGCATCCATGTTTCTGCAAAGGACATGATTTTGTTCTTTTTTTATGGCTGCATAGTATTCCGTGATGTGTATGTACCACAATTTCTTTATCCAGCTCACCATTGATAGGCACATGGGTTGATTCCATGCCTTTGCTGTTGTGAATGGTGCTGTGGTAAACACATGAGTGCAGGTGTCTTTTGTGGTAGGATGATTTATATTCCTTCAGGTCTATACCAGTCATGAGATTGCTGGGTCAGATGGTAGTTTGATTTTTAGTTCTTTAAGAAATATGTGAACTGCTGGCTGAGCCGATGTGCGTTCCCATCAGCAGTGGATAAGTGGTCCTAGGCTGTAGCTTGAGTCCAGGCTTTGGCTCCTACTACCTGTGTGATCCTGCATTTCAAGTTCTCTGTCACCTGGACCATCAACAGAGCCTCCTTGCAGGCCCTGTGTGCTGCCCTCACCCCCAACATTTCTTTTGCTTTATTTATTTCGAAGCATGAGCCAATCGGATCAATATCTACTCATGAGGTTTCCATCGCTTTCCATTGCTGCCTGCATGGACAGAGCCGCTCACCTTGGCCATCTCGCCCACCAACCGACCCCTGCCCCCCAGCCCCACTGCCCTGCATCCATCTTTGCACTTACCGCATCCTCCCGAGCCTTGCTGTTCCTTTGCTTGGAGTGTCCTTCCCTTCCTTCCTTGCCAAGTAATCTCTAACTCACCATTCCTGCTTCAACTTGAAGGTCACTTTGACTTCCTTGACTGGGTCACATCACACATGGGCCTCTTGTAGAAGAAGTTGCTAATCTTCCTCTCTGTCATGGCCCTGACCACAGTTGCAATTTCCCATTTGCTATTGTGATTGTATCCTATCTCTCTCTTATGCAAAAGCTCTGTAAACAAAGTAAAAAAATAACAGATGCTGGCGAGGCTATGGAGAAAAGGGAATGCTTATATACTGCTGGTGGGAATGTAAATTAGTTCAGCCATGGTGAAGAGCTGTTTGGAGATTTCTCAAGGAACTTGGCACTGCCATTCTTCCCAGCAATCCTATTACTAGGTATATAATTGAAAAGAAAACAAATCCTTCCACCCTAAAGACACATGCACTAGTTTCTTCATCATAGCACTATTCACAATAGCAAAGACATGGAATCAACCCAGGTGCCAATCAGCAGTGAGCTGGATGAAGAAAATATGGTACATATCACCATGGAATACTACACAACCATATAAAAGCATGAAATCATGTCCTTTCCAGACACATGGATGCAGCTGGAGGTCATTATCCTCAGCAAATTAATACAGAAACAGAAAACCCAAGACCACATGTTTTCTCTTATAAGTGGGAGTTACACAGTGAGCGCATGTGGACACAGAGATGGCAGCATCAGACACCAGGGCCTACTTGAGGGTGTGGAGGGGAGGAGGGTGAGGATTGAAAAACTACCTATTGAGTACTATGCTTAATACCTGGGTGATGGGATCATTTGTACCCCAAACCTCGGTGACACCCAATTTACTCATGTAACAAACCTGCACATATACCCCTTGAATCTAAAATAAAAGTTGAAAAAAAACAAAGCTCTGTAAAGTCAAGGGCCAGTTGGTTTCTCACTTCCCAGTCTCTTCCCACCCTGTAGCTTAGGTCTGGCTTCTTAATTAACAAATGTTGAGTTAATTATGAGCAAGTATGATCTCATTGTTCCCTTACTTTAAAAGAAGGAAACTCAGTCTCACAGTTTCCCTATGAGGTTGATACTCAGTGAGGGTATATGTAAGGAATCTAGCCAGTTGCCCCCAGCTGTACCACCTCTGTCCTGCCCTGGGGATATGTAGGCTTCTGGCTGGGAGCCAGCAGCGGTGGGGCGGGACACAGTTCCATTTAGTGATCTAGGTGCACACACCTGATCACAGGCGAGTAAGAAAACCACAGCACGGCTCTGATTCACACCTCTGTCTTTGATTTTCTATTTCTAACACTCTGGGCAGTGAATCCCATCAAAAATAAATAAGATAATCCCATCAAGAGTCAAGAAGACAATGAAGACAGTGCATTGCTCTTGGAAGCTTTGTCTTGAATTTCAGATTCCTCTTGGGCTCAGAATTACCCACCTGAAATGAGAAAGCTGGATGAGGCGCTCCCACCCAACAGGCACTGCCCCTCAAGACCCAGCCTTTCTCTGGGCTCCGGACAAAATTGAGCCTCAGGCGTCTCTGTGAGCTGGGCTGATGGACGTCATTTGCTCAGGTACGTCCCTGGTGAGAACGTCCTGTCACTATATCCTTGGCTTCTGGCTTTGGCTATGTTTGCATTTTGGCTGTGCAGGCCATGGGAAAGTGACAGTGAACCTCAGAAACGTCCCCAAAATCCCCGGGCCTCAAATGACAAGAGTGACAGTTGGCAGATAGTCAGGAAGCTCCTGGGCATTATTTTGGGGAAAATCTCTACAGGACAGAAAGAGGACTGTGAGGACTGTTACCCAGTCTAGGAATATTACAGGGCTGGATATGTCTCACTTTCCTTCAGAAGGGAAACAGGCTGGGTGCGGTGGCTCATGTCTGTAATCACAGCATTTTGAGAGGCTGAGCCGGGAGGATCATTTGATGCCAGGAGTTCCAGACCAGCTTGGGCAACATAGCAAGACCCCGTCTTTACAGAAAATAAACATATCAGCCGTGTAAGGTGGCATGTGCCTGTACTTCCAGCTCCTTGGGAAGATTGCTTGATCCCAAAAGTCCGAGGCTACGGTGAGCACCACTGCACTTCAGTTTAGAGGACAGAGCAAGACTCTGTCTCAAAAAAAAAAAAAATGCACAAAGGGAAACTTGTGGCCCGAGTGCAGAGACATGGTCCCAGCTCCACTTGGTTCTGCTGTGGGCCGACTCAATGACCGCAGCCTACCGCCTCCTCTCTGCTGGTCTTGGGTCTTCCTTTTGTAAAAAGAGCATGGTCATGATGGGTTGACACCCTCTGAAGCCCTGAGCCAACTCTCATTCTTCAATGTCTTCTGGCCAGGGCCACTTGCATAGTAGTCCAAGGAATTCTAGGCGTTTGGGTCTCCAACCTGCTGCTAAATTGTGTGGGTGCAGACTGGGTGCTTTTATTCACAGCCTAAGGCATGGTGGTTTTCTTTCGGCCAAGATGCAAATTTTCTTCTATTTAATGTCAATGGGCCCCAGGCAGCTCTGTCTCCCTGAAGGCCCCTCTGCTTCTTCACTGCTCGGAAAGAGGAGAGGCAAGCCCATGGCTGTTCTGTGCGGTGCCTGAGACATGTGAATTCCCACCAGCTCGTTGAGAATGATATTCAACAGCGACCCTTGCAGACCTCCTGGTACCATTAACTCTCCCTTAATGCCTCGAGGCCCTGTTCCTTTTGCAGTCTGGTTTTCTTGTGTGACTGAGCAGAAATTATGTCTCCAAGATCTTGGTGGCATTTGCAGGTATTCATTAGTCCTGAAAACACACCTGCGTTGCGCTCAATGCTGCAGGCACCTGCGTTTCTCCAGGACTCAGAGCACTCTGGTCAGAGCAGGTTTTCTGGTTTTCTAAACAACAGTAATTCAGACCTCACTGGCTCCTGGCAGGACCTCGGTTCTCTGAAAACTTTCTTCTCTGAGTGATTTAGAAAATACCAGCAGTGGGCCTCACACTGACCTGGAAATAGTCATCCATGTTTGGAGAGTTGAATAGTATCCCCCAAAATTCATATCCACCACGAACCTCAGAATGTGACTTTACTTAGAAATAGGGTCTGCACGTTAATTAAGATGAGGTCATACTGGATTAGGGTGGGCCCAAAATCCAATGGCTGGTGTCCTTCTAAGAAGAGGACACACACACACACACACACACACACACACAAACACACACACATACACGAGAAGGCCATGTGAAGACAGAGGCCCAGACTCAAGTGATGTTTCCACAGGCCAAGGAATGCCTGGGGCCCCCAGGAGCTGGAAGAGGCCAGGGATTCTCCCCTGGAACCTTCAAAGGGAGCATGGCCCAGCTGACACCTGTGGATTTTGGACTCCTGGTCTCTGGGGCTATAAGAGAATATATTTGTCCAAGTGTCTGGTTTGTGGTATGTATCTGCCGTGGCAGCCTGAGGAAACTGCTGAACATGCTTCTGCACCAGCCCTTCTTTGACATTCTCCCCATGAAACCGACTCGAGGATGGGGCTCCTGAAACTGCGCTTATTGCTGTCCCTGGTAGCCATCCTTGCTCCTGTTCTGCGAGGAAGTATTTGGTTGTAAGTCAAGGCTCCTGGGATGGCAGTGACTTCAGTGACAGGACTGCGCTTTTCTATTAGGGTGGTAAATATAAAAGCAGGATGTTTGTGGGATTTTAGAAGCTCGGAGTCTGCCAAATTCATTCCTTGGGGTTCTCTCCATCTCGCCTCATGGTTGCAGAATGGCTACTGGAGATCTGAATATTCTGTATCTACAAGCAGGAAGGACTAAAGGACACAGCTGTCTTTCTTTTTTAACCAAAGAAGAAATGATTATCTGAAGCCCCTGGCAATTCCTCAAGTCCCGTCAGCCAGAATTCACCCTTTGCCCACCCTGGCCACCTCCCATGAGGGCAAGTTTCTTGGAGAGCTCAGTGCCAGGCACCTGTGTCCAGGAAGCTGGCTGGTCAGCAGCTGCTGCTCCCAGCTTTCCCGCCTTGCCAGCCGGCTGTGAACTTAAGCTTCCTTTTCTCTGCTGGGATGCTCCTCTGCTCACTCGTACCCCAAGCGGTGGCCTGTGCTGGGTCCTTTCTAGGTCATTACTGTTCTGCTGCGGGTCCCACTGCCAAGTGACCCAGTCTTCACCAGCCCCTTGTGGATTGTAGCAGAGGGGATGGACTAACCCAGCTCACATGCCTGTGAGGCCAGCGCTCGCCTCTCATCCAATCACTCATTGCTAGGAGGTCACACAGGCGATCGCATACCCAGTGGGGTCAGTGGGTGGGGCTGATTTTGGAGAATGGGCTATGCTCAGGGTTGAAGCCTTAGCGTATGTCTAATGTGAGGTTTGTCCACCAGAATGTTGCCATGAAAGAAGGTGAAATGTCGAGAGAGTGGGCAAGTCTCACCCAGACTGACCCGTGGACTCAAGACTTTATCTGTTTCACTGTTAGTTAGGTGCATTAAAAATAAAGTAAAATAAGGTTGGGTGCGGTGGCTCGTGCCTGTAATCCTAACATTTTGGGAGGCTGAGGCAGGCAGATCACCTGAGATCAGGAGTTCGAGACCAGCCTGGTCAACATGGCAAAACCCCGTCTCTATGAAAAATACAAAAATTAGCCAGGCGTGGTGGTGCAAGCCTGTAGTCCCAGCTACTCAGGAGGCTGAGGCAGGAGAATCGCTTGAACCCGGGAAGCAGAGGTTGCAGTGAGCTGAGATCGTGCCACTGCACCCCTAGCCTGGGCGACAGCGCAAGACTCCATCCCAAAATAAAATAAAATAAAATAAAAATAAGAGAAAAATAAAGTAAAATAAAAATGAAAAGTAGAAAGGCCCCTGGGCAGGACAATGTTTGCCTTTAGAACATCCAGCTTTCCTTTCACAGCTAGTGTCCTCTTCTCCTTCTTTCATCACAATCCCACCTTTGGTAAAGTATGGTTTATCTTACGTGTTTTAGCTCAAGCTTAGAGTATGGTCATTGTGGCAGAGGACTCCTGGGCCTAGAGCTGGAGCCCAAGAGAGCATTCACAGAATTCCTGGAGCTAGGGCCTAGGGAGGGTGAGGGGACACTGTATATGCAACCCAGACCCCTTTCAACAGCCAAGGATTTATTCCCAAGCTGTTGGAGGACAGCAGAAGATGGCCCTCAGCTGTGCTTTGTATAGTATTTTTGCTGAAGAAAACAGCCTCAGCCAGGTGCAGTGGCTCACACTTGTAATCCTAGGACTTTGGGAGCCTGAGGAAGAAGGATCGCTTGAGCTCAGGAGTTCAAGACCAGCCTAGGCAACATAGCAAGACCCCGTCTCTAAAAAATACATCGATAAATAAATTATCCAGGTGTAGTGATGTGCATCTGTAGTCCCAGCTACTCAGGAAGCTGAGCCAGGAGGATGACTTGAGCTCAGGAGGTAGAGGCTGCAGTGAGCTATGATCGCATCACTGCACTCCAGCCCAGGTGACACAGCGAGACTCTGTCTCTTAAATAAATAAATAAATAAAAATTACAGAAAAAGAAAAAAAAAAGCCACACCCAAGGTGACATAGGCTTCCCAATAACTGGTCAATGAAGGCTATAAAGTTTCAGCCCCTCCCCCATCAGGAGCATCTCTGCAGGGCCACTGAAGCTCCAAAGCTCCCTGCAAGGCGGCTGCAGTCTTTGTTGGTCCCAATCCCAGCCGGATATCTCCCTCTCCCTCTGCCTAATCCTGCTTCTTTCCCCTGCATCCAACAGATATTGATCCCAATAGCATCTTCTAGTAAGCATCGTGACTGCTTCTCTCCATCTCAGAGCCTGTTCCCTGGGAAACCTAGTCCTGCGTGGAGTGCCCTGAGGCTTATAGGCTTTGTGCCATAAGGTTGAACCCATGCCTGGAGCAGTCCCACAATATTACAGACACCTCGGAGCTGAGGGACAAGGCAGGGGCTGCTGGACAATGGGCCTTGCCACCAAGCCTTGCTTCATGTCTGGCTCCTATGTGACCCCTTCTAGAAAGCCCTCAGGAAGACTGATCAGGCAAGGTGCTAGCAGAGGGTGGGCTGCCCAGGTCCACTGGCAGACACCCAGGTGGCATGTGATCTTCTGGAGCAGCACAGGCTCATGCTGTGACATTCAACACCATAGATGTCTAAGGGAAAATGGTGGGGGTGGGGGGCAGTCTGCTTCATGTAGAGCCCTGATGCCTGGGGCTCTGTCCTCGGCCATGGGGTGACCCTGGGCTAAAGTGTTGGCTTTCTGCATGAAGCATTCAGCTCCTAGAGGTGGGCAGGTGGAAAACCCCACACCCCCACACTGAGAGCACTGGGAGGATGACCTCCGAGGGACCCCATGAATGAGGCTTGTTCTGTTGGAAGAATCCCGGCCTCGCCAATCTGTTCATCACAGATAATTAATCTTCTTCCTGCCCATCCACTGTCCCCTCCCCACTACTAAAAACAGATTTTTTAAAAAAGGCCCAGGAAGAATTCTCCATTCATCCTGCATGACTTGCAAAATTTGAGTTAAGGGCCCCCAGGGGTCTTTGTTATTTTTATGTGACACTGATTAACCACTTTGCACTCCCCTGCATCTGAGCTCACAGTCACTGACATTTTTGCACAGAAAAGCAACTTTTCTGAACTTCGTTCCTTCTTGTAAACAGAAGCATTAAAACTGCTCCCAGCTGGGCCTGGTCTTTCAGCGACAATCTTTGGTTCCCTGAATCTTCCTGTAGGATCCTCTCTCTCTACTGCACGTCTTTAGGGCCATCACTGGGGAACAGAGCACTGGAAGCAAATCTTAACAGACTATTATTTTTAAAGGATTTTTGTCTTAATAAACATAAGAAGTCTGAATCCTTGTGAGACTGGAAAGATATGCCCTTGTGTGAATAATTCCGACACCCTCAGCCCTCAGTGAGATTTGAAGATCAGATTCTTTGAAGGCAGGGGTCTTGGTAAAAAGCAGCAGCCTGAGCTCTGCTGGGAGTGCTGCCCCCATTCTCCTTTGATCTGGGCCTTTGTCTTGGGGAGTGTATTAGCCTGGCTTCTCCAGAGTAATGGAACCAGTAGCATAGAAATAAATATAGATATAGGTGTAGACACGTGGATATACAAAGAGATTTACTATAGGGAATCAGCTCCTGTTTACTATTGGCTCAGATTTACTATAAGGAATTGGCTCAGATTATAAAGGCTGAGAAGTCCAAGTCCTACAGCTATCAAGCTGGAGACCCAACAGAGCCAATGGTTTAGCTCTAGTGTGAGTCCAAGGGCCTGAGAACTAGGAGAGCAGATGGTATCAGTTTCAGTCCAAATGCAAGTCCAAGGGCAGGATACAACAGACATCCCAGCTCTAAGACAGTCAGACAGAGAGAAAGAATATTTTCTCACTCAGCCTTTTATTGTATTTAGGCCTTTAACAAATTGCATGAGCCCTGCCCCCACCGCACCCCCCACGTCTGACCACTGCCGCCGCATTGAGTAACTCTGCTTTATCCTGTCTATCCATTTTGATGTGAATCTCATCTAGAAACACCCTCATTGATATGGTTTGGCTGTGTCCCCACCCAAATCTCATCTTGAATTGTAGCTCTCCGAATTCCCACATGTTGTGGGAGGGACCCAGTGGGAGATAATTGAATTTTGGGGCAGTTTACCCCATACTGTTCTCGTGCTAGTGATTAAGTCTCATGAGATCTGACGGTTTGATAAGGGGTTTTCACTTTCGCTTGGCTCTCATTCTTTCTTCTCTGCCACCATGTAAGACATGCCTTTTGCCTTCTGCCATGATTGTGAGGCCTCTCCAGCCACGTGGAACTGTGAGTCCATTAAACCTCTTTTTCTTTAGAAATTACTCAGCGTGGGGTATGTCTTTATCAGTGGTGTGAAAACAGACTAATGCATTCATAGACACACCCAGAATAATGTTTAATAAAACCAAATGTCTTGGCACCCCACAGCAGTCAAGCAGACACATAAAATTAACCAGCGCAGAAAGGAAGGAGCTAATGATACAGTGGATTAGTCAAAGAACCCCCCATAGTCCCTTGGCCAGGTTTGGGATTAGAGAGGCAAGGGAGCTGATTTGGGACTGCAGTGAACATGCAGGAGTGCCTCTGGATGCTTTCTGTCTCTCAGAGCTGGAGGATCCCGTGCACATCACTTCCCCAGCATGAGCCCCTCTGCGGGTCCTGCAGGCCTCCAGGCTTCTCCGGCTGGGTGTCCCTTGCTAGCTCGTGGCCCTGGCCCATGAACCACAGTTCAAGTGGGGTTTTCATCCTCACTGGGCTCACCCTTGGCATAAAGAAGACGTGGCCTTCTCCTAGGAGAAGGATCTCTTATGGAGATCCTGAAAGCAAAGATTTTCATTTGAGAAAAAGGCATCTCACAAAAAGTCACCTGCCATGGTTGGGATGCTTTGTTCCCTCCAAATCTCATGTTGAAATGTGGTCCCCAGTGTGGGAGGTTGGGCCTGGTGGGAGGCGTTGGGTCATGGGGGTGGATCCCTCATGGATGGCTTGGTGCCATCCTCCTGGTGATTAGTTTGTGGGAGAGCTGGTTGTTAGAAAGCCTGACACTCCTCCTCTCTCTCTGCTCCCTCTCACACCATGTGAGGCCTGCTCCCCTCTGCCTTCTGCCATGAGGAGAAGCTTCTTGAGGCCTCACCAGGAGCTGGGCAGAAGCTGGTGCTGTGCTGCTTGTACAGCCCGCGGAATCATGAGCCAATTAAACCTCTTTTCTTTATCAATCACCCAGCCTCAGGCATCCTTCATAGCCACATGAGCGGACTAACACAGCAGGCAGACGTGGGTCCTCTGTCAATTAGGAATTCTATCAGCCCTGAATAGTTAAGACGTGGAAATTAGTGGCTTAAATAAAACAAAATAACAGAAAAACACACAAAAGAATGAAAACATCGTATTTTTTCCTCAGGTAATGAAAGCTGTGAGCAGCCAGAGCTGTATGCAGCTCCACTGGCATGGAGGATCCTGTCTCCCTCCTCCTGGCAGCTCTGCTTGTCTTGGGCAAGGACCCTCAGGTTCCTGATTCTCCGATGAATCTGTGTGATGCAAGGGAGAGAGGGGGGTGAGTCTGGCAGTGATGGGTGTAGAGAAAGGAGCCTGTCCTCTCAATCAACCCCTCTCCTCTTTGACAGAACTTTCCCGAAAGTTCTGTCCCATGACTTCAGCTGACTTCTCATTGGCCGTCCCTGCCTGGAAGGAAGCTGGGATTTGAACCTCTGACACCCTCGAGAAAACTGTGACTCTGCACATTGGTATCCTAGCCACCTGCTCGCTGGTGCCTGTTTGCAATTGGACTGCCTGACCTTCCTTGCCCTCTCAGCCCCGTTTGTTCTTAGTGAAAGTTTTAGTATGATGTCAGGCCCTGTGTTCTTTCTCCCACTTGCTCTGAGTGTTTCTGTGTTGCAGTTATCAGGGACAGAACAATGATATCCTACTTTAAGCCAGAAGAGTGATCTATAGGCTCCAGCAACCACACTGTGAAGGAGCAGGATGGAGCTCTCCTTGGCCCTTCCCAAAGTCAGGGCACAGGAAGCTATCGGGTCTCTAGTCCCCCTCTCTGTCTTTCTCCCGTTCCTTTCACTTTCCTCTGCACATGGACTTTGGCTATGTTCCATCTACTTAAATCACTTTTGCCTCCCATCACAGGTCAAGGATGGGGGTGTACAGACTCCTGTCCTTCCACTCCACAACCAGAGCAGACAGGACTCTTCTCCACCCGCCCCAGTGTGAAAAATCCCAGAGAAGACTCTGATTGGCCCACCCAGGTCATGTGCCCATCTTTTGTCCAATCACAAAGGGCTGGGAATGAGATCATGCAATAGAATCAGTTGTTTTTTTTTTTCCATTTTTTGTAGACAGGGTCTTACTGTCACCCAGGCTGGAGTTCAGTGGTGTAATTATGGCTCACTGCAGCCTCAAACTCCCAGGCTGAGATGATCCTCCCACCTCAGCCCCCAAAGTAGCTGGGACCACAGGCACAAGCCAACATGACCCAGCTAATTTTTGTGTGTGTATAGAGATGGTGTCTCACTATGTTGCCAGGCCAATCTCAAACTTCTAGGCTCAAGCAATTCTCTCACCTCAGCCTCCAAAGTGCTGGGATTATAGGCATGAGCCACCACACCCAGCTGTAATAGGATTTTATTTTTATTTTTATTTTTGAGACGGAGTCTTGCACTCCAGGTTGGAGTGCAGTGGTATGATCGCAGCTCACTGCAACCTCCGCCTCCCAGGTTCAAGCGATTCTCCTGTTACAGCCTCTCAAGTCACTGGGATTACAGGCACGCACCACCATGACCAGCTAATTTTTGTATTTTTAGTAGAGACAAGGTTTCACCATGTTGGCAAGACTGGTCTCCAACTTCTTACCTTAGGTGACCCACCCACCTCGGCCTCCCAAAGTGCCACCGCACCCGGCCCTGTAATAGGATCGTTTATACCTCTTCAGAGCTCATGGCTAGATCAGGGCTGAGGAGCGGAAGCCAGAAGGGAGCAGCCATTCCTAAAAATGGGGAATGGCAGGGGTGCAGCGGCAGAAGGAATTGTGTTTCATTAGGCAGCCACCCCAGGTCCTGGGAGCTGCACTTTCCGTGTCTGTTTTCCCACTGATTCATATGTTGCCCTTCCTTTGCTCTGCTCTGCATAGCAAGGGATCTGACTGCTATGGGCTGCTTTTCCCAGGCTTCCGCCTTTGCCTCCAGTTGGGGACAGCGATGAGATGCACTGGGGAGACTGCAGGATGCGAGAAGCCTGGTGTATCTTCCCCTTCCTCCCTGTCTCGGGCAGCTTCTCTGGCAGCAGCTGGTCTTTTCTGTGGCTCTGGCTCTGGCACGGGATGTCCCTGTGGTCTGAGTTTCAGAGGGCTGACCTCGGTCCCACAAACTCTGCCTCCTCCCTTGATCCCACTGGCCCAGGGAAAGTCGTGTCTTTCTTTTCTTACTAATCTCTGGGTTTACATGATTTCTGTAACCATTTAGCTGCATTAAACTCCTCCTGTTGTAAAAACTTAGTTGTTTTCCTGTTTCGGCCTGATTTGTGCACCTCCTTCCTCCATACGCACTGCTGCTCCTCCTCATTTACAGGAGACACAACCTTTCTCCCTGGACTTTTGCAATGGAAGCCTAAGCTCTAATCTGGGAATAAAAGTCTGTGTCTCCTGTAAACAAATTTCAGACTTCAGTGAGCAGGTGCAGGAAGAATGCTCTGAATAGGGAAGTGGGTTGCGGGAATCCCACCCCTCTAGGCAGTCAGCCATTCAGGTCTTTCAGAGGATGCAACTGGCTTTCAATTAGCTGCCAGTGGGCGTGCCTGGAGAATCCTAACCCAGACCTTCCTTCCCTGCCTGTCTCCACCTGCCCGTCAGGAGTAATGAAGACTTTTAATGTGAGCAGACAAAAAAACGAAAGCAGAAAGTAAACCCGCAGCAAAACAACCAGCGCATGAGGAAATCCCAGCCAAACGGTTCTGGGGCTCCTGTGTGACCTGCATTCTCTGTTATACAATCAATTAAGAGTCGACACAATAATGAATTTTTTACATTTGATTACACACACCCTGGGATGTCAGTCCAGGTAAAGGTCACACTCCTGTTATACTAGCTGGAAAAACAGTGCTAGATGACTTTTTCCAGCGCTCTGATTTGGGGAATGGAAATGGTGTTTATACTGTTTTTTTTTTCCTCTGGACTAATGCTACATGTGAACTCATTTATTTTCTCAACATCAGACCCCTCAGCCTAACTGAAATCATGTTCCTCACCTGCCTCTTCCCTCTTGTTTTAATAAGCAGGGGTTTCTGCAACAGTTAAGAGTAATGCAGTGTCTGCCGTTGTAGCGACATCTAAGATTCACAGAGGCTTACAAAAATAAGACTTATTCTTCACTGTGGGCCAAGTCCATGGAGGGCGGGGCACTGCTCCACGTGTCCTCCCTCTGGGGCCCAAGCCAACGCAGCGGCCGCTCTCTTTAATATTGTTAGTGCCTGGGGCAGAGGGCAGCTTATTCTGACCACAGTTAATGGTCATAGAAAGTCCCATGGTGACACCCAATTTTTTTCTGACCCCTACCATCTTCCCAAAGTTGTATCTCTAGCTCTGACTTTAATTGAATCTCTGCTTTGATGTCTTATCGTAATCTCAAATGTATGGCTGGGCATAGTGGCTCCTGTCTGTAATCCCAGCACTACCAGAGGCTGAAATGGGAGGATCACTTGAAGCCAGGCATTTGAGACCAGCCTGAGCAACCTAGCAAGACCTCATGTCTATAAAAGCGAGAAGTAAAAAATGAGCTGAGTGTGGTGGCACATGCCTGTAGTCCTAGCTACTTGGAAGGCTGAGGTGGGAGGATTGCTTGAGCCCGGGAGGTAGAGACTGCAGTAAGTCATGATCGTACCACTGTACCCCAGCCTGGCCAACAGAGCAAGACCCTGACTAAAAGAAAAAAAAAGTCTCAAATGTAATGTTAACAAAATGGGACTCTTAATTTTCTATACTTCTAATTACCTCTCATCTCAGTAAATGATACCCTTCTCTACCCACTTGCTTACGTGAGAAATCCAGGCATCATTCCCAATTTTCTCTCTTTCTTTCAGTTGCCACATTCAGCCCACCTGCAAATCTTATTCAAAAAATAGTTTTGGAATCTGCCTTTCTCCATATTTATTGCATCCACTTGTCTTAGTTTTGGTTTCCCTTAGAAGTGGATCCTGCTATAAGGATTAAAATGCAAATTATTTATCTGGGTGGTATCTGAAACACTGATAGGGGAGTGGGAAAATGAGACAGGTGAGACAGTGACTGTAAGGTTAAAAGAAAACCTGGCTGGGTGCAGTGGCTCATGCCTGCAATCCCAGCATTTTGGGAGGCCAAGGCAGGTGGATGACCTGAGGTCAGGAGTTCGAGACCAGACTGACCAACACAGTGAAACCCCTCCTCTACTAAAAATACAAAAATTAGCGAGGCGTGGTGGTGTATGCCTGTAATCTCAGCTACTCAGGAGGCTGAGGTAGGAGAACTGCTTGAACCCGGGAGGCGGAGGTTGCAGTGAGCTGAGATCACACCACTGCACTGCAGCCTGGGCGACAGAGAAAGACTCTGTAAAAAAAAAAAAAAAAGAAAAGAAAGAAAGAAACAAAGGAAAGGAAAGGAAAGGAAAGGAAAGGAAAGGAAAGGAAAGGAAAGGAAAGGAAAGGAAAGGAAGGGAAAGGGAAAGAGAAAAGAAAGACCTTAAAACAAAGGAATCCCCTTCTATTTCCATGGTTGTGGCAGGGTCATTACTAAGCCAGATCCAACTGTGGCTAACTAGAGCTGAATCCTGTGGGAACCCCCTAGAAAATGATATAGAACCTATGTCTTAGGGTTATCCTTTTAGCATGGGGGCTATATCATCAATGGAGAGCTGGTCCTGGTGAATATTAATTTTTTGGATTTCTAGGCTGTGCTACAAGCAGGCAGACTGGCTTCAATATGACTTTGGAAAAAGTCTTCCTGAAAAAAGACACAGGTATTGGCAATTTGAAGTCAGCTGGCTCACTGCACTGATATGGCTAGGAGGAATATGGATGGGAGACCAACAGCATTCACCATGGTCCATCCTTTTTCCCCTCAGGTCCACTTGTGACCCACATTAAATTTACCCTGATAACAACTTCTTTTCATGGTCAATCACAGTTTGTCAATCATCAACAGGAAATTTTGTGGGACAAGCTATAGCTGGGGCCAGTTGCTCCTGAGGTTGGGGCTTCCTATTCAATATCTCACTCCTTTGCCACCACTTCTATGCTCCTATCACCATCTATCAGCATTCAGCATGCTATAGGCTGCTTGCCTGGTCACCTGGACTTTCATGCCTGATGGATCTGGGCATTTGGTTCTCATACCTTTGTCAAGCCATGGCTTTGAAGTTACCCATTAGCAGTTATCAACAAACAAGGAATCATCAAGATTTGCTGCCCAAGTAAGTTCCCTGAGCTCCAAAAACTCCTCCTGGCTTCCCCTACACAGCAGCAACTCTGTCATTCATGATAAGCTTGGCCAATACCCTGTCAGGCTGGTAACTCCTTTCTTTGCTTACAGGTTTACTGAGGTAAGGAACTGCAAATGACAAGCCAGCAGCTGCAGCTTCAGATTCAGTGGAATCCATACTGTGTCCCTGGTGGCAGTGTTTCTTCCAGGGTGTCTAGCCCAGCAGAGCCTGAAGCTTTGGGGACAGGCAGCAGAAATTCCCCAGGTGGGCCATTTGACTTAATAGCAGAGTCTCCTCCTATTTTCACTCCTTGGTTCCCAGACAAGTGTGCCCTATCTATTGTGGACACAGTACCATACATAGTCTTTGGTTCCAAATAGAGATTGCATTTTGAAAAATACCACCCCTAAACCCACAAAGGACTCTTCCTAATCTGATGCTCATGTCCTTGAAGTGGCCATTTCAGCATTTTCTCAGGCTGCTGGCAGCTCTGGGTGATGTAGTGTATTAGCACCAGTGGTCTCAGTGGTGTGTTTGTAAACTGGTTTGTGTGTAGGGGAAGGGGGAGGGATGTCCGATTTGTAAAGATTGCCCAAGTTTTGTTATGTAAATGCTTTCGCTATTGCCAATTTCAATCACCCAGAGATTTCACAACTGCCTCTCAAAATTCTTGAATATTTAACAGCCAACTCTCCTAAGCCAATACAAACTGGCTCCAATGCACATACCATGGATTGGAGTCCTTGGTTATCTGCCATTGTGGAAACTCTTTCATTGTAAATTTGGTCCCTTGGTGGGAGCCAATGATATGTGAGATTCTCTGAACAACCAGACACTGAGACTCTTCCGGCAGAGAAGCCAAATTATTCTTAAGAATATGAAACAGTCCCAAGTGAGGGTGAAACACAGCTTCCTCCATGGGGCAATGTGCCCAATAGAGTCCACTTGCCACCATATGGCTAGCTGGTAACTGTGGCAGTCATAGAAGCTCAGTTAACTGACAGTAGCCTCCAGCTATGGGTGCCTTCAGAATTTACCTCTGGTTTCAAGCTAAACCAAAGATTCCTCATGCAGTGGAACCAGGCACCATTCCTAGCCATCAGTCCTTCTGCCAGAACTTCCCTTTGGGCTGGCAGAGACATTCTTAGAGTTGCACCTGCCACCTGAAGAATGATGAGGTTCATAAATTTGGAAAAGAGAGCTTTATTTCTTATAAAGGGTTGCAGCCTGCAGGGTGGTCATTCTGACGGGCCAGGAAGCATAGCCTCTGATCAGAAATGAAAAACCAACCCTTGGAGGGAGAAGAAAAAGGAACAGACATCTATGCTGAGCAGGATGGCTAAGTATACATATTTAATAAGCTATAGGAGTAGTCATGAATATTTATGAAAGGAGAAATGCGCACATGTTCAATGGAGCTTCATGCCCCTTCATGGGTCCCATGTACAAAATATGGTGTTAGCATGAACCAAGGTGGAGTTTTCAGCCCTCTGACATTAAAAGGTGAAGCAGAGGACGCAAAAACTGGGCATTCTCCATAGACTCACCAGAACCATGCCATGATCAGTGGTCTCTTGTTGGGAAAAAAATGCGGGTCAGTTGTGTTGAAACTGCAAAAGACAGTGGCAGCATTAGGTGGTTGGTTGATACCAGTGTGGAGTCTGTTGAAAGGGCTGGTTTCTGTTTGGTTCTTAGGGAAGAAGGTGTAGTGGTGGTTAGCAAGGGAGGGGACATAATGAGGTGTGTCCGACCTCCCTCCTGTCATGGTCGAGAATTCAGTTTGCAAGGTCACTCTGGGGTCCCTTTAACCAAGAGGAGGTTTACTATTCAGTTGGGTGGAGGCTTAGAATTTTATTTTTATTTCTCATGTCTCAGATGGAATTTTGTCCTACCCAGCCCTCCTCCCTTCTCACTCCTCCTGGGAAAGTTTGCCTTACATCTGGCAGGCTTGCCCTTCCTAGTCTACCCCCTCTTCCCTCTATCTTTCACAGGCATTACCCCCAACAATTCTTTTGTATTGCTGACTCCATCTTGACATCTTCTTTCTGGAGAACCCACTGGCACACTGTTCTTTGGAGCTGGTACCCATGGAGGGCTCAACCTTGGCATCTAGTACTCATCCATCAGATCTTCAATAATGACAGTGGCTGCATTAGTCCTGATGAGCAAGAGCCCACTTGGAACTGTACATAACCTGCACCACTGCCACCCACTGCCACCGTAGCTTCTCTGCTCATGGACCCATCCTACAGGCACTGGAGTGGGCAAAGATTGATCATCTAAGCTACTTAGTTGATCAGTGCCTCCTCTGTCATCTGTGCTCTCCAGTGGGTATGAGCATGTGATAGAACTATCTTCACACCTCAAGGCCACTCTCATAGATACATCTGCATACTTTATCCTGGGACATTTCCCCTCTTGCAGCCCCCCAACCCCATCCAAAGTTCCTGAACAACCAGCAAAGCCATTCATAATAGCCAAAGGTCCTGAATATTCTTATCTTAGGTCATTTCTCACTCTAATACAAGCTAATAACCAGGTGTACTGCTTAAGCCTAGCCACTGAGAAGTCTTCTTTACTTCTGAAATGCAACTAAAGGGTAGCAACAGTCCATTTTGGGCTTGTAACAACATATTGTCCTAACTTATCAGTGGACCAAACATGTTTTTCCTCCTTTTTCAGCTGGTGGTAGTAAACATTCATAAAGCCATAGATATGGAATGAGGAAGACCCATCTGTGCAGCAAAGATAGGGGATGTGAGGGTCTGGGCCAAGTGGTAGTTTAATTTATTTGTGTCCTCTGGATCTACTCAGTCTAATCCCAAACGTTTTATTGCCACTATATGATAAAATGATGTTATACCTGCCTAACCTTATTAATTAGTGGGCTGACAACACCCAGCTCAGGAGGCAAAACTCAAATCATATTGGGAAGAAATTTGATGCCCTATGATCAGGTGTGCAGCCTCTGTTAGGGTCCAATAGTATGCCAGGAGCTTTAAATTGTAGATAATTTTCTGTTGCAGATATGTCATAGACTGAATTGAGTCCCCCTCAAATTTATATGTTGAAACCTTATGTGACCTGTTTGGAGATCATTAAGGTTAAATTAGGTCATAAGGTTGGGCCCTATCCAATAGGACCAGTGTCCTTATAAGAAAAGGAAGAGAGACGAGAGAGGTCTCTCTGTTTCCTCAGAAGCACAGAGGAAAGCCCATGTGAGAACACAGCAAGAAGGCAGCTGTTTGCAAGCCAGGAAGACAGGCCTCACCAGAAAACAGTTCTGACAGCACCTTGATCTTGGAATACTAACTTCTAGACTTGTGAAAAAATACGATTTTGTTGTTTAATGCTTAGTTGTTTTGTTGTTTAATACCCAGTCTGTGGTATTTTGTAATAGCAGCCCCAGCAGACTAACACAAGAGGACACGGACTTGCTGCAAAACCCCAGGGTTATTCTCTGAGACTCTTCTGTTAGGACTTGCCTAAGATGCAACCACATCTTGATTGCTACAGATACCTCCAGTCCTCTGTCATGTGACTCACTGGCAGTGGGGATTGTATTGCAGCCTGAATCTGCTCTAGAGGTATCTCTTGCTCTGGGTTTCATTCAAAAGCAGCATCCTTCTGAGTGATTTAATGAGTGGAGCGATGTAGGTTCCCAAGTGTGGTGTGTGCTGCTTCCAAAGGTAAGAGACTTATTAAGAGTTGCACCTTTATCTTGCAGTAAGAGTTGCAAGGGAGAAGCACTTTCCAGCATTCCACAAGTCACCTTGAATCTACAAACGGTTTATCTCCCACCCCCTGGTGTAGCCACAGTACTTGCCACTTTATACCCCCTAGATTCAGTTACCATGGTGTCATCAATGTTATGGACTAGTGGGATATTCCGTGGAGTGCCAACAGGACAGGTCTAACTGGACTATATTGCAACAGAGAGCAGGAGCGTTAACCCAGAGGTTTGCCAACACTGTGAGTGTCTGCTGCTGTCCTTTCAAATGAATGCAAATGTCTTCCATCTGTCTTGATGATAGGAATTGAAACGGATGCTTTCACTAGACCAATAGCTGTTATTTATGTCAGAGGTTGGGTTGGTCTATTCTAGTAAAAATACAATATCTGCTACAGCTGCTATAATTGGGGCTACCACTTAGGTAAGTTTTGGGTGGTTGTATTAATTTCCTATGGCTGCTGAAACAAATTAACATAAATTTGTTAAACAACACACATTTGGCTGGGCGTGGTGGCTCACACCTGTAATCCCAGTACTTTGGGAGGCTAAGGCGGGCAGATCACGAGGTCAAGAGATCAAGACTATTCTGGCCAACATGGTGAAACCCCATCTCTACTAAAAATACAAAAATTATCTGGGCGTGGTGGCACACACCAGCAGTCCCAGCTACCTGGGAGACTGAGGCAGGAGAATCACCTGGGAGGCAGAGGCTGCAGTGAGCCCAGATCCCCCCACTGCACTCCAGCCTGGTAACAGAGCAAGACTCCATTTCAGAAAACAACAACAACAAACAAAACACACATTTATTCTCTTACAGTTTGGGAGGTCATAAATCCAAAATTAGTTTCTTCGGACCGAAATGATGGTGACAGTGGGCTATGCTGCCTCTAGCAGTGCTAAAAGTGGATAAGTTTTCTTGCCTTTTCCACTGTCTAGAGCTTCACTCCTTGGCTAAGGGCCCCTTCCATCTTCAAAGGCAGTAGCATAGTGTTGACTTCAGTTGTATCATTTCCTTCTTCTTCTGTATTCCTTTTTTGTTTGTTTTTTAAGTTTTAGATTTAAGGGGGTCCATGTGCTTATTAGCTACATGGATATTACATGCATAATGGAGGGAAGTGAGCTTCTAATGCACCCATCACCCTCATTCCCCCTCCCAACCTCCCCACTTTAGGAGTCTCCAGTGTCTATTCTCTGCATTTTTATGTCTGTGTGTGCCCATTGTTTAGCTCCCACTTTTAAGTGAGAACATTTAATATTTTATTTTATTTTATTTTATTTTATTTTATTTTATTTTATTTTATTTTTTGAGACAGAGTCTTTCTCTGTCACCCAGACTAGAGTGCAATGGTGCGATCTCAGTTGCCGCAACCTCCACCTCCCAGTTTCAAGTGATTCTCCCACCTCAGCATCTACACTACAGGCACCTGCCACAATGCCTGGCTAATTTTTTGTATTTTTAGTTGAGATGAAGTTTCACCATGTTGGCCAGGCTGGTCTCAAACTCCTGGTGTCAAGTGATCTGCCCACCTCGGCCTCCCAAAGTGCTGGGATTACAAGCATGAGCCACTGCGCCTGGCCTTGTTTAATATTTTATTTTCTGTTCTGAGTTAGTTCATGTAGGATAATGGCCTCCAACTCCATTCATGTTGCTGCAAAAGACATGATTTTATTAGTTTTTCTGGCTACATAGTATTCCACAGTGTATATGTACCACATTTTCTTTATCCAGTCCACCGTTTGTGGACACTTAGGTTGGATCCAAGACTTTGCTATTGTGAATAGTGCTGCAGTAAACATCTGAGTGCAGATGTCTTTTTAATAGAATGCTTTCTTTTCTTTTGGGTAGATACTCAGCAGCGGGATTGCTGGGTGGAATAGTAACTTAATTTTTAGTTATTTGAGAAGTCTCCATACTGTTTTCCATAGAGGTTGAATTAATTTACATTCACACCAACACATATAAGTGTTCCCTTTTCTCCACCTCCACACCCCCATCTTTTGTCTTTTGACTTTTTAGTAATAGCCATTTTGATTGATGTAACGTGGTATCTCAGTGTGGTTTTAATTTGCGATTCCCTGATGATTAGTGATGTTGAGTACCTTTTCTTTTCATGCATTTGTTGGCTGCGTGTATGTCTTTTTTTTTTTTTTTTTTTTTTTTTTTGAGACGGAGTCTTGCTCTGTCGCCCAGGCTGGAGTGCAGTGGCGCGATATCGGCTCACTGAAAGCTTCGCCTCCCGGGTTCACACCATTCTCCTGCCTCAGCCTCTTGAGTAGCTGGGACTACAGGCACCCGCCACCATGCCTGGCTAATTTTTTTGTATTTTTAGTAGAGACCGGGTTTCACCGTGTTAGCCAGGCTGGTCTCAATCTCCTGACCTCGCGATCCGCCCACCTCGGCCTCCCAAAGTGTTGGGATTATAGGCGTGAGCCACCATGCCCGGCCGTGTGTGTATATCTTCTTTTAAGAAGTGTCCATGTCCTTTGCCCAACTTACAATGTTTTTTCTGTATTCTAATCTCCCTCTGCCTCTTTCTTAGTAGGACATGAGTGATTATATTCAGGGTTTACCTGGGTAACTGGTGATAGTCTCCCTATCTCTAGACCTTCAACTTAATTACATCTGCAAATTCCTTTTGCCATACAAAGGCAACACTCACAGAGATTAGGGCCTAGGTATAGGCAGGGGCCTTTAAGCTTACCACAGGAGTCTTCTCTGATATACCATGACCATCTGTGTTCCTGATGTATCCTCTGGTTCTTAAATGGCTGTATTAGTGAATTAAACTCAGGAATATAGGGGGAACCATTGCATCTTTTAATCTTTGAGGGGAGCTCTGCTTCCTGACATTTTACCTGGAATGTGGCATTGCTTCTTATTTACTGTCTTGACCAAAGGGACAGTGTCAGAAGTTTGCATTTGACCTTCCCTACTATACCCTTAATTTAATCTTGACCCTGAGGGCATATTTTGCTGGTAGCACCCTTCCAAGTTCACCCAGGTTTTAATGTACTCAGAGCATATTTTTCTAGTTGAAAAACACTGAAGTTGAGCAACAGTTTTATTTTCCACTGCAGAAAATCCTGGTTCTTTTGTATTTTTTCTAAATTCTGCTTTCAAATTCAGCAGTCCCTTCTTCACTTTATCCCCCTCTTTCTATATCTTATCAAATGCATATGAGAAATAAAAAGCCAACTGATATATTCTGCATACTGCCTGGATATCTCCTGAGCCCTATCTACAAATTCATGAGGTATATTTCTATCTTTGAACTGACCACAGGCATGGCTATTCAGTACTCCATGATTACACCACAAATGTCATCCTCCCCCCAGCTTCCTGTAGGAACTTTCAGCCTCCACCAGCCATTTTCCAGAAGCTGCTTTTTCAGCCTTTGTCTGCTTGTTAGTCTCAAGGTTCATGCCACGTTTTAGGTTTTTGTTAAAGCAGGATGCCATTTCTGACACAAAATTGAAATACTGCATTTAGCTCTGACTGTATAACAAAAAAGCCCAAAATTTAGCAGCTGAAAAGAGCATTTTTTTTCTCACCATTCTGTGAGTTGTTTGGGCTGTTCATCTCTGCTGATTTCATCTGGAGTCCCTTACACCACTGAATTTGACTAGAGGGTTAGTGCAGTGGACAGACTAAGTTGCCTCCTGTCCTAGTCTGTTCTGTGCTGCTTTAACAATATACCTTAGACTGGGTCATTTGTAACAACAGAGTTATTTCTCACAGCTCTGGAGGCTGGGAAGTCCAAGATCAAGGAGCCAGCAGATGTGGTGTCTGTGGAAGGCTGGCTCTCTGTTTTCAAGGTAGCACTTTTTGCTGCATCCTCAGATGGTGGAAGAGATGAAAGGGATTAACTTGCCCCCTCAAGCCCCTTTATAGGACGCTGATATCAACCCTAAGAGTGGAGCCCTCATAGCCTAATCACCTCCTAACAGACCCATCTCTTAATACTGTTGCATTGAGGATTACGTTTCAACATGAATTTTGGAGGGACACAAACATTCAAACCATAGAAGCTTCCAATAATCCCTATGTCCTCGTATTCATGCCTTTGAGTTGTCCCCTCTTCTGGAATGTGGGCTGGCCTGGCCACTCGTAACTTGCTTCTAAAAGCAAGAACATGGCACATGTGATGTGGTGTCACTTTCATAATTAGGTTACAAAAGACTGTAATTTCCATCTTGCTAGCTGACTTTATTGCTTCTCTGCCTTGCTGGCTTTGATGAAAAAACACATGATGTTGGGTAGGCCCATGTGGCAAGGAATTGAATACAGAGGAAAGGAATGGTGTCCTCATCTTTATTCCCACCATCATCACCATCACCATCCTCTTTATCTCCACCACCTTTCATTATCTTGACTCTTGATGAGTCATTCTCCACCATTGACTGAGCAGTGAGTTAGCTAGGCTTAGGATCTTTCCTCCCAAAACCTGTCTCCTGAATTCAGCTGATTCTGGAGCCCAAAGGGCCGCTCTCCAACTTTCTCCTTACTGATATAACTTTTAATCTTCAGGAGATCAGCTCTGGACTCCGCAGCCAGCACCAGTGGTTTCCTCAGATCCTGCCTGGTTTCTTCTCACATCCAGCAGGCCTATCTAGAGCAGACTTCCAAGGCTCCAGCCTTCCCTTCTTGGGCAGTAGAAGGAGTTGGCTGGTGCTCAGCCTACAATACAGCTTAACAGGAAAGATCAGGCCAGGCCCCAAGGGCACCAACTTCCCGGAATCTGCTGTGATCCTCTCCTCCAAATGCCTGCACCTGTCTGTGATGTCCACGTGGCCTAGCTCCCTAGTAGCACGTCTAACCAGAGACCAACCCTGCCAGAGAGAGGAAGCTGGGGTCCCCAACTCTGAGCTACCCCATCCTGCAGAGGTGCCGTAGCACAGCTCTGGTTATCCGGAACAAAGACATTTCTCCCCACAGCCCTGGAAGACCTGGTGGGATTGGTGGAGTAATGTTTTGATCAGGCTCTGGGGGTAGACAGCAGGATCCTAGAATTGTGGAAGGTGGCCTAATTTCACTCCAGTGTTGCTCAAAGAGCCTCTAGAAATAATTTATTCTACCTGCTGCCCACAGGCAGGTGTGAGCAGCCCTCCCTCCCCACAGCTGATGGGGCCTCTCCAATTGTAAAGAGATTCTGGGAAGAAGCTGCTTTCTGCTTCCTTGAGAGTAAGTCTCCCTCCACACATTCCACCCCATCTCCCACTTTCCACGTTTCCCTCTGGATCTCTTTCTCTGCATTGCATCAGACAGGCGAAGCCAGATGCCAGAAACCAGTGTGGGGCGGGATGGAAAGAACCATGCATGGCAGGGAGCAGGCACGACTCGTCCACAAAAAAGCCTTATTTGTGGATCGTCAGGGGAGACCAAGGTCAGCGCCCTGCTTGGTTCAAGACTAATTCAAATGCAGCTTTTCATTATTTTTTTTAAAAAGCCTTCTATTGAATTAATAAGACATTATTAAACCTACTGATAAAATTAAATTAACATAAGCATCATTGTTCACAAACCTAGTTTTGAATTCATGAGTTATTGATCTTCACTTGCAAAGAGGGTAAGATTTTCTTGGCCTAGTCTATTTGTAAATGAACAACTCTTCACCCACAGGCCTGGCCTTGCTGGGTTGAAGGAAAAGAAAGTCGCTAAGAGACAGTCTTCCAATGGGGCCTCTCCAGACCACCCTGCTTCAAGTTTTATTTTGAGCACTCCCCTGCTCCTGCACTAGGGTTCTTTGGTTCACTCCTGTAGCTCAAATGCCCAGATTAGTGCCTGGGACATAAAAGGCACTCAATAAATATTCTTTATTTTCATAAATGGAGTCTCGCTCTGTCCCCCAGGCTGGAGTGCAGTGGTGTGATCTCAGCTCACTGCAACCTCCGCCTTCCAGGTTCGAATGATCCTCCTGCCTCAGCCTCCTGAGTAGCTGGGACTACAGGCATGCACCACTATGCCTGGCTAATTTTTGTATTTTTAGTAGAGACGAGGTTTCACCACGTTGGCCAGGCTGGTCTCGAACTCCTGGCCTCAAGTGATCCTCCCCCTTGGCCTCCCAAAGTGTTGGGATTACAGGCGTGAGCCACTGCGCCCAGGAATATTCAATTTCTTTCTTTTTTTTTTTTTTTTTTTTTGGAGATGCATTACAGTGGTACGATCTGCCTCCCAAGTTCAAGCAATTCTCCTACCTCAGCTTCCTGAGTAGCTGGGATTACAAGGGCGTGCCACCACACTCAACTAATTGTTGTATTTTTAGTAGAGGCGGGGTTTTGGCATGTTGGCCAGACTGGTCTCGAATGATCTGCCCCCTCGGCCTCCCACAGTGTTGGAATTACAGACATGTCTTTTTTTTCTTTTTTTTGAGACAGAGTTTTGCTCTTGTTGCCCAGGCTGGAGTGCAATGGCACGATCTCAGCTCACCGCAACCTCCACCTCCCAGGTTCAAGCGATTCTCCTGCCTCAGCCTCCCGAGTAGCTGGGATTACAGGCATGTGCCACCACACCCAGCTAATTTTGTATTTTTAGTAGAGACAGGGTTTCTCCATGTTGGTCAGGCTGGTATCCAGCTCCCAACCTCAGGTGATCCGCCCACCTTGGCCTCCCAAAGTGTTGGGATTACAGGCGTGAGCCACCACTTCCGGCCTCTGCAATATTCTTAAATGAATGAATGAGCAACTCTTGGAAAAATATTCTGTCTCCTAATTATGCAAATGAGGACACTGAGAGAGGAAGCAATGCCAAATGACACGCAGCTAGAGTCAAGCCTGGGACCCGCTGTCCTGGCACCCAGTCCGGCGCTCTTTGTGCTATGCTAGCAGGGTTCTCCAGCTTCGTAGAGCCAGAAGTCAGCCTGCTCTTCCCTGCACTCCCTGGTGCGCCTCTCCCATCACATCACCATGGTTGATAACACCCCAGCGCCAGGCACCTCTCAGGAGATCTAAGGAGTGAGAAGATGCCCTGTGTGCTCTCAAGACAGGGGCCTGCCTACCTGGGGGGCGGATAATGCATGTTCAAGGCTTCCCCTGAGCACATTTCTCCAAAGCGACACGCTTCCAACAAGGCTTTCAAAGGCGACGCATCAATCCAGTAATTGTTACGCCCATAATGAAAAATCCACAGAGGAGACAGAGTGACACAAAGACCACAAAGCCTAGAGAAGATTGCCAAGGGGTAGTTGACCCAGGTGGTGAGGTCCTGGGGCTGTCACCAGGCCTGTGCCCCCTGATGTTAGAGCCTGGTGAAGCTGTGGCTGAAAGTGGCCACCACTGCCTACTTCTCAGCTCCGTTCTCCTCCCAAATGCACAAGGCATCTGCCCTTCACCTTCTGTCCCTGCTCTGTCCTATCCCAGTCTAGCAGGCACGAGCAGTTCTGTGACCTTCCTGGGCAGCTGAGCTTCCTGGGTGGAAATGAACCCATTTCTGCGCCCCAGACAGTTTCCTCCTGCAGGGTCCTAAAAATTCATGCTGTTGGCCGGGCACTGTGGCTCACGCCTGTGATCCCAGCACTTTGGGAGGCTGAGGTGGGCAAAGCACCTGAGGTCAGGAGATCGAGACCAGCCTGGCCAATATGGCGAAACCCTGTCTCTACTAAAAATATAAAAATTAAGTGGCAGGCGCCTGTAATCCCAGCTACGCAGGAGGCTGAGGCTAGAAAATTGCTTGAACCCAGGAGACGGAGGTTGCAGTGAGCCGAGATCGCACCATTATACTCCAGCCTGGGCAACAAGAGTGAAACTCCGTCTTTAAAAAAAAAAAAAAAAAATTTATCCTGTTGAGCACAGGGCTGATCTCCTTGCTCCAGTACCATAGCGTGCTGCTGTCACACGGCTGCTTCGTGGTTGTTATGGGTTTCTGTTTCTTCACTAGCTTGGAAAATACTTAGGGGGAGATTTCTAAAAATTCTAATTGAGTCGCAACCTAAATACCTCTGTGTTCCCACCCCTGCGGTGGGCATGGAGAGCAGCTGCTGGCCTTGCCCAGGAGCTGAGGACGCCCCAGGCAGGATGAGGGAGCTGACCCGTGTCCACTGAGAAGCAGAAAGGAAGCAGGGAGCGTGGTGTAAGCTGCAGCAATCAGGGAAGCCTCCCCGGGAGCAGCAGGCTGCGGCAAAGCTCTGACTATGTCCTGTGGCAGGGCTCAAACTGCTGGCTTTAAATGAAAGCCGAGGCTCTGCTGAAGGGCAGCAGCCCCACCCCCTGTGTAGAGGAGCAAGAAATCAGCTCTACACAGGGTCTGCTAGGTCCCTGGCCTGGTGTCACCAAGCCCAGTGCTGTGACTGGTTTCCAGCACCTGAGTTGGAGACACTGGTGGAGCTCCGCCTGACCCCTAGAGAAAGACAGAGACAGAAAGACAGGTGGGGAGTGGGGCCGGGCCTGACCTGAAGCTGGACACTGAATCGCTAGGCCTGGGGAGGGGAGGTCTGAGGAGCCCCCGATCTCCCGTGGAGCAGCCTGGAGCACCCCTGCCTCGGCTTCCCAGAGGGAAGACCGGACTCACTGTGGGCTGAGGAAAGGTGTGTTGAGTACACGGTTGAAAGTGTGGGAATAAACGTATGTATGTTGAGATGTCCTTGTGATTCAGCTATCAATCTACATATTTCAGTTAGAAGCACTTAAAATTATATCCGTTCCTGACATGCTGCATCCCTTGCAGGTTTATTTATTTATTATTTATTTATTTATTTATTTTTTGAGACTGAGTCATGCTCTGTCACCTAGGCTGGAGTGCAGTGGCATGATCTCGGCTCACTGCAACCTCTGCCTCCCGGATTCAAGCGATTCTCCTGTCTCAGCCTGCCAAGTAGTTAGGACTACAAGCATGCGCCACCAGACCCGGCTAATTTTTGTATTTTTAGTAAAGACAGGGTTTCACCATGTCAGCCAGGCTGGTCTCGAACTCCTGACCTCAGGTGATCTGCCCCGCCTCGGCCTCCCAAAATGCTGGGATTACAGGCATCAGCCACCACGCCTGGCTCAGGGTTTATTTTATTTAAAAACAGACAGTCCAAGCTGGGGTGTGCTGATGCCTCCCTAGTGCCTCCTATTGCCTGCAACATTGGTCAAAGCATCTGGTGGAGGCTTGGCTGCTGATGTCCGTGGTGGGGCTGCCATGCCACTGTGACCGAAGCAAGCCCATCCTGCACCGAGACCTTCTGTAACAGCCTTCTGGGAAACCCGTTTGGTAAGGTGGGGCTGCTCCCACCAAGGAGGGAGGAACCAAGTAAGACATCTCTGCTCAGGGGAATGTAATAGTCGTATTTTGACAGCAACACAAATACTGTAGGATGTTTGATTTGAAATATTTTACAGTTCACCAACTATTTTCCTAAAACTTATCATTTATTCGTGACAAGCAACTGTGGGACCAGTAGAGAAGAGATGATTGACCCCATTTTACAGATGAGGACACATAGTGTTAGAGAGATTGTGTCCAGTAAAAGTGGAACTAAACCCAAGGTGTTTTGTTTTTTTTTTTTTTTTGACAGCATCTTGTTCTGTCACCCAGTCTGGACTACAGTAGTGGATCATGGCTCACTGCAGCCTCAACCTCCTGACCTCCTGGGCTCAAGCAAACCTCCCACTTCAGCCTTCTGAGTAGCTGGGACTCAGGCACGCACCACCTTTATTTGTTTATTGATTTAGTAGAGATGAGGTCTCACTATGTTGCCCAGGCTGGTCTTGAACTCCTGGTTCAAAGGATCCACTAACCTCGGCCTCCCAAAGTACTGGGATTACAGACATGCAACACGGCGCCCAGCCCCAAGGTGTTGGCCCTTAGCACTGCCTGGGGTTGAGCTGGCCCTGCAGGGCACACAGACACGTTTGGGACACACCTATGCCTTCAAACAGCAGTCTCAGGGAAGACCTCACTAGACAGATATCAATAAAGACAGGATTCCATCTGTCAACTCGTTTGAGAACTGGTGGCTTTGGCCCAGTGTTTCAGCCATTCCCAGCTGGCGTGGGGTGCACTGTCCCCTGAAAGGCTGGATCCTTGGGTGGAAACTCACTAGGATCGCTGCTCCCTGCATCTTATTTGCAAGATGCCATTGCCCTCAGCAGCTAGGATGGACAGATCTAGCAAATAAAAATTAAAAATGCCCAGTTACATTTGAATTTCTGATAAATAATAAACACTTTTTCAGTATAAGTATGCCTCAAATGTTGCATGGGACATACCTACACTTAAAAAGATTCATCACCAACATGAAATTCAAATTTAACTCAGCATCCTGTACTTTACCTGGCAGCCCCATCAGATCAGCAGCTTAACGCACTTGGAGAACTTTGTTTTCCCACCTACCCTGGGCACCCATCTGGTGGCCCAAATTCCAGGTTTTCTCCAGTAGGACCAGGCAGCAAGCCCTTTCTTATCCGGCCCAAGGCTGCTGTGTTGATGAGTATGAAACCTCCCAGGTTATTCACACTCTGTCAAAGACCCTCTGGAGCCAAGACGGCTTAGCTCAGAGGAGTGAGGCGGATGCTGAGGTTTCAGACCAAGCTATCTTGGGCCATGTGGGCTTCAGGGAGCCCAAATCTGCCTCAGAGGCATAGCAATGGTCCTGAGGCTTCTGAGTCCTGGATTAATTAGGCGGAAAGGTTTAGGTAGGGTGGGGTCACACAGCTCTTAGATTTTATCCTTTTCACTCCTGAAACCACTGGAGAGGCTGTTTTTAAACACAGAACATCTAGAATGCCAGGGACCTCCCTGGAGGCAGGTTGGGAATCATGGCCCAAGCTCCCTCCCCAGACACCTGCACATGTGCACATGGTCCTGCGCAGGATGCACATTTCACAACGACGCGTTTGCTCACCCAGGCACTCGCTCTCCCTCCAACATTCGGCCAGCAACTGGATGAGGTTGGCTTCTTCTCACATGAGGCCTTCTTTCCATTTGCAGATTTAATTTAGATTAACATGAAAAAAAGTCTTGGACTACTTTCCTGCAGGCTGAGTGAATACTGCTTAATTTCAAGGAGAGATAAGAGTGTGTGTATATAGGGGATATCTTCCTATATGCTCTAAGGGAAGGAGTGTGAGGGTGAGCTCCTGGGATGGATTCTGGAATCCTGGAGACACTGACCCGCACCTTGCTGTGCTGACCAAAATGAGTGATCCTGAGGATGTTGGCAGGGCAGTCCCTGGAGACTGGGCAGGTGTGGAGAGAGGAGAATGCTCTCTGTAAGGGCCAATGACTCAGGGAAGGCCTTGAAGCAGATGGAGGTAGGGCTGGGCTCCAAGCTACAGCCAGTTCCAAGCTACTGACCCTTCTTCTACACCTTTTGCCTCCACAACCGGGCAGGTACTGTTGAGACTTGGGTCAAAGAGTGTCAGAGGGGACAGAGAAGGCTGTGAGATCAGGGCAGGAGATCTTCACTCTTGAGAAGACGCAGCAGGGGATGCCTCTGGACCTCTGCAGGCCTCAGGGTCTAGACAATGAGGGTCAAGGATTCCAGCCTCAAAGTCTCCCTTGGCTTCTTAGCACAGATGGCAGTGGCCACAGTCTTGGTTTATAGTATTATGAAGTTATTCCTGCCCTTTCCTCCCTGAAAAGGGTGCCAATTAATGTGAAGTAAGGTTTGTACCTGCATCAGCCATCCCTCCTCAAAACCTCCAGACCATTTCCATTTTGATCAGTGTAATTTTGAAATGCAGCTGGGTTTTCACTTCCACCTTGCAATCGTCCCCCTCCCCAGATTCAATTTAGATTAAGGAGAACAAAGGCAGGGGATGTTTGCCCTCTGCTCAATCAGAGGGGCGTAGTTCAGCTGTCTTCCTCCGGCCCCCCTCCAGGCTGGACAGGGCTGGCAGTGGCGGGGGGGCATCTCCCAGAATGGATGTGGTGGGGCTCTTGCAGGCGTCACACCTGTATTCCCTGCTGTATTCCCATTACCCTCCTCTGTTATTTACAGTCTGCCTGTCTGCTGCTCCACGCTGGAGGCTCCTCCGGGGAAGGCATTTCCAGGTCCTCCCCCTGCCGCCAGCTTCCTGAGCTTGGCAGCACTCAGTCACCCCACAGTCGTCTACTGTCAGAGTCCCCTATAAAAACCTGTGCAGGAAAGCCTTGCTTGGGGAGGAAGTCAGGGCTCCCTCACCCCCTCTCCACACCTACTGCTTCTCCCAACACCTAGAACTGACCTTTTGGATCACATCTTCCTCCTCAGCCCTCTCCCCACCATGTGCTCACCTGGGCCCTGCTGGGGACAGCCGGCATGCAGAACAGAACTGGACACCTAGTGTGTGTGCCAGGAAGGCCCTCAGGGGTGGCGACTAAGAGTGAGGCCCTGGGCACAGGTTGTGTCTCCCAGCCCCACCCTTACCAGCTGTGCAACCTCATGCGAGCGGCTGGACTCTCCCACCCTCCTTTCTCGCCTATCAAATAAGAATCCTGAAAAGGAGCTCTCGGTGCCCCAGCTGCTCCCCACTGTGCGCTGAAGTTGGACATCCCCCTTCCCCACTGCAGGAGTGGCGCAAAGCCCCCGCCCCCAAAACAGCATTCCTGCACTGCACACACCCCACTTGAGCGTGTGCCATGGAGTCAGACTGCGCACACCCGCGGCCCAGCACAGGGAAGGTGCGGGGTCCTAGGAGGAGCACAGCACGGACTTCCTCTGACCCCAAGTCCTCCCCTTCTGAACAGGATATACAGGAGCTCAACTCCACCTGCACAAGCCCAAATGACAGATGTTTATGTCCAAAGTTGTTACCTCCATAGAACATTCTCGCTCTATTCCGGTTTGCAGGTGGGAGCTTGGAGGCCGCCCCCAGCATGGCCTGGGAAGGATGGGATGGTCTCCACCCCAGGACTCTGATGCACTGCATTGCATGCGGTCAAGGCTTCCACCATTCTAGGACTTGAGGCTCTCCGTAGATTAATGACCCTGGCTGGTCCGAAGGGCATGAAATTATGAATAATCTATTCCTGATGGAACAACGCTTTGCCTTCCACTCCCAGCCCTGTCCCTGGTTGTAGGAGGCTGCGGAGGGCCCCATTATTCACGCCACTCAGGTTCCTGCCTGCTCCACACTCACAGGGATGAATGCATTGCTCAGAAACACGGGAGGGAGTGTTACAACATTGATACTAGAGAGGCATTATTTTCATTGTCAGGCTGCTTGATGGTTTCATAATTTTCATAAAAGAACTGGGTTTTAGGCTCTAAGGAGCAATTAATAAAGGAGTCCACAGGCACACGGTGACACGGAAGTGCTCTCAGAAAAGGGGGCTGAGCTCCCAATGGGTGTGAGGGCTTGGACCTCCCTCGCCTGGTTCTCCCCAGACAGAGAGAGGACGGGGAGGTGCGCTCATCACTCAGCAGCGAGCCCTCTCCTCCTGCCTGCAGACTCAGACCCCCACTGCAGGTGCACAGTGAAATCATCGTACCCTCTAAATAGAAGGAAAAACAAACTAGAAGCATTTAAGCACGTGCCTGAGCCAGGACCCTCTCAAATGACGATGACAGAAAACCAACTCTGATTTAGATAAAAAGGGAAAGTCCGGTAGGGGTTGGGGAAAGTGAATTAGCTTCAAGAATTCCAAAGACCAGGAGGGCAGATGTCCCTTCAGGCAACGCTGTGTTCAGGGACTCAAACGAAGTCCTTGGGACTCCCTCTCCAGGCTCAGTGCTCCTGTCTTGCACACGGTCCCGCGGTCCCCAGCTGCAGCCCAGGGGTTCCTGCCGCGGGAGAGAAGGCTTCACTGTGCGGGGGCACCCCACGCCTCCACTCCGCTTTGTCTTCCTTCTAACCCTATACTCTACTTTGTTTGGTGCTCACCTCCCTTGGGCTAGAGCAGGGGATTTTGTTGGGTTCGTTGATTTATACCCAGAGCCTTGAACAGGGCCTGGCAGAAAAGGCTCTGAAATATTTGTAGAGTAGGTCAATGAGCCACCTGAAGGAAAACTGTTTTGTGTCTTCATCTTCTAGATGGGAAGGTGGAGATCAGAGAGAAGAAGTGAATTCTCTGAGCTCACTTGGCTGACAAGGGGCAGAGTTGCGGCTGGACCCCGAATCGTGTGACTTCAGACCCTCTGGTTATGAACAGCGCATGTAGACGTGTGGCACACCCGACCTCCAGGAGGCCCTGAATGGGAGAGGGATGGGGAGAGGGGAGGGGCGGGAGATAGTTCCACCAGTGGGCAGTTCTGGAGAGCGGGGATGGGAGGGGGGCTCTCTTGGTTCCCTTTCACAGCTGCACTGGAAGGCAACAGTTGGGGAAAGCTAGAGAGGGAACCTATTGAAGGAGCATCTAAAATCATTAGCAAAATCTTACTATTGGCTGGGTGAGGTGGCTCACACCTGTAATCCCAGCACTTTGGGAGGCTGAGGTGGGAGGATGGATTGAGCCAAGGTGTTTGAGACCAACCTGAGCAACACAGCAAGACCCCATCTTAAATATATTAAAAATAAATTTAAGATTAGGTGGGCATGGTGGCATGTGCCTGTAGTACCAGCTACTCAGGAGGCTGACGGTGAGGGGATCCTTGAGCCTAGGAGGTTGAGGCTGCAGTGAGCTGTGTTCACATCACTGCACTCTAGCCTGGGCAACAGAGTGAGACCCTGTCTCAAAAAGAGTCCTAATTCATTCATTAATTTTAAAAATCAAATTATTGAATCATTTCACTTTTTGCAAGTCCTGCCTGACCACTTACCTCAGGGAATTTATTCATTTTCCATTTATCTCACTAAGAGACAGTGGGCAGTTCACCTTGTCCCCAGCCCTAGCCCCTCTGCAGCCCACAGGGGGACACCGAGGGTTAGTGCTGGGCAGAAAGACAGCCCAGAGGTGGTTAAACCCCAAATCCATGCTGCCCTCCCCAGGACACTGATTTGTGAGCAGGGCTCGGGAGCCTAACGGCTGAGGCTGAGCCCCAGCCCCACCACTCACTGACTCCTTGTCCTCAGACAGGTCATGTCACCTTTCCAAGCCTCAGACTCCCCTCTGCAGGGTTGCTGTAAAATCCACAGGACAACGTGGACATTGTCAGCACAATGTCCGGTACAGTGGCCCATCCGCAGGCGGTCACCAAGGGTGCTGCTGTTGCGAGAGGACCCACAGTAGGTTTCATGATGAGGTGAGAGGGGAGGCGCACTGAGCACCCATCTGATGCCCAGGCCCCCACGAACCCCTGTTGCTGGGGGAGGGCTCCGGGGCTGCAGAGGTGGCAGGATGCACCCTCAGCGTCCAGCCCTCCCACGCTGCCGTGGTGTAGACACAGAGTAGGCGATGTTGTTATGTGACCATTGGACACACGTGAAAGTGGCTGCTATGAAGCCGTCAGTTAATTATGAAGTGATTGCAAACACCCCAAAAGGAATATCTGTGTGATTTATTCTAATGGCTTAGACATCCTCAGGTTCTCCTGATTAAATGCAGGCCTTAGGATGGCAGCTTCCAAGTCCAGGCTTCAGTGTAGAGCCAGGAAGAGGATCCTGGGGCTCATGGACCAACAGAGAGAGGGGGCAAGAATTTGGCCTTGAGGTCAGCTCTCACACAGCCCTCTAGGCCTCAGGGACGGAGCCATCTTTGAGGGTCTATTATTCCCTCTGTTTGGGCTGTTAAGCAGATGCCCAGGGTAACATTTGGGGTGGCCAGCCCAGCCCCCAGTACTGCCAGCAGAACAATCATGCACTGTCCCTGCCTGCTATGCGCCAGGCACCCCCAGGAACTCCATTCACCCCCAGGAAACCGCAGGCACTCCCAGAAACCCCCATGCACCCTCAGGAATCCCCAGGCACTTCCAGGAACCCCCAGGCACCTTTCCTCAGACACTTTCTGTTATGACTTTTCTAGAGCTTCTGTAATAGACAGAAATGTATCCTCTCACAGTTCTGGAGGCCAGAAGTCCAAACCATTCAAGCTGTCAGCCTGGCCATGCACTCTCTGCAGCCTCAGGAGGGGGGTGCTTCCTGGCCTCTCCCAGCTCCTGACAATCCAGGCAGTCCAACCCCGGCTGGCGGCCACATCACTCCCCTCTCCACTTGCGTCTTCACATGGCATGCTCCCTGCCACCCTGTGCCTTCCCAAGGCTGTCTCCTTGTAAAGATGCCAGTGAGCATGGACTGGGGGCCACCTTGCTCCAGGATGACTGCATCTCAACTCATCACATCTCAATCACCCTGTCTCCAAATGAGGTCACAGCTGAGATCCTGAGAGTTGGGACTTCAGCATGTCTTTCTGGGGGCGCACAGTTCAACCCATAACACACTCCTACAGGTGTTGTATTTGCCATAGCACAAACATCTCACACGCTTTGGAGCAAAACGGGAAGAGAAAATGCTCATGTGCATATCCACCGGTGCACAGGATGCACTAAGAAAACCGTTTCTACTAAGAGCTGCTCCTCCCTCTCCCCTCTCTGCCCTTGATTGTGCCCTCATCTGCAGCATGGAGGGATTGATCAGGGACAAGAGCTTCAAAATGCCCTTTGCAGCCAGGCATGATGGCTCACGCCTATAATCACAGCACTTTGGGAGGCGGAGACAGGTGGATCACCTGAGGTTAGGAGTTTGGGACCAGATTGGCCAAGATGATGAAACCTTGTCTCTACTAAAAATACAAAAATTAGCCGGACGTGATGGCGCATGCCTGTAATCCTAGCTACTCAGGAGACTGAGGCAGGAGAATCGCTTGAACCCAGGAGGCAGAGTTTGCAGTGTCACCCCAATGACAAGAGAATGTCTTCCCTTGGCAAACTTCAGCAGCCCCCAGTAGGCGGCAGGACTAAATGTGACCACAACAGGCCCCAGGGATGAGACCGGCATGGACATTGGTCTCTCCTGCCTTTGACTGGGCTTGACACCTCTTCCCTTTTCTTCCCCCAGATGGAGGCACTGCAAACGGAGCTGAGCTGCCTGGGATGAGAGGATGGCCTGGCTCTGGCCAGGAGCTCCCTAAGGCAAACACGTATGTCCCTGGGCCCTGGGTGTCCTCCTCAGAAAAGAAGAAGCCACCTCTAGGGATGGCAGTCCAAAGTGGCTCTCACCAAAATTATTTGGGTAGTGTGGTCTCTGGGCTGGCGATATCAGCATGACTGGGAATTTGTTAGAAAAGCAACTTCTCTGGAAATAGAGCCCAGAAATCTCTGGTTGCCAAGTTCTGCAGCTTACGGCATTCTTGCAGCATGACAAAGTGTGAGATACACTAATCTCTAAAATGAGATAATGATTAAAAGTTGCATCAAGGTAGCAAGCAGCCTCCCTCAGGCCACAGCGGCTGGGGGCCATTCCTTGCCCCTCCTGCATTAACCTGCCCCTCAGCTTCAGCCAATGAGCATCTACCCTCTCCATGTCCCCCTACCTCAAACAATTTCATGTTTTCCCATCTCTTCCCTTAGCCTGGCTCTCCTAGGGCCTGGAGCCTAACCCCCTCCATGGAGAAGGAGGATGGTCAGTGAGTACAGAAAGAATCCGTTGGATTCAGCACTGGGGGTGAATGTGTGTCCAGGGAGCCCTGCAGGAAGCATCCCGTGTCAGTGGGGCTGGTTCGCTACCGTGACCTGGGAATGCGCCTGACAGATCTCCAACGTCAGGGATCTGGACCAAGCTTCTGTGCTCTGAGCAGCGTTTACACCAAAGCTTCCCAGGAGCTGCTCCCAGCCCATGTCTGAGCCAGGCAGGGCTCCCAAGACAGGCAAGCCCTGGCAGACTGGGAGAAGGCACCACTCTGCTGGTTGATTTTGGCTGGAGGCTTCCCTTACAGCCTTGGTGGACGTTCCCTAGACTGTACCATGGTCTAGGTGGCTCCCACCCAAGCTTCCCTCCCACTTCCCTTCATTTAGGGTCAGGTTTGCACCTCCTTTTGATGATTCTCCAGGCTTTTCCCACTTTCCCTCCATTTTCTTCCAACCCTGTTTCCCTTAGGAAAATCCTTACATGCAGAATCCTATGTTGCCATCGTCTTCTCCAGGCACATGGAGTAACGCAACCTCAGATTAGAAAATGTCAGAAGAAAATTGGTGGGGGTGGGGGGAGAGAGAGAGAGAGTGAGAGAAGGAGAGAGAGAGAGAGAGGGAAAGAAAGGGAGAGAGAGAAGGAGAGACAGAGAGGAAAAGAGAGGGAGAGAGAGGAAGAGGAGGAGAAAGGGAGAAAGAGAGGGACAGAAAGAGAGAAGGAGAGGCGAGAAAGAGGGAAAGAGATGGGGAGAGAGAGAAAGAGGAGGAGAGCGAGGAGAGAGAAGAAGAGCAGGGGAGAGAGAGAGGGAGAGGGGGAGAGGAGAGACAGAGGGAGAGAAAGGGAAAGAGAGGGAGAGAGAGAGAAAAAGGGAGAGATAGGGGAGAGAGAGAAAGGAGGAGAGAGAGGGAGAGAGAGAGAAAGGAAGAGAGATGGAAAGAGAGAGAGAAGGAGAGAGAAAGAGGAAGAGAGAGAGAAAGTGGGAGAGAAAAAGAGAAGAGGAGAGAGAGAGGAAGAGGAGAGAGAGAGGAGAGAGAAGGACAGGGAGGAGGAGAGGAGAAACAGAGGGAGAGAGAAGGAAAGAGAGAGAAGGAGAGAGAAGGGAAGAGAGGGAGAAAGAGGGAGAGGGGGAGAGAGGGAGGGGGGAAGAAAGAAAAGGAGACAGAGAGGGAGAGAGAGAGGGAAAGAGAAGGAGAGAGGGGGAAGAGAGAAAGGGAGAGAGAGAGAGAGGGAGAGAAAGAGGGAGAGACAGAAGAGAGGAGGAAAGAGAGGGAGGGAGATAGAAAGTGAAAGAGAGAGGGAGAGAGACAGCAAGAGAGAGGAAGAGAGAAGGAGAGGGAGAGAGAGAAAGGGAGAGAAAGAGGGAGAGACAGAGAGAGAGGAGGAGAGAGAGAGGGAGATAAAGAGGAGGAGGCAGAAAAAGAGAGGAGGAGAGAGAGGGAGAGAGGGAGAGGGGAGAGACAGAGAGGGAGAGAGAGGGAGAAGGAGGGGAGAGAAAGAAAGAGAGAGAACAGAGAGAGAGGGAGAGGAGGAGAGAAAGAAGAAGAGAGAGAAGGAGAGAGAGAGGGAGAGAGGGGGGAGAGAGAGGGAGGGAGAGGGGGAGAGAGAAGGAGAGAGAGTGGAAGAGAGGGAGAGAGAGGGAGGGGGGAAGAGAGAAAAGGAGAGAGAGAGGGAGAGAAAGAGGGAGAGACAGAGAGAGAGGAGGAGAGGGAGAGAGAGATAAAGAGGAGGCAGAAAAAGAGAGGAGGAGAGGGAGAGAGGGAGAGAGGGAGAGGGGAGAGACAGAGAGGGAGAGAGAGAGAGAAGGAGGGGAGAGAAAGAAAGAGAGAGAAGAGAGAGAGGGAGAGGAGGAGAGAGAGAAGAGAGAGAGGGAGAGAGAGAGAAGGAAAGAGAGAGAGGGAGAGGGTGAGAGAGAGAGGGAGAGAGAGAGAAAGCTAGAGAGCAAGCCCGCAGGAGAGAACACAGTGGGCACAGCATTCAGACAAGCTGAGCTCAGGATGCAGATTCAGCCTGGAGATACAGAACTGGGGGCATCAGTGTATTTTAAACCTCAGGGAGGATTTGATCACCAGGGAGAATACCATAAGGTGGCAGCAAAGAGGCTGGGGTAGAAGTGGAACACTGGCCATCACCAAGTTTTATGGAGCAGCCACAAGAAAGAACCTCAGAGGCCCAGGAGGGAGTTGCAGAGAAACGGAGGAGCAGCACACAGCAGGGCCGGGGCTCTGGGGAGAGCGGGACTCCAGCGCGGTGCAGAGCTCCGGCCCAGCTACACTGGCAGCATCTTGGTGAGCAGAGCAGGGCGGCTCCTGCTGCGAGAGCGATGCTAGCAGATGCTGAGACAGAGGCTAGGGTGCAAAGAGGCTGCCCTGAGCAAGGAGGGAGATCTTCCGGAAGTTTGACTGAGGTGCCCGTGGAGTTGAGGGAATAAGCTTTCGAGGTGGGGGGCACCGAAGCCCACATAGGAGGCTTGCAAAGGAGTCAGGATGGGACAGGATTGGAGACTGTGAGGAGCCAGCCTGAGTGAGGAGGAGAACAGGCATCTCCTTAGGACAAAACCCAAGCAGAAGAGCTTTACAGGTGACACTGTTTGCAGGCGTCTTTGAGGGCCAGAGGCAGAAGTTGAAGAAGTTCCTGTCTGGGGCTTCTCCTTTATCCCATGCCCTCTGTGGATTGGGATGGAGAGGATCTGGAGTAGGAGGTGGAGTCGCTTTGGAGAGGGGAAAGCTCACCAGGTGAGCAAGTGGCCAAGGAGAGCGAGGGAGATTACAGGAGGACAGTGAGGTTCCTGGGCAGCTCCAGGACCGAGTGTGAGATCGCCCCGACATCTACCAGTGGGTCTGGCTGATGCAGGGCTAGAGTCTGGCTGGGCAGGCATGGCAGGAAGATGAGGATCTTCACAAGGGAGGGTTGACAAAGTAGGCCATGGCCTCTGGATGGTACGGGAAGGCTGTCAGTCCAGCGGGGGAGGGTGGGTGGCCCAGGGGGTGAGGCTGGAGACTGCAGTCTGTGAACGAAAGACGTGCGTGTTCATCCTCTGGGGTGTCTTAAGTGTCGGCCTGTTGGGGTGGTCATATACACGGTGGGCCTGGGTGTCACGCGGGCAGAGCAATCACACTTGGAAAGCCTGTCATAAGCTGCCTGGTGAGTCCCGCAGTGCTTGGGAGCCCTTTTCTCAGTACTGGCATCGGCCGTGAGTTTCTGATGGAAAGAGCCCGGCTTCCTGGAGAGCGGCACCAGAGCTTTTATGGACTGTTGCTTCAGGTGGAACGTGGAGTAATTATTTTCTTATGACTGTTTGTAGATATAATTGTGTCCTCACTACTCAGGAATTTATGTTCAGAAAATAATTACTATTGGATTAACTGCAATGGCAATCCTTTAATTCCACTCTCAACACTGTTTGTATTTAAGCCGAGCTTCCTCCTTGCCAATCTGATGTGTCTGTTACAATAAGCGTTTTAACTCAATTATCGTCTCAGACACAATCAAATTATCTGTAATATGATGTAATTACTTTTTTTTATTAGGCTAAACTGGGGATCCTGAGCTGCGAATGCCTAGCGTAGCTTTGAGAAGTGATTAAAACAAACCCGCAGGCCCTTCTACAATAAGAGTGTGTTTTTCAAAAGTCCAGTTTGAAACCCAGATCCTCCACTCAGGGCCTAAAAACGTATCCCTTGTGCCAAATTCACCTCCTGCAGGAAGACTTCCTTGCCCTTAAGTCACCCGGCTGTGCGTGGTTTGCTCTACCGCCTCCTGGCCCTTGGATGTGGGATTTGTTTCTCTGTACCTGACGCCGCTTGACTTCGTAGCTCCCTCCAGCCAATCCCATGTGGACCTCACTGGTAGACTGGACTGTGAGGCTTCCACCCGTAAAGGAATTCATGCTGGCAGAGCCCCTCCAGAGAAAGGCACTGTTAGGATTGAATTGTGATTGGGTAAAGTTGTAGGGGTGGAAAAACTCCACCTCTGTCCTCTTAGGGTCCCGGCTGGGCCTGAGAATTAAATGGACATAACATAGACTAACAGGAGAAAAGTGTAATGCAGGATTTATGTAGCATGGGAGCCCTCCTGCAGAAATGAAGACCTGCAGAAGCAGTGAGTTAGTTACTCAGAGATTGGACGGGACAAAGAGCAGAGCTGTGAAGAAGCAACTGAAGTCTGCGGGGAAGCTCAGAGAATGGAATGATGCTAATGAGGTACTCACAGTATGCTCTCAGTTTGGACTTTTCACTCCCAAAGATAAGGATGTTGCTTTCCCTTCTAGGGTGGAGAGGGCATCTTTCGCATTGGAATTTCATCTCAAGGTACAGCATGGAGGTCACTGTGATCTTTTTGCACCTGCTGTTTCTCAAGAGTCTTTAGCTGAAATTGTCAATATGCCAGAAGAGCCTGTTTTAATCCTTTCAAAGTCCTAATCCTCAGGACCTCAGAATGTGAACACATTTGGAAATAGGATCTTTACTGAGGTTAAGGGTTAAGTTGCAGAGATTAAGCTAAAACAAGGTCAGGAGGGAGGGCCCTAATCCAACATGACTGACGTCCTTATGAGAAAGGGGAATTTGGACACAACTGTGGACACAAGGAAGACAAGGAAAGACAGAGAGAGGAGGCGGCGACCTATAAGCTGGGGAGAAAGGCCTCAGAGAGACCTAGCCCTGCCAAGACCTTGATCTCAGACTTCCGCCATCGAGAACTGTGAGAAAATCCATTCCTGGCTGGGCGCGGTGGCTTATGCCTCTAATCCCAGCACTTTGGGAGGCCGAGGTGGAAGGATCGCTTGCACCCAGGAGTTCCAGACCAGCCTGCACAAAAAAGCAAGATATCATTTTTACAAATAATTGGAAAAAAAAAAAAGCCAGGTGTGCTGGCGCATCCCTGTAATCCCAATTACTTGGGAGGCTGAGGCAGAAGGACTGGTTGAGCCCAGGAGTTTGAGGCTGTCATGAGCTGGGATAACACAACTGCTCTCCCACCTGGGCAAAAAAGTGAGACCCTTACTCAAATAAATAAATAAATAATTCCTGTTACACAGACCTAGGAAACAAATACAGGCACTTAACTCTAATGGTTAAAAACACAGCACTGGAATCAGAGTGCCTGAGTGTTAATCCCGGTGCAATTACTTATTAGCACCATGCAATTTAGTCATATGCCTTAGTTTTCTCATCCTGAGAGTAGGACTAATAATCACATCCACCTTGGAGGGTTGATGTTTGTATGAAGAGCTTAACATTGTGGCTGGAATATAGTAAACATTAGACATGCATTAATTTTTACTCTGCATCAGATGTTGTGCTGAGTACCTTACTGAGTAAATCATCACCATGGTCCTATGAAGTCAGGGCTTTTATTTTTCTATGAGGAAACTGAGTTAGAGAGAAGTTAAAGAAGAGGTGGAATGCGGACCTTGACCCCAAGTCTATGCTTACAAATAGTGGATTGCCTCATGCCAGCCTAGGGGGGCACAAGGTATGATTATGGGATGACTGTTGTCTTTTTAAATAAAAATATCCCCCTTTTTGTAGTTTGACATTTTAATTTCATTTCAGTTCACATACACATGAATTCAATCTCATACAAAATTTAAACATAGATAAAGAATTCCAATACAGATCAAGACAAATGTCCGCCTTCAGGAAGAGGCTGGCAAAAACACATACAATTTGCTCTCAATCAAGTGTACAGTGTTCAATGAGTAGAGAGTTTCAGTTTTCCAAGATGAAAAAGTTCCAGAGACCCGCCTGGCGTTCACCACTGATGTGTTTAAAAGCTTCCTACTGTCTCGATAAGAAAGCTCCTAAGACTGTTGTTCTGTGACAGTGGGTTTCCTGGGCTGAGATCCAGGGCGGGGCAAATGCAGCAGTTCCCACCTTCTCTTAAAGGCTGCAATGCCCTGATGGAGAGTTCTGGTTGCCCCAAGGCCTTTTGCCAGCCGCTGGCCCACAGCTCTGTCCGCCTTTGTGTAATAGGCAGGGCTGGGTGTGGACATCTGGGTCTGAAGCCGAGCCCTGGCACTGCACACATGTGGCCTGGGCAGAGCCCACTCTGTGCTGTGTTGCCCACTAATGGTTTTTTGATTTTAGCCTGACCACCAGTGTTTACACCATGCATCCTTTTGTCTTTTTTATTTGTTTCAAGAAAATAAAATATCTCTCAAGCAGACCGCCACCCACTGTGGCAGGGATGCTGCTCTCTGTTCCCACACACTCCGCTTGGAGGGGGGCACACAGTAGACGCCCCAGAAGGATGTGCCAGTGAGTTTATTCCTCCTGCACTATCCAATATGGCCAGGTGTGGTGGTTCAAAGTTAAATGCAAATTATTTAAAATTAATGGCCAGGAGCCAGACCCAGGCCGCCTCACTCACCTTGTGACCACTGAATCTCTGCTGGTTCTGCCACTGAAGGGAGACGCTTCAGGGCACCAGGAGTGTTCTGGGTTTGATGGAATGGTTTGAGACGTTGGTGGTGGCAGTGGTTCCAAGGATGCTGGCATCTGTCAAGATCATTGTGCTGTACGCTTCTAGGTGATTATATGGAGATCATGCTTCAGAAAGCTGATTTAAAAAGTGGAATGTCCCTCCCTGCCAAAAAATAAAGAAAATCTTTTATTTGCAGTCCCAAACTGACCTGGAGCAAACTATTGTCAGAAGAATGAAATCAACTGATTCCTAAGTAGGTAGCACCACTCACAGCACTTAGGAAACCCCAGAAAGGGAAAGGAAGGATTTCCTAGTCCCTGAGGAGTTAAAGAGAGGGAAGCAGAGCGCCAGCCTTGGGCATCCAGACCACGGGCCAGCGCCTCCCACTCCAGACCCCTGCCAAGTCCTTCCCTACCACACACGGTGCTGGGCGCAGCAGGAGCCTCGCAGGGACTGAGATGGGGCTCGTGGATAGGTGTGTATCGAGGGGTGTGTGAGTGTCTATGTGTGTGTGCTAGGTGTATGTGTAAGTTAGATGGGTGTGTATGTGCAGGTATATGTGTATATATGTGTGCCAATAGTGTGCATGTGAATTAGGCAGGTGTATGTGTGAGGGCGCACGTGTATATGTGTGTTAGGTGTGTGTGAGTTAGGTGGGCGTGTGTATGTGTATATATTTGTGTTAGGTGTGTGTTAGGTGGGTATATGTGTGAATGTGCATGTGTCTATGTGTGCTAGGTGCATATGTGAGTTAGGCGGGTGTATGTGTGCAGGTACATGTGTACATATGTGTGTTAGGGGTGTGTGTGTAAGGAGAGGGTAACAGAGAATAATGTTCCTTGGGAATCCGAGGCACATTCCACAGGGAAGCCCCACTGGCCTTCAAGTTATGTAAATCCATCAACCAGAAAATCACTGATGTTTTCGGGAAGACACATCACTAATTACCATAATGCCCACATTTGTGAGGCATTTAGCACCTGTGCTAAGTACTGGGTAAACTGCAAAGGTATTAATCCACACGGCAGCCCTGCCAGGCAGATGTCAGTATCTCGTTTTGTGACTTGGAACATGGGTTTCTCGAAGAGAGTCCTTCAGCTGGAGCCTGCACGTCCAGGCAGTAGTAGGGCCGGATGTTCGATGCTGGGCTCCTGACCCTCAGCTGCTTCTCAGCCCCAGCCCAGGAGCTTAGATTCTGACTTTGTTCAGTGGCTGCAGGGACCGAGGGCTCCTTCCTTCCAAAGCCCTTCCTCCTCGCCTGTCAGAATCCTCCATGGCCCTCAACATTTGGCGTGCGGAAAAATCAGCTGGGACCTTCTTAAACAGCAATTCCCACCCCATCCTAAGCCACTCTGACTTGCAGGGATGGGCTCAGGGCCGGGAATCAGCATTTTAGCATGAGGCTTTCCCGACACTCCTGTGCTGGTCTTGGGAGAACATCACCCTGGGGATTCCACTGCACCTGGTGCCAGCCTGGCTTTTATCCAAAGGATGCACGGGGATGCCCCTGGCTGCTGTTTACAGAATAGACTCAGCCACAATGGAGGAAGCAGAAAGACCTCTCCGGAGGCCACTGCAGCCATCCAGTTGAGACAGGACAGAGATACATTGAAGCAATGGAAGTGGTTGGATTGGACAGAAACTTCGCCAGTGATGCTGACATGTTGTGAATGACGTAGAAAGAGAAAGAGACTGAAGCCACTGCTGACTTCAGGTTTCTCCTGGCCATTAGGTGGAGACGGTGATACTGATGGGGTACCATGCACCTGGATAGAGTGGTTTAGGGGAGGGGAGAACACAGTGGTTGGTTTGTGGTGTGTTTCAAGAGAGTGTGTGAGGAAGACAAGGGGAGGCTGACTTTAGGGGAGATGGGGGCTTCACTGGGAAGGGGTGAAAAATATTTGAGAAGTTGGGTGGCAAATTTGTAGAGGAGACTGGGCCAAGAAGAAATAGCAAACAGCCCAAGGAGGGAAGGGATCAGAGGAGATGATGTAAAAGGTAGGTGCAGATTTAAAGTATTGCTGGGCGGTGAAAAGAGCAGAGGTCAGGAGTCTTGGGTGGAGTCCTGCCCCTCCTGCACCAGGCCCCTTGGCTGCTCCAAGCTCAGGGTTTCTCCAACTGTAAAAGCGAAGTAACACCTGTGCTGTGGCTCCAGCAGGGCTGTGGTGGGAATCAACATCATATAGCATTCAAAACACCCTGGAGGGTGTGTTGCTATGAGCAGAGCTTTCCCAGCACCCTTTGGGGTTTCTGCTATTGACCCCAGGGGTTACCCTGGGTGCAGGGCCCCGAACTCTTTTGGCAGAATGAACTCTTTTAGCCCCTGCGAGGCAATGACAGCCCTGTGGGAAGTGAGTGTGCTTCAAGATGATGTGCTGCTTTCAAAATCCAGCTCAAAGCCAGGTGCCAGGGCTCACACCTGTAATCCCAGCACTCTGGGAGGCCAAGGTGGGAGAATCGCTTAAGCCTAGGAGTTGAAGATCAGCCTGGGCAACATAGAGAGACCTTGCCTGTAGAAAAATTAAAACAAATTGGGCATGTTGGTGAGTGCCCGTATTCTCAGCTTTTCAGGAGGCTGAGGCAGGAGGATGGCTTGAGCTCAGGAGATTGAGGCTGTAGTGAGCCACCATCGAACCACTGCACTCCAGCCTGGGCAACAAAGTGAGACCCTGTTTCTATAATTTTTTTTTTTTAATTAGCTGAGTACAGTGGCGCACACCTGTGATCCCAGCTGCAAGGGAGACTGAGGTGGGAGGATCGCTTGAACCCAGGAGGTAGAGGCTGCATTGAGCCATGATCACACCACTGCACTCCAGCCTGGGCGACAGAGTGAGACCTTGTTCATAAAAAAACAAATAAAAATAAAAATAAAATGTCCAGCTCTGCGTCTGGGTGACCTTGGGCCACTTCTCGCCTCTTCGGAGCCTCCCAGTCATCTTCTGTAGACTGAGAAAATCCATACCAACCTGGTCCTCATGACACATCTCTTGGGTGCAGGAAATAGAAATCTACTTGGGCTCACTCCAGTAAACAAAGATTTATTTAAAAGAATGGACGTGCCTCACAGAGCCCATTAGAGTGGAAGTGCCCTGGACAGGGAGTACTGCACACTGGGCCCTGGAACAAGGCCACAAGGCCTGGCCCCCAGCAGCACCCAGTACAATAGAACATCCATGGAGTCAGTGCAGCTACGGGAAGGTGGGTTCTCAGGAAGGCTGGGAGCTGAGGGCTGGAATCTGTCTGGAGCTTTGGTGATCAACAGCTCCATCCCGCACCCTCCTCTATTCCTTATCCTCTCTGTACATTTGCTGGTTCATTTTCCTCTCTCTGTAGGTAGGAAACCTGGAGCTCCCATCTGCAAGTACCAGCCCAGGCTTGGGTGGCTGGGGCCTGCCTCTCAATGGCCTCTATGTATTTCTGAGCCCAGTTCCCCATCCCCCAGAAAGAGAATGTAAGTGGCCCAGGCTGAATGAGCGTCCACTTGGTTACAACTAGAGGAGAGCTCCCTGGCATTGACAGCGGCTCCTCAGGCTGGAAGAGGGGCATCCTCTCTAGAAAATGAGCTGCGGGAAGGTGCTACATCCCTGTTATGTAAATTTGACCAACGGGCCATTTTACAAAGCCACCTAGAGCTGTGTGTGGCACATAGTAGGTGCTCAGGGAATAGGAGCTATTGTTCTGTGTGGCCAGGAGTCTCAGGACCTCAGCAGGTGGGATCTTCAGCTCATTTCTCATCTCTGCATACCTGACTGGTGACTCTGTGTGTGTGTGTGTGTGTGTGTGTGTGTGTGTGTGTCTGTGTGCGTGTGTGTGTGTGTCTGGTGTGTGGGGGGCGGGAAGGGAGGAGAGCTGTCACTCCCAGGGTCTTGAGACCACAAATTCAGCAAAGTCCCCTCAGCTGGCAGCCTGATAAAACATGTGTTAGTTCCCACATTTTGGAGTCCAGTTCCAGCCCAGATCTGATTTAAGAAGCTTTTGAGTAGGTACTGTGGCTCATGCCCATAATCTCAGCACGGTGAGTGGCCAGGGCGGGAGGAGGATAGCTTGAGGCCAGAAGTTCCAGACCAGCCTGGGCAACATGGCAAGGCCCCATCTCAACAAAAAATAAAATAAAATAATTAGCTGGGTATGGTGGCACAAACCTATAGTTCTAGCTGCTGTGGAGGCTGAGGTGGAAGGATTACTTGAGCCCAGGAGTTAGAGGCTACTGTGAGCTATGTTCATGCTCAAGTGAGCTTTCACTTTCTCTGTGGAGGCAAGTTAAAAAAAAAAAAAAAAGCAGCAGCTTTCACAGTTACAAGCAGAACCAGGGACATGATATAGCACTTCACTGCAGCCACATCTCATGGACTTCCCTCCCTTCTTAATACTACAAATTCCAAATACTTTACTCATGGACAGAACATCCTTGATTAAGTTGGCTGATCATCATATAACGTATTCTGGGTCTCTATGTAATTTATTCACATGATCATTCAACATTCTACAGTTAAATCCTTCCCCCAGCACCACGAATGAGAGTCTTTCATTGCAGATGAGTGAGGACCAGGCTGTCCTGAGCTGACATTCTTGCTACCGCCTGGAGCATATGTTATACATGAGAATTAATAAGTATGAAGTTCAGAACATATCTAGGTATTGCATCATATGGTGTTTTTCATTTTTTGTTTGTTTGTTTGTTTGTTTGTTTGTTTTTGATAGAGTTTCACTCTTGTTGCCCAGGCTGGAGTGTAACGGCCCAATCTCGGCTCGCCACAACCTCTGCCTCCTGGGTTCAAGCGATTCGCCTGCCTCAGCCTCCCAAGTAGCTGGGATTACAGGCATGCAGCACCATGCCCGGCTAATTTTTGTATTTTTAGTAAAGACAGGGTTTCTCCATGTTGGTCTGGCTAGTCTCGAACTCCCGACCTCAGGTGATCCACCCTCCTTGGCCTCCCAAAGTGCTGGGATTACAGGCGTGAGCCACCACGCCTGGCAGCATCATATGTATTTTATGAGAATTCTACCTTGAGTGTTGAGAAAGAGACTGAAAGAGAGAGAATTCTCGTTCAAGCCATCAGAGTCATGGAGGCATTTCTATCAATAACTCTCTGTAAACTGAAAATAAAATCCTAAGCCCCTACCAGCTGAGTACCTCTTCTTGGCCTAGGGGACCCCAGAAAAATCTTAGAAAATGAGTGTCTGACCATGACAGGAAGGGAGGCCAGACACGCCTCGTTACACTCCCTCCCTTTTGGAGTTTAGACAAAACCACTGCTTGGCATTCATGCTAAAATAGAGATCAGAAGACTGACAGAGCAGACCCTTTGCGACAATAGGATACCAATTATAAACAGGACCTAAGGCCGTGCCAGACAAGGGGTAAGTCATGCACCCCTACAGGTCACTCTGACCCAGTAGTTTGGTTAACAAACTTCCTTAACTTAAAACATTCTTTTCTGCTAACTCCAAATTTTTAGACAAAGCTCTACTCCTTTAATCAGTTGCAAATTAAAGAATCTCTAGGTCCACTGATGATCTATAAGTCCCTGCTTCAAGATATTCCACCTTTTGGGGCTGATCCAAAATACACCTTCCATGTATTAATTCATGTCTTCACTCGCAACTCCTGCCTGCCTGAAATGTACAAAACTAAGCCGTAATCCAACTGTCCCGGACGCACTCTCTCAGGGCCTCTTAAGACTGCATTTCCGGGGCCATGGTCACTCATACTGGCTCAGAATAAACCTCTGAAAAATACCTTACGGAGTTTGATTTTTCCATCAATAGCTCCATCAGTTAGCCAGGAGATGAGGAAGTTGCCTTGCTGATCTCTCTTCCAGTCCTGAGTCCCATGCATCTTCCATGGCCTGGGGATCTCTAGATTTGGGGGTCCTGAGGCTGCGGGGATGGGCCGGCGGGCCTGGCTGATGGGGCGGTGGCAGGTGGGGCTCCTCCGCAGCATGCTGAAATCTGTGGCACCTGTGACCCTGCTAAACATTTCCCTTTTCTGCTTCTTGAATTTTTAAATTTTTTATTCATTTTATATTTTAGAGACAGAATTTCATTCTGTTGCCCAGGCTGGAGTGCAGTAGTGTCATCGTGACTCACTGCAATCTCTGAACTCCTGGGCTCAAGCGATCCTCCTGCCTCAGCCTCCCGAGTAGCTAGGCCCACAGGCACTAGAGATGGGGTCTTGCTATGTTGCTCAGGCTGGTCTTGAACTGCTGGGCTCAAGTGATTCTCCCATCTTGGCTTCCCAAAATGCTGGGATTACAGATGTAAGCCACTGCACCTGGCCACATTTTCTGACTTTCGCAGGCAAGAGCGGGAGAGCTGAGTGCAAACCTCAGCATTACAGACATCTGCAAGAACTTTCCAGCAGGCTGCTGGCTTCCTACGGCTAAGTCCCTTTTCCCTGCGGTAGTGGTGGTCTCTGATCCACAGAATGTCAGCTGTTCAAGTGGGAAAGCCTGGGCCCAGAACTGAGAAAAGGCCTTTTCCAAGTCCCAGAGTGAGCTGCTAAGTGAGATGGAACAAAACCTTCACCTCTGGCTTCTTCTCAGCCAAGCCCACATTCATTTTCCCTGTTTGACATTTTTGACTGGAGGTTCCAACTAAAAATAGTGACCCAGTTACACACAAGGACTAGGAAACTCACCCTCCGGCCCTGGTGGCTGCATCATCTCGACTTCACTCTGCGGGGCATCCTCCACAGACCCATCCCTCTCCAGCTGCCTCTGCAGTGTCAGGATGATTGAACACAAAAGGAGACAGTGCTGAGACATGCCAGGCTTTACCACAGCATTCAAAAGGATTCAGCATTCAACCTCCAGCCTGGCCATTCAATGCCAGATTATCAGCAGCTCTGAAGAAGGAGCTCAAGAGGCTTCATCAGGAGTGCACAGCATGGCCTGAGCTGGTCATGAGAGTGAAGGTCCCACCATGTGGGCTGGGTGATGGGGGAGCACAGAGAAAGGGGGTGGGGATGGGGTCACGTTGAACTAGGCTGGGCAGCAGCCTGTTTAGTAAAAGTCAGTGGGCACACAGAGCTAATGCCTGATCTTTTCATTCAAGACCACAAGGTCCCATCAGGGGTTCGGGCGCCCAGTGTGTTAGGAATTCTCCTTAAAGGTGGCCCCAGCCCTCCCAGCCTGTCTTCCCCGAGCATACCTGAGCAACATCTTCATTGCATTTTAGTCCTGAGATGGGGAAGGGACCCTCTCTTAGGGGCCTAATGAGCCTTCCCAAGCATGAAAATAAAGAAAACTCCTGCGTTCCTCGAAGGGAAATTCCAGGCACCTAGGTAGGCCTGAAAAGTAAGTAAGCAAGAAAGCAATCGTCACCTAAAGCCAAGGAAATAAGTCCAGAGATTTTTGGTTTCTCTACAGAAATGAAAGATAACATCTCAACATATGTCCCTGAGTTCTTTCACACACCCAGACCCCACTGCAGACCCCGGTGGGATTCGCTGACAGGTAGACCTCGGATAAGGGGGAATTGCAGGCAGAACTCTGACCACACTGTTCTTTGTTTTAAGTTTATTCCTGAGAGGCTTGGTGGGAGTCACCCTGTCCCCTAGCCAGTTAACATGTTTTTCTGCTGACCCCCAATTTTTAAACAAAGCTTCTCTTCCTTAACTAATTGCAAATCAGAAAATCTTTGAATCTACCTATGACCTGTAAGCTCCTCCCCTTTAAAGATGCCCCCACCCTTTTAGGCCAAAATCAGTGTGTACCCTCCATATATTGATTTCTGATTTTGCCTGTGGCTTCTGCTCTTCTGAAGTTTACCCCTATATATATATATATATATATATATATTTATTTATTTATTTATTTATTTATTTATTTATTTATTTTCAGTCTTGCTCTGTCTCTCAGGCTGCAGGGCAGTGGTGTGACCTCGGCTCACTGCAACCTTTGCCTCCCAGATTCAAGCAATTCTCCCACTTCAGCCTCCCAAGTAGCTGGGACTACAGGCGTGTGCCACCACACCTGGCTAATTTTTGTATTTTTAGTAGAGACAAGGTTTCACCATGTTGGCCAGGCTGGCTTGAACTCCCAACCTCCAGTGATCTGCCTGCCTCAGCCTCCCAAATTGCTGGGATTACAGATGTGAGCCACTGCACCCAGCCTACCCCTACCTTTAAACACCTTCACCCTCAAGCCATGTGGGAGGTCAGGAGCTGAGCAGTAGCTTCCAGATCCTCCTTGCTTGGTGCCCTGCAAATAAACACTTTCCTTTTTATTGCTGTGAAAACTCGGTGTGGCTGTCGGGTTTTACTCACCTAGCGAGTGGACCCCAGTTCGGTTCTGTAACAGTGCCTCTCAGCGCTCAGGGCTTCCTGAGGATAACGGCTGCAAAGCTGCTGTCTCCCTCCCCAGGGCTAGCTCAGGGTCTCGTGTCTGAACCACATGCTTTGTTCTGTCTGTCACAGTTGTTTTTCTATATTAGAGGAGAGGCTGCTTCCCACCTTCCTACTTACATTTGTGGGTGTCCTCCCGAGACCATCCCACACTTTGCTTAAGGCATGGGGCTGGGCAGGAGAAAGGCGAACCGTGAACTTCTAAAAGATCCATCTGCCCCCACAATTTGGAGCTTGGGGGATTCTCTGACTCCATTCCTTTGGGTGAGGGGAACACGTGTTTAGTCAACACTGTCCTTGTTTAGCCAACATTTGCTTTCAGAAAAGTACATTTCCCATGGAGACTTTTATTCCTAAGCTTGGTTGTCCCGAAAAATCTTTTCTCCTTTTTCACCCGTTAAGCAGAAACAAAAATGCATTTCTGCAGGGAATAAATCATTTGCCTGGAGGCCGAAACTCTAGAGGAAATCTGTCCAAATGTTCATTTGCATATTCGAGCTTTTAGCATTCTCCTCGTGTCTCCGAACTGGAAACTTGGGAGAAGTACCGACTCAGTGTTCCAGCACAGCGTTTTATGAAACCCAAACCAAGCTGATCAGTGAATCAGTCACCCAGAACTGTTTCCTCCCGGGAATGAGCTCTGGGAGCTAACCTTGAACCAGGAAGACAAGATGAGGAAGGAGGGAAGGAATCACTGGATTAGAGCCGCCTCTGTCACCCGGTGGCTGATAAATTTTTTATTTCTCTGAGGCTTGTCTTTCTTATCTGTAAAATGGGCACACTTTGTTTTCTTCCATCCAAGTATTGATCAATCCAGAGCCTGTTTAGCTTCTGAGATCAGATGACACCAGGCACGTCCATGGTAATATGGCCATAGACACCTTGTTTTCTGAATTGAAAACAGTTTTTTTGTCAGGGGCAGGGGAGTCACATTTTAACCTTTCTGAAGCTGCTGCCGCTTTTTCAGTGGACCAGCCGTCCTCTTAACAGGCTCCTCCTGCAAGCCGCTTGTGTTGAAATAGCAGGGCCTTCCTTTGGCAGAGGAGGGCAGGGAGGGGGAGCTGGTGGCTGCCTCCAGCTCTCTCTCTCTCACAGTGAGGATGCCACACTTCCCCAAGACTGCTGCCCTAGAGTCCCAGGAGTTGGTCGCATTCTCTCCCTTGCTCATGGGTCCTGGCGTGGATGCATCTCCAGACACCCGGATATTTCCAGGGCTGGGTGATGTCCTCCATGCTGGCGTTAGATTCCAAGATAAGATTCCAAGGTAGATTCCTCCCACATCTACTCCTAACTCCCTGCACTCCAGGTGCATTATGGGATGTTTGTAAAGAGCAGTTCTGGAGGCCCTGGACTCTGGTTCCATTCCAGGACCGGTCACCCATGTCTTTGAAGTGGAATTCCCCCACCCCTCTCCCCGCCTCCCTCACCCCTCTCCCCACCTCCCCCACCCCTCTCCCCGCCTCCCCGACCATGCACCAAAGATGGCTGGGGCACCACAAGGATGTATTTAGGAGTGAAATGACACGATGTTGGGAATTTGCCTTAAAAATGTATGTGTATGGGGCAGCTGAGAGAAGAATGACAGAAACACGTAATTGTTAAAAATGAGGATTCATTATATTATTTTCTCTACTTTGGGGAGTGTTTGAAAATTTCCGTAATTGAAAGTAAAAAATAAAATGAAAACTTATGAACAGAGAATTGAATGGAGGATGTGTGTACCCCACTGGCATTGATAAACAGCTCTTGCTTAGAGCAGGGTGGTCCAGGATATCATTTTTCCAGGCTTCCGAATCCAATTTACTCATTAACCTAATTGTGGACTCATTGCAGGGTGCAGAAAACCAGGGGAAGAGCTGGGCCCGGGGAAGCATTTTGCAGGAGACAACTTAGCCTTCTGTGTGTCACCCTCTCAGCTCGGGGTTCCCCTGCCCCTTGGGGTGTCCCAGGACAGAGACATAGAAGGCAGCTTATGGGGGGAGGTCACCTCCTCCATGCCCACCTTCTGCTCTTTCAGAGCTCCAGCCCCTGAAGAGGGCGAGGATGTGATGATGAGGATGCTGATGGCTCCCCTAGTCTGAGCACCTACTGTGTGCAAGCCCCCAGGCATTTCAACTACACAGCAGCCCTGTGAGGTGGCCCCTGTCACCGAGGCTTACAGGGGTAGAGTTTGAGGCCTAGAGGGACTGAGAAGTGGCACTTGGCAGTATTGAAACCCAGTTCTCTCCGGTGGCTGTAGGCTGAGCTAGGGTGAGAATGGTCTTGGCAGCCACAGCTCTGAGCCTGCCTCAGGAGGGAGGGAAAGAACATGAGGACTCTCCAGTCCCTGGGGTTCCCCTGGCACCATGGCTCTGCCCCCGAGAGAGCACAAAGTACCTTACAAGTCTCCCTGAGGCTACAGGTGAAGGCTGCTAGTGAAGGCCCCAGCTGTGGCTCCCTCAACCAACTAGTCCCAGGGATACCTGCATCTTCCGTGTGTACCTCCCTGGGGGCTAGTGTTCAGAAAACCCTCTGAGAAGAGACTCAGATGGTTTGAACGTGCGCCAAGAACACCCTGGCTGTGTGGGCCATGTCTGACTGCCTCGAGCGAGACTGATAAGCTCTGACATTACAGGGAATTACATCTGACCTGACACCCATTAGGAAATAGTCATAAAAATCTCAACACCGTCAACAGTCCTCACTATGTCCTGATCACCCGCCAAGGCTGACGGCTGTTATTCAGCAGTTACAGGGCGCTTTATATTTGCAAAACTCAGACAGGAAAGGTTATTGTGCATTCTCCTCTGTCTTATTAGGCAGTCAGGAGCTGCCCTGGGAGAGAGGTCAGCCAGGCCTTCAGTGGCAGGGTGGTGGCTTAGAAAGATGCCTAGGGATGGAGCCTGTCACACCCAGGTTTAAGTTCTGATTCTGACAGCTAATGGCTGTGAGACCTTGGCGACTCACTTTACCTCTCCAGTTCATAAATGGGAAATGACTCTCCATACTCCAATAATTTTGTTGTGAAGACAAAATGACCTCATTTATGAGCAGTAATGTGCCTAAGCCTGCGTATTACTTTCATGTTAGATGTGGGAAAGCTCAGATATGATTTAGATGTTTGTCCCTCCAAATCTCATGTTGAAATGTGATCCTCAGTGTTGGTGATGGAGCTTGGTGGGAGGTGTCTGGGTCATGGGGGCAGGTCCCTCATGGATGGCGGGGTGTGCTCCCAGTGGTAATGAGTTCATGGGAGCGCTGGTTGTTGAAAGGAGCCTGGCACCTCCTCCTCCTCGCTCTCTTGCTCCCTCCTCACCACGTGGCACTCCTGATCCTCCTTTGCCTTCTGCTATGAGTAAAAGCTTCCTGAGGCCTCCCCAGAAGCCAAGCAGATGCTGGCACCATGTTTATACAGCCTGCAGAACCATGGGCCAAACAAACCTCTTTTCTTTGTACGTTACCCAGTTTCAGGTGTTCCTTCATAGCAACACAACACAAAATGGACTAATACATGCTCTTTATCAAAATGAACTGATAAACACACGTGTCTTGCCCTTGGGAATACACAGTGCAGCAGGAGAAATAAGACATAAACATGTGACAGTTTTTATTAATTGCAAGGAATTTATATTTCAAGGTAGAATAAACCATCGACCCAATAGTAATGGGCCTCATGAGCTGAGGCTTAAATTAGGTGGACGCAAATGGTATAATTAGGTAGCCATATAATTTATCATTCACACCAAGAAACGATTAAGAGTGAAAGGGGGTGTTATGAGTAATCAATATCAGGGCAACATATGCGAGTGGGGACTGACCCGGGCACGCTGGGATGTAGGGCATCCTAAGGACGGCACATGCTGCCTCATCTAAGGTGTAGATGTGTGAATGTTTAACCCGTCCCTTGGAGCATCCCCAGGCAGGCATGTGCCTTTTCTTGCATGATCTAGGCCTCTGGGACCATCGGTGTCCATGGAGAAGCCTGCACATGTGTTAGAATTTTAGTCTGTTTCCTGGGAATTGCTCTTGCACTCACCAGCTCCCCATCTTCCTGAGGAGAAAGTCCAAATTTCTGAACATGCCCCGCAAGGCTTTCGATGGTCAGGCCACAACCCTCCCTGACTCAATGCTCCCTCCCTCCTCTCCTGCTAGGGTGCTCCCTCTCCACCCATTTAACTTGCTCTTCCTCCTGCCTGGATGCTTGTCCTTCGGCTTTCACACAGTGTCTTAGCTCTGTGATTTGCATCTTAGCTTCGTGTCCCTCCTTGCAAAGGGCTCCCATGGCCATCAATTCCCAGCCATCCTCAACAGACTCCCCGGCCTCTGGCTTACTTGTGTCATTGTGAGGAGAGAGGCCATTTCTCTTACTGTCTCCTGTCTCCAAAGAAAAGGAGGAAGTAAAAACTGAAAAATAACAGACTGATCGGTGCCACTGGCCAGGACTGTAGGTTAAACATTAACCCCCACCCTAGAGCTTGTGCTATCTATAGATCACAGACAATGGTGTGGAGAAATACTTGCCTTGCTAACCACCCCCACCTAGTCATGTACCACCTGCTTGCTCAATCTATCACGACCCTGTCACGTGGACGCCTTAGAGTTGTAAGCCCTTAAAAGGGCCAGGAACTCTTTCTTAATGGAGCTCGGTTCTTGAGAGCAAGTCTACCAATGCTCCTGGCTGAATAAAGCCACTTCCTTCTTTAACCCAGTGTCTGAGGGGTGTTGTCTGTGGCTCGTCCTGCTACAGTTGTCTCCAAAACATTCAGCACAAACGATATTCTTTTTTGTTTTACAGAGAGTCTTGGTCTCCCATTCTCCACTAGCCTGCACCCAGAACAGAAGCATGCCATCCAGGTCTTGCTTCCTGAATCATCCCCTTTCCTAAAACAGGCCTGGCTCCTCACACAAACCTGATGGGTGAGTGGTCCAGTGGCCTCCAGGGGAGCCTTTAGACAGAAGCACGGGGATTGCTTTCTGGAGAATGATCATCACTCACCTTGGTGAGCCAAGGATAGAGACCAAGAGATAAAGGAGAGGAACTGTGAGGCAGAGCTGAGAGTGGTGGAAGGGTCTTCAGGAAAAGGGGAGGATCAGGAACCAGGCACTCTTGTCCCAACTTTACCACTATCTCCTCAGTGACCTTGGGGAAAATGCCTTCCCTCTTTGGGTCACAGTCTCACTGTCTGTTAGTCTAGAACTATTCTGCCAAGGGCCAGATTGTAAATGTTCTGGGCTTTGTGGCCACACATTCTCTATTACAAGTGTTCAGCTCTGTTGTTGCAGCTGAAAGCAGCTATAGGTAGCATAGGAACAAATGGGCATGGCTGCATTCCAACCACAGTTTACACACACAGAGAGGCTGCAGGTCACATTCAGCCTACAGGACTCATCTGCCAAACCCCAATCTAGAACAACAATTTCCAAACTGCCTTCTCCCAAAAGAGGGTCAAATAAATGTGGGAAATATTGAGTTCAAGGTATCTCCTCATTTCAGAACTTCTGAGAACACTTACTATGTGAGTGAATACTGTGACTTTCCAGAAAGGGATATTACATATTATATTATTTAGTGACTGTGGCTTTTGTGTGTTCTGATTAGAATGGGGGCTTCTTGGACTACAGAAGTTTTGTTTTAGGGTAGAGTATTAGAGTTCTGTAGAAAAACAGAATGAACAGCATGTATCTATCTCTCTATCTATTATCTATCCATATCCATCCATCTATCTATCTATCTATCTATCTATCTATCTATCTATCTATATACCTAGTGAGAGAGAGAGAGAGAGGAAGTTTTTGTTTTGTTTTGTTTTGTTTTGAGATGGAGTCTCACTCTATCACCAGGCTAGAGTGCAGTGGTACAATCTCGACTCACTGCAAGCTCCGCCTCCTGGGTTCAAGTGATTCTCCTGCCTCAGCCTCCCAAGTAGCTGGAACTACAGGCGTGCACCACCATGCTCAGCTAATTTTTTTTGTGTGTGTGTATTTTTAGTATAGGCGGGGTTTCACCATGTTGGCCGAGCTGGTCTCGAACTCCTAACCTCAAGTGATCTGCCTGCCTCGGCCTCCCAAAGTGGATTACGAGCATGAACCACCATGCCTGGCCGTGAGAGAGATATTTAACATGGGGGACTGGTTCACATGACTGTGGAGCCTAGGGAGCCCTCACAGTCTGCCACCTACAAGCTGGAGGCCCAGGAAAACTAGGGTGTAGTTCTGATATGGTTTGGCTCTGTGTCCCACCCAGATCTCATGTTGAATTGTAATTCTCCATGTTGGAGGAGGGACCTGGTGAGAGGTGATTGGATCATGGGAGCATATTCCCCCCTTGCCTTGCTGTTCTTGTGATGGGGAGTGAGTTCTCATGGGATCTGGTTGTCTGAAGGTGTGTAGCATCCTTTGCACTCTCTCTTGCTCTGCCATGGTAAGATGAGCTTGCTTCCCCTTTGCCTTCCACCATGATATAAGTTTCCTGTGGCCTCCAAGCCGTGTTTCCTGTATATCCATGGAACTGTGAGTCAGTTAAACCTCTTTTCTTTATAAATTACCCAGTCTCAGGTAGTTCTTTACAGCAGTGTGAGAACAAACTAATACAAGTTCTAATCAAAGGCCCGAGACTCAGGAGCTCCAGTGTCCAAGAGCAGGAGCAGGTGGATATCCCATCTTAAGAAGAGAAAGCAAATCCCCCCTCTTCATTTTTTTTTAATCCCCTTCTGGTGCTGAATGGGTTGGGTAATACTTGCTTACGTGGGTGAAGACAGTCTTTACTCAGTTGCTTGATTTAAATGCTGACCTTTTCTGGGAACACCCTTATAGACACAGCCAGAAATAATGTTTTCCTAGCTAACTGGGAATCCTGTAGCCGAGTCAAGTTGACATAAGATTAACCATCACAGGCAGGGTGCTGTAACAGACACTGCTGGGGTTCCCACATGGCTCCATGCTGACTCTCCCCAGGCGAGCTCATGGTGCCTTACTGCAAGTGCCAGCTTCTCTGCACAAGGACTTTCTCTCCCCCCATACAGATACAGGCCACCAGTGCTAGAGAGCCACTGCCCCTGAGGGCTGCCCTCCACCAGCAATGAAAGTTACTTGGATGGTAGATACCCAAGCTTCAAACTAATCCAGGAACAGAAATCCAAATACCACATGTTCTAATTTATAAGTGATAGCTAAATGATGAGAACACATGGGCACATAGAGCAGAATGACACACACTGGGGCCTAATGAAGGATGGAGGGTGGGAAGAGGGAGAGGATCGGGGTACTAGGGTAATACCTGGGTGATGAAATACATCATACAACAACCCCCCATGACACAAGTTTACATATGTAACAAACCTATATGACAAACATGTACCTGAGGGGCACATGTAACCCTCAACCTTAAATAAAAGTTAAAAAAACTTCTTCTTCCTTGGGGATGGGTAGAGGCAACTGTCATGTACAGTGTGAGCCTGTGGTTCTCCAAGTGTGGTCTTGGGCCCAGCAGTAGCCATGTCACCTGGGACCACTGAATCGGGGACTCTGGGGTGGGGCACAGACTCTAACAACCCCTCAGGGGATTCCTTCATGTGCCAATGTATGAGGATCACTGCCCTACACTGCCCTTCAGAGGTCCCCAGGGGACTAAGCCCCAGTTGTTCACCAACATTCCTGGTGTGGGCTGTCTTCTCTTCTCTATTTCACTTTCCCACTTCCTTTCTGTGCTTTCTGGAATTGCCTCCCAAATCAGCCACGTGGCATGCAAACCCTTGTTTCAGGTTTGCTTCTAGGGGAACCCAGCCTAAGATAGACCCTCATAACATCTAATGGAAGAGGCACTGTATAAATCCTGATCTAGAAGCTATCAGAGGCCCCTCCAGCAATATATTATATAGTGACTGTGGCTTTTGTGTGGCCTGATTAGTCTGCTTTATCAAATAACCAGTGTGCCTTGGTTAAGTGCCTACTGTTTGCTCAACGTTGTACCAGTTACAAAAATACATTTAAGTGGTGTCGTTGTCTGGGGTAAATACCCAGGGTTCATCGTCTCACGCCAAGGAGATTAAGGACACAGACACACATGAGGAGTGAGTTTAGGAGCAGAGGCTTAACAGGCAAAAGAAAGAGAAAGGGGAACAGCTCTCTTCCTGGTGCAAGAGAAGGGCTTCTGAAAGGAAAATCTGGTGGCTTTACAGGGTCTGTCTGAGCACCCTGTGGGGTGTGTGGCACCTAATAGATGAACGTTGTTTTAAAATGTGAGTTTTATTATTATTATTTAAATAAGGTGAAGTCAATGGATCAGAAGAGGATTGCCATTAAAATGGTAATTCGTTACTCCTGTAATTCCCTGACCAGTTCTTCCTGCCTGCTGCACAGATCAATCAACTCACTGAGACCACAACATCGCAGTAAAGAAAAAGTTTACCTGATACAAGGCCAGCCAAGCAGAAGATGGAGTTATCATTCAAATCATTCTCCCCAAGGCTCTTGGGGGTTAAGGTTTTTCAAGGACAGTTCGGTGGGCAGGGGCCAGGAATGGGGACTGTTGATTGGTTAAGAATGAAATCATAGGAGTATGGAAAATGGTCCGCATGTGCTGCATTTGCCTCTGGGTGGGGCCACAGGATCTGCTGAGTCGTGAGCCACAGGTCCAGGTCCGGGTGGAGTCATCTGATCTCAGAAATGCAAAAGCCTTGTTATATGTAAAAATCAAATGATTGTTCTCCGGTGCCACAAAGAAATAGCACTTGAACACAAATTTCATTATCTCAGCAAGGCCAGTTTTACTTTCTGCAGAAAGGGTACACTCCCCAGCAGTTTTGCCATGAGAATACACCAAACAAAGGAGACAGGGTCATTTATAACCTAACATGTCCACCTTACTGCTGTGTCTGGTTTCCATTGCTTGGAATGGGACCTCACATTTTGTATTTGTCCCAATTGGCTAGCAACTTAGAACTTTTCAAAAGAGGCAAAGGCAGAGGAGAACAAAGGAAGGAGGAAGTAACTTGTGGAATGCTGAGAAAGGTAAAAATACCTCCAAATAAGGAAGAGGAACAGGCCATGACATAATGCTTGCTTGGAGCAGTATAAGCATGCCAGGGCAAATATTTAGGCTAAATTGTGGGAGCTAAGAGCACAAAGTATATTGATTTCTTTATTATGGCTGGCAGATATTTAAGAATGTTAGCACAGGTCTTGTATAAATTTCGCTTCTAAGAGAAGTTACTACTTGTTCTTCATCAGATGGGGAGGAGAGTCTCTTTGAAGAGGAACCTCTACTTCACTTTTTACAGTCTGAAAAGACATCTCCAAAGGCCAGGCACAGGTTCTACAATAGTGATGTTACCTGCAGGAGTAATTGGGGAAGTTACAAATCTTGTGACTTCTGGAGCAATGGCTGGTTATCATTTAGCAATGCCTATATCTTAGCAGAATTCAGGTCCCTCTCATCATCCTAATCTTGTGGATTTTCATTAGTTTTAGAAAGGTGGTTTAGTTTGGGGAAGAGCTATTATCATTCTTGCTTTAAACTAGAAAGTATAATTCCTCCCAAAATTAACTTGGCCTATGCCCAGGAATGACCAAGGATAGTTTGGAGGGTAGAAGCAAGATGGAGCCTCTTACTGTCAGATTTTGTAAAGGCGGTTTCACTCGCAGTTCCCAAAGTGGGAGGCATGCCATGCAGGGCCTCCTGGGGAGGCACCAAAGTCGGTCAGGAGGCAGGGAGAGCAAGGGAGAAACAGAGACCAGAGCCTTTACTGTGGTTCCCATGGAAAAGGCAAGGCAGGGCGGGGTAAGCAGACTTGGGGCTCAGGATTGGCTCGTTCTAGTACTTTCAGAGGCCCCTGGGCTACAGGCGCCTGGCCCTGGGATGATCAGGGAAAGGGAATAGTGGCCCAAAGTATATGGGCCCTTGCAAGCCTGATAAAGGGGGCCTGGGGGATGTGGGTTCTGCATTTGGTGGTTTTCATATGAAAGGGATGCTCATTTACTATCTCCAGCCATTGGCTAGCCCTAGGAGGAGTAGGCTCTCTAGGATCTGCCAAGTTCCAAGACAAAAAATAAAAAGGTGTAATTAATACACAAGTGTTAGTTGGTAAGGCTGTAAAGTTCCAGAGCAAGGAGCCCTGGCAGGCAAGTTCCATGTGGATCAGAGCTCCTAGGACATCCAGGTGGAGCCTTCCCCTGGGTTTGAAGGGCACCTGAGTACAGAAGACAAGTAATATCATATCAAGGTAAAAATAACATTATTATCTTCTCTAAAATATAATCCAAGCTTATTAGAGAGAAATTCAAGAATTCAGGCCAGGGAAAGGAAGTTGTAAAACAACATCATGATTTTGGCCACCCAGAAATGATTGCTGGGGAAAGTGCTTTATAGCCAACCTCTAGATGTTCAGTTATTTCAGTTGCAAGTGACAGGGAACCCAATCTAAACTGGCCTAAAAAACTCAAATGGATGGAAACAAAAATTCTAAATATGGACTGGCTTCAGGTACAGTTCAATCCAGAGATTCAAAATGTCCTCAGGATTCCAGCTCTATTTCTCAGAGACTCTCTCCTTTGGGTGTTAACTGTGCCTTCAGACCAGTTCACCTTATAGCTGCAATAGTTATTTTAGCAATCTCAATAGCCCATGGCAGCCTGGCTCATGGGAAGACGAGCTACGTCCCACCATTCCCAGGAAGAAAGTCCCAGGTGTCCTCCTGTCAGATAAGCCTGGGTCACAGGCTCGACCATGAGCCAATCCCTGTGGCCTGGGAACTGTGATTCATGAAGGAATGGGCAACTGGGGACCTCTGTAGTTGAAGGTAGGTTAAGTGACAGGGAGAGCACAGTGCCCAGAACTCTCTTCGAATTCCAGAACCACATTCTCCACTCCCCGAGTCCTATTTCCTGAACAAAGAGGGACTGGATGCTATAAGCAACAAGTGTGCTTTATCCATTATTTCACCAGTGCCTTTTCAGTGATTTTTCCTATTGCAAATTTCCTTAGAGTTAAATCTCCACACCCAAGCTTGCCTAGGAAGTATTCTATTTACCCTCCCTTTCAGTCCAAGTGTGGGATCATACGTGTAGGGTGACAGGTCCCCCACCAGGTTATCTAAGGTTGCATGTCTGCTGCTTGAACCCTGAAGACCGGGTTATGAATCAAGGCCATAGAGCCCAGCTGAGAAGCAGGTGTCCCTGAGAACCCAAACATCCCAGAGTGTATCTGGGAACAGACCAAGAGAAACAGTCTCTTTGCACACAGAGCCAGAAAACTAGCTCAAAAGCAGCTTAGAGATGGGAGGCAGGGCGGATCTCCAGAGCTGTCCTGCCACCACCCAGGGGGGCCATGCATGGAGTCCTAATAAACTCATATACTGGGTGTGTCCCAGTCATTCTTTGGTCTCAGCTCCTTCCCAGTGTGGGGGGATGTTCTCCTACACGGTCCAGGTTTTTCCTTTAACAATAAGCAAGTGTCTCAAAGATTACTTGGGAGAGGAAACTTTAAATGCCAGGTACAGATTCCACAGCCGGGAGAGTTCTTCCTACTTCCTGATGCTGGGGAGCTGCCGTTGGCTGCAGGGTTCCAGGAGGATCGTGGCTCTCCAGGCTGAGAGATGCTCACCTATTAACTGCCTCCCTCGGCAGGCTCCCAAGCTTGGCCCTTCCCTCTGGCCTCGCAGTCAGTGTGCACAGGGTCCTGCCTGGAAGATGCCAACTGCTGCTGTCACCCCGCCCTGGGCCTGCAGTTAAGAGGAACTGGGCAGGAAGGAGAGATCAAATTTCCTTCCCTAACCATCAGGCCAGTGAAGCAGCACAGGCGGAAGGCAGGTTGGCTTGTCACGATGACAGATTCTCCCGCTGGCTGGTGGGGGCCCTGGCTCAGGGTGAAGCTTGCCAGGTGTTAGAGTGCTCTGGTGCTATTGACACTGTCTGGCCCCACTGGCTTTCAGTCTCCCTGGCCCTGGCTCCTCCTGTAGGTCATATCCTAAAACACCACCCAAGATGCCTGGTTCATCTGTGGAGTCTGGCCATAGTACAGAGGGTCAGTGGTCATAGGAGCTGGCTGAGTAGCCTTTTTTTTTTTGATATGAAGTCTCGCCTTGTTACCCAGGCTGAAGTGCAATGGCGTGATCTGGGCTTACTGCCACCTCTGCCTCCTGGGTTCAAGCCATTCTCATGCCTCAGCCTCCTGAGTAGCTGGGATTACAGGCATGTGCCACCAGGCCTGGCTAATTTTTTTTTTTTTTCTTAGTAGAGATGGGGTTTCACCATGTTGGCCAGGCTAGTCTCAAACTCCTGACCTCAGATGATCCTTCCGCCTCGGCCTCCCAAAGTGCTGGGATTACAGACGTGAGCCACTGCCCCTGGCCTGAGTAGCCTTTTGACTTTGGATCTTGAGGGCACAGAGGAGCAGGGCTCCAAGACAATCCCACCTGCTCTCAGCAGCCTCTGTCCTAAATATAGTGAAAATGCCTGTTTTTGAAAAACTCTCAAACTATGTTTTTCCTCTGCCCTCAAACCACTGCAGCAGCAATCATCAACACAGAAGTGAGCAAACTTGTGGGGCGTTTTCCCCACCAGCAAGCGAGTGATGAATTATGCAGCAGGCACCAGCAGGGTGTCCAAAATCCATTCTGACACCGTCTACCTGGAGAGAGTGTCATATTCCACAGGGTGATTGCTCTGTCCCCAAGACTGCCCCACCCCCAGACATCAGTCACAAGTCCAGGCCTCCAGAACCTCTGACCAACCGAAGCTCACAGAACTCAGGGAAACACGTGTGCCCGTTTGTTATATAGGATGTTACAAAGGATAAGAGATGCACAGGGGAGATAGACCTGAGGGAGGGGCATGGAGCTTTCGTGCCCTCCCTGGAGGCCACCCTCCAGGAGCCTGCCTATGTTCAGCCGCCCTAAAGCTCCCGAACCCAGTCCTCTCGGGTTTTTAGGAGAAGCCCCAAGACGTGTGCATTCCTTCCCCCAGGGAGTAGGGTGGGACCCTCTCTGGGGAGGGTCTTATGACCCCAAATCAGAGAGGCAGGAGAAGATTCGAGTCCTGCTTTGAGGCAGGCGAAGGGAGGGCAGGAAGAGCTTGGAGAAACACTGTTTCCTGAGGCCTGTTCCTGAGGCCTGACACACCCAACATGACCACAAAAGACTGTTGCAAGGGCTACGGAGGTTGTCAGCCAGGAACCATTGTCAAACACCAATATAAATACGTCTGTCACAACCCTACACTACCTGATCTCATCGGAGTAGCAAGGACAGCACATGGCCCTCATAGTCCCCGCACGGTCCAGGCTGAAACACTCGGAGTGCTTCGTCACTGGACATCAGCAGGCGTGGCAGTGCTGAGTGCGTCGGTCAGGGTGAGTGCCTGGAGGGAAGCGGTCGGGCCCCGGGGAAGCGTGGAACCAGAGGAGAGGGGCAAAGCTTGAGGGTGATTCCACAGTCCACCTCCAAGCCCAGGCTTATGCAGGAATTAAGGACAGTGAAAAGGGAACCCCGGGGGCCACCGTGGAACCCTGCCTGACACACGGCTGGCGGTCTCCACTCAGAACACGAGGCCCTGGTCCAAAGTGCAGGACGAGGGGATCACCTGGGAGACCAGGAGCACTGGATCCCTCCAGACCACTGGATTCTCATCTCGTGACTGAACTGTGGGATGCTCCTTCTCTGGGACGACAGAGGAAATAACCAGCTTGAGTTTCGGGGCCACAGCTCTGAGGTGCCTACACGCTGAGGCCTGCACACAGATTCACTCCTGATCTCACACTTGCCAAGGGAATGGCAGGCACAAGTGTCCATGTTTATGTGATTTTTCCCTCTTGCTCCTTTAAATATTTTTACAGTTAGGGTTTGTTTTGAATATTGTGATAAAGTTACCAAAGAGGTGCAAAAAGAGTGCAGAGAATTCCTTCATACCCTTCACCTAGTTCCCCAATATGTTAACATTTTACATAACCACAGACCGTTTATCGAAACTAAGACATTAGCCTTGGGACAGTGCTAGTAACCACAGCACAGAACTCATTCGGATTTCACCGGGTTTTCCTCTAACAATCTTGTTTTGTTTGCCCTTCCTTCCCTCCCCCGCTCCCTGCCTTCCTCCCTCCTTCCCTCCTTCCCTCCCTCCCTCCCCCACTCCCTCCCTTCCTCTCTCCTTCCCTCCCTCCCTCCCTTCCTTCTCTCTTTCTCTCTTTCTTTCTTTTTTCCTCTTTTCTTTCTTTCCCTCTGTCTTTTCCTTCCCTCCCTTCCTCCCTCCCCTTCCTTCCTTCCTTCCTTCTTTCCTTCCTTCTTTCCTTCTCTCTTTATCTCTCTTTCTTTCCTTCTTTCTTTCTCTCTTTTCCTTCCCTCTCTCCCTCTTTCCCCTTCCTTCCTTCCCTCCTCTCTCTCCTTTTCTTTCTTCTATCACCTACTTCTTACATAAAAATAAAAATATTTTTCTGTTTCAGCATCTGACCCAGCCTCCCACATGTTATTTAGCCACCTGCCCCCTCAGTCTCTCCGCCCCACAATCTGTGACAGTTTCTTGTTCTTCTCTTGTCTTTCTTAATCTTCAAAATTTTAAAGAACAGCCTGGACAAGATAGCAAGACTCCACCTCTACAAAAAATAAAAATAAATAAAAGTTAGTCAGGCATGGTGGCATGTGCCTATAGTCCCAGCTACCAAGGAGGTTGAGGTGGGAAGATTGCTTGAGCCCAAGAGTTCGAGGCTATAGTGAGCTATGATTGCACCACTGCACTCCAGCCTGGATGACAAAGCAAGACCTTGTATTAAAAATATTTTTTTTGAAGAAGACTGTTAAGATGGCTGGGCATGTTGGCTCACATCTGTAATCCCAGCACTTTGTAAGGGAGGAGGATCACTTGGAGCCAGGAGTTTGAGACCAGCCTGGACAACAAAGCAAGACCCCATCTCTAAAAAAATAAAAACAGCTGGGTGTGGTGTTGCACGCCTGTGGTCCCAGGTAGTTGGCAGACTGAGGTGGCAGGGTTGCTTGAGTCTGGGAGGTCATTGAGGCTGCAGTGAGCCATGATCGCGTCCCTGCACATCAGGCTACTGCACTCCAGCCTGCGCAACAGATCTAGATCTTGTCTTTAAAAAAAAGAGGAAGAAGAAGAAGGAGGAGGAGGAGAAGGAGAAGGAAAAGAAGAAGAAGAAGAAGACGGAGGAGGAGGAGGAAGAAGAGGAGGAAGAGGAAGAAGAGAGGAGGAAGAAGGAGAAGAAGAAGGAGAGGAAGAAGGAGGAGGAGGAGGAGAAGGAAGAAAGAACTGGTAAGTTATTTTGTAGAACGCCCCTTTATTTGGGTGTGTCTGCTGGTTTACTCCTGATTTGATTGACATTATGCTTTATTGGGAAGGATCCCACAGCAGCGACTTGCCCTTCTTAGTGCCTCATCCTGGGGACACATGATGTCACTTCAATGTGTCTTACTATTGGTGAGTCCTTGATCACTTGGCTAAGGTGGTATCTACCAAAATGGTCTACTGCAAACTTACTATTTTTATCTTGAAATTACTAAGTATTGGAAAGCAGATATTTGAGATTATGTAAATATCCTGTTTTTGCTTAAACTTTCCCCCACTCATTTTCATATCCATCAGTAGATCTTGGCTGTAACAATTATTACTGTGGTGTGCTATTGATGAATTTCTACTTCCCTTATTTCTTCTACATTTATTATTCGGAATTCTTCTGTAAGGAAGAATTGCTGCTTCTCCCTCATTTATTTATGTATTCAGTTACGCATTTAATCAGGATGGACCTATGGATATTTACATTATGTCTTGGGCTATAATTCAATACCATAGTTATTTATTTTGCTCAAGTTGTCCTAACTTTGGCCATTCGGAGCCCCTTCGGTTTGCTTCCTGTAGCCTTTTGAAATACACATACACATACATATATGTTTTTGTTGTTGCTGTTGTTGTTTTTAGAGACAGTCTCACTTTGCTGCTCAGGCTGTAGTGCAGTGGCACAATCATAGCTCACCGCAGTCTCAAACTCTTGGGCTCCAGTTATCCTCCTGCCCCAGCTTCCCAAATAGCTGGCTATTTTTTATTTTATTTTTTGTACAGACAGAGTCTGGCTATGTTGCCCAGGCTGTCCGATCTCCTGGCTATTTAATACTTTCTTACTGTCTAGTGGCCACAGGATACTCCAGGCTCTTCCTCTATTTTCTCTGCCCCATCCCTGAACCAGCTGGCTCCCTATGGTTACTCCCTTCTGTTCATTTTCCCCATGATGCACGGTCTCTGTATTGCCACATCTCAGAGGCAGAGACCATTTCTGTTGGAGGAGATGCTGGGAGAGCATAGACCCTTCATCATGCTGGGGAGAGGTCTTGGGAAGGCCAGAGGCATGACTGTCGAGGCGCTGCTGAGACTGAAGCATTAAGGGACCACAAATTCCAAAGCCCCGAGAAGGGATTTCAGAGAGTCGACCCTGCGTCCACAGTTCCGGATCCGTTTCTCTTCCTGGAAGACCCACCCAGGAATCCATGATATAACTCCCAGGTGGGGCGAGGCCATGGAATAGCCCAGCTCCTGAGCTTGCACCTCTCCCCACCTATGCCCACCCACAGACAAGAAGGGGAAGTAAAACCCCAGCCTGCCCTCAGCAGAGGAGGGTCGTGAATGCCATGGCTGGAACTCCTGTGGGTCTGTAGTTCTTTCAGTCTTAGCCTGGATTCCTCTCAGAACCCAAGAACTTGGGACAAGGGCCTGTGGGCAGAAGGTTGATTTTTGGAAGTGACTTTAGAGAATTTGGGATAGAGAACTGGGAAGACAGGAAGACAGAAGGAAGGAAAGTGAACCTGGGGGCATATCTATCCACTGGCTCCATCCCCATCGGTCCAGGGCTGTCACGGAAGGTGCGCGATCCCTGGCATCTCTGGATTGGCACATGAAGCAGAGAAGCTCTTGGGCAGAGAGCACTGGCCAGTGTGAATGAGGCAGCGAGCTGGCAGAACACACGGCATGCAACCAGCTGCAGAGAAGGAGAATGAGGCCCAGAGAGCTAACAAAAACGTTGTCCAAAGTGGCAGAGCTTGAGATCACTCCTAGGTCTCTGGGGTGCCGTGGTACAAAACAGGTTTCCAGAAGTGCTCCTCATGTATCCACTCTGCTTCCTAAATGCCTGTGAACTCCAGATGGCCTCTCCTCGCCCTGGGCCTGCAGAGCACCATTTGCACCAGCAAAGTGGGTTTGGATTCCCTCTTCACAGCAGGTTCTGCAAGTGAGTGGCCCTTGTGCTCAGTATGGCGTGGCCTTCCCGCCAGCCGTCTACCTCAGACTCCTTCAAAAGCAGATGAAACGGGGGTTGCTGCTTCCAGCAACCTCAGATCTGCGTAGCTCCATCAAAGGGAACTGCTGTCCCCTGCCTCTTCAGTGTGAGATGCACCCGACAGCGGGTTTGTCCTGCCCTGTACTCTCCTCAGACTTCAGAGCACCAGGCGCTGGATGCTGACAGTGGCCAGATCCCACTGTCCAAGCATGCCTGGCTTTCTTTGGAAAATGTCTGACTTCCAGCTTTGCTCCTGCTACTGAAGTGTGGAGGCTGCATGGGGACTCAGACCAGGGGTGTGGCTCTTGCCACGGCCACCTCGGGCTTTGGACCATGTTGCTGCCAGTGGACTAGGGGTGTGGCTGGGGTAATCTATGGAATACTTGAGCATCATCCACTATTGCTGTCTCTTCCCTTTGCCTTTCTAGTTTCCTCTTCCTCTTCTCCTTTTTCTTTTTAGAATTTCCACTTTTATTTTATACTTGGCAGCTGCGTGTGCAGGTTTGTGACCTGGGTATATTGAGTGACAATGAGGTTTGGGCTCAAATGACCCCATCACCCAGGCAGTGAACATGGTACTCAATGGGCTGTTTTTCAACCCACACACCTCTCCCACCCTCCCGCTTCTAGTGGTTCCCCCGGCTATTGTTGCCATCTTTATGTGCATGTGGAACCAAGGTTTGGCTTCCACTTATAAGTGAAAACAGGTTTTCTGTTTCTGCATTAATTCGCTTAGGATAATGGTCTCCAGCTACATCCATGTTGCTGCAAGGAACCTGATTTGGTCATTTTTTACAGCTGCATAGTATTCCACAGTGTATATGTGCCACATTTTCTTTCTCCAGTCCACTGTTGACAGACACCTGGGTTGATTCCATGCCTTTGCTATTGTGAATAGTGTTGTGATCAACATACGGGTGCAGATGTCCCTTTGGTGGAACAATTGATTTTCCTTTGGGTAGATACCCAGTCATGGGATAGGTGGGCTGAATGGTAGTTCTGTTTTAAGTTCTTTGTGGGCTCTTCTTCTTCTTCAAAAGTAGAGTTAACCTGAGAATCACTCATGCCTTGTTGTGACTGTGTTGGTCAGACCTTATCCTTTGCATGGAAAGAAATTGCAGACAGCTCGGGGTGGAGGCAGATACCCATCCACACTCTCCCCCTGGGAGTCCTGGGCCTAGCTCTGTGGGGGGTCTTCACTCAGCTCCTCACCGTGGTTCCCCTGCCTCAGTGTGGGCATGGGCAGTCTTTCCCCTGCAGGGTGGGCATGCCAGCTGAGCTGTCCTGAGAGCTGTCCTCTGCTCAGATTCTGGTCTGCATCTGTGTCCTCCCAGGGGCCTGCAATGTGGGGGCCACTTGACCTGGTGGCAGAGGTCCTGACCGTCAGGAGCTGCTGTGTGACCTTGGGCAAACCCATTCTTCCCTTTCAGCTCTATTTTCTGCTCTGACCAATGTGTGGTGGGCTAGGGTGAGGTGGCCCTCATCAGGTGGCCCTCAGAGGGCCTCTGTGGGCCTAGGTAGTGCTGAGACCACACCATGGGGCCCCAGGAAATGATCTTAAGTTCCATATACTCCCAGCAGGGAGGCAGAGTGGCTTTGGGAATAAGCTGTCTTCCCACCCGGCCTGTTCTGCTCCAATAACCGCTGCGGCAATTGTCTCTAGAAAGAGGACTTCATGCATATTCATGAATCCTATCATTCTCTACATATTACCAGGGGTGGCCTGTTTTTCTGTCAAACAGCGTTTCATCAAAACAGCAAGCTCAGCTGTTCAGGTACTTTCTGAAGCCTTGGCTGGCTGGCTTGGTGTTTTGGGATAATGACGTTTAGGTGTCTGCACAGAACACCTTCCAAATGGCGGGGTTTCTGTGTTGATGTGTGGGCAGAGGCTGCAGTGCATCTGGAAATGGAAAACATTACCCGCCCAACCACGAACACAAATACCCAAAGCCTATTATACACTACCTTTCAGCTGCAGCCCTCCCACTCTGGTCCTAGCTCTCTGACCAGCTTTGGAAACATCCCTAATCCATAGAGGCCCTTCCTGTCCCGGCAGGTGCTTTACCTCCATCTCCTTCCACACACCTGTGGGCTTGTGCAGGACCAGAGGCTGGCTCTACCCGCTGAAGCTCTTTGACTCCTCTGTCCTCTCCAAAGCCTCAGTTCTCACCTGACAAAGGGGCTGGAATGTTCCATACACCCTGTAGGACTGTTGGGGTCACATGGATCCATGCTTGTGAAAGGCCTGAGTGTGCAGAGTTGGGAGCTACACTTCGGAGAAGCCCCTCTTGCTGTCCATTTCTCTCTGATAACCAGGTGAGGACCCTGCATGGCTTGATCCATTCTCTTTACTTCCTTTTAAGCCATACTGAGGAGGTTTACTTTAAACAATTTGTTGTTGGTGGTTGTTGTTGGAGACAGGGTCTCACTCTGTTGCCTGGGCTGGAATGCAGTGGTGCGATCACAACCCACCACAGCCTCCACCTCCGGGGTTCAAGTGGTCTTCCTGCCTCACCACCCCCCACCCCCCGAATAGCTGTGACTACAGGTATGCACCACCATGCACAGCTGTAGTTTGCCTTTGAAATCTTTCAGTCTTTCTGCCTCTCTCTTTCTCTACCTCCCCTTCTCTGTCCATTTTTCCTTTCTCTCCTCTTTCTTCTTTTTTTCTGCCTCCATCATCCTTCCTTTCCACATTGCTCTAGAATAAGCTGGTCCAACAGTAGATGACACAGGGGAAGCCAGGGCCTCTGGCTGTCCAGCTGGTCATCTCAGAGCACAGCCCCGATTCTTGAGACACATCCAGGGCCTGGCCCTCCCATGTATCCTCAGCCTTTAGTGAATGGGTCTGAAGTTTCTGTCTGTCCTCATCTCTCAAGAGCACAATTTCTTCTGCTCATTTTTCCTTAATGCCCCCCAAATAATATCACTCAGATAATAAACAGCTCCAGCTTTTAGGATACAGTGTCCAGAGGGCCAGGATGCAGGGGTCTTGTCCCCATCTCCAAATCCATCCTCCTCCCATCTCCTCCGTCGTCCCTTTCTCTACCCCTCTCTCTCCCCCTTTCCCTTCTTCTTGCCCCTCCTTCCCTCCTCCTCACCTGCCTTCCTCCTTCTCCTCCCTCTCCTTTCCTTCCTTCACCTCCTCCTTCCCTTCCTCCCTTCCTCCCCATCTTCTTCCTCCTCCTCTTCCTCTCCTTCCCCCTGAAGGTGCTTAACTGGCACAAAAGGCCTCTGTGTTTCCAGGCCTGGGCTCATGGTGTTTTTAATTCCAAAGTAATCAGCAGAGGCCACAGTCATCTGTGGCCTCTCTGTGCACAGTACATGAGGCAGCATTTGCTCACAGGCTGGCTGTGAGGAGCCTGTGGTCAAAAAAACCTGCACGGGGGCGGAGCGCAGAGGCTGTGTTTGCTGTTTCTGCCACACTGGCATCCTGGAGTATCCTCTCTTATGGGCTACGTGGACTTACCATTGAGGCGTTCACTTGTTCATTTGTCAAGGACCAGAGAAGTGTGTGCATCTCCTGTCCCCGTGATGGCTCCTGAGAATGGCGCGGGCTCCTCCAGTGAGGCCCGCTGCCTCACTCCCGTCTATCTCTTGGTCAAGAGTGGCCACCTTCTGGACCAGCCCTAGAACTGGCTCACCCGCCTCCTTCACCTTCCTCCCTCCTGGCTGTTAGCCAGGCAGGAGTCATTTTTCTCTCTCACTTCAGAGTATGAAGTTTTTTTTCTATAAAAGTGGCTGGAAAGGGGGGACATTATGCTATGAAATAAGCCAGGCACAGGAGGCAAATCCTGCATGGCTTCACTCATATGTGGAATCTGAGAAAGTTGACTGCATAGAAATAGAGGGCAAAACAGTGGTGACCAGAGGTGGGGCAGGTGAGGGGCGGGGTGATGGGAGACACTGATGAGACAGTGCAAAGTTTACTGCAAGAGGAAGTTTTACTGATGTATTTTGATGTGTGGAGACCACAGTTAATAAGAATGTATTATATACTTCAAAATTACTAAAAATAGATCTTTTTACACTTTCAACACAAAAATATGATAACTTGGTGATGGATATGTTAATTAGCTTGATTGAATTTTTCTACAATGTATACATAGATCAAAACATCACATTATACCCACTAAATACACACAATGATTGTCAAAAATAAATGAATAAAAAAAAATAGAAAAAATGTCCATCAATGTCAGTTTCTTTTAATAAAATTTGCAAAATTCAAAAGTATAAATAATAAAATAAAAAGTCTCCTGTTATTCTATTATACAAATCCAAACATTATTAATGTTTTAGTGTATTTCTTTATATTTAAATACCTAGCTAGATAAATAATTTTACAAAATTGGGATCACCAAAATATATGATTCTGCATCTTACTTTTTATCACATTACCTTGTTTAACAATGAAAATTTTCCTTTTAAAACTTTTTTTTGAAAACACGATTTTAATGGGTTTATGGAGATTCCACTATATTTCTAAAAAATATGGCACTATTTTTGAACATGCAGGCAGTTTTCAGTTTTCACCACTGTTAATCTCATTCAGCGAGTATTTGCTGTCTCTTCCGTGTCAGGTGCTGGAGACAGCAGTGAGGATGATGGGGTTTGATGAGATCCCATCCCCAGGGGATTCCAGACAGAAAACGGAAAGGAAATGCAGCAAACATCATTTCAGGCTGTGATCAGCGTTATGAGGAAAAGTGAGATGGATTTAGGGACTAGAGGGTGATGGAAATAGGAGCAAAAGGAAGAAGTCATTTTCACCCAGGGGCCAGGAACGTCCTTCCAGAGCAGGCGAAATCTGGTTAAATCTAGGTGTGGATTGTTGCAGGCAAGTGCAGATGCCTGAGGCAAGAATGAACTTGGCCACTGGAGGACAGTGGTGGGGCAGTGTGGTTGGTTTAGAGAGAGCCAGAGAGAGCAGAGACAGCAAGAGTCTAGGAAAGTGAGCAGTGACCACACAATCAAGGTCTTGAGGGCCAAAGTAAATAATTCAGAGTTTATTCTAAGTGTGAAGGAAGCTTGAGAGTCACAGGTTTTTAAGCAGCTTACTCTGACTGCAGATGGAGAATCTCATGACTGGGGAGGGCCGGCTGGATTGGAAGCAGGGAGGCCAGGTAGGAGCTTAGAGCACTGTTTCAGGTGCATGTCACGGATGTGAACAGTCACAGAAGAGTTGGTGAGGGGTGGCTGCATTCAGAATTGATGTTGAAGGGAGCATGATGTGGATTCACTGGTGGGTTGGAGGTAAAGTGGCAGAGCAAGAGATAACTCAGTTATAACCTGTAGGTCTTTGGTCTAAGCAATTGTGTAAACAGTGGTGCCATTTACTGAAATAGATAAGAAAGGAGAGGAAGGCTTGGGAGGGGACCAGCAGTTTAATTTGGAACCTGTTGCGTTGGGGTGCTTATTAAATATTCAAGTAGTGATGTCTACTAGACTGCTGGATAGACAAGTCTAAAACTCAGAGAAGTTGGGTCTACTAGACTGCTGGATAGACAAGTCTAAAACTCAGAGAATTTGGGTCTACTAGACTGCTGGATAGACAAGTCTAGAACTCAGAGAAGTTGGGACTGGATATGGATATCTAGAAGTCATCAAGGTGCAGATGACTTTTTCAAACTATGGGACAGTAATAGATCCCTCAGGAAGAGTGTGGCCAAAAGTAGTCCCAGGTACTACGTCCTGGGTCCCAAGTGTTTAGAGATCGGATAGAGGAGGAGTCCATGGGAGGATAGGAAGGCCTCTGAGTTAGGGGAACTCACAGCTGTGCTAGGGAAGAACATGCATTTTCTGTTTATCTTTGACCATTTCTTTAGAATAGATTCCCAGCAGTGGAATTACCAGGTCAAAGGGCGTCTGAACCCATTTAAAACTCTTGCAAAATGTTGTCACATCCTTTTCCAAAAATGTCTCATCAATTTATATTTCCATTATCAGTGCACGGTGTTGCCCATGGCAGAGAACCCTTATATCATTGCCAATTTAATAGGCTAAAACATGACACCCTGATTTTAACTTGTAATTCTTTGCCTTTCTAGTGAGCTTGAGCCTTTGTTTTCCATGCTTATTGCTCATTTATGTTGCTTGTATAATTGTCTCAATGTACTTGTCTATTGTGGTTATATAGTGTTTTTGTAATTGTGAGAGGATTTTTTTAATTTGTTAATAACTAATCCTTTCTTGTATTTCTTACAAATGGTTTTCGGTTTGCCATTTCCCTTGGAATTTTACTACAGTGTTTTCTGATACGAGGTTTTCCATTTAAACTTAATTACATGTATCCATCTTGTTCCTAATGATTTCTTCCTTTGCCATTATTGTTAAGAAAAGCCTCCCTGCCACTGTATTTTGGGAAGTGCTGGCGAGTCTATTTTTCATGCTACTTTTGCCAAATTTGGTTAATAGAATTTCTTCATAAAGTAAATGGATTTGCCTTTCATTTTCTTCTATATTCTGCTATAAATTTTATAGTATGCATTTTATATATTCCATGAAGTCCAGACAACATGCACTAATAAAGTCTCATCACCTCCAAATATTTTCCAAGGCAGTGTGCTAACAACACTTTCCCATCTCTTCCATGGCTATGGCTCCGTTCTAGGGTGCTACTTCCTCTTGAGCTATTTTTCCTAATTTATTATTTTCACTAAGTGTTCCATTTTTACATGTTGATGGAATTTATTAGCATATAACTGTGCATTATATTATCTCATAATTATAATTACTTTTATCAGCATATGTTACGTCTCTTTCCTTAGTTCCAATTTTCTTTATTTCTATTTTTTCTTAATTAGATTTGTTAAAGTTTTGTATTTTATTGGGTTCTTCAAAGGGTCAACTCTCCAACTTACTAAATCATGTTAATGTTCTTCTTTCCAAATGTGTGAGTTTCTGATTTAATCTCTGTCATTTCTCATGATTTCCACAGGCTGGTCTCACCTAACTTTCTCCACTTCTCCAACTGCCCTTTCTGTTCCTCTCAGACATGACAGGCAGCTTGCTACACTTCTTCCTCCCAGTTTTCCGGGGACAGGACTCCACTGCTTCCTGACACTTGACACTGCAGAGGAGTCTGAGGTCAGAAAGATTTCTATTTCTTTTAAACTTCTTATTTTTAAAAAATAAGAAAATCTCATTTTCTTCTTATTTCTTTTCCTGTGTAGATGTCTATGGGCATTTTCATTTTCTCTGAGATTCCAAAACATCGACTAGGTCTAGAATGACACCCGTAGCGGTGGTCACTGTCCTCTCTGCGGTCCTCCTGGTGGGCACTGAGCTGACTGCAGCCTCTTTTCTCACAGGGAAGATGAGTCCAAGGTTCCCAGCAGCTCTCTGGGAGAACTGGCCCTAGAAGGGGCGCATATTTGCCCTCCCTGGTGGAAGTAGTGGCCTTTCCTCATTCATTTTAGCTGGGGCTCCAGAGACCCTGGCAATCAGTGGATTTGAGTCTGTCTTTGGCACAGCAAAGTTTTTGATTTTGTGGATTTCAACACCGCCCCTACATCTGCCTTTTTATTTTAACCTTCTGAGTTACTTTTAAATGGGGGTTTGGACTCCTAGGTTAGTGATTTATGTCTATTATCCTTTCCCTCAGTTTCCCTGTTTTTGTTTTATTACCTCAAGGAAATCTAGCATTAAAATAACATCATTTAGATGGGGCCAGAACAGATTCCTGGGCTCACTTAACCACTGTAGCCAGAAGCCCTGGCCACAGTGACTGTGACACCAGGCCCAATCTGTGCCCTGATGTCTGCTCACCAGTAACAGGTTTTCCTAGAAGCCAGGGAATACCTAAGAATGTCAGGTAAGGCTGCAATGTTTCTTTGAACAACATAGCACATACCAGGGCTCACTTCTCTGCAGAATGTGTTCCTGGTGCTATTCTTGCCTCTTTCTCTATTTAAAAAATACTGTTATATTTTAGATGCTTGCTTGCTCCATGGGAATATTGCATACGGTGGGGACTGGACTTCCAGTGTGCCCATTTCTCTCATTTTAACTCGTCTTTGGTGATCTGGGGGTGCCTGTCTCTTCCCCTCCCCTTGTGCTGCACTCAGAGTGGCCCTATTTGACCTTCAGAGAGAGGAGTAGATGAGGACGGTGGACAGGCCAGCGGGACGGTCTACCTATGGCCTGTCTTCTTTTCTAGAATGTTAGCTTCATGCAAGCAGGAAGCTTGCCTTTTTAAATCCACTTTCTCCCCAGGCCTCAGAACACAGTGGTATTCAGTAGCGAGTTGGCCAACTGAACGCACGCAGGAACAAGGGCAGTTCCCAAGCTCTTCTCAGGGCCGAGGCTCCAGCCCTTCTGCGCCTCTCCTCGCCCCTCTCTGCCATGCCCCCTGTTCTCTCCACACTGTCTTTGGACTGTAGCGTCTCCTCCTTCCCCTCCAGGAGGGCTTCCTGTTATGAGATCTTCCTGGCACCAAGCAGAGTGTGTACCTGGCAGTGGCATGAGTGGAGCCAGCCTTCAGCCTGTTCCTAAGTAGAGAACCTGTCCCCAGAGCCCCGGTGCCTTGTCAGGAGCCAGAACACTGGGCTTTCGAGGTCTGGGGCATGGGAGCCAGGGGTGCCTTCAGTCCTCAGGAGGGTTCCTGGAGCCCTCATGCAACCCTGACTGCGCCTCTGTCCTGAACCTCCCGAGGGCAGCATCACTATTTTATTTTCATGACATTTCACACCCCAGTGAGTTGCAAATGTGTGCTTTTCACATTGGATGGAATTCTTACAATTTTGGTGAATTGTGCATTCACAGGAAGTACAATTAAAATCAGCCTCCTGTGTATCCTCCATCACCCAGGCATATGAGAGTAGGTGGCAGAAGTTCAGAGTGTCTCCATCTCAGGTAAAGCACTCTGGAGCCTGGCTCTTCGTGCTTAGATCTCACGCTGCCACTTGTTAGTTGTGTAATCTTGGATAAATACAAAATCTCTCTGCACCTTCATTTTTCCATAAGCCACAGCAGGATAAAAATAACACCTGCTTCATAGGGTTATTGGGAGAAGTACGTGAATTAGTTTATGTGAGGTGCTGAGAACAGCGCGAGGCATGGAGTACCTGCGACGCAACGATTAATGTGGTTCTGACTGTCCTCTCTAGAGAGATGTGGGCCTGCACCTTAGAGACTTGCAGACCTGGACTGCCATTATCAACTAAAGCCACACACACACACACACACACATGCAGAAACACACCCATGCACACACATACATGCATGCACAGACACACGCATGCACAGACACACAAACCCCTACACACCATGGGCGATTTTCTCCCTCATTTCCAAGGGGGGTAAGCGTGAATACTTGCTCCGACCTTAAGAGTGGGGTTGAGGGCCCAGGTGGAGCAGGCTTGTGGCTTGAAGGATGAGACCCCAGATGGCTATGCATAGTGGGCATTCCCCATGGTGGGCATTCCTGCTGCAGAGCCTGGAGTAAGTGCCCTGCTTGCCCCATTAGGGTATCCTAGCAGCTTGCGCTGCTCCTGGTGCAGAATGAACAGGCTGAGCAGCTGCAGAGAACACCTCCTCCTCCTGGCCTCGGGCCTTTTCCAACACGTGCAGGTTTGCTTGGGGTCTGCCTCCAATGCCTTGAGTGTCACTGTTTTGTTTTAGTGGTGATGCCTGCTCTTGGAAGCCCACTTGGGCCTAACTTTGGAAACAATCCTCTGGTTGTACTCAGCTCACAGAGCTGTTTCTCAAACACGACTTCACCTAGGCTTGATCAAATACCAGCTTCACCACTTCCTAAACCTAATCCTCTGCAGGTCCTGGTAGCTTTGTTCATAGAGCAGTTCTTTGGATTGAACCAGAAAATGTATACAAATAATTTCACACCGTGTCTGGCATCTGGTGTATGCTGAATACAAGTTGGTTGCTTCTGGGGATCCTCGATCCAACCCCAGGAAGTCTAGAAATGATTCTCCCTGATTTAAAGGTGTCATAGAGACTCCTCAGAGTAGAGAGGGCTGGAATCTGGGTCTCTAGTTCACTGTTCCCTCCTTTCACAGGATTCCCTTGCTGTTCAGGAACGTAATGTCTATATGAATATCGTTGCCAGAATTGTCTCAGGCCATAGATATATCTTCACTTTCCGTGTTGAGTCCTTTGGAGGCCATCGGGGAGCTGCTGTTCCCCTTCAGCGTGGCTGCCTGCTCAGGGAGGTCTTGGCTTCCGCAGGGTGGACCAGCTTGCACTGCTCTATGGGTGCGCAGTCCCTGGAACGCCCTTTCTGTGTGGATGTAAGTGATGCATAAAGATCTAAAATCCCAAATCTTAGGCTTTCTCCAGGATTTCTGCTGCAATCCCAGAACAGCAGCTCTGGAGTCGCTCTGAATTAAATACACAATTTATTTTCAGATCTCTTTTATCATGAGGGCTCACATGCAGCTAACGCATTCGTCTGTGTTTGAGGCTGCAGTACGGTACATAGACCCACCGCTGGCAGAACCCATTCCTTCCTGTGGAGGTCACCCACATGTTATTTAAGTGCAGTACTTTGGATCACACAAAATAAAAACCTGTACTGTTGTGCTCCTATTAAGCACCCATTATGTAATCTCTGAGTCACCTGGAGATGGTTTTTAAATATAGTTTGCATGTTTACTGTTTGTGAAGTACCCATGCTAAGAGCTTTGCATGTCTTCTTCCATGTAACACAGCAACCTAAGGAGGCAGGAACTACTGTTATTCCTGTTTAATGCATGGAAAGCTATTGTCCACAGAGTGGGGAAGCGATGCCAGCAAGATCACATAGCTGGCACCCATGGGATTAAGCCAGGGCTCAACTCCACCAGACATAATGACTTTGCTCTCAACTGCCACATTTTATTGCCTTTCTTGATGGTTACTTTGGGTCTTAATTTGCATTTTTCTGATAACTAATTTTGAGTTTTTTAATATATTTATCCTCTTCTGTGACCTACAATTTAAAAATGTTTCTCCTTATTGATTTTTATTAGGATATATTAAATAATCATCCCTTATTGGAGTGTTGCAAATACCTTCTCTAGTTCATAGCTTGCTTTTCAGTTTCTTTATGGTATCATTTGATAAACAGAAGCTCTTAATTATGAGGTCTTAATCACGATCAATTTTTTAGTGGTTAGCAGTTTTTATGTCTTGTTTAAAACATCCTTCCCTACTCCAAGCTCATAAATATATGCTCCTAAACATTTTAGGCTTTGGGTTTTTACACTGAACTTTTTAATCTATCAAGAAATGGTTTGTATGTATGGCAAGAGGTAGCAATCTGACATTATAGTTTTTTATCTCGGTGATCAACTGTCTCATTGCCATTTACTGGCTCTTTCACTTGACTTAGTTGAGTTCCTCAAAAAGGAGAGCCCCAGAAAATGCCTTGGGTGCAGGTTGCTTATTTGAGGGTGACTGCAGGAAATGAGAGTGAGGGTATAAGGACAGTGAGACAGGGAAGGCAGATGAATTAAGTTGCTGCCATGGACAGCAGGGGTTCAAGTCCACCAGGACCCACCAAGACATGGACAGGATGTCTTCCAGAATTCTCCACCTGAAAGATGGAAGGCAGGGTGGTTTATCCACCATCTGCTACTGCCTATCCCCAGCGTTGATAAGCCCATAACTCTGGGCTGTCTTAGTGCAGACCTAGAGGTGTCTCATGAAATCAGACAGGGCCCCATAGCAGAAAGTGGAATGACCCCGAGGTGGGACAGCACCAGAGCCAGGGGCAGGAGCTGGCATGGACCTCAGATGAGAGGAGAGCTGGAAGGCGATGTGGCCCAGGGTGCCAGGTGGTCAGCTATGCTCTCCCAGGACCATTGTCTTCATCTTACAGAGTAAATGCAAGTGGTCCTGCCAGAGCCTGGCCCAGAAGTTTTCTGCCTTGCTCTGTGCCTCGGGAGGTGACCTGGAGGGATGACCCAGATGGCTTTCTTGCTTCTGCTCCCTCAGCTCCCGGGGGGGCCCTTGGGAGGAGGGCAGAAGGAGAGACGAGGGAGACAGGGCCTTCATTCCTCCTGCGTCCTCCCTGCAGGGCCACCTCGGGCTGCCTGAGTCCCTCCTCTTGAGGCAGCTTCCTCCTTCTGAGCGCCTGGAATCATGTGCTCCCTCCTCCCTCTGGTGTCACTGTTCCACCGAAATCTTTGCAAATTGTCAGGTTATTGAATCCTCTGATGTCCATGCGCCACCTGTTCATTCGGGGATTTTGAGTGATAGAAGCAACTCAGTCCATTCACATCCACCAAGACCACTGCGGTCTCCCTGAAATGTTGGTGAGCAAAGGAGCTCAATTTCTCCATGCCCTCCCCCGGCCCCAGCTCTGTGACTGCTCATTGCTCAGGACTGTGGAAGGGACGGGGCACAGGTGTGCAGCTTCTGCCTTCAGGAGCCTTCCAGTGTGGTGAGTGAGATGAATGAGAAGGGGAACGAGGCCCTCTGGAAGGACAGCGAGAGTGCTCAGAGCACATTGGAGCTTTGTCCCACACCAGAGTCTTCTTAGGTTCCTCTAGAGACCCCGCCTGGGCCTTCTGGGGCTGCCTCCCACATCTTGCCTTTCCTCTCTTCTCCATCCTGGCTAGAGTTGGGTTTTTCCCTCATTCTCTTTCATGTCGCAGTACCAGAGGTTTCTGCTGACTGATGTCTCTTTTATAGATGTTCATAAGACTGAAAAGCAGGCTTCAGATGTATACATCTCATATTGACAAGAGAGTGAGTGAGGACAATGGGGAAATTCATGGTCTTTTAACCAAACATAGGGATTTTGTGATTGTGTGGTTTTTTTTTTTTTTTTTGCCTTTTTCTTCTGAATTCTGCAAAAGCTGTTATACTAATAGCTGTGATTTGCATAATTTCTGTAGTGCAGCAGAATAAAAAGCCAGGCTTGCAGGCAGACAGTCTGGCTCTGCTGGTGGAGGTCAGGGCCTTGTATTAGGGGAGAGACAAATCAACATACAGCCCCTGGGTGCTTGCCAGGGTGAGGGGGCATGGCTGGGATGGGTGTGGTGAGTCAGAAGGTGGCTTCCAAGCCCTCTCCTGTGACAGTGTCTAACTCAGGGACTGACACTCAGGGAGAGGGCTGGGGGAAGGGCATTCCTCAGCCTGTCCTGGACTCCAGGCCCAGGTCAACCCCTCCACGGTAGCTGGTGCTCCGTGTGGAGCTGCAGAGACATTGGCTGTCCTGGGTAAGGGCAAGGGCTCTCTGATTTGGGATCTCCCTGCTGAAGGGGTTCTTTGGAGAAATCAATCATTGTCAAGTCTAGGCTATACTTCATGACAGACTCACACAATTGTGAGACTCACATAATTAGCCTTCAATGGGCTAAATGTTGCACCACAAAGGGCATCTGTGTGGTATCCAGGTAAACAAATGGGCTTTAGAGTTAAAAAGAGAAGGGTCCCCATGCACGAGGCTAAGTGAGTGACTTTAGCTTAAGAATAAAAATAATATGGCAGCATGCAGTGGCTCACGCATGTAATCCCAGCACTTTGAGAGGCTGAGGCAGGAAGATCATTTGAGGCTAGGAGTTTGAGACCAGCCTGGGCAATGTAGTCAGACCCTATCTCTACAAAAAATTAAAAAAGAAAAAAAATTAGCTGAGCTTAGTGGCATGTGCTTGTAGTCCCAGCCCCTCAGGACTCTGGGGTAGGAGGATCACTTGAGCCAGGAGTTAGAGGCTGCACTGAGCACTGCACACTGCCTTGTGCCACTGACTCCAACTGGGGCAACAGAGTGGGACCCTGTCTCATAAATAAATAAGTAAATAATAACAGAATGAAGGCCATGTGGCTTCATGAGGATCTTGTGAATGTGTGAGATCATATGGTGTGTGTGCTAACTACATAGTTGCTATTGTTACATTTCATTCTCATGGGCTTCCTTTGCCAATCTTTTACTTCAGAGTTTGTGTTAAGGGGTCTGGGTTGGGTTAAATTTATCAGTGTCTTCTGAAGGACAAGAGTCATGGTTACAGATGTTTTCTGACAATTCCAAATTTTATGAATTCCCCACTTAAAAGTCTTGTTCGTGCCCCCTGCTGCCTCCCTCTCTTCTGAGGGCTAAAGGCCTCTTGTTGGAGGCAGGCCAGCAATGACAAGTTCGTCAAGGCTACAGCTGCAGAGGCTCATAGGAGGAGCCCAGGGCCTCTCAAGACGCGGTGGCCACAGAGTTCTGGAGTGTAATTAACAGGACAGCAGCCGTGGAGACTTGGGCTGACTGAATGCTGGTGTCGAAGGACACCCTCCCTTTACCCCACTCTGTGCCAGTGTGCCTCTTATTTCTCCCTGAGCTACAACTGTTATTAACGTTCAGATTTTGGAGATAATGGTTTTAATTAAACTACTTTGCCGTTTACTACTGTTTTGGGAATTTGCTAATTAATCTTTATGTAATTGTTTTTGCAATGGTTATACAGCAAAAGTTCTTAAATTATAAGTTAAGCCTCTTGCAGAGAATCTAATTTTTAATCAGAATCCCATGTTAGTAAGTGACAGTGGGGATGGGGAATTAACTAATTGAAGTCCCTGCTCCATGGAGGTTGTCTGTTTTCAACCCGGCAAGTTGGCCATGCTGTGCAGAGCCCTCTCCCTGCATCTCCCCATGGTCTCTGCATTACGATGGTGCTGAAGGAACCATGGATGTTCATGTATTAGGATAATAATTCTGATGCTTTATTTGTAGGGGATATGTCTCTAAAAGGGCTGTTCCTCACAGATGTCTCAGGCCACCTTCAATTAAACCCAAGCCTCTTCCTCTTCTACTGAAGCCCCTGTGAGTAAAGTCCGTGGAAATCATATCTGTTGAATTTTGGAGAAGGGTAGTAAAGTGTTGAAAGGTGTTTCAGGCTATCTCACAATATTTGATATGGAAGAAGAAGCATTTCTAATGGAAACTGGAGGGAATTGCTCTTCAACTCCTAAAATAAGAACAAGAGACTTCAAGTACATCTGGAGCTTGTTTCCCTACTGTCTTACTATCTTAGCCTGTTTATGCTGCTATAACAGGATACCAGAGACTAGGTAATTTACAAAGGAAAAATTTAATTGGCTCACAGTTCTAGAGGCTGGGCAGTCCGAGATCAAGGGGCTGCATCTGGTGGCAGCTTTCTTGCTGCATCACCTGTGGCAGAAGGCAAGAGGGCGAAAGACGGAGAAAAAGCAAGAGATGGAACTCACAGCCTCAGGTCCTTTTATAATGGACATTAATCCATTCAAGAGTGTGGAGCCCCCATAACCTAGACACCTCCCATTAAGCCCCACCTCCTGACACTGTTGAGTTGGGGATTACATTTCTAATACATGCTTTGTGGGAAACACATTCAGACCATCACATCTGCCTAGGCCAGTGTCCATCTCTCTCTGATTCAGGGTTCTGATCCCAAGACTCATGGAAGAGCCAAACTACAGATTAGACAGAACAGTCTAATCTCCCTCCTGGTATTAGCCCCCAGGAACAGGCATGTAATCTCAGCAATGCTCACCTCTGCCTGAAAGGTAGGACTAGCAGAGAACTCCACCAAGCAGTACAGTGCTCAGGTTAGAAGCATGAAATTCGAAACCAGACTTCCTGGGCTCCAGGCCTGACTCTGCCACTCTTAGCTCTGTGACCTTTGATGAGTTACCCAACTTCTCTGGGCCTGTTTCTTCCTCTGTAAAATAAGGGTTTGTAAGAGTGCATGTCTTATAGTACTGTTATAATAAGCAAATGGGATGAAACAAGAAAGTCTTAGTACACTGCCTGGCACACAGTCATGCATATTATTATAATCCATTAAGCAATTTTATCCATGTTTTTATTTTCAACTTCTACCATACTGCATGCTGGGTCTCACAGATGGATTGCCTAATTTGCTTATAGCTATAATCTTCTCACCACCAAATATTTCTTTCCTATTGTGCTTTTCTATGTTGGGAGATAGTCTGATTTTGCTTCATCTGTGATCTCAAGTATGTTTAGGGGACTGCTGACTTTAAGCAAACATTTGCCGTAAAAGGATAGTTCAGGGGTGGCAGGTACTAAGTATCTTTTCTTATACCTGTGGAAGAACTCACTCACGCACCACAGCACTCTTGTTCACCAGGTGTGAGTCCAGCCTGAACTCCTTCTCAATACAATGCCTCAGCATTCAAGAGTCAGAGTCTTAACCCAGGAAACAGAGCCCCAAGCAGAGCGGACATGCTAATGCTTTATTGGGAGGTGCAATCCCAACAACCAAAGTAAGGGACATAGGGAAATAAAGCAGGAAGGAGAGAAAGCAAATACAAGGTCATATGTTACCAGGATGGCCACAGTTTCTCCAGAGCTCCAGCTGGTTGCTCAAGTCATGTGGGACATCTCCAGGAAGACATGTGAAACACTGTGGCTCAGAACAGTCTGTCATAGGGGAGGAAGGCCAGATGATTTATCTGCTGGCTTTTTTCCATTCTCTGTCTCCTACTGGTCAAAGTTCATGTTACGGACCATCAATGCCTTGCATGACCAGGTTGTGTTAATTGTGCTAACCAGCCTCCCTGTCCCAGGACAGCCATTGAGGAGGCCAAAGCCTCTATGAATCCAGTGGAGTTAAGCTAGGGGCACAAAAACTGTTTTCGGTCCCAGCACAGCAAGTGCAGTGGGAGCCATGCAAGCCTGGCAGACTCCCCAGGGGAGGCTGAGCGCACTTGGGTGGCAAAGAGTCAGGCCACAAGCAGTGGTGCATCTACAGGAATTTAGCCAAAGTTCCAGAAACTGTAATTGCTGAGTAGAGCTGGTGGCTCATAGACTGGCTTCTGTGAAATTGGCATGTGGCACAAAACCAATCTTGGCATCCAATGTTTCATTGAGAAATATCCCAGGAGGCTGGACGTGGTGGCTCACATTGTAATCCCAGCACATTGGGAGGCCAAGGTGGGAGGATTGCTTTAGGCCAAAAGTTTGAGACCAACCTGGGCAACATAGTGAGACCCTATCTTGATAAAAATAAATGAAAATTTAAATAAAAAAATTTAAAAAAGAGAATAGCCCAGGGGCTTTGGTCTTCAAAGTCTTTGTCCCATCTCTTTATTATTTCCATCTCTTTTCCCTAGTTCCTTAACTTTTTGCTAAAGTGCAGGGACCACCCCTGCTTAGGGTATGAGATATTCATTAACCTCTTATCCCAGACCCTAGAGGCCCATGATGGGACCACATGGGAGAGGAACAGGGTGGCCACTGGTTTCAAACTGAGACACCCTGACGTCAGCTTCTGTGTCCTCTCTGCTGTACTATATTCCTCTCTTCATCTCTCATGATCTTCTTCCACCTGTTGAGGTTGTATCTCATATCAAGCGTCTCACCTAATGGTCTCTGCCCACACTATCTTTTTTCAGCTCCCAGCAAAGACAACACTTTGTGCTGAGATGTGTTTGGAAAACAACTCCACTCCTCTTTGTCTGGCAAACTCCTGCTCATCCTGCCAGTCTTAGCTTCAGAAAGACCAGCCCAGACCCCACCATATAAGTCTCTGTTGTCCATCACATCGTATCATCTTTCTTCATCTGTAGGAGAATATTTATTGGAGTGATTACCGAATTCACATCTGTGTCCTCCACCAAGCTGTATGACCCCAGGAAGGCAGGGAATATGATTATTCTCTGCACCACTGTGTCACTGGCTCCTGCCCTCTGGTTCATAATAAATGTCACACCCACCCACACACATGCACACTCACAATAAAAGAATTAGTGAACAAATAGGTGAACACCTGGATCTCTCTAACTTTTTGATCCTTTGTCTCCATAAGCCTGGAGGCTGACAAGCTAATAATTCCTACAGCAAGTGCGGGGCTGCTATCATTTTCTCTAACAGTTGTCCTGATGGCCTTTCAGAAAGTAATTGACTTTAATTATGCCCTAAACTGACCCTTTGAGTAGAACTGAAGAATAACTGAAGAGAGAAAAATGATTCGGAATGGTCCTGTTGGGTCCAATTATCAGTAGAGAAAGGGAGTGAGGATGAGGCCTGGATAAACCTGGGCTCCCCGGCGTGAACCACACTGTCTGCTCATTACGTGTTCCCTGCAGCCTGTCTGGGCTTTTGGGAAACTCATCTGTCTATTATTCATGCCCATTTATCTTCCCTGACAGAGGTGGCAGCAATAGGCTCCGAGTTGTGAAAACATAGTTGAAATTCCAGGCCCACAAGATTAAGTGTCAACAATAGCTGTTATTCCTCTACCAGTGCCAAAATCTACACTTCTCCGGGTTTGGGACAGCAGGTGTTGTTTGAGTAGCCCTGACCCCAGGGCCAGAGGGCAAGGAGATAGTTGTCAAAGTTCTCTGCCTCTGATCTTATTATAAAGTGTGATCTGGTCAGAGTTCTTTGCCTCTGATCTTATTATAAAGTGTGATCTGGTCAAAGTTCTCTGCCTCTGATCTTATTACAAAGTGTGATCTGCCTGTAGAGAATGAGGAAGAGGTTACCATGGACCTCAAGGGACCCAGCGGAAAAAACCATGTGCAGAAACCGAACCACCTCCTTGGCTGTCAGATGGCAGAGTCCCTATTGCATAGAGCTGTAATTAGGGCCTGAAGAAGAGGCTATGTAGGCCTCCTGGTGAGCCAGTTGTCCCTGGCCAGTTGACCCTGGGCACAGAAGTTTATGGGGAGCACAGATTGGTATCCATAAGGGATGGTGCACCTATCTAAAACTTCAGAACGTTGATGTTTTCTTCACTTTCTGTCTACTGGGGCTCCATGCACCCAGCTCGGTTTGTTTTGCAAAGAGCAATCTGTTCTTTTCTCTTAAAACTTCTGGGATCTGTTGGCAAGCTTGCCATATTCTCTCTTCATCCCTCTGTTCGAAGAAGCCTCAAGAGTTGACTCAGATACCTTGAGCTCTTTGCTGTGAGCATCAGAAGATCCAGAGAGATCTACTCTCCTTGTTCTTCTTTCAAAACCCACCTTCCTTTTGAACTCAAATAAAGCAGGGCTGTGTACATCCCCTTGTATAATTCTCAGAGGTGTCCAGGGTGATTTTTTTTTGTTTTTTAACAGTGGGAACACTGACACCCTTCTTTTTTGTCTCCAACTGGGTGGGCTATTGCTTGCTACTTGCACTCCTTAGTTAAGAAAAATCTCTCTACAGCAAACCCTCAGGAGAATATCTTAAACCTCTGGTAAAATCTCTGGAAAGTTTGGAATAGGTGAGCAGATACAAGGACTGTACAGAAACATCCTGTCTTCACAGAGTCCTTTTCAATCATATCTTCCTTTACATTCACTGGAAATGTTTATAATTTAGGATGAGCAATAAATGGAGCATAATGCATCTCTCTGCTTGTGAGAATGAATTTCGTGCCTACTGAGGGTTCTTCGGCCAATAAAATCTTCAACGAAATGAGGGTGAAAAGACTCATAAATGTGTTCTGTGTCCTGCAGGGAGAGGGATGTACATTGTCATTTTTATGCCATGCATAAAAAGCTCCAAGCTCCCCAAGTTATATGAGATATTATTTTTGCAGAGGCCAATATGGGGAATATTAAATTACTTTGTTTATGTTTCCTAAAATAAAAATTTTACTACAGATTTCAAATATGTGCAAAAGTAGAGAGAATAGTATAGTGACCCCCCATGTTCTCATCACCCAGCTTCAACAATTATGGATGAATGGCCAATTCAGATTTTTATAATTTGATCTATAAATATTTCAGTATGTATCTATACAAATGTTTTTGTACAATTGTACAAAATGTACAATGTACAAACGTACAAATGTACAAATGAGGTACAAATACCTGATTTTAAAAAGTTATACCCACAATACAATTTTTTACACCTAAAATATTAATAATTCCTTAATAACATCAAACATGGGGTCAGTGTTCACATTTTCCCAATTGTCATATGGCTGCTCTTAAAATTTTTACAGTTTGTTTGAACCTGGGGCCAAAACAGACCCACTCATTGTAATTGATGGGTATAACTCTTATGTTTCTTTTAATTTACCTTCTCCCTCTGTATTTTTTCTTTCTGGCAGTTTTTTTTTTTCGATGTTGTTGTTTTTGAAGAATCTAGACCTTTTGTCCTGGAGAGTGTCCAACAATCTGAATTTCGTGAATTTTGCCCCACGGAGACATTTCCCGTGCTCATCTATCCCCTACATTTTCTCTATATCCATAAGCCAGTCCAGATGCTTGATCAGGTCCAGGTTTAATATTTTGTGACAAGACTGCTTTAGAGGTGGTGCTGTGTGAGTTTCATAAGGCCTTATTGTGTGATGTTAACAGCCATCAATGATTACATCATAATCTGTCACCTCACAGAAGGTTCCAAATGGGGATAGTCTAGTCTCATCGCACCTTCTTCATTTGTCAGCTGGAATATGCTCATAAAACGAAACTTTCCCCTATCAGTTTTGTGGTTCCACTGAGAAAGTGTGCCTATAGGGAAGGTATTACACATGCTTTGGTTTTCCCCTTTATGTGCAAGGCTTTTTTTAATTAAATTTTTAATTTCAAGATAATTGTAGATTCACATGAAGTTTTAGAAAATAAATACAGAAAGGTCCTGTGCACCCTTTACCCTGCTTACGCCCCATGGTACCACATTACAAAGCCATAGTACAATACACAGCCAGGAAGCTGACATTAGCACAGCCAAGATTCCAAACACGTCCATTAACACAAGGCTCCCCCCTGCTGCCCTTTCATAGCCACACTTCCCTGACTCCTGCCCACAAGTCCCCAATCCCTGGCAACCACCAATCTGTTCTCCATTTCTATAATTTTGTCATTTTATGAATATGGAACAAAAGGAATTATATAGTCTATGACCTTTAGGGATTGGCTTTTCTCACTTAGCAGAATTACCTGGAGATTCATCCAAGTTACTGCATTTGTCAATAATTCATTTCTTGTTATTGGTGAGTAGGATTTCATGGTATGGATGTACCATCATGTGCTAATAATCTGTTCACCCATTGAAGATCATCTGATTGTAGGTTTTTTAATGTGCTTACTTGCTGTTTATTATATTACTTAGTAAAGTATCTATTCAAATCCATTGCTCATTAAAAAAAAATTAGAGTTTGGCTGGGCACGGTGGCTCACACCTGTAATCCCAGCACTATGAGAGGCCGCGGCAGGTGGATCACCTGAGCACAGGAGTTTGAGACCAGCCCAGGCAACATGGCAAAACCCTGTCTCTACTAAAAGCACAAAAATTAGCCAGGCGTGGTGGCATGTGTCTGTAGTCCCAGCTCCTTAGGAGGCTGAAGGAGGATAATTGCTTGAACCCAGGAGGCAGAGGTTTCAGTGAGCTGAGATCATGAGATCGCACCACTGCACTCCAGCCTAGGAGATGGAGCAAGACCTCATCTCAAAAAAAAAAAAAAAAAAAAATCAAAGTTAAATCAAAGTTTTTTTTTTTAAATTGAGTTTTAAGAGTTCTTCATATATTCTTAAGGCAAGTTCCTTATCAAATGAACGTTTAAAGAATATTTTCTCCTGAACTGGGTCTTTCCTTTTAATTTTCTTCATGGTGTTGAAGGTGGAAAAACTCAAGCTGTTTCTCCTCTGCTGTCATTCCACACAATAATCAACACAGAAGATTTCTGTGACCAAACGTGTGGGAATTTCTCCCCACCAGTGAGCAAGTAATCAAGCCTGCAGTGGACAGGAGCTGGGCCTCCTCCCATTCAACACTGTTTACCTAGAGACAGTTTAGATCTCATGGGTTAAGAGCTCAGTCACTGAGCCTGTGAGGGGGACCACTGCACCCTTCAGTCACCAGTTGCAAGTTCGGGCCTTCAGAACTTCTGAATGACTAGCTATATAAATCAGGGCTCCCACAACCCCCTTTTTGGGTTCAATTAATTTGCTAGAGTGGCTCACAGAACTCAGGGAAACACTTATGTTTATCAGTTTATTATAAAAGATATTGCAAAGAATAAAGAGAAAGAGATGCATAGGGCGAGGTAGTGGGGAAGAGGCGTGGAGCTTCCACTTTCTCCCTGAGCGCACCGCCCTCCAGGAACCTCCACATGTTCCGCTATCAAAGCTCTCCAAACCTTGTTCTTTTGGGTTTTAATGGAAGCCTCATTACATAGACATGATTAATTAAATCATTGGCTATTGGTGATGAACTTAACTCTCAGCATCTCTTCTCTTCCCAGTGGTTGTGGGGTGTGGCTAAAAGTCCTGACCCTGGAACCCTGCCTTGGTCTTTCTGATAACTGCCCCCATTCTGAAGCTACCTAGGGTCCCCCAGCTACCAGTCAACTCATTAGCATACAAAAGACATCATTTTGGAGATTCTAATCTTCAAAAAGAGTTGTATGTCAGAAAACCGGGTTGAAGACCAGTATCACAGGTGTCTTTCAAAAAGCAGATTTTTGAAACGTATACATTTTGTTTCCTATCAAAAAAAACTTTCCGACTCCAAGGTTGCAAAGATTTTTTCCCTAGGTTTTCTTTCAGAAGTTTATAGTTTTAGTTTTTAAGTTAATGTCTATGATGCATTGAGTTATCTTTTATATGGTGTAAAGGAAAGATTAATATTTTTTTCTATATGGATATGTAGTTCTTCTGGCAGCAATTGCTGTTAAGACTGTCTTTTCTCCATTGAATTACCTTAGCATCCTTGTTGAATATCATTGGATCATTCATATGTGGATCTATTTCTGGATAGTTTATTCTGTTCCATAGATTTATTTGTTTTATCTTTTACACAAATATTATCTTTCTCGATTAGTGCAGCTTTATATCAATACATATTATATATGTCTTCAAATCAGATGTCAATCCTCTAAATGTTTCTTTTTTAAAAAAAATTATTATGAATATTTCAGGTACTTGGCATTTTCATATCAATTTTAGAATCTGCTTGTCAATTTCTGCAAATTCCTGATGCTAGAATTGGACTGATTGAATTTTGGATAAATTTGGGGAGAAACGGCATGTTAACCATAATTGAGTCTTCCAAACCAGGAACATGGGCTACCTTTCTATTGGTTTAGGATACTTGCTTTGTCATTGTTTTCAAGGATCCAGGAAAAAAAAATGTTAAGATAAAATATAAAATGAGGTCACACTGCTACTCTTAACTCAAATTCAAGACTACATGGTTTTACTTTACCTTATTGATCTTATATCTGTATTTTCCCCAATGTTAAAAATGCAAATTTCCAAAAAAACCACATGGTTAATCATTTGCTTAATTCTATATTACATATATGATAATCTCATAACAATACCATTGCTAATACCAAAAATATGATGGAAAACAGTTTAATATTCTTTTTTAAAGTTCTTTTTATCAGAAAGTAGATTCCACTGGGAATATGCAATCAAATTATTGTGTTCAAAAGCATTTAGAATATTTCCTCTGTGCATGGTTATGCCAGGAGTCATCAAATAGTTTCTTGTAAAGAGTCAGACAGTTAATATTTTAGGCCTTGTGAACCACAGATAGTCTCTGTTTCTTCTCCTCTTCCTCCTTTTCCACAAAGCCTTTAAAAAATGTAAAACCTCTTCTTAGCTCATGTGCAGTACAAAAAGAGACCTGGGATGGAATTAGCCTGCAGGTCACAGTTTACCACCCCTGGATTATGTCAATCATTGAATTTACAATTAAGAACATTGATTTTGCTTTCAATCTTCTACCTTCCTTATACCTATTTATATTACATTATATTATCATTATACAAATATTCACCCCTTTCCCCTACCCTACCTTCATGAAAGAACTGTACTCCCTACCCTGCTAATGTTGAGCCAGGCCCGATGACTTGATTTTGCCAGTGGAATGCAGGCAGAAGTGACTGTGTGTGTTCTAAACCCAACCCTTAGTGTGTCATGCTTCTATTAACCCTTCCAGGAGCTGCTTCTGCCATGAGGAAGACTGTGTTTCTGTAATTGCCCGATGAGTTCTTCCTGTCTACTGCACAGACAAAACTAGTCCAATGAGACTATGAAGTTGCAGTAAAGAGTATAATTAACACGAGGTTGACCACATGGGAGAACTGAAGTTACTACTTAAATCAGTCTTTCTGAAGGCTCAGAGGTTAGGGTTTCTCAAAGATAGTTTATTGGGCAGGAGCTAGGGAATGGGTGCCCCTGACTGGTTGGTGATGAAATCATAGGTGTGTGGAAAACAGTCCTCATGTGCTGTGTCTGCCTCTGGGTAGGGGCCATAGGACCGGTTGAGTTATGAGTCACAAGTCCAGGTGGGGTCAGTCTGTTGCCAGAATGCAAAAGTCTAAAAAATATATCAAGAGACCAATCTTAGGTTCTATAATAGTGGTATTGTTGGAGCAACTGGGGAAGTTACAAATCTAGTGACCTCTGGCCACATGACTCCTGAGCAATAAGGAATTATAGAAACTACAACTATATCCTAGCAGAATTCAGGCTTCTCCCATAATCTTGTGGCCTTTTGTTAGTCTTACAAAGGTGGTTTCAGCCCCTAAACAAGGGGGAATCAGTTTTAGGGAGAGACTGTTATTATCCTTCCTTCAAAGTTAAACTATAAACTAAATTCCTCCTGTGGTTAGCTTGGCCTCTGCAGGAATGAGCAAAGACAGCCAACCTGTGAGGCTGGAAGCAAGATGGAGTCAGCCATGCTAGACTTTTCTCACTGTCATCATCTTTGCAAAGGCAGTTTCATTTCTGGTAGCCCTGTCTTTCAGCTGGGTCCCCAAGTGAGACACCTAAGCAGAGCTCCACCTGCTGCCTTGAAGACCCACAGCCTAAAGCAAAGCTTCTCCTGCGGACCCTAGACTCACATCTCAAAGAAAGAAGACAAACCCAGTGTGACCCACAGCCTGGGAACTTGGGAGTAAATGGCTATTCTTTTAAGCTAGTGAGTTTAGGGTAGTTTGTCACGTAGCATTATTGTAGATATAGTTGGCAGATACAGTAACCATTTTTATCTTTCCTTTTTTAATATAAGGAAATCACACATGCATTATCTATGTGTGTGTATATATATATACATACATTGATCTATGTCTATATCTATATATTAAAGGGGGTGATGAATATATAGATATCACCCCTTTTTAGTTTTCGTATTTTTCTGTTTTAGTACATGACAGCATACTAGCACATGACTCTCCTTTTTAAGACTCTCTTGACAATATTCTGGAGGTCACTGCATATAGTGTATGAAGAGATCCCTCATTCCTTTTCACAGCTGCATGGTACTCAGTTGTGTTGTGCACTGTACTCTGTACAACCGACTCCCTACTGGTGAGCATCTGGGTTTTTGCTATTTCTAATAGTGCTGCAGTGAATAGCCTTTTAACATGGCTTTTCATGTTTGTTTGTTTTTTCTTTCCCAGTACATCTTTGGGCAAGGTCTTTAGAAGTGGGATGGCTGGGTCAAAGGATAACTATATACATGGTTTTACTATATATTGCCAAATTTTCCTTTCCTGGGTTGTGCCACGTTGCACTTACACTGCCAATTTATCAGAGGGCCCATTTCTCATAGAATCACCAACCAAATATGTCATCAAACTTTTAGATTTTTTTTTGTCTGATGACACAAAACTCAGTACACTTTTAATATGCATTTCCAAGTTACGAGTTAAGTTTAACCTTTCAAAATATTTTAAGGAGATATTTGTGTTTATGTTTCTGTGGAATGTGTGTTCATAATTCTAGTCTATTATAAAGTAATTAGTTCCCCACCCCAACATTTTAAAAAGTCCTTTATGTAGTAGGTATATTCACTTATTGCCTGAAATATACATTGCAAATATTTTATCCTGTTTTGCCATTTGACTATTTGCTTATTTTTTCTATTGCTACTAGAAACGGGTCCTGATCCAGACCCCAAAAGAGGGTTCTTGGATCTCAAGCAATAAAGAATTCAAGGTGAATCCACAGAGTAAAGTGAAAGCAAGTTTATTAAGGAAGTAAAGGAATAAAGAATGGCTACTCCATAGGCAGAGCAGCAGCTTGGGCTGCTGGACTAAGGATACTTATAGTTATTTTTTGATTATATGCTAAAAAGGGGTGGATTATTCATGAGTTTTCCAGAAAAGGGGTGGGCAATTCCTGGAACTGAGGGTTCCTTCCCATTTTAGACAATATAGGGTAGCTTCCTGATACTGCCATGGCATTTGTAAACTGTCATGGCACTGGTGGGAGTGTCCCTTAGACTGCTAATGCATTATAATTAGTGTATAATGAGCAGTGAGGATGACCAGAGCTCACTTTCATTGCCATCTTGGTTTTGGTAGAATTTGGCTGGCTTCTTTACTGCAACGTGTTTTATCAGCAAGGTCTTTGTGACCTATATCTTGTGCTGACCTCCTATCTCATCCTGTGACTAAGAATGCCTAGCCTCCTGGGAATGCAGCCCAGTAGGTCTCAGCCTTATTTTACCCAGCCCCTACTCAAGATGGAGTCACACTGGTTCAAATGCCTCTGACACGATCATACTAAGATCTTAAATATTTTATTTATTTAAATTTACTAAACATTTCTCTTACGTTTTAAAATTTTATGTTAGGAAAACATTTCTTTATTCCTAGATAATAGAAAAGTTCATCGAAGTTTTAAAAATTATTTTGTTGCTTTTTTTTACATTTAAATATCTGATATATTTAGAATTTTTTGGTATTGAATGTAATGAATAGATCTAATTTTATCTTGTTCCATATAGGTATATGGTTTTTCCAATACTGCTTTTTAATAATTCTATTTTTCTCCACTAATTTGAGATGTTGCATTTATTGTATACTAAATTTCCACTTATATTTGGCTATATTTCTGAAGTTTTGATTCTGTGATTGGATTTTTTAATTTCCATAAAGATAAGACATATTGCAAAATATGTGAATCTTTATCACAATAAAGTTGATTACGGTAAGGGTTGAAACAGTCGTTTTTCCTCTACTCTTCTATTTAGCTAGGATCCCCTGTAAAACAAACAAACAAAAAAAGGACAAAACAAACAGAAGTTTATTGACATGTATTCTTTAGGTGTGCATGGGAGATACTCAGGAAAAAAGGGGAAATATAAAAGAAATGGCTTAGAATTTAGGCTTAAATACCATCTTCATCTAAAACAAAGAAAGAAGACTGGGGGGGAAGCCAGTCCTGGGGAGGTGACCAGGGAAAGCATGATAGAAAAGGGTGAGGTTTGTTATGCAGATTTAAATTGGTGCTTTCTCCATAGATGAGTCTTTTGTGATTTAGCCATCCTTTCCTTCCTGGTACTGAAAGGAAGGTATCATTACAAAAGGAGATTTTCATTATAGAAGTAAGTCTTCCTTGCAAAAGAGTAACTTCTACTCTGTTTCTCCGGTGTCTGCTGTTTCTCAAAAATAGTTGGCTCAAAATAATGCTTATGCCAAAGAGGCATATTTTGAGGTGGTATATTTTGGTCTCTTAAGTTATCCAAAAGTGGAAAAACACATTAGACATGCTTAACACATGAGAGAGGCTTAAAGATGTCATCCAGAGTGTGGAGCTAATAATGCTGTAATGATTGTTTAATTACCAAAGAATTGCTCAACAGTTAACTTGCTGGTACAAAGAGAGTCTAGAGAGTGGAGAGGAATAGCCCTTTGAATGGTGTCTATTGCTCTCATGGAACAGAAGGATGCTAGGCCATTGTGGTGTACCAACCTTAAACAATGGGATTCAGAAATTATGATTAAGTATAGAGTTTATCTGAGCTTGAAGATGGCCACCTGGGAACATAGATTCAAGTTGTCCTGAATATACACTCTCACTGTAGCAGTTACAAGTGAGTTTTTAAGGAAAAAAAGAGATAGTTTCTAGAGTTTACATTGAAATAATATGTTATTAATTGGCTATTCATTGTTCTTTGCTTCATATATTACAGGAACATGAAGGTAATGGGCTGGGCGGCTACTCAGGAACAAAAATGTCTTAAAATAATTGCCCCTGGGAATGGATGCAGGGGAAGGACTGAAGTCCAAAGCTCATGCCTCTCTGGGCCTGATAAATTTCGCAGACCTCACACAGCTCAGTCTGCTATGAGCTGCTTTCCTTCCTCAGGTGGCTGTTATCTTTTGAGATCCTCTATACAATACTCAATAGGGGTGCCTTGGGATGCACTGAAGTGTTAAAGCCTTCTGGATTTTTGCTCCTGCTCATGAAACCAAAACATTACCTGCCCACAGAATCCTCTGAATACCTCTCACAGCCGTGCTCAGACAAGAGATTCAAACGCTACTATTTCACAAGTCTGCAATAATGACAGCTAACATATTCTGTATTCTGGAGAAATGGCCCAACCATTTTAGAATAATTAATCTTGGGACAAAGGAAGCTTATGGGAGGAGTGGAATAGCCAAATATTTAAAAAATAGAGGGTGGTTTTACACATCTTGTCATTTCCAGTGGTTAATAATTTATTACCAACTCAGCCACAGCTTTGCAGAAAGAAATTTTTTAGGATAACCATATAATTTTTTAGCATTGACACTGCTGCTCACTTACTCTAAATATAAATTCTAGGAATTCTCCTACTTTTTCTCTTTTGCCCACCTAAAAAGAAGAGAATGAAATGCAAAATGAGATTTAAACAGTTTACTTGAGACTGAGAAATAAAAATCCTAAGTCCCTCAGTGGACTAAACGGATTCCCCTGTTGGCCAGGAGAATCCCAGATAAACCTTAAAAACTGGGTTCCTGGCCATGATGGGATGGGAGGTCAGACACGCCTCAGTAAGTCCCTTCCTCATTATCCTTTAACCAGAATTCCTTCCTAAGGAGTAAACAGAAACCAGCTCTAGAAAGCAAGAAACAGACAACTCATTTTTTAATCACCTTTAGCCAGTCATCTGAGGCTACAACTGGATTCATTTGACATAGACACATTTGACCCAACAGCTCAGCAGTTTCACGATGCTTCCCCACCTAAAAACTGACCATCTCTGGACTAGTTTTGGCCAATTTGTGGAGGATGCTTAGTGAGAGTTTTTGTGTCCTTCTCTGTGTCACCTTTTGGATATCTGAGGGCCCAGATATCCACTCTTAGATCATGCCAACATCACCATTTTTTAAAACATGTGACCCATGAAGAAGCATGAAGCTCAGTTGCACATGTGCTTGTTTCTCCTTTCACAGATATTCATGATGTCTCCTATAGCTTGTTAAATACTTATGTTTAGCCAGCCTGTTGAGCCTAAATTCCTGTTCCCTCCACACCTCCCTCAACATGCTTGCTTTGGGCTTTGGCTGGAGGCTACACTTCCCAGCCCGTGGGATGGCCAGCCTGCAGGTTGCAGGCCTTCATGAGAAATAAAGATCTCCTTTCCAAAGTTGTGAGCCTTGTGAGTCTTTAGCTCACATTCTAAGATAAGGACAGCTGCCCAGGAGGTTCAGGTCCAAGTAACCTTGGATATGAGCTTTATTTGGCCTTTGTTACAGGCAGGCTTTTAAAGGAAAAAAAGGAGAGAGAGAACGGGAGACAGAGAGAGTGTTGGTGCAAGGTTCTGTGAGGAATTCTTATTGGTTTACAGAAATAAAACTGATCTCTGATCAGCTATACATTCTTTACACTGTGGGGTGTGGAATACAGTGTCTGGTGAAGCATTATTAGTTTAATTCATAGCTATCTGTGACAATAGCAAGCTGTTTCAATAGGTGAATACATAGCTTAAAGGCAGGAGTAGGATGTGATTGCTGTCTCATTTTCACGTCTCTCTAGGCCTGATCATTTGAAAGGGCTTGCATTCCTCCTATAAAACTTCTTTTCTTTCCTCACTTGAATTTGGGAGACAAATAACTTATCTCTTTACACTACTCTAGTTCCCTCTCATGTCTTCCTTATACATTTTCTTGACATTATAATTTTATATTTAGTTATCGTTTTAGTTATTTTCATGACCATAGGTAATATACATGTATCTCTATTTCTTACTCTATTAATAGTTTAGAGAGTATGAATTTCTAGATTTGAAATTCCACACTCTTTATCAGAGTTTATCTGTCTCAGATAGTTCCCCTAACTATGTAATAGGGCAAATTTGGATAAGGAAAGATATGGGTATTACAAGATGTGGGTAACATTTAGGAAAATCAAAGGGATCATGGCAGATCCACTGCAAGCCCAAAGAGAGAGAAGATGAACAGGGAGGGCTTCCTGGTTTGACCTGTGGTCTTGAGTAGAGAGAGGCAGCCAATCTGCAACTCTCTGGCAGGAACATAAGGAGGGGATACATACTTTGACTTCATTCTCTTTCTCCTCTCAGTCTTCTACTTTTGTCTCTCATCCTTACAACCCAACTGAAAGCCAGAGGGCAAGGTAACACATAGCTGCTGGTCTCCCGGGGCACAAAGCAGGATGGCAAGAACAGGGAAGCCTGGAAATACCCAAGCTCAAAATAATTTTTCTTCACAACATCATGTCTCTGCCTTCTCATGCCTACTAGTGGCAGTGAAATATTTCTGTACCAGTCTGAAGTTTCTGGTTCACTTCTGGAAGTGAATAAGCTTCTCTTGACACTTGGTGCTTTGAAATTTCCTGGGAATAAGTTTATGTCTAGGTCATTTTGTATTCATGCTACCAAGAAATCAGTGGACATTTTAAATCTAAAACCTCAGATACTCTCAGAACCTCAGTTCTAAGAAACAGTATTCTTTTTCTGCAGTAGCCTCCCTAATTTTTTTCCACTTCTCTTTTTCTAGAACATTTATTAGATGGCGACTGCCCTCTCAATAAATTTATTGCCAGTGCTCCTCAAATTTTATTTTTCTTTTGTATTCCTTTGTGTTTTGCTCTATACTTTGAAAGATTTGATGACTTCTACAACTTTTTAATTGCATTTTTATTTTGGCCGTCGTATTTTTCATTTCCAATGATTTGTTCTCATTTACATATTGTTTCTTTTATATAGCAACTTGGCTTTGTTTTGTTTCTATGGATGTGATGTTTTCTTGAATTTCTCTGGAAAAATTATTTAAAGTCTATAAGAAATTATCTCCTTTTGACTTTCTCTGTTCTCTTCAGAGCCACGCAGTGTATGTTCATGACAGACACAGAACCTGGGTTCTCATCCCAGCTCTGGCATTGGCTTGTTGTTGACCTAGAGCGAGCCACCTAGGCTTTGTGCTTTGGTTTCCTCCTTTGTGAAAACCACCCCAGAGGCCAGGCGTGGTGGCTCACCTCTGTAATCCCAGCACTTCGGGAGGGCTAGGTGGGCGGATCACGAGGTCAGGAGATCGAGACCATCCTGGCCAACACGGTGAAACCCCGTCTGTACTAAAAAATACAAAAAATTAGCCGGGTGTGGTGGCGGGCGCCTGTAGTCCCAGCTACTCAGGAGGCTGAGGCAGGAGAATGGCGTGAACCCGGGAGGCGGAGCTTGCAGTGAGCCGAGATCACGCCACTGCACTCCAGCCTGGGCGACAGAGCGAGACTCCATCTCAAAAAAAAAAAAAAAGAAAAAGAAAACCACCCCAGAGAATGGATGTGAGAATTACATCAGTTAACATTTGCAAAATCTTTAGAAAAGTGCCAGCACAAAGTGCTCAGCGAGTGCTAACTAGAACCTTTACTCACCTCTCTTCTGTGCTCTGTTTACCACAGCAGCTGGCAATTCTTCATTGTTTCAAAGTATTTATAAATTAGGGATTTGTGAATAAAGGAGTTTCTGTTTTATTTCTGGCCATTCTCTCACAAGGCTAATAGGGAGCTCTGGGTGGATGGGTGGATCTTGTTCACTGGTGGGATTTACCTCAAGGCTGGGGATGGACAGGCCTACAGGCTGCTCTGCTCTTATCCCACAAGCCCATGGAAGAGGACATGTAAGGATTCTACTCACAGGGCCCTGCCACCACTGAGAAGCAGATAATTCACTGTCTTGCTGCAAACTCCGTCTCTCCGTACGTGTGTGTTAGGCAGGGCCACTTTCTTAGCCATCCACCAGGCAGTTCTTCAGGTAAACATCTCTGTGTGTGCCTCTTATCTTGCAAGTGTCTGCACCTGCTCATTCAGGAATGGGATTCTTCCCTTCTTCCCCCAAAAGAGAGCTCCTACCTTTCCAGAGCCTTGGGTCAGCTCAGGACAGCATCCACACTTGAGATACTGGAAATCCTTAACAATTCTCCCTCCTCTGATATTTTTCCGTTCTACGCTGGTCTTCTTGGAAATTCATTCCCTTTCTGTCTCTTTACTCCTGTTGTTTAGAGAAAGAGAAAATGTCTTAGCTCATTTGGGAACTCAAAATAAATAAATAAATAATGGTAATCATAAATAATAAATTACTGTGGCTTACACAACAAATATGCATTTCTCTCAGCTCTGGAGGCGAGAAACCTGAGAGCAGGGAGCCAGCACACTCAGGTTCTGGTGAGGGCCTCTTCCAGGGCGCAGACTGCTGAGCTACCATTGGATCCTCACATAATAGAAAGAAGGCAAGAGAGTGTTCTGGGGTCCCTTTGATAATGGCACTAATCCATTCATGAAGGATCCATCCTCATGATCTCATTAACTTCCAAAGGCCCCTCCTCCTACTGCCATCATGTGGGGGTTTGGGATTTCAACATATGAATTTTGGAATGGCACATTCAGTCCACTGCAGGAAATAAATATGTGCTTGCTCTGTCAGCTGAACCAGACACTAAACTCAACTGAAAATTTTTACTTCTTAGATAGATGATATTCCATGCTGAAGGGATACTTTGAGTTTTGCTATCTAGGAACACTTGGCTAGCTGCTGGTTTACACATCCTTCTCGCAGGTCTCCAGGCACCTTGTGCACACCTGTGCTGTAGATGTGGTCTCACTGCACACCCATGTCTGCTTGTCCACCTCCGCCATTATGGCAGAATGGGCAGGAGCATCCTCCCAGCATTCACGGTCACTCACACAGCACCTGATACATGCTCAGCATCTTCCCACGCCTTCACCTGTTCCCCACCTCACTACACAAGAGGATTTGACAAGATCACAAATTTATACTGAACCAAGACAGTGGAGTTCTAAAACATTTGGCCCAAAGGAAATGTTCAGTAGAGTTGAGGTATAACACCAGTTAAAGGAGTGAGCAGTGGGGAAGAGATGACATTCAGGGCCTCAGGGCCTCTACAGTCATGAAAACTGGGCTACGAATGTGGCTTTTGGCCTCTGGGAGGCCACAGGAAGAGTGAAGCACATTAGAAACACTTATTTTGTATATAATGTGTTCTTGAAAGCATGCATAAAAGACATTTCAAAACAAATAGTATTATACTTTTAGCTGTGGTGGCAGCTGGGTGGATGTGCTCTGTTGCCAGAGACTGAAAACTAGCTTAAAATATCTGAACACATTGTGCCTTTCAGGCACAATATTTAACACATTTCATTGAATCTAGTTCTTTTCCTTTATAATGCAACCATCTGAAAGTCTATTGAGATGGAGACTTATGCATGCCGCTCATTGATCAATTCCATCTCGGCCTTAATTATATTACAGTGATGGGACCAACATCTTTGTTACTAGTATCAGCAGCTTCATTTTTCTGTTGTAATTTATTTTTTGAAGCATAAAATAACAGACACATAAATAGTGGCACAAACACTGGCTTACTGAGCTGGACCTTTAGGAGGCGGGCATTGCTGCACCTGAGAAAGCTACTAACACTTGTCAACTGATGCGCAAAAGTCCAAATTCAGACTGTGAAACATTTAATTCTACCAATATATAATTAATGCAAGTCAAACACATGAAAGTTAAAGAAGACTGTAATCACAACATTTACATTTTTTCCAAAAGAAGAAGTAACTCAATTTACGACAATAAACAATCCAGGCCTCAGAGTCTTGTACATTAGAAAGTTGGACCCCGCCCCACAAACACACACACACAAACACACACACACAGGTGTAGTTTAGAAGACAGACGTAGGTGTAAATGTTTTTACTAAGGTTTTCATTTGCCTGGGTAAGCTAACATACAGAAGGAAATGTTTTCTGATAGGTAATATGTATTCTTACCCTAAATAAATTATTATTATTTATATATTTTTTAAAAGCAGGGCTTACCCACGGATGAAAGAAGGTTAAAGTTGAGATTCGTTCTCCAAAATGGCATTCCTTCTGTTTGAGTTTTGGTGGGTACCTCACCAATATAGATGCCAACTATTTCCATAATCCGTAGCAAGTTGCAAAATCACCCGTTTTAGTTCAGGTAGTACTTGCTGCTTTAAAAAAGAAATCCCCACATCTCGAAACTTAAAATAAAACTTCATAGCCTGGCATGGTGGCTCTGGCCTGTAATCCCAGTGTTTCAGGAGGCTGAGGTGGAAGGACTGCTTGAGGTCAGAAGTTTGAGATCAGCCTGGTCAACATAGCAAGACCCTGTTTCTGCAACAAATGAAAAAAATAACTAGGTGTGGTGGCGCATGCCTGTAGTCCTAGCTACTCAGGAGGCTTAGCAAGAGAATTGCTTGAGGCCAGGAGTTTGAGGCTGCAGTGAGCTGTGATTGCACCACTGCACTCTTGCCTAGGCAACAGAGCAAGACTCTGTCTATAAAAAATAAAATAAAATAAATTGAACTTACGACATCTGAATTTTATTCCTGGACATAGACCATCTCTTAACCCCTCTGGCCTCAGCTTTGGTATCAGCACAATGGGAACAGTATTACCCACCACCCGGCAATGTGGTCAGTGTAAAAGAACATAACAAATATCAGTGAGCCTCCCACCCTCTTATATCTGGAGTGGAATGTGCTTTCTGCGTGGAGTGCTGCGTGTCTCTGAAGTTCCCCACAAGCCATTGGCCCTCACAGACTTTGTTCTTCACTGTCATTTCCAAGTCTGTCCTGGTTACTGTTGTGTGTGGTGTAGATAAAGCACTTCTCATTTTCTTAGTATCTCGACTACAGGGGAAAATTATAGTCATTAACGCATACTATTAAATTATGTCAAACACTAGACTCAAAATTTCTGCTGAATACCAAGTAGGTTTTGGTTAAAAGGAAAATCTGATGTAGATTTAGGACTCTGCTTGGGATTGTCCCTCTAGCCTCCCCTCTGCTCTGCCCCATCTTCTTCAAGGTGGTATAATACGTTGCTGAATTTCAAAGGAGATAGGAATAAATAGCCCGTGGGAGATCTGGGCCAGGGGTAAAGTCCAACCTTGAACCTGGCAGTGTCAGACTCTGGACCTGAGTCAGGGGCTGCGGTGTACCAGCGCAGCTGTGGGAAGAAGCAAGTGCCCTCTTCCCATGCAGCCTGGCTGTGGCAGGTCTCCCATGGGCACCCTCGGGTCTAACCTTGCGGCAACCTTGCAGCCCCCAAATGCAAGCTCCTTTTAAAAAAGTGGCAGTCACGTGTTTACCAAAGTTTTCACTGGGAGACCCAGAAAAAGGTCTCTATCACTCACCGCCTGTCAGACAACTTCAGAACCTGCCCTGTAACATTGCAGCCCCCGTCATTCCCCTTTCCTGCTACCCGTCTGCCAGCCACTCAATTTCCCCTGGCCCCACCCCAACCCTGTATTAGCCACTGCCTTACTTTTCATTTATTTTTCTGTTGTGTGTTGGAAAATTCAGCTCTGTACCAACTCCTCCTCTCCTGCATCTCCATACTCATCACCCCCTCAGCAGGGGGCCCTGATGAGGGATTCACCTCCCCGCCATCTCCATAGCCATCACTCACTCAGCAGAGGGCGCCTGATGAGGGATTCACCTCCCTGGGAGGCAGCTGGGGTGGTAATGTACACATTTATAAGTGCTTTCCTTTCTCTCTATGGTACCATGGATGGCACAGTGTGAGGCTCTACGACTCCAGCAATGATTAAGAAGCAGGTCTTGGCCAGGCATGGCGGTCACACCTGTAATCCCAACACTTTTGGAGACCAAGGTGGGATCATTGCTTGAAGCCAGGAGATCAAGACCAGATTGGACAGCACAGCAAGACCCTGTCTCTACCAAACACTTTAAAAAATAAACTTTGTGAGGTGTTGTGCACCTGTACTCCCAGCTGCTCAGAAGGCTGAGGCAGGAGAACTGCTTGAGCCTAGGAGGTCGAGGTTGCAGTGAGCTGTGATCCCACCACTGCACTCTAGCCTGAGTGACAGTGAGATTTTGCTGAAAGAAAGAAAGAAGGAAAGAAAGAGAGAAAGAAAGAAAAAGAAGGAAGGAAGAAAGGAAGAAAGAGAAAGAAAGGGAGAAAGAAAGGAAGAAAGAAAGAGAAAGAAAGAAAAAGAAAGGAGAGAGAGAAAGAAAAAGAAAGGAAGGAAGGAAGCAAGGAAGGAAGGAAGGAAGGAAGGAAGGAAGGAAGGAAGGAAGGAAGGAAGGAAGAATCAGGTCTTGTCCACAAAGTGCTCTCCCTCTGTGGGGTGAGCAGCCAGCTTTCTGTGCCTCTGTGGGGTGAGCAGCCAGCTTTCTGTGCCTCTGTGGGGTTAGCAGCCAGCTTTCTGTGCCTCTGTGGGGTGAGCAGCCAGCTTTCTGTGGTGGCTTAGTTTTCCATCATGCATTTAACGTCGTTCATCACTGTTTGTGCTCATAAGAACCCCCTCCAGGAAGACAGACTTCCTCATCCGCACACAGCAGCAGGTGATGCAGGGCCTGTGAGTTGTGGCTCCTCTGGCATCACATGGGGATCTCAGGCAGAATAGACCACAGCCTCTCATGTTTTAAGAAAATGTGGTTTTGATTCTATAATAGAAAACTCACAGGCCATCCAAGAGAATTCCAAATGACGAAATGAACAGAGCAGGCTTCATTACCACACGGAGCCTCCCTCTCTGTGGAGGCATTTGGAATTTGGTGAGGACTCACCATGTCCCTATAACAAGAACCAGGGCAGTATCTGGAACCTGCACCCCAAGGCCTCCCAGAGAGGAAAACAACAGGGCATTCCCAGGGAATCGCGCCTTCCCCTTGCTCTCATCTCCAACCTGCCCCATCTCCTGGAAAAACATAGAATAAACTTTCTGCTTTGAGTCTGGAATTTGGAGCCAGCTCTGGTGGAAGGAAGAGGGTGCCAGCCCTCCAGATACCCAGCCGCCAGCCCTGGGCCCCTTCACAACTTCCGTGGTGCCTCTTCCTTTCTGGCAGAGTTGCTGATGGGAGCTGAGCAGGGCCATCCATCCGTGCAGCTGCATATGTTTAATCAGGGGTCTGTCTGACGGTGCTGGGGCTCAGCGAAGCAGCTCCCGCGCTGCGAAAAAGCGCTGATCGATGCTCCACTGTTCTTTCATTTATGGGTGGCTCTCCTCCTCCCATGCCCTCCCCCTCCCCCACTGCTTCTGTGCACCCATGACAGCGTGAGAGGCTTGGGAGAGCAAGACTGCTCCAGCAGACGCCTTCTTGCACATCCAGAAAACCAGGGGACAGTTTCCACGTGGACTTGGAGGGGCTGGAGACGCAGCTGCACCAGGCCGCCCTGCAAGTAGAGGGAGGAGGTCCCGCGGAATGGCTTCACTATAGTCTTCCCAACTGTCGGGCATTCTGCCCTCTTCCTTTTAGGCGCAGATTCCTGTACAGTTCAAAGCAGTAGCTGAAAGAGGCATGTTAAGTAGTCAACAAGGCTCCTGGAAGCTTTGTCACTCACCTCCAGTGTTCAGATTTCCCGTCCTCGTAGACCAGGGCCTTTTGACCTGGGCCCCACGGACATTTTGGCTGGATCATTCTTTCTTGCAGGGGCTTTCCTATGCATTGCAGGGTGGTTAACAAGGTCCCTGGCCCCCACCCACTGTATTCCAATAGCACCTCCCTCAACAGTGTGAACAACTAAAAGTGTCTCCAGGCATTGCCAAACATCCCCTGTGGGTGAAATCACTCCTAGTTCGGAACCACTGACCTAAATGGTCCTGACATGGCAGAGCCGTGTTCTTTCTTCTGCATCCTTGCTGTCATCCCATCGTCACAGCAGCAGCGTAACCACACCTTCATCACCACCATCACCACCATCATCATCCCTTAGGCAGCATCTGTGTCAGTCATGATTACTAACATCCATTCATGATGATGGAGGACCTTGTGAAGGAGCTGTGCTGCTCCCCAGGTGCCTGGCATGTTCCTGGAAATGTGTGCAGACTAACCCAAGATCCCTGGGAACCCTAAGAGGTTAATCCTACTATGCCCATTTTAGAGATAAGAAAACTGATGATCACGGAGCCTAAGTAACTTTTCTCGAGATGCGGCAGAACACAACTGTGCCACCGTTTAACCTAAGCGGGAAATTTTGTTCACTGTACTCTGCTGCCATACACTTCTCTTTGTTCCATTATCTCTGCCCTTAAGCTCCTGGCAATGGTCAGGCACAGGCTTGGCATCCACATCAATGTAAGGAACAGGAATCAAGTCATTCAGCTTAGCTCAAGTAATTCAAATTAATGTTAACCTTGTCTGTTGAGGCAATAAAGAATTGTTGGCAACACAGGACTAATCCCAGAATTCTGGTTCCAACTTTGACTTGCTCTGTGAGCTGAGACAAGCCACTTGAACTTTCTAAGCCTCCCACACTTTATTTGTAAATGCACTAATACTTGTAAGAAGATAAGAACCACACCTGGATACAGTTAACCCTCAGTGAAAGCCGCGTGTTACTATTAGTGACAGATGCTCTCCGGGTAAATCAACATCTGTCTTTTTGTTCTCTCTGCAAAAGTGGTTGGGGAGTTGCTGTGTGAGCTTAGGGGAGATTAGAACCCCAGTGTTGGGGTCAGACAGGAAGATGCCTGGCTGCTTCTCTCAATTTCTCCTCTGAGAAATGGCAGCTTGTCTTGGACAGAGCCCAGCCTGGGTGACAGAGGTCCTGAATTTCAGTTTTGGGAATGGACCACATACAGCAAGACCGAGCCCTGGGCCAGGGAGGAGGCTGGGAGACAACCCAGGGTCACACCAAAGTCATGCCTAGCGACCTGCCAGGGCCCTGATTTCCTTATCTACACATTAGGCTAGATAATCACAAAGCTCCTACATCAGCATGTTGTACAACAGACAGTTTTACTCACCTGCTATTGTAATGCATACACTAGCACCATCTATTTCAGCGTTGGATGAGGTCTTTCTCCAGTGCTGACTGGGCTGGCTAAGGCCAGAGAGTGGTCGGGCTCCCTCCCTGGAACAGCTCTCCAATGGCTGACACCCATCCTTGCCCATCTCTGACAGCAGACACCCTGCCCAGGATTAAGGACCAGAAGTGCATATATATATAATGGATAGATAGATAAATCAATAGAGGCTTTTTCCTTTTATACATATTTTATCTTTTTCTTCCCTTTTATCTTTCTATAGCAACAGATTCTTCAAACAAGCTGCACGCCCATGTGTACTTAGGCGTGCTTTTCTTAGGCAGAAAGCAGGACATGCAATCAGGTTCATACACAGCAGGTGTGACTTCATGAACGCATCTGAAGAACCGATTGGCTGGACACGTTTTTAAAGATGTCTCCTCTTGACCTGTAATCTGAAGATTGATTTTGCTGAAAGAAAGGGCTGAATTGCAGGTCAATACCTTTTTTTAAGAACCTTCTCACTTTAATTAATTGTCCTTACAAAGTCCTAGATTACAGCTGAGGGATAGGTGATAAGAAATTAATGAAAGTGCAGAGCGTAGGGAGGAGGTAAGCTCTGACAAGATTATGGGGTGCGGGAGAGGAGGATTTGGGAAATAGACTGAGAGGAAGCAACGTCTTGGGTGGTAGCAAAGGGATGATTTCCTGTCTGTCTGTCTACTTGTCTATCCATTTGACAGCACTGTCTCTAGGGCATTTTTTTCAGGGGTGCTGGACACAGCTCACACCATCGCCGTTATTTATAAGACACACGGTTATTGGAAGGAGCTCGGGGTTTGCAACCACACGATCATGCTGGCAGCTCCAGGTCTGTCCATTGCTCACCTTGGCTTGCTTCTCTGGTAAATGGGGATAACAGTTCCTACTGCATAAGGAAGCTACTTGGCTCTATGGCAAGCAGGGGCTGTGGATGGGCCAGGGAGGAGGCTGGGAGACAACCCAGGGTCACACCAAAGTCATGCCTAGCGTCCTGCCTCCTCCCTGAGCTCTCCGGGGCACAGTGTGCTTCTCCTGCCAGGTAGGGAGAAAGCCCACAGGGGCTTTGGAAGTCATTACAGTGGCCCTCTTCCACAGAGTCTTCATGCATTCTTTCTGCTTTTCTGTTTCTTTCACTTCCCTTCCTTCAGGGAGGGTTGGGTAATGAAGTGCCAAGAGTAGAGATCTTTGAAATCAGACAGCCACCATCCAGCTCTGCCTAGCTTTGTGAGCTTATGGAAGGCATGCATTCAACAGAAGACATGCATGCCAAAGCATGCTAGGAGTTCTGTAAACCATGCAGGAAAACTAGATGGTGGTCACTAGCCACCAGAAGCTAGACTGGAAGGTCAGCAAAGCTTTCTCTGAGGAAGTGATATTCAAAGACTGAAAAGACAGCTGGGAATCAACCAGGACACAAAGAGGCAGGGAAAGGAATGGAAAAGAGTTCCAAGGGGAGGGAAGAGCCTGCTCAAGGCCCCAAGCAGGGCAGAGGCCAGTGTGTGAAAAGCTGAAGGCCTTGCCAAGCAGGACTGGCAGAAAGGAAAGTGCAAGAGATGAGGTTGGAAACTAAAGGAGCAGAGGGAACATGAGGGTTTATAGATGCAGTAGAAGTTGGTGTCATATCTAAAGGGCAAGAAGAAGCTCTTCACAGATGGTGACTTCTTTTTTTTTTTTTTTGTTTTTTTGTTTTTTTGTTTTGTTTTTGTTTCTGTTTTTAAAGAGGCAGAGCCTTGCTCTATTCCCCAGGCTGTAGAGCAGAGGCACAATCATGGCTCACTGCACCCTTGAACTCCTGGGTTCAAGCAGTCCTCCTACCTCAGTCTCCTGAGTAGCTGGGGCTACAAGCACATGCTACCATGCCCGAATAATTCAAAAAAAAAATTGTAGAGATGGAGTCTCATTATGTTGCCCAGGCTGGTCTCCAACTCCTGGCCTCAAGCCATCCTCCCACCTCGGCCTCCCAAAGTGCTGGGATGACAAGTGTGAGCCACTGTGCCTGGCCTCTAGAGACTTTGGTGCATCAAAGTTTATGGTTTCTACAAAGGTTCTCTATTAAATACCAGAGATATAAAATTAACAAGTCCCTACCCTTGAGGAGCTCCTAAAGTTGTGGAGTATCATCTTTATAGATCTAACATATAGTCACCCACAGTCTTTGCTTGTTAGATCTGCTATGTACTGGGCTCTACACCAGGAGAAAATCCAGCATAATCTATGCCCCACAGGGCTTGCTGCCGAGTGAAGACACAGACATTGAACAAATAACCCAACAAAGATATGGAACATTTTAACTATAATCCAAGGCCATTGCAAACAGGAGTAGAGGACTTTAGGGAAAGCACAGCGTGTGCGAAGGCCCCGTGGCAGGAGGGGTCCAGGTGCATCTGAGGGGCTGCAGTGGGAGTGATGAGAGGTCACTCTAGGAGGAAGGTTGGAGGCAGACCCTGCAGGTCTGCTGGGCCTCGTGAGTAGCCCTAAAGTGTGGTCAGAATCCACAGTGCGTACAATGCACAGAGGGAGCAGGGGGAAGAGCGACCCCAGCTGGAGGATCAGGGCAAGGCCCCCGGACAGGAATCTGGGTTTAAAGGATGCCTTGTCCCTCTCTCAGCCTGATATAGAGACAAGTATATGAACAGCAGGATCAGAACATGTTCAGAAGAGTTCCTGTGGCCGGAGGGCCAGAAGGTGGGGGTGGAAGGTGAGGTTACAGAGGGAGGCAATTGGGGTCAGATCCTGAGAGCTTTCTAGACTAAGCCAGAGCAACTTGGAAAAAAGGATCCACCAGCTTCTCGAAAAAGCACTTAGCCTGTGAGTGTCAGGGCAGGCCTAGAATTCAGGTCCAAGGGAGTAGCTTGTCCAACATCTTCTCTTTAAGCAGAGACTGAGACCCCTTCCAGCTCTGACATCCTCTGACTCTCAAATGTGATTTGCAGACTCAACCATTGCACCCTTGGAGACTGCTGTTGGATAATTCTTACACAGTTCGTGGCTTCAGTGACAGAAGTGTGATCTGTCAAAGCTCTGGGCACCAGAAGCTGGATGTTGGCAGGGCCATGCTCCCTCCCAAGGCTCTAGAAAAGAACTCTTTCTTCCTCTTTCAGATTCTGGTGGCTCCAGGTGCCCCTTGGCTTGGGGCAGCTTCTCTCCAGTCTCTGCCTCCACTTTCAATGGCCCTCATTTCTTCTGCGTCTGTTATCCTGGGATTTATGGCCCATAAATTAAACCAAAATGATCTACTTCTCTTGAGACCCTTAACTCAGTTACATCTGTGAAGACTTTTTGCAAATAAGATCACACCCACAGGCTCTAGAGATTAGGACGTGGCCATATTGTTTTAGGGGCCACCATTAACCCACTACTGACCAGCCTCAGAGTCTACCACTAGATTGTTTTTCTGCAAAGGTGCTCACGATAGTCTCATGGGACTTTCTAGTATTTTAAACTTTTTTGTTGTTGTTGTTGTTTTTGAGATGGAGTCTTGCTCTGTCATCCAGGCTGGAGTGCAGTGGCACGATCTCAGCTCACTGCAGCCCCCATCTCCTGGGTTCAAGCGATTCTCCTGCTTCAGCCTCCTGAGTAGCTGGGATTACAGGTACATGCCACCACCCCAAGCTAACTTTTGTATTTTTGGTAGAGACAGGGTTTCATCATGTTGACCAGGCTGGTCTCGAACTCCCGACTTCAAGAGATCTGCCCGCCTCAGCCTCCCAACGTGCTGTTAAACTGTTTTTTAAGATCTTTGTTTATGCCAAAGCAAAATGAGAAAAGGGGAATTCTCCACAGTGGCAAAATTTTTACTACAAACTTTTCACTTGGTTTCTCTCTACACCCAAGTCCTGTGCCCATACGTGGGTTGTGAAGGTCTGGCCACAGTTGATTTTCATCCAGCCTCAATAACAAATACTGTGCCATCTCTGTAACCAAATGCAAGGAGACAAGAGGCGGGAAGCCTCATGAACCCACTGGGATTTCGAGGCACCTTGGTGCCCACTCCAGAATGAGAGTCTCAGAGAATGCTTGTTGGCTGCGGGGCTTGAACGCATGAACCCTGCTTAGTGAGGCTTCCCTCCCTTAACCAGCACTCCGTGGTTATCTGATGCCTTTCTCCACAATACCTGGTTCTGAGAAATCAAATTAAATATAAAGTCCCTCTGCCGCTGAGCAGTTCATTGGAACCCTCCTAATAAAAATTCTTTTGAATGTGCCACTCAGCGGAATTCTGCGGAATTCTAGACAAGAAAAATTATTTCAGAAATATGTTTCTGTATTCAACGGTGTAATGAATACAATCCTTCTTATCACCCAGCACCGAGATTGCGGGTGTGACTGCATGTCAAAGACTGTTTGTAAAAGGGGCGCCTTAGCTATCCTGGCAGCGCACCCAGCCACCAGTCCACGTGGGATCTGCCTTATCTCCTTTCTACGGCAACGATTGTGGGAGAGGAAGATAATGAGGTTGTTTTGCTGTTTTTTAAAAACCATGTCACAAAAGGTAAATAGAAACTTAAGCCCCAAAAGAAACTTCTCCATTAACACAACTTCTGAAAACATTCTGTACAAAGAAGTCTGTCATGCTACCTCTCCGAAACCCTTGCAGAAGAAAAACGTGGAAATTCATCTAAAAACAAAGTTGGAGTGTTCCTTGTGGCTCGTTCAAGACATCGTTGTCCTCGAAAACTCTTCAATCTTCTCAGAGGCCAGTCTGGATCACTGAGGTTCACATTAGACACTATTTGAAAAGGAGGACTGTTTCATTCTGCAGACCTTACACTACACATAACAATTAAATGTGATGCCAGAGAAGAGTGGGAGAAACAGAGCCTGCTGAGCCAACTTCAATGGACTGATAAAAAAGACTACAATTAATGCCACCAATTTTTATATTTCATGTTAAAATCATGTATTTTCTTACATAGGTTAAACATATTCCTTACAATGTTATTTTCCCCTTCTACAGAGAGCACACTTATGGCTAATCAAGGCTGAGTTCTTAGTGCCTGGATTTTTCGTGTGCATAGATTCATATGTTTCTCAGGTTCCTAAATGCCAGAAGTCAGAAGCCAGAGCACTTGGAATGTGAACTGAGCTCACAGAATTACCACTGCCAGTCGAGACATTCCAACATGTTTTCCTGACACATCTGTGTCAATTGTCATCTCTACAATTAAAACTATTTTAAAACTAAGTTCCCTTCCTTAGACTGTTTCCATCACTGCCAATCTCAAAAGAGTCACTTGAAGCATGATTCAAATTTTAAAACATGTTAGGGCCGGGGAAGTGCCTCAAAGTTGGTGTGACCTGCTCAGGCGTGGGAGCTGGGTTCAGAGTGTGTGTGAGCCCTGCCTGTGAGCAGTGTACCCTCATGAGCTCTGTGGTTCCAGCCGTTCCTGCAGAGCTGAGTCAGACAGACAGTGCTGCACAGGAACTCCTTCTCACACTAGAACGTTGCCAAAAGATACTCACAGGCTGGAACTGCCAGAGTCACTTTTTGGCTTAGAACATCACACAATGTCTATATGATCATTTGTACAATGGAATCTATGTTGTGGAACAGCCAAGATAAAAGAGGCAGATTCAGCAAGGGAGACTCTCACTCTGATTCATAAGCACTTGGCGTTTAATGTAGAACTCTCTTGGTCCAAACTCTGCTCTCCTTTGACTCCCTGATCAAGTGACAGGCAATGCATCCTCCTCTCTGTCCCACCAAACCACAAAGAACCTGTTCATCCCTGAATTTCTCTGCATTCCCCAAACCTGGCCAAAGCCTTTGGGTCAGAACTTTCTCCTACTATACCTGCTCTCTAGCTCCCCTGCTTCCCATTCCTTCCCTTGGTGCTATGATCTTAGTTAGATGCTGGCATGGGCTTCTTTTTGATTAAAAACCAAAGGCCACCCTTACACCTCAGTGTCTTTCATCATCTCCCAACTCCCTGCCAGAGCAAGTCCGGCCTCTTGAGGGTGATTCCTGTCTTTGCAGCATCTGGTCTCAACCTGCTCCCCCAGCCTCCCTCTTTGCTCCCCTCTACCAACACGCCATGCCGTTTCTCACATGAGCATGGTCGTCTCTGAGCTCTGAGGAATACAAAGCCTATGAACACGTGAGCACAACCCCAGGTATTCCCAGCTACCAATAATTAAGCAGGTACTTTGTTAACCCTGACAACAGTTATGAACAAAGCTCCAGTACACAGAAGTTGCAATTTCCTGTCTGTGTGGCAGGTATGAGCTGCTGTTAACATCTGTGCTAATTATTGAAATGTGCCCTCTCCATTCTGAAAAGCAATCTTTTTCTTTTTTTTTAATTTATTTTTTATTTCAATAGGTTCTTAGAGAGCAAGTGGTGTGTGGTTACATGAATAAGTTATTTAGTGGTGATTTGTGAGATTTAGGTTCACCCATCACCCAAGCAGTGTACACTGTACCCAGTGTGTAGTCTTTTATCCCTCACCCCCTCCCACCCTTTCTCCTGAGTCCCCAAAGTCCGATGTATCATTCTTATGCCTTTGTGTCCTCATAGCTTAGCTCCCACTTGGAAGTGAGAACATACAATGTTTGCTTTTCCATTCCTGAGTTACTTCACTTAGAATAATAGTCTCCAATTCCATCTAGATTGCTGCCAATGCTATTATTTCATTCCTTTTTATTGCTGAGTAGTACTCCATGGTGTGTGTGTGTGTGTGTATTATGTAACATATGTGTGTGTGTGTATATATATATGTATGTATATATATACATATATATATACACACACACACACACATACCACATTTCCTTTATCCACTTGTTGATTGATGGACATTTGGGCTGGTTCCATATATTTGCAATTGCAAATTGTGCTCTGGGCAGCATTTTCATGCAGACTTATGGGGTCCTGCTGGCTGCCCATGCATGACATGCTTCACTTCTCATTGAAACTCAACTCCCCTTCCAGCTGACTTTCTGCACATTGAAGGAACCACTGAGTATGCATGTCAGAAAGTGTGCTCCATGGAATGCCAGTTCAGCTGCAGGCTAAAGACTGTTTATTGAGGCCATGGACTATTCACTTTTCTCTCTTTGTAATAAGATACTACTGGTTTGTTTTTCTCTAGGATTCCTAAAATCTTTAAATCAGTTTTTAAAGGCTGGGTAGCAGGGCATTAGAGTGTGTAAACTTTCCCAAACTTTGCTGTTCTTCAGCCTCTGCTGGTGATACCCAGGCAAACAAGGTCTGCAGCAGACCTCCAGCAAACTCCAGCAGACCTGCAGCAGAGGGGCCTGTTAGAAGGAAACTAACAAACACAAAGGAATAGCATCGACATCAACAAAAAGGACGTCCACTCATAGGCCTCATCCAAAGGTCACCAACATCAGAGACCAAAGGTAGATAAATCCACGAAGATGGGGAGAAACCAGCACAAAAAGGCTAAAAATTCCAAAAACCAGTAGGCCTCTTCTCCTCCAAAGGATCACAACTCCTCGCTGGCAAGGGAACAAAACTGGATGGAGAATGAGTTTGATGAATTGACAGAAGTCGGCTTCAGAAGACAGGTAATAACAAACTCATCCAAGCTAAAGGAGCACGTTCTAACCCAATGCAAGGAAGCTAAGAACCTTGAAAAAAGGCTAGACTAATTGCTAACTAGAATAACCAGCTTAGAGAAGAACATAAATGACCTGAAGGAGCTGAAAAACACAGCACAAGAACTTCATGAAGCATACACAAGTATCAATAGCCAAATCGACCAAGCGGAAGAAAGGACATCAGAGATTGAAGATCAACTCAATGAAATAAAGTGATAAGACAAGATTAGAGAAAAAAGAATGAAAAGAAACGAACAAGGCCTCCAAGGAATGTGGGACTATGTGAAAAGACCAAATGTACATTTGATTGGTGTACCTGAAAGTGACGGGGAGAATGGAACCAAGTTGGAAAACACTATTCAGGATATTATCCAGGAGAACTTCCCCAACCTAGCAAGACAAGCCAACATTCAAATTCAGGAAATACAGAGAACATCACAAAGATACTCTTTGAGAAGAGCAGCCCCAAGACACATAATCGTCAGATTCACCAAGGTTGAAATGAAGGAAAAAATGCTAAGGGCAGCCAGAGAGAAAGGTCGAGTTACCTACAAAGGGAAGCTTATCGGATTAACAGTGGATATTTTGGCAGAAACCCAACAAGCCAGAAGAGAGTGGGGGCCAATATTCAACATTCTTAAAGAAAAGAATTTTCAACCCAGAATTTCATATCCAGCCAAACTAAGCTTCATAAGCAAAGGAGAAATAAAATCCTTCACAGACAAGCAAATACTGAGAGATTTGGTCACCACCAGGCCTGTCTTATAAGAGCTCCTGAAGGAAGCACTAAACATGGAAAGGAACAACTGGCACCAGCCACTGCAAAAACATACCAAATTGTAAAGAACATTGACACTATGAAGAAACTGCATCAACTAACGGGCAAAATAACCAGCTAGCATCATAATGACAGGATCAAATTCACACATAATAATATTAACCTTAAATGTAAATAGGCTAAATGCCCCAATTAAAAGACACAGACGGGCAAATTGGATAAAGAGTCAAGACCCATCTGTGTGCTGTATTCAGGAGACCCATCTCATGTGCAAAGACACACATAGGCTCAAAATAAAGGGATGGAGGAATATTTACCAAGCAAATGGAAAGCAAAAAAAAGCAGGAGTTGCATTCCTAGTCTCCGATAAAAGAGACTTTAAACCAACAAGGATCAAAAGAGACAAGGAAGACCATTGCATAATGGTAAAGGGATCAATGCAACAAGAAGAGCTAACTATGCTAAATATATATGCACCCAATATAGGAACACCCAGATTCATAAAGCAAGTTCTTAGAGATCTACAAAGAGACTTAGACTCCCACATAATAATAGTAGGAGATTTTAACACCTCACTGTCAATATTAGACAGATCAATGAGACACAAAATTAACAAGGATATTCAGGACTTGAACTCAGTTCTGGACCAAGTGGACCTAATAGACATCTACAGAACTTTCCACCCTAAATCAACAGAATATACATTCTTCTCAGCACCACATCGCACTTATTCTAAAATTTACCACATAACTGGAAGTAAAACACTCCTCAATTTTTCTTTAAAGTAGCAGTCACACTGGTTTTCTACAGAGCTTATTTTGGAACATACCATCTTAAGTTTTCTGTTGTCATTCCTGTAGGCAACTGCAGAATAAAACCCTGCCATCAAACGTCATTCTCACAACATTTACTTTTCTGTTCCTGGATCCATTTTTCAAGTGGGACATCTGGCCGTTTGCTGTCTGTATTAATTTTCTGGGGCTGCCATAACAAAGTCCTGCAGTCTGGTTGGCTTAAAAAGCAGAAATTAATTTTCTCACCATTTGGGAGGCAGGGAGTTGCAGATAAAGATGTTTGCAGATTGGTTTCTTCTGAGGCTGCTTTTCTGGAATTGTAGATGGCCATCTCCTCCCTGTGGTTTTCTCCCTGTGTGTCCAAATTTTCTCTTCCTATAAAGACACCAGTTATAATGGATTAGGGTCCACCCTAGTAACCTCATTTCAGCTTACCTCTTTAAAGACCCTGTCTCCCAATGCAGTCACATGCTGTTATGAATTTTTGGGGGATAGCCCATAACACTGCCAGAGCATTGCAGTGCTAAACAGGGGGCATTGCAGGCAACATGAATAAATCACTAAGTTCAAAGTTTCAGGATGCTGTAAGAAAATCATAATCAAAAATACATATGTAATCTGGCTAGGTGCAGGGGCTCAAGCCTGAAATCCCAGCACTTTGGGAGCCCAAGGCTGGTGGATCACCTGAGGTCAAGAGTTTGAGACAAGCCTGGCCAACACGGTGAAACCCTGTCTCTATTAAAAATCCCAAAATTATCCAGGCATGGTAGTGGGTGCCTGTAATCCCTGCTACTCTGGAGACTTAGTGGGGAGAATCGCTTGAACCCGGGAGGTAGAGGTTGCAGTGAGCTGAGATCACACCACTGCACTCCAGCCTGGGCAACAGCGCAAGACTCCATCAAAAAAAAAATACATATATAATCAAAGTGTTCAATCATATAGGAAATTCCATTGGAAAAGTGGATTCCACAAAGAAAAGAATTTCCTGGCTTTGGTGGATGTGGCAGGAATAACATACATAGCAGCATGTTTTTATGGATCAGGGTTTCCAAAACCTAAATCAAAAACAGAAGGTAGTGGATTATCTACCTCATCTGAAATACACATCACCTAGTCCTCTTCCTTAGAATACACACAAATCACACTCATACATACACACACTCACATATCCTGCTGGAATTTAATTTTTGAAATTTCATGTACATTTTTCCAAGAACTCTGACATCTTTTATCCTGGCTGGTTTCTACTGCAATCCTATTAAACAAATACAGGTAAGTTCATTATTTTCCACTGACAGATAAGACCACTCAAATTCAAAAGAAATTAAGTGATCTTCCTACAAGATATTTCCCTCTCGGCTCTTTTAATAAATCTATTAGGATTCTTTGGGTAGCAAATAACGTAAACCCAATTCATATTAGTTTAAGTAAACAGAGAAAAAATAAGCTTATGTAACTAAAGACCAAGGGTAGATCTTTTTGACCAAGAGGATAGCTAGGTCCAGGTTTGGAAAGGACATCATTAGAAATTAGTCTCTCTCTGTCTCTTGGCTCTGATTTCCTTGATTTGTCTTCACTTTCAGCTAGCTTCTTGCCTCTTGGTGACAAGATGGCTACCAGCAGCTTCAGAATTCTCTCTTCATCTGAGCAACCTCAATAGAAACCATGTGCCGCTCTCCAACATAAAACATACTTTGTTTTAGAGAAGAATTTATAAGTGAAGGCTTTTTTTTTCTCATAGGCTTTTTTGATGGATTAATACTCTTTGTTGTTTAATGATGTAGTTGAATTTCTTTTTGTCTTCATTTGTCTATTCCACAACCATGGCAGACATCACTAGTCAGTCATGGAATATTTGTTTGCTGCTTTCTTTTGTTTTTTTTGTTGTTGTTGTTTTGTTTTGTTTCTTTGAGACAGAATCCAGCTCTGTAGCCCAGGCTGGAGTGCAGTGGTGCGATCTCTGCTCACTGGAACCTCTGCCTCCCAGGTTCAGGTGATTTTCCTGCCTCAGCCTCCCAAGTAGCTGGGATTACAGGCAGGGGCCACCATGCTTGGCTAATTTTTTTATTATTAGTAGAGACAGGGTTTCACCATGTTGGCCAGGCTGGTCTCAAACTCCTGACCTCAAGTGATCCACCTGCCTCAGCCTCCCAAAGTGCTGAGATTACAGGCGTGAGACACCGCGCCTGGCATATTTGCCATTTTCAATCAGTAAGATCTGGTGTGTGAGTTGAAACCCTAGACCTCCTGCCAGCAAGGATGCACATCCTGGTGTCATTTTCTTCATCATACTCTTTTTTTTTTCTTTTTGAAAATTCATCAATCACTTGCATGTTTTTTCCAAAAGTCTCTCTGGCTGTTGATGATAAGTATTTCCCCAATAAAACCTCAATGAACCAAATAACATTGAAGTGACTCATTGAAGCATAGCTGGACTCTTTTTCACCCTCTCCTTGGCCCCATCCTCTCCCCAGCAGACCAGGAGCTTAACCCTAAAATCCAGAAAACTCTGCAGAGCCATTTGCCCCAGTCCATACTGATTAAGAACAGGCATTCATGATAATGATGTCTTTTCAGATTAGAGCCTGAGTATTTGCTGCTACCAAATATTCAGCATAATAGCATTTGAAAGACTGCATCAACTGACACAATTTGGGCTTTTTTATTGAGACGGAGTCTTACACTCTCGCCTAGGTGGAGTGCAGTGGCGCCAACTCGGCTCACTGCAAGCTCCGCCTCCCAGGTTCACGCCTTTCTCCTGCCTCAGCCTTCCGAGTAGCTGGGACTACAGGCGCCCGCCACCACACCCGGCTAATTTTTTGTGTTTTTAGTAGAGACGGGGTTTCACCATGTTAGCCAGGATGGTCTCGATCTCCTGACCTCGTGATCCGCCCGCCTTGGCCTGCCAAAGTGCTGGGATTACAGGCGTGAGCCACCACGCCTGGCCCAATTTGGGCATTTTAAAGGAAACACTGTTTCTAAGAGTAAAATAAAGCAATCAAGCCCAGTGGGGACCTGGTGAGAGCATCGTCTGTGTCTTCGGTGGGAGGGTCTTGGCCAGGGCTGCAGGAGGCCAGCCTCTGCTCTCAAGTGCTTGAGATCCTGAGTGAGAGGCAGGTGAGCACTGGGTCCTCCGTAATGCAGGTGGCAGGGAGAGTGACAGGGGGTGTCAGCAGGAACACAAGGCAGGAGGCCCAGGCAGGAGCGCACGTAGTGGAAGTGCACAGGCAGGAGGCGACACAGTGGAACTTGGTGCAGGGAACGAGGCTTCCTGCAGCTGAGTCTTAAAAAGTGAGCAGGATTTGGACAAACCAGGGAGCTACACTGGGCAGGGGGCCTCATACCAGTGATGCCAAGGGACCTCCATCTGGGGTGTGTTCCCAGGTGAAGAAACCAGGCTTCATTTCTGTAGGCAGAAGGAGCCTACAGTGACTGATTGGAGGCATGGCTGTGAGAAGAGCGTTTCTGAGGGCTCTGAGAACAGCGATTTCTATCCATCACTTAACTTCACTGCCTCTTTCAGACCGACGCGTGTGCTAAGCTGTCATTTATTTACTCACAACTTCCACTGAGCGCCCGTCTGTGCCTGTGCTGTGCTCTGTCCATGAGGCAGGCATGGGCTCTTTCTGAGGTCACGTGAGTGTGAAGGACCTTTGGGTCTCACACACTTTGCACAGCTCCAGGTCCAGGGTATACACCTAAAATTATGTGTTGAATAAATATCTTCATACCATGTCTTCAGATGATCAGTCAGACAATCAGACCTATTGTTTGTTTCTCATTTTGTTACCCACATGACAGGTGGGTTCAATGGCTTGGCAGGTGACGTCCAATGACGACAGCCAAGGCAGGTATAACAGGGGGATTTGATGCCTTGCAGCAAGTAAGGAGGACATCAGGGATAGTTCCCAAGCAGTGCCTCCCAGAACAAAGGTGAAAGCCTGGCTTTTATTGAGCTGAGTCATTGAATGTGGAGATGGATTAAAGCCCATCACTGATCATGTTCCACATACCTCACATGTACAGAAAACGGTGCATGAGCTCCTCCCTGGGTGGAGATTTCAGTATGCTAACAAGGGTAGTTCTTCAAAGTTCATCTCCAACTCAGGCATCTCTGGGTCAAACTCATTTTTGTTTTCCAGGGCTGAGATTCTTCCTGGAACTTTTTGAAACAGCAACACTGGGTGCGGTCTTTACCAGTGGGAGCTTGTTCACAGTGCATGCACAGAAACCTGTAGACCATGGGTTAGGCTCTTGCAAGACTTCCCTGAAAGATCGGACCTGGTCACTGACAAGATTTGTCTGCATTTCCCCTTGACGAGAAAGTCCACTGTATGATGAAGCTGGTTCTCCAAGGCAGACTAGATATAGAATGGTTCCTGGAAGAGAGAGCTTGGGAGCCACAGCTTGAAAGATACTTCAGAGATCTCATTGTGATTGCCTTCCGGCCATCTATTCTCCCTTCTGCTGCTGCCAGCATCTCAATTTGCCTTGAAGAATCATCCTCCTGTTGGTCTCAGACAACGTGGGTCTGGTGCCCAGCTCCTTCCTGTACACACCAGCTTGAGCAGTTGACAGCTGACTCAAGACAACAGCTGTGCCATTCCCCTGACCCTTGTGGCTGGTTCTGGAGCGTGCATGTTAAATAGGTCAGTCTACTATGGACCAATCCCACACATTTTTCTAGAACTGGGAAAAGGGAAATTATCTTGTCTTAGGCAGTAAGGCCTCTGGGGTGGACTCCCCAAGAGTGTGGTCAAGTAGTGAAAATAGAACCAGGAGATGGAGGGGGGCAGGGTCTGATTAGAGCTGGGAAAGATCCAAGTGGTTGGCCTGATGTGACAGTTTCTAAGTACTGAGGACAATTTGTAGGTAATGAGGAAGTGTCCTCCAGCTATGCTGTAGCCCCAAGCAAGCTATCTGGTTCCCAAAAGCATGGCAGACCAATATCTCCTTCCAGAGTGGACCCAGGGAATACTAGACGGGATTCACTGAAGGAAACACCACACTGAGTGACTTCCATCCCAAAGGTGCAGTAATGGCAGATTTGGCAAAAAAATAATTGGAAAAACAGTGTCATGGCATCTCAAATTATTCCACATCCCTCCATCTCTATCACCACCATAGGCATTCAGGCCACTGTTGCCTCGCCCTGAAAGTCTAAAACAGTCCTCAGTTTTCATCCATATCCTCCTGTCTTCCATTCTCCACAGTGCATCCAGAATCATCTTTTTAAAATACACATTCTGTTAAGTCACTTTCCTGCTTAAAACCCTCTCATTCAAATGAGATGACTTCTCATTCAAATGAGAATAAAATCCAAATTTCTTACCAAGATCTGTTTGGTCCTAAAAGACCTGTCCCAAATCTCCTCCTCTACCTCATCTCATGTGACCAAAATTCAGCCACAGTGGCCTTTATTTTGTTTCTCAAACACATCAAGCTCCTTCTGATTCCAGGGCTTTGTTCTTGTGGTCCCCGTCACCTGGAATATACTCTCTCATACTTTCCTCATAGCTGAATCCTCAACCTTCTGTCCCAGATAAAATGCCACCTCCCCGAAGAGTTCTTCTCTTGCCACCATATCTTCTCCACCTCAATCAGTTTTTAACCTAGGCAACCCTGATAAATTACTTCGTGACATTCAAACATGTATCTATAGAGGCTCTAAATAACTGAAAGTCAGCACACAAGGGCAAGGATCTTGTCCATCCTTGTCTACAGCAATTTTTTGAGCTCCTAGAATGAGCGCCATGTGCCGTATTCTGTTAGTATTTGTTAGATAAGTGGCTGGATGGATGGCTGGATGGATAAATGGTGATTGTCCATGGGAATGTAGTTCCTAGATGCTATGGAAAGCAGCCAACCTCAACCAGAAGCACTGGACTTAGGAAATTTTGAAATCAAAGAATCTCCAGCCCTTAGAGCCACAGAGCACTTGGCAAGAAACAGGTTCTCAGCACACAGAGTACCATCAAGTATAGAAGCAGACAATTCAGATGAGAGCCATCTTCTTCCATTGCAATGAGATTAAATCTCCTAGTAGGGTCAAGTGCAAGGCACCTTGGTCTCTCCCATCTGCTTGCATTGAGATGATGACTAACTTTCAAATTGCCATGTTGTGCAACCTGTCTTATTCTACTTCACATGGGATGGGTTATGTGCTGGTGGCATGAGAGGGTTTGAGGGAGGCACATCTCACACATGAGTATGAAACCCAATCATCACACTTATAAACTATAGAGGGATCAAACTATTGTATTTTGGAAGGAAGGGAATAACTTTGGGAATCAGTAAAAACCCAGCGTGTGCTTCAACTGTGTGTGGGCACTTGTTTTCCCCACTCCAATAATGACCCATTCTGGAATAATCTGAACACATTTAGCTGTGCACTTCACCTGGCAGACACCAGACAGCCATGGAGTTCAGACTCCTGACACAAGATGAAAGTGGTTCTGATCCTGAATTCCTTCCAGCAGTGACACTCCCGACATCGTCAATCACTCAGACCCAGAGAGTGGGCAGAGAGCTTTGGGCTAAGGTCCTCGGCAGTCCTTTAGCTGATGAATGTGTCTGTGGGCTCAGAGACATTTTCTGTGTGTTCTTTTTTTTTTTTTTTTATCAAAGTAATACATTGAATGGTAAAAAAAATTCAAAAGGTTATTATGAAAGCCAAATTTAATGCACTTCCCCCATCTTATGTCTCAGAGATAATTTCTTTAGATAGTTTCTGTCTTATTTCCTTTGTTCTTTACCTCCATTGTGTGAAATAATATGAATGTATATCTGTATTGATTTATTAAATTGAGGCCAGGCACAGTTGCTTACACTTGTAATCCCAGCACTTTGGGAGGCTGGGGCTGGAGGATCGCTTGAAGCCAGAAGTTCAAGGCCAGACTAGGCAATATAGCAAGTCCTTTTCTCTACAAAGAAAAAAGACTTTTGAAACATTAGCTAGGCAAGATGATGTGCACCTGTAGTTCTAATGACTCGAGAGGCTGAGGCAGGAGAATTGCTTGAGCCTGGGAGGTTGAGGCTACAGTGAACTGTGATGACAGTACTGCACTCCAGCCTGGGTGACAGTGAGACCATGACTCTAAGAAAAAAGAAAAAAATAAAAATAATTTAAAAGATTTATTAAATTTAGAGAATATCTATTGACTCTCAAAAATAAGAAATAAGGACTTAGCTCACCAGTACCTCTTCCTCTGTTTCTCTTCTTTATGTTTAATAGTTGTATTATTTTTAGCTCTTCCCTTGATTACATTGTTCCCCACATTTTATTATGACTCTTTTCAAACATACACAAAGTTCAAAGAATTTCACAGAGAACACCCATACTCACACCACATAGATTATTTCATCAACATCTTACTCTACTTGCTTTATCGCACATCTTTTCATTTGTCTGTGCCTCTGTCATCAATCCATATTAATTTTTGATGAGTTTCAAAGTAAGTTGGAGACATCAGTGCACTCCACCTGTCAACACTTCAGCCTGCAATACTGATCCAGAGTTCAGTCAGCCACGCAGTCATCACCACAATCCAGTCTTAGAACATTCCACCACCCCACGGTGAGGCAGGGGAATTGCTTGAACCCAGGAAGTGGAGACTGCAGTGAGCTGAGATCATGCCACTGCACTCCAGCCTGGTGACAGAGAGAGACTCTGTCTCAAAAAAAACAAAACAAACAAACAAAAAAAACTTTCCCATACCCATTTATAGTCAATACCACTCTCATTCTCAGGGCAATCCTTTTCCTTCTTTATCTTTTTGAAATGAAATGTGTATAAAATTCAATACACGGATCTTAAGTGTACTCTCAAATGAGTTTTGACAAACACATATTCCTGTGTAGCCGAAGCCTCTGTCGAGGTACTGAACATTACCACTGCCCCAGGGTTTTCTCCACGTCCCTACACTGTCCCCAGCACAGAGACAATGACTGTTCAGATTTGTTCCATGGTAGATTAGTTTTCCTTGTTCCATAACTCATACAGAAAGAATCTGTAAAATAAATAATGTTTTATAAACAGCATTTCTTTTTCACTCAGCATAATGTTTTTTGAGATGGTTCATGACACTGCCTATGTCAATTGTCTATCTGGTTGTTTACTGATGGACTCATGGCCTGTTTCCATGAGTTTTTGCTCATCATAAATAAAGCTGCTAGAAACATACTTGTACAAGTATGTTATTGGCAGACATATGTTTTTATTTCTTGCAGATATGCACCTAGAAGCAGAAATGTTGTGTGTATTTAGCTTTATAAGAAACCACCAGAACATTTTTCCAAAGTGAATGTATGACTTTATGTTCCCATTAATAATGCTTCAGAATTCTAGTTCCTCAATATCTTTGCTGATATCTTACTGTTCTGGTAGTTGTGTCTCATTATAGTTTTAATTTGCAGTTCCCTGATGACTTAATGATGTTAAGTGTTTTTTTGTGTGTTTATTGGCACTTGTGTTTGTGTGTGTGTCTGTGTGTGCATGTGTATGTGTGAAGTGTCTGCCTATGCCCAAGTCATAAGGTTATTCTCCTATAATTTTCTTTTAGAAGTTTTACTTATTATATTTTTAAAATATAATATTGAGATATAATTTCTATGCCATAAAATTGTAAGTGTGCAATTCAATGGTGTTGGTAATTTATAGAGCTGTGCAACCATCACCACAATCTAGTTTCAGAACATCCCTGACATCCTAGAAATGTTCTCCTACCCATTTAAAGCCAACATCACTTCCATCCCAACAGTAGCCAAGCACCACTCTGCTTTCTGTCTCCATACATTTGCCTTTTCTAGACATTTCCATTTACAGGAATTTACCCAAGATAATTAAAACACATGTCTACGAAAAGACATGTAAGTAAACGTCCATAGCAGCATTATTCATAACGGCCAACAGCTTGAATTAATTTAACTTTAAATATAATTCAGCGCTATTGCTTGCTCCAGGAGTTCTCTGCCCTCCACTTTCTGGATGAGAATCTCAGAACTTCTAACATTTTCTTTGCCTTTTCCATCAACTCCAGCCTCCCCCTCCAGGATCCATCCTTCATCAGCCATGTTTCTACTTTTACATCTGAAGGCCATTCACACTTTAATACATCTTGGGTTTTTTTATTTGTTTGTTTGTTTTTGTTTTGGAGACGGAGTGTCACTCTGTCACCCAGGCTGGAGTGCAGTGGTACCATCTCGGCTCCCTGCAACCTCCACCTCTGGGGTTCTAGCAATTCTCCTGCCTCAGCCTCCTGAGTAGCTGGGACTACAGGTGCATGCCACCATGCCTGGCAAATTTTTTGTATTTTAGTAGAGGTGGGTTTTCAGTGTGTTGCCCAGGCTGGCCTCGAACTCCTGAGCTCAGGCAATCTGCCCTCCTCAGCCTCTCAAATGCTAGGATTACAGGCTTGAGCCACCAGGCCGGGCCTTAGTACATCTTTCCACCTCTATTAAGTCTCCCATTCTTTGCCCAACTGTGTTTCTAAAATTGAAATCTAATAAACAATGTTTGTAATATTAAGGCAGTATAAGCACTCATTTATGCATTGAAAAGTGCCAGGTGGTGCTCCAGCTGCTGAAGTTACTGTGATGAACAGACAGGAGGAGTCCCCTGGGAGTGAGGGGTGAGATGCAGACAGTAAGGGAAAAGACAGGGGGATCACGCAATGGTTTAAAGAAGTGTTGTGCTATGGAGAGTAGGGCTGCACGTCACTCTCCCTGGGTCCAGCTACCTCACTCCTGTACCACAACCGGCTGTTCCCAACACTAAGGTCAAATGGTCTTTCTTCTTCCTCTTTATTAATTGCTTAAAAGTATGCTTCATTTGGTTTGTTTCATATTTGGACTTAAAGTCACAGATATATTTTAATAGGCAATTAAAAACTTAAAGAAAAATGAACAATAACAATAAAAAATCTCTATCCCATTCTATTTTTATTTTGTTTTTTTCTAGCAGCCTTGAACTGCCGGGCTCAGGAGATCCTCCAGCCTCAGCTTCCTGAGTAGCTGGGACCACAGGCATGCACCACCACACACTGCTAATTTTTAAATTTTTGTAGAGATTTTTTAAATTTTGTGGAGATTGAGTCTTCCTATGTTGCCCAGGCTTGTCTTAAACTCCTTGGCTTCACAAGGTGTTGGGATTACAGGCGTAACCCACCATGCCCGGCCTCTTTTTAACTTTTCTAACATCTAAGGTTACTCATGAGAAATACTGCTTTTTCATTCCCACTCTTCATAGGTGAATTTATTTTTGTCTTTCTGAAAGCTTTTAAGATAGTCTCCTTATCTTTCATGAGAATGTGTCCAGACATGGGACCTTGGTAGACACTTTTTAAATTTTTTTAGAGACAGAGTCTTGCTCTGCTGCCCAGCCTGGAGTGCAGTGGCACAATCATAGCACACTGCAGCTTCCAACTCCCAGGCTGAAGTGATCGTCCTGCCTTCAATCTGAAGATCAAGTGTTTCAGCTCTAGAAAAGCCTTTTCTGATATTTATTTGATCATTTTCTCCCATCCATTGTCTCTTTTCTTTTGGGGGCTTTGATTAGATATGGGATATTCTGCACAGTTTTCTCTCCCTATTTATTTTTTACTTTTTGATCTTTATTCCGGAAGATTCTTCCAACTTTACTTGCCATATTTTTCATTCCTTCTCATTATCTGTATTTGATTTACCAATTTCAGTTATTCTTTTTATTTTATAGCTAATACATGTTTTGAATCTTGTTGAGTAAATTCGGAATCACATTCTCTTTTCTTTTCTTTTCTATTCCCTTAATTGACTACTTTCTCTGGGGTCATGTTTTCTATTTGTGCATTTTGGTCCTTCCCTTCCTGCTTGCCAATTCTCTTCCTACAGTTGGTGATGCCTGGGTGGCCCCCCACTTATACAGTGTCTGACTAGGAGCCCTGTGTAGGGTGGGGGAGAATATTAGAGTTGAGTGTCAGGCCTCTGTCCATCCCTTTCCTTGCCAGAATGAGGAGGGTGTCACGCTGGGCTGCCATTGTCCACCCCAAATGCTTTTGCATCCACCATGTATCTTTTCAATGTTTTTAGAGAAAAGCCATCTTGGGCTTTGCTAGAAGCAAGCTGTCCTACTGAGTGTCCTCCTCTGGGGACCAGTGGGTGGGGAAGGTAACCTGCTGGTGTACTACTGCAGACTTCTAAGAATTCTCTTGATCCCAGCCACTCCTGAAGGACCCTGAGCCCAGTCTTGTCTGGGGTGCTGGACGACAGACTGGCTTTCATCTCCTCTACAGTCCAGTTGCTTTTCTAAAATGCAGCTTTCTCTGTCCATTTCATTCATGAACTTGTTACGTAAAACTATTTGTCTTCTAAAATTTGATGATAATTTTATTTGTGATTGCCTTTTTCTCTTTGCTGTTTACTCCTTTTTCAACAGATAATTTTTATTTTAGCAGTGTCCCAAGGAAGTCATAAATAAATGAATATTCACATTCTCCCTCCGGGAACCTGAAGCTACTGAAATGCAACAAGAACAATTTCATCGACACAACTGGAAGATTGTCGTTGGGGTTCCAGGCATAAGCAACATATACAAAATTTACGCATTTTATATACATAATGCCTTATCTTTAACATGCATTACCTTTAAAAATTGCTTTATTTTCTCTGGTGATATTAATGTTTTCATACTTATTATCAAGTCTTTCTTTTAAACAACAGGTATGCTTCCTTTGATAAGATAAAAAAAGAGCCAGGCAACTGAACTTGTTTCTGATTTTGCCTTGGCTACCAGGAAGTGCTGTGTTATATTTAGTGTACAATTACAGAAATGATCTCAATCTCTCAACTGTAATTCTGCTTTTAAATATATTTAATCTCTCAAACCAATGACATATATATATATAGCATATATAGCTTATGTCATTATTTGAGAGATTAAAAACATATTTAATACATTTATGTAATTTTGAGTTAATCTCATCTTTTAAAAAATAAGTAGAATACAGGCCAGGCATGGTGGCTCACACCTGTAATCTGAGCACTTTGGGAGGCCAAGGGGGACGGATTACGAGGTCAGGAGTTTGAGACCAGCCTGGCCAGCATGGTGAAACTCTGTCTCTACTAAAAATACAGAAATTAGCCAGGCATGGTGGTGAACGCCTGTAATCCCAGCTATTCAAAAGGCTGAGGCAGGAGAATTGCTTGAACCCAGGAGGCAGAGGTTGCAGTGAGCCAAGATCGTGCCACTGCACTCCAGCCTGGGTGACAGAGCGAGACTCCATCTCAAAGTAAATAAATAAACAGAATACAAATTGTAAATGAATAAAGTAAACTTAAATGTGCTCTTGAGCTCCTGTATGATGGAATAAAGGAATTCTTAGTATGAATGGGGCCTGAGCCTAAGCACTGTGCACAGCTGCAATCCAAGTACAACTGGTAAACTGGTAGCCGGGCTCCCTACGTGGCCATTTTTCAAGGTTCCAAGAATCTTTCTGCTAGAGTCCCCACTATAGGGGAGAGGGAGCCAGGCATGGCAAGATCACCCAGTAAGAACACTCCGTGATCTTGGTTGTTTTATAGGAGAAATTCTGATGGAGTGTGCTGTCTGTTATGTAGATTATCTCCCAGCCAAGCTCCTCAGGGATTCATAATTTAGAACTACAAAGACTAGAAAGACTGTGAGCATAGCAGAACTATTTTATTATAAACTCAGATTCTCATGCAAAAGTAACACTATTGGGTCCCTTAGTAGAGGTTAACCAAAAAAGGAGGAAGGTATAAACATAGAATTTGTTTGGGCTTGGCTTGCTTTTTTAAAAATTATATTCACATTGCCATGGTTTGGGATGAAAGTGTTGGAGTGAAAGGCTGTTTGTTCAGCTGGACACCTTGAAGGAGAGGTGAGCCTGAACTCTGACACTGGATATGCGGACATTGACATTTGAGGTAGCTTTCTCCATAGCTTTGGAGAATGGAAAGGTCTCATGTGATTCAGGGATAATAATTCTGTGTTCCCAGGGGAGATCTGACGGAGAGGGGATGAACAGAGAAGGAAGCCATACATATTTCATGGTGTCGCGGCTAGGGGCCAGAGGCTGTTTTCCTTAACCGTATGGTGGATACCACTTTAAAACATTACCATGTCCTGGAGCCTACGTCAAGGAGGACAGGCTTCTCTATTCTCTCTCTGTGTAGTGGCCTCAGTGTTTCTAGCCATTCTTTCATGGGGATGGCACCCCTCCAGAGCTCCTGGCTTTCTGTGGGGTGGGCAGGAGAAAATCTTAGCTCCAACTGCCCAGCTCTCTCAGGCCCATGGCTTCATCTCCCAGAAGCCATGAAAACCTAAGCTCACTGGCTGGGGAGACTGGCAGGTCATGGTTATAACTTTAGTTTTAGTTTCTGCCCTAGTTTTATTTTCTGGATATTTGTCTTATTGTTGTGTGCTAATTTATGCATTTGAAAACTTGGTTTGTTTTATGCATTTTATCCAGCATTATTGGGAGTTTGTTTTGGAATAAGCCTTAGCAATAATTTTTATTTATTTAGTTGGCCGCTGTACTGATAAAGGGCTCTCCGTGTCCACAATGTGAACCTTGCCCTATAGCTCCATGAAAACTGCTTCATCAATGTCACCAATCACCTTTACTTTGGCCAAATGTATGGACAAAAAGCAAAATGTCCTTATATTTTTTCCCTCTGCAAATTTTTGACACTAGTGACTACTTTCTTATTCTTGAGGAGTTTTACCATCTTGCCTTCAACATATGCAAATGCTTTTCACGTTTATGCCTCTAGCCAAGACCTTAGCCGTGAGCTCCAGCCTTGCATATCTGACCGTCTCTTTGACATCTGTACTCAGATGTTTTAGAGACACCTCAGAATACCATGTCTGAAACACAGCTTCTGTAGTCCCTCCCTCAGTGCCAGGACACCCCAACCCCCAAACCTTTACCTCCCTTTTTATCACATCTCAGAGAATGGCACACCATCTACCACTCACTTAAACTAATGGTGAAATGTACTCCTTGGTTATTTTTTTCTGCTCCTCCCTCCCAATTTCCACCAGCCTAGACAACCCTGTCTTTTTTGTTTTAATGTGCAAACTGTATTCAGATTTCAAACTTAGCCTTGACACCACACTTCTCTATCTAGACTGCAGCCCCTCTTGCATAAGGCGCTCCCAGCCCCTGCATTCTTCTCCCGGTCATCTTCTGCCACACTCATGCCTTCTCTCCTTCTGTGTGTCCTCCTTAGAGGAACCAGGGGACCTGCTCATGGCACTCAGCACTGCAAATATTTCTTTCTTTCAATAAAGAAAAGAGATGTATTTCTTACATTTCTGGAAGCTGGGAAGTTCAAGGCGGAGGAGCGGCCTCTGGGGAGGGTCTTCGTGCTGGTGGGGCCTCTCTGCAGAGTCCTGAGGTGGCACAGGCCTTCACACAGCAAGGGGGCTGAGTGTGCCAGCTTAGACATCTCTTCCTCTTCTTATAAAGTCCCAGACTCATCATGGGGGCTCTACCCTGATAACCTCATCTAGTCCTAATTGCCGCTCAGAGGTCCTGCCTCTCAGCATGGTTACAGTGAGGATTATGTGTGCACATGAGACTTGGAGGGGGCATTCAAACCACAGCCTTCTGCCCCGGCCGCCCACAACTCACGTCCTTCTCACATACAAAATAGATTCACTCCATCTCAGTACTTCCAAAGCCAAACAAACAAACAAACAAAGCAAACAAACAACAAAAAAAGTGGTCTCACTCTGTTGCCCAGGCTGGAGTGCAGTGTCACAATCATAGCTCACTGTAACCTCAAATACCTGGGCTCAAGCAATCCTCCTCCCTTGGCCTCCTAAGCAGCTGGGACTACAGAAACATGTCACCATGCCCTGCTATTTTTTTTTTATTTTTTGTAGAGACAGGGTCTCACTAGGTTGCCCAAGTTGATGCTGAACCCCTAGGCTGAAGTGATCCTCCCACCTTGGCCTCCCAAAGTGCTGGGGTTACATGTATGAGCCATGGCAGCCTGCCCAAAAGTTCTAATTTATTCCAGCATTAAGTTGAAAGTGCTAAGTCCAGAGTCCCATCTGAATCTGATGTGCGTGAGATTCAAGGTTCAATTCATCCAGAGGCAAATCCTCCTACTGTGAGCCTGTGAAATCATACAAGGCATCTGCTTCCAAGACACAATGCTGGGATGGGAATAGGGCAGGGTATCCCCACCCCAAAAGGCAGAGATAGTCAAGAAGAAGAGAGTGACGAGCCCAAGCAAGTCCAAAACCCAGCAGGGCAGACACTAAATCTCGAAGCTGGAGAATCACCTGTTTTCACTCCCAGTCCAGCATCCAATGCACTTTGGGAGGTTTGGGCCCCCAAGGACTCGGGCAGCACCCTGCACCCCCGCACCCCATCATGGCTTTGATGGACTCCATGTTCCTGCGCCCATGGGCTGGAATCTTTCCCATGAGATGCTGCAAGCTGGCTGCTCTGCAGTCTGGGGGTCCCTGAAGTGGACCCCCTCCCATGGCTCCACTAGGCATTACCCTAGTGGGGACTCTGTGGCAGCTCTGACCCCACCTTTCTGTTTGGAATTGCCCTAGAAGGGGCTCTCTGTGGGGGGCTCCACCCTTGCGGCAGGTTTCCGCCTGGTGACCCACGAGGAAAGCCCCCACCACTCTTGAGATCTGCACGCCTGCAGAATTAACACTGTGTGGATGACGCCAAGGCTTATCACTTAGCAGCTCAAATATTTCTTAACTGCAGTCAGAGCTGAGTCCCAAATCCTCGCAATCCCCCTTGTGCGCTGCCTGGACTGACCCTCCAGCCTCTCACTCCACAGGTCAGCCACCCAGCTTCCTTTCCATCCTCCTCAAATGCGCAGAAGCTTGTCCCACCCCAGGGCCTTTGCCCTTGACATTCCTGGGAGAGTGGGGCTCTCTTCCAGCCCAAATCCTTCCAGGCCCACCTTTTCCTCCCGTTTGGAGTTCACCATAGAATTCCCTCCCCGGAGTCCTTCCCTGACTGCACCATTTGAAGCCGACCTACCACCATTCTGTGTTATCATAGCACCTGTCTATTTTTGTATGTATTCATGTGCATTTCTTGTGCGTTGCCTGAATCCCCACTAGAATATTAGTACCGTAAGCACAGCGGCATTTTCTTTCTTGTTCTTTAATCTGTGCCCAAGACTGGCGCTTAGCTGCTCCTCAACAATGTGTTGAATGTGTGACTGCTGAAAGGACAAACGGAAAATCAGGGCCCATTGAGGATCTTTCAGTGCACAGCAGGCACTTTGCTGGGCGCTGCTGAGCCTCCCTGCAGAGCAGCTGTCTGTGGCTGGGAGGAGTTGCCCTCAGTCGCATTTCATCTGAGCTCCTGGGAGTGCTGCTCTTTGCAGCGTCTCTGATTCACAGAGCCCCAGCTGATGGGAGCAGAGCTGTTCAGAATGACAAACAAAGCGCAAAGCTGGAGACTGCACCCACCAGGCGTGGGGCGGGAGCTCGCGGGCCTCCACTCCTGGCCCCAGGAGGGTGGCTTTGTGAAATTCCGACAGAAACATGAAGAGGTTAATATGCCTTGAAAAGGAGGCCAGGCATTTTATTTTCCTCATTGGACTATTTCTGAGAGTAAAAAGGGTACTACTAAGTATGCCAGAAAAATAGGCAAAAATTAGGGCTGTGCTAGGCAAACTCAACCCGTTATCACTCAGGGGAGCTTCTAGCTGATTTTTAGAGAAGGAGCGACTGCCCTAGAAGTCTAAAAAGGCAACTCAGATCACAGAGAGCACGGGCTAGATGCCAGGAGGCCTGAGGTCGGCCCACGAGGTCTCACCTGTGAGCTGTTGTCACGGAGGGAGCCACACGGCCTCTGGGTTTCTTCCTTTGTGAATTGGAGATGATAATGCCTGCTCCATGTCCTCTCACTGTCACATGAGCCATAGCACTCCAGAAACTGTAATTGTTTTAGAAATTTTTGGTGGTATTGATATTTGTTATTGTTCTCAGTTTTCTTTAGCTCGAAATTAGAATTTTTTAACTTTAAAGAGAATTTTTTTCCACTGGAATTTCAATATTGCTTACATTATAAAACAGAAAAAGGGGCCAGGGGCAGTGGCTCATGCCTGTAATCCCAGCACTTTGGGAGGCCAAGGCAGGTGGATCACCTGAGGTCAGGAATTTGAGACCAGCCTGGCCAACATGGTGAAACCCTGTCTCTACTAAAAATGCAAAAATTAGCCGGGTGTGGTGGTGGGCGCCTGTAATGCCAGCTACTCAGGAGGCTGAGGCAGGAGAATCGCTTGAACCTGGGAGGCAGAGGTTGCAGTGAACCGAGATCACACCACTGTACTTCAGCCCAGGTGACAGAGTGAAACTCCATCTCAAAAAAAAAAAAAAAAAAGATGTGATGTCTCTTAAAATGTCAAAGTCATCTCTTTTTTGTATATTTTGTTCTAGTCTTTTTTCTGACATGTAAACAGGTTTATGTGCATATTTTTAATATTTGTTTACAAATTTAGGATTATACCATATGTACAGTTGATTCAGTGACAGGAAAAAGAAAAGATACAGGCATACAGAACAAGGTAATTCTTTGCTGGAAAATACTGCCCAGGAATGAAAGACTTAGATCTATTTCTTTCTTTATTTTTGAGACAAGGTCTTGCTCTGTCACCCAAGCTGGAGTGCAGTGGTGAGATCATGGCTCATTGCAGCCTCAAACTCCTAGGCTCAAGCGACCCTCCCACCTCAGCCTGCCAAGTAAGTGGGACTACAGGTGCACACCACACCCAGCTATTTAAAACATTTTTTTTTTGTAAAGACAGCGTCTTGCTATGTTGCCCAGACTGGTCTCAAACTCCTGGCCTCAAGTGATCCTCCTACCTCTGCCTTCCAAAGTGCTGGGACTCCAGTCATCAGTCACTGTGCATGGTCAAAGGACAATGATTTTAATCATTGTGTATTTTGATCAGTGATCTGTTTCCCTTGGTTTTTTTGTTTGTTTGTTTTTGTTTTTATTTTTTTATAATATGTGAGGAAGAGGAGAACATTGTAATACTAAGATTTGTGCCACAGTTTCTTATAACTTCTTAAGAAGCCACAGGAGAAAGCTTCTGGGTGAAATGATCAGACATTTCTAAGCTGCCTGTTGCTGCCAGTCATGCTTCTGGTGCAGTGTGTGAGGATCCACCTCATGCACCCCACAGGCATGGAGGATGGCTGGGGTTTGTTGTGTTTCAAGATTTAAAATTAAAATCTGCTGGGCGTGGTGGCTCATGCCTGTAATCCCAGCACTTCAGGAGGCTGAGGTGGGCAGATCACGAGGTCAGGAGTTCGAGACCAGCCTGGCCAATACGGTGAAACCCCATCTCTACTAAAAATACAAAAATTAGTCGGGCGTGGAGGCGTGGGCCTGTAATCCCAGCTACTCGGGAGGCTGAGACTGGAGAACCGCTTAAACCTGGGAGGCAGAGGTTGCAGTGAGCCGAGATTGTACCACTGCACTCCAGCCTGGGCAACAGAGAAAGACTCTGTCTTGAAATAAATGAATGAATGAATAAATTAATTAATTAAAGTTAAAATCTTTCTTGAAGAACAGCTTTTTTCTGGACATCTCATTCATGAGCCCCCACTGGCTCTGGGCTCCCCATCCTGCTTTGTCCGAGTCAGAGAAGTCTCCTAAAATGTGGAACTTTGAGGGATACAACTTGGAGTAGTCCTGGGAGCCCAGCTGGCTTGTCACCCAGCAACAGGCTGCTCACTGGGAGCACAAAAAACCCACACCTCTTTGGAGGGCCTCTTGGTCGAGTTGCAGATTTAGCCCTTCCTGGGCCCCCCACAACATTTTGGGTGGAAAAAGCACCATTTCTGCTAAATGATTTCTCTCAGAGCTGGCCAGGAGCAGCCACAGGGACCACCCAGCACCACCCAGGATTGCTGCCAGGGCTTTTCTTCTCTGGTGAACACCTGGTCTTCTACGCCCAGCTCATGAGGAAGGATGTCCCCAGAGATCCCTCCAGGCCCAACCATTGCTTCCCAGACAGATGCCCTATGGGAAGAAAAAGGAAGAGAGCTCCTCTTCTAGGCTTTAACACAGAACGTCAATGCCGCCCAGCGCTGTTCCTCCTGCCCACGGGCTGACGGCATGAGGGGCCTTGCCGTGGAGGAAAGGAGGCCCTGAGTGCATCTGGAAGCACTGAGAGAGCCTAGCCTGGAGGGACAAGCGCTTCCCCCACACGCTTCTCTCACTCGCCCCATGCTGCGGGGCTGCCGAGCCTGAGCTATCTTTGGCAGCTCCCCCAGGGCCAGAGAGGAGCCTGTGCCTCAAAGTTTATGGCTTGAATTATTCGTGTGTTATTAACAGCAGCAGTGATGAGGACAGGAAAGTGGCAATCCTGACACCATGGCAGTGGCCCGTCCCAAGAGAGCCAGAGAGGCAAGGCTGCCTGTGAGTCCGGCCATACTGGCAGGGGATGAGTCACGCCTCTCCCGTTCTCCTCTTCTCTGCAGACAGGGTCAAGGTCATCACAGGCCCCACCCCGAGAGAGCCCCTTCCCCAGCTGAGGTTCTGTGGGCTCCTGGAAACCTGTCATGACTAGTGCAGCACAGCGGCTGAGAGTCCAGTCAGGGGCAGCTGAGGTCCCATCCCACAGCCTCCACTTAGGAGCCCGTGACCTTGGGGAAGGGCCTCATCTTCCCTAACCCTTCCTGACACTCCAACAGGGATGAGAGCAGAACATCCCTGTAGGGCCACCCTGAGGATTAGATGAGAGAAAGGACAGAGCGTGACGCCCAGCATACAGTCAGTGCCAGGAAATGGAGCTACCTGAGCCTCCTTCATGCTGTTGGTGCTCACTCTGTGCTGGCTCGCACTTATTCCTCACCCCACTCAGGTGGTCCTCTTCACTCAAATTGGAATTGCTCTCTGGTTTCGAGTAAGCAAATCCAGCCTTCTCCAAGGTGGATGTACCTTACCAAATCGTTTCTGTCCTTACCGAGGTGGAAGGTCAGGTCCCAGGAGGGGCTTCTGAGCACACGGGGTTTTGCACTGGTTGGTGAATGGCAGTCCTTGACTCCTCATCAACCAGTGTTTCTGCCTCTTGCTTCAGCCTGGCCTGAAAGGCAGGGCATCTGAACCAGCCACTCCTGGGAGAACTTGCTAACTTCTTCCAGGTCTTGCTAATGGCCATTGCCCACTCCAGGAAGAGAGACCATGCCAGCCGCCAGCCTCTCTCTTTCACTGGACTCTAGGTGTGCTAAGATGGATTTCTTAAGGCTTTGACTCCAGTCTCCTCTTCATTTGTGAGAGGGAAGAGAAATATGATCATTCATTCTTCACAGGGTTGTGGCAGGAATAAATGGTAGCTCACAAATAGAACTTCACAGTGTCTGGCATTCTGGATGGGCTAAAACAATGCTGAATATGTTATAATTCTTCTACTCATAAAAGCTTTATTTTGATGTCTACTTTATCCCAAATCTCCCTGATTGGAATTTTCCAAGACAGGTAATAAGGTGCTTTGGTTGGGGCATTTTGGCAACTCCCTAAAAAGATTTTGAGCAAAATCCTTAAAAAATTCGAGACTTACCACTAGTACTCACATCCCAAAGGGTGAATCCGGCTGAGCAGGAATATTTAAGACCTTGCTCAGGATTTGAACTTGAGCCTCAGACTCTACCAAAGCTCTGACATGTCCACAAAGAGGCTACTGGAAGGCTTCAGGCCTGGAAGGGAAGTTTCTGATGAGATTCTCATCTTAGGATGGATTTCCTAGAAAAAGAACTGAAAATATGGATCTGTGTGAACACAATTATTCAGAAATGACTAATAGAAGAGTGAGAAAGTGGGGCAGAGAGGAAAATGGCACCCAAGGATGCAGCATCAAGAACAGGCCCCAGGGGGTGCTGGCTTGGCCCCAAGAGGGAGCTCTGGAAGGTTTAGAGAGCTAGCCTGATCAGAGGCAAGGGGGCCGGGCGCCGTGGCTCACACTCGTAATCCCAGCACTTGAGGAGGCTGAGGTGGGAGGATCACTTGAGGACAGGAGTTTGAGACCAGCCTGAGCAACATGGCAAGACCCTGTCTCTACAAAAAAAATAAAAAACAATTAGCCAGGCTTTGGGACATGCACCTGTAGTTGGAGAGGCTGAAGTGGGGGGATTACTTCAGCCCAGGAGGTCAAGACTGCAGTGAGCTGTGATAACGCCACTGCACTCCAGCCTGGGTGACAGTGTGAGACCTTGTCTCAAGAACAAGCAAACAAAAACAAACAACAATGAAAAAAGAAAAAACAATTAAAAAGAAGCAAGGGGACATTTACACCTACCCCCCCCTTTGTTAGTGGTGGCTGATCCTGGGGTGATGTAACTCCTGAGGCATTTTTAGCCCTCAGTGCAGGCAAACAAGGTCAGTCAGGGCAGCTGGCACAGAGACCCAAGGAGGCTGAGGGGAGTGGGCATGCACCGAGTGGGTGTGTTCCAGAGGGTGACAGGGGCCAGGGAATGTGGGGGGAGCCCCGATGGCGGGCCTCTCCACAGGGCAAGGTAAAGCTCCCTGGGAACCCACTCTTGCCATGATAAGAGACTCCAGGTACTGGGCTGTCTGCTCTTCCTTCCCTCTGGCTTTTCCCTACCCAAAGTGCTTGCCTCTTCTTCCTTCTTCCTTTCCTTGGACATTTACGGGGCATCTTCTAGACACGAGGCTTGGTTTCAGGGGCTGTGGGAGCCACAGAAGGCAGAATGAGCTGTGCAGATCAGGGAGAGCATTGAACCACAGCAGCTGGATTCCTTCTGATCTGAAGCCATCCACTGAATTTGCATCCCAGATCAGCCACGGAGCATGAATAAATGATGTGGCTCACTAAGCCTCATTTCTTGAAGTAAAGGAATAGCACTTATATACACCCACTTCGCAAGCCTATTTTCAGAATACTGTGAGGGGATGGGTGTAGAGAGCCCAGCCCAGTGTGCAGTTTATGCACTGGCCCCTCCTTTTCTCTCCATTCATCTCATTTCTTTCCTTTGCCAAGTGCCAGGTTGCCACCCTCCTGTCCTGAGTAAAAGTCCTGGATCCTTGAGCAATGACCCCTATTAATTGGTTCCTGGGCTCATCATCCCAGTTACTGGGAGATTCCTATGGTAACAGTGAGTGAGACTCTTTAAGAAGAAAGTGGCAGGGTGCAGTGGCTCACACCTGTAATCCCAGCACTTTGGGAGGCCAAGGCAGGCAGATGACGAGGTCAGGAGATCAAGACCATCCTGGCCAATGTGGTGAAACCCCATCTCTACTAAAATACAAAAAATTAGCTGGGCATGGTGGTGCATGCCTGTAGTCCCAGCTACTCAGGAGGCTGAGGCAGGGGAATCACTTGAACCCCAGAGGCGGAGGTTGCAGTGAGCCATGATCACACCGCTGCATGCCAGCCTGGCGACAGAGCAAGACTCTGTCAAAAAAAAAAAAAAAAGAAGAAGAAGAAGAAGAAGAAAAAAGAAGAAGAAAGCAAGAAGGTAATTAGGAGGACACAGGCCCACTGGAGGCACGCCAGAAGACCTTCTGGAGGGGACTTGTTTTGGGTGCAGCTGCTCACTCTCCCTCTCTCATGGCTGGTATATGCCTCTCATACTCCAGCTGGCCAGTCCTTTTTGTAAGCTCAGGTGCAGGCTCCAGAGCTATGGATGGGTCAACTCCTCCCCAAGTTGGTCAGAGCCCCTGGTGGGGCCCTTCCTAGGCTGCTGGCCTCTGGATGGCTGCCCTTGTGCAGGTGTTGACCCTTGATCCAGAGATCACATCACCCCATGTATGAATAGACCTGTGCTGCTCCCCCCAAGAGTGAGGGTGGGCTGGGGAGACAGGGGTGGCCAGCCTGCTCACTCCTCCCAACAAGGGCCAGTTTGTCCCTTTCCTCCTTGAAGATCTTGGAGCTTGCCTGGGAAGTGTCTGGGAAACAAGATGTCATAAAGAACATATGATTTGGCTCAATCCATCTCTGCTGGCTTTCTCCTTTCTCCTCCCTGCACTCATGCCCTCTCTCTCTGGGCTTCTGCTTGCTCAGAGGGTGGCTGTGACATGCCTGGTGTGCCCTGGGCCTGTAGACAGAGCACTTTACCTTCAGTCATGAGGCTGGGCTATGCAGGCTTCTCCCAGGGAGCAGCTCTGGTCTTGTGTTTACTCCCTTTGAATCCTCATCATCTGAGCATAATCCCTGGCACACAGTAAATGTTTAATAAACTGCATTTATCCAATGAACCAGTGAGTGAATTCTCATGAATACACATGTGTGGCATATGTGAGAAAGAGGCTGTGCAGGTCAGGGGTGCTGTCCAGGTCCCGTGGCACTCACTACAGGTGCCAGTTTCAATGAGAAACACACCAGGGACCCAGCTGAGCTTGTGTGCGTAACCTGACTTACAGTCATGGCTGCCCAGAAGGGTGAGCTGGAAAGGCCGTTTCCAGGCTCAGGATTGATTGGTGATGTCTGCCCCGGGGAAGAGCAGCGTGGTAACTGCACCTGTGTCATGTGTCTCCAACCTTCGGCCTAAGCCATCTGATCATCATTTCTGAAACCTCTTTAGCCTGAGGGTAGGGCCCAGTACAACTCTGAGAAAAACACATTAGTCTATTCTACAGGTAATGTCTGGCATAACCTGGTCAACATTGTCCTCCTGGCTGCCTATAGTTAAGAAGGGGCAGGGACATCATTTCAGTCCCAACACGGTGATTGTCACATGAAATGCCAGGCAACCCTGAAGCTGTGCACACAAGAACTGCTTTCCTGAAACATCCTACACAAACCCCAGACTCTCAAGCCCGTTTCCCTGAGAGCTCAGATCAGCCCCAGTTACGGATCTCTGGGGGCCCTTCTTCTTTTCCTGGTGCTCTTTCCTGACAGGAGGAAACTGAAGTGTTCCAAGGCTCAGTGCAGGGCTTTGACACCCTAAGCTAAATGCAATTCTGACTTTGGAGCTCTTGCAGGGGGTCGGGGTGTTCAGTGAGTGAGCTGAGGGCTTGGCCTGGAGACAGAATGAATTTCTGTTTCAGAACAGCAAGGAGGAAATTCGCCCAGCTGCCACTGTCACTGCACAGCCCAGCAGGGGATGGCAGCTCTGCAGAGAGACAGGGGGCCTTCATCTTGCCGGGTCTTGGTGCTATTAGGGCTCCAAGGGAAGCAGGGTGGTTTTTCTTCTTTAGAAATTAGCAAAACCACATATGCCTTTGGTAAGCTGAGGCTGAGAAGTTAGGCCTTGGTGCCCAGAGCGTTCTCCATGGAGCTGAAGAAAAGGCAGCAGGCATGTGTAGTGGAAGAACGTGTGAGCCTGTCTCAGCAAAGGAGGGGATTTCACGCTGGGCTGCTCCTAAGGCAAGCTAGTTCAGCATCAAGCAGAGAAGTGTTTGCATCCTGGATGCCTACAGTGGTTCGCTTGGGTATGCAGCAAGGCTTCTGAGAGCTGGGGTTCTCCTTTGCCGAACTCTGTGTGCACCATGAGATGGCAATGAAGGAGGTGGAGCCCTAATGAGGCGGAGATTGTTGGTTTCCCACTGCACCTCCATGAAGTCAGAGTCGCCGACAGTCAACATCTGCAACTCCACCTCCCAGGGGTTTTTGTTTCTGGCCATTCTTGCACACGTCAGAAGCAGCCCTCACCAATGCTGGAGGAAAGCCGACAGGTGGATACCCCGAGAATCCTCACTCCTTGGCTGTGACCACCTTGTGCTGTGTTCCACACTGACTCTCAACATTCTCCAGTGGGATTCAGGCCAGAGACCCATGCCCTAACCCAAACATGCCGACAACTCAATTCCAATTAGCTCCTCATCCCCGCTTTTCCTGCTTCCCAGAACCCTAATGGTACTTCCGGGAATCGCCTTCCAGGTAAACCAACTACACTCCTCCCTTGTTTGTGGTCTGCTCCCAGGGCAGCCTGGCCTGAGACAGCTGCTCTCAAGATTGGCTTAGGCTCACCTGGGCAGATCAACATCCATCACATTCTAATCCAGTTGAGAGAACCCATCTTCCTGGATAGGTTGGTGCAGTTTTAAATCACATGGCCCCTTGTTATACACACATGAACACTTTTCTCCTCTTGGTAACTCATTTCTTCCTCTACCAATGTCTGTGGAGCAGAAAGCAATGAGGCTCAAAGAGTCCCTGCCATAGAGAGGACCACATCTATCAGAGGAGGATGGCATGGACTGTGACTATCTACATACAAGAAAGAAAGGGTTGAGGCCCCTAGGGAAGTGCAGAGTTGGGACCACAGGGACCCTGAGGTGGGTCCCTTCCAGGCTAGAGGGAAGGAGGCTTGGGAGCCACCTCAGAAATGGTGGAAGAGAGGAGCTGCAGGTCCGGGAACGGTGGCCCCCAGGGTAGCAGCCTTGATGGGATAATACCATGAAGCAATGGGAAAGGCCATGGGTGTACCTGGCGAAGGGTGGTGTGTACCCTGGTGGGCTGGGAGATGATTTTAGGCTGCGCATTTGTTGCGGTCTGGGTTCCCTAGAAAGCAGAACTTGAGGCAGAAGCTGACTTTACTGACACTTTGCTGTCGAGTGCAGTCCCAGGAAAGCAAAGTGAGGCAGGCAGAGGGGAGCTGTGTCTGCCTTGCTCGTGTTTGGTGAGAATATCATGAGTAGGGTGAGGCTTTGTCACAAGTGGACTGCTCAGTATCTTAGCAAGTCTTTAGGGAGGCCAGGGGAACTGCTGGGTCCCAACACAGCATAGAGGCTGGGGAGTGGGATAGGAAGGGGAAGGATTCAGCCATAGGCCCCTGTTTCCCACTCATCCAAATTTCACTCTATGGGGTGTAACGCCCCAACACTCCATCCCTGGGGGCTGGTGTGGGCACTGTGGGTGGACTTCTCAGTATCTCACACTTCCACAGCAACGGGGAAACTCCAGGGCAGGAACCAGAGATATGCACAGCAGGAGGGGGCGAGATGCTCTTAGGGTGGGCTTGTGAGCCACTGAGGGCCCAGAACGGCTGTCTTAGAAGGCCCCGACCTGTGGAGGAAGTGGAGACAGCTCCGTGGCCAAGGAGCAGCACCAGCTGGGCCAGAGCCATGTCAGCCAAAGTGGGCAGCCCAGAGATGACATCTGATACGACACAGACACATGTCAGAGGCTATGCGCTTATTTTCCTGTATCTTAGAAAAATAGGAATCTAACATATCACACCCATGATAACGCAGACTTTATTTAGACAATGTAGATAAATAAGCACACAGCTGGAAGGTAATCATGACACCAGTTGTGAAGGGGCACAAGTGTGAAGCGCTGGGGCAGGGGAGGCAGGGAGAGAGCTGGCTGGCTTGTGTCTGTCCTAGGCCAGGGTGTCTGGAAGGAAGATGCAAGGCAGGAGGCTGATGAGGAGCTTGGGGCCGGGGACTGGGGGGCCTGGCATTCACAACAGGGGACACTTGCAGGCAGGTATGTTTTGCTGACATTCAAAGGTTGGAGGGAGAATACTGCTGTGACTTGTTACTTTGTCAATAGGAGCAAATACATCTGCACTGGGGGCCACACCTGGGTGTGGGATAGCTCATCCCAAAACAGTGCATACCCTGGAGAACTTTCTCTAAATCCAACTTTCTTTTCTTTGAAAAATTAGATAGATAAAAGTAGTATGAAAGGTATTATTATGAGAAAGACCTTGAATCTTTCTAAAATAATAATTTTAAAGGACTGAAATTGCCAAGTGTTGGTGAGAATGTGGAACACACTGCACTCCCATGCTCTGCTGGTGGGAGTGTATATTGGTGCAACCACTTTAAAAAACACCATTCATCAATATCTCCTAAAGCCAAACTTATGCCTATACTATGACCCAGCCATTATATTCTTAGACATATGCCTGACAGAAATGTGTACTTATGTGTGCCAAAAATGTGTACTTATGTGTGCCAAAAGTCTGTGAAAATCCCTCAAGCCATAGGCTTGCAATGTGTGGATTTTTCTGTATCCATGTTGTACTTCAGCAAAAGTTCAAAAGAAAAAAGAAAGGAAAGTAAACAATTTGTAAATGTCTACACTTCTATACTGTGGTGCTCTTTTTAGTAACAAATCATGTCATAACTGATTAGAGTGTTCAGCTGATTAAAGCTGAACCAGAGATAACGGAGAAAGAAGCCCATTTGGGGGATTTTCCTGTGTCCGGCAAGAGGAGCAGGTGATGGAGGAGTTGAGCTTCGTGCCTACGGTCTCAGAGATGCTGGGACTCCCTGCGGCCCACATCAGGATGTGAGGTGTGAGATCTTGCTGCAGGGCAAGGACTCGCTTCTGCCTGCAATCATCGCCCTTCTTCAGATTAGCCTGGGGAAGTTCCCACAAACGAGCCATTTAGGGAGATAACTCAAAATCAACGCCATCATCTCGGGGAGGAAAAAAAGTGGGGGCCAAAAATTTAATCACTTCTTTCTTCTTGGTCATTCTTGAAGTAATTGTGTGGCCTCTCATTTCTTGTGCTGAATGTGATAGAATGTATTGTTGTTCCCATGTCAGACGGTTTTAGCAAGCCAGCTGTAGGGAAGGTCAACTGTGCTCTTGGAGAGAGCAAGACAAGACACAGTGGCTGAGCCAGCCGAGCCGAGGGAACAGGCAGATCAGAGTGCAGCAGCTCCAGAGTCCCTCCCTCTCCCTGGAACACAGCGGGGCCATCCCCCCGACTCCCTGAGGGACACTGGGCTGCTGTGTCACCCTATCATTCAGCAAGAGAAGCAACCACTTGCAGGTGTAAGTCACGGTTTTGCCATGGTCTGGGTGGTCTCAAACTAACCCTTCGAATTCCCTGAACTTCAGTTTTCCCATCTCCAAAATTATACCCACCTTGCAAAGTTGTTATAAGGACTGCATAAATCAGGGGTCATTTTATTGTAAAGAACCAAACAGTAAATGTTTTAGGTTTTGCTGTCTATGAGGTCTCTATCCCACACTGCAGTGTGAAAGCAGCCATAGACAACCATAACTGAGCAGCTGTGGCTGGATTCCAATGAAACTTTACTCACATGACAGGTGACAGGCCAGACTTGGCCTGTAGGTCATGGTTCACCAACCCTAGCATAGGCTAAGAAGTTAGTTCGCTTATATAGGATGGAATGCGTAGCATGGTCTATATGCATTACTTTCGTTCTTCCCCCTTCCCGCTGTGTTTTTAGCAGGGCTACATGAGCCATGTTGAGAGAAGCGTCTAGCTCAATATCTGCATAGAGCTGGTATTCAGCATGTATTTGGTGTTTCTACCCATTTCTCAGTTGAGCATTCATTTGTCCGAATGACTCCCAAGCTGTGCCCTGAGGGTGTCTGTTGGTAAATCGGAACCCTGGAGAGGTGAGCGGTGAGGGAGGGTGCAGTTGAGCAAGAGGAACCTCGGGAAACTCCTTACTTCCCTTCCAAGTCAGAGCAAGACACTCACTGACGACCCCACCATGCCCAGACAATGTGACCTGAGCACACTATACTTAACCTCCCCATGGCTGTCTCCTCATTGATAAACCAGGATGTGGACATCAGTGAGGATTAAATGAGTTAATATCTGCAAGTAGTTGTAACGATGCCTGGAGCATAATCTAGTAATGCAAATTGTATTCACAATAAAGCAGCAGAGGCTTGGGGTCTCTGTCCAACCCTCACAAGTTCACAGCTCAAGACCCCCTGGGCTCCATAGGATGAATGCACCAAGGAGACAGGTGTGTACTAGGCCAAGCCATGTCCAAGGCTCTGCTTTCCTTTTTTCTTTATTAAATATAGACAAGGTCTCACTCTGTCAGTCAGGCTGCAGTGCAATGGTGTAATCTTGGCTCACTGCAGCCTCAACCTCCCCAGCTCAAGGGATCTTCCCACCTCAGCCTCTCAAGTAACTGAGACTACAGATGCACACCACTATGTCCAGATAATTTTTAAATATCTTGTAGAGATGGGGTCTTGCTATATTGTCGAACTCCGGGCCTCAAGGCATCCTCCTTCCTCAGCCTCTCAAAGTGTCGAGATTACAGATGTGAGCCACTGTGTCCAGCCACCACTTTCCCTCTTATCTTGCTTTGTGGGTGTAGGCAGAGCCAGCATCAGAGAAACACAGCATTGGGAAATACATTACAGGTGGAAAACCTTTGTAAGTAACGGCTGTGGCAAGAGCTGGCACATTTTCTCCTTCATTGCCTGGACCTGGAATGTGTTCCCTGATTTCACTCTCGTCGGCTGCAATGTTGAGATGGGTGGCTGCTTTCAATGCAATTGCTCTGGACTGTGGCCTCCTAGATTACAGCAACTTCAGGGGCTCATGTCATCTGTGTGTGCATGTGTGTGTATGTGTGTGTGCATGTGTGTGTGTGTTGCAGCCCAGGTAAACAGGCACTGGAACAGTTTCTTTCAGTCCAAGAATGAAAACTGGCTTCTAAAATGTCAATTTCCCCCTGCCTGCCCCAATTAATTTCATCAAGGAGGCCCAGGAGGAGAGATGTAGAGTCTGAGCTGAGCCCCAAAAGATACATTTTCTCCTACATAGATAATGTGTCATTAATTAGACAACTGGGTGCACCCAGAATTCATTTTACATAATTGTCTATCTCAACTCCGAAACCGGGATTTGCCCTCTGGGCAGGGAGCAGTCAGCCAGCGGCTCTTTGTTTAAAGTAGCCCAAGGTTTCTAAAACTTCCACATGGAAGGGGCGGTGAGAAAGTAGATCCTTGAGGAAAGGAATCAACTACCCACGGACTCACAGAGGGTAGTGGTGGGGCACCCAGACCAGGGCAGTCGAGAAGCGCTGGCGAGAAGACAGGACTCAGCCAAGGCAGAGCTGAGAGCAAATCCCGCTCACTCCACACGTGGCTGTGGGAAAGGCAGTGACCCCTCTGAGCTCAGCTTCCTCACCTGCCACATGGGGAAAGTGGTACCTGCCTCCCTGGGTTGTTGTGAAGGTTAAATGAGACAGAGCATTTGTAAAGAGCAAGAGAAAATTACTCACCATCAGTCTTTCCAAGGAAAGACCATGCTTGTTTGGGGAAAAAAAATACATTCTCTGATAAGCCACTGGATTGCCCAGGATTTGAGGGCAGGTGATTTTCTTGGGAGGTGACCTCAGGAAGCTTAGGATCATGTCAGAGCATCGTGGAGGAACAGAAAAGAGTTTGGGTATCAAGCGTAATAGAAAAAGTGAGAAATTGTGGCCAGGTGCGGTGGCTCAAGCCTGTAATCCCAGCACTTTGGGAGGCCAAGGGGGGGTGGATCGTCTGAGGTCAGGAGTTTGAGACCAGCCTGGCCAACATGGTGAAACCCTGTCTCTACAAATAAAAATACAAACATTAGCCGGGCATCGTGGCCAGTGCCTGTAATCTCAGCTACTCAGGAGGCTGAGGTGGGGGAATCGCTTGAACCTGGGAGGCAGAGGTTGCAGAGAGCCCAGGTGACAGAGCAAAACTCGGTCTCAAAAAAAAAAAAAAAAGAGTGAGAAATTGTGAACTTCAAAAGCCCCAACAATAGAAGAATGGTTCCAGTCAGAGAATTTACTAAATCTTCAAAGATGACTTTAAAAATAACATCTGATGATAGGTAAAAACAAATAATATATTAAGCTAAGTAATAAAAACTGTATACATATATGCAGAGGAAATGAGAAGAAAAATATCAAACTATTTGAAGTGTTAGCCTCTGAATAGGGGGTTATAGATTTATAGATAAATTTAATGTTATTTTTATATAACAATCTATACTGTCCAATGCTATATTCAAGGTATATACAACTTACTATTGTATTACATTATCAGTTTTGAAGAAAAATAAACATAAATTATAACAGCAAACACAGAAGACAATTAAATGCAATTGGTGGTACCAACATCCTTCTAACTTACGAAACATTAATACCTACAGTTATTAAATTCAAAATTCCACTTCTTGAATTTAACGTTTTTAAGTAGTCCATGTGGTCAGAACGAAGATGCATTAGACGCACTGTTCAAGTCTAGTATCTATCCCCAAACACTTCATGATGGATTTTCCTATAGACCGGCGTATGGCATTCTTCACACAGCGTCCTCATACATGCAATGTTTATCATCAGACATACTATTCGTCCCGGTCATCAGAAGGATGACTCAGGCTGGAGCTTCACCCCCAAGATTACCACAGTCACTAACCAGTCACAACCAACAGCTGTCTTTGCTGGAGATCCAGAAGTCCCTAGTGACTCAATGGATGGGCTCTGAGGGTCTACCCACTATATCTGTATGCAAAATGTTGACTGTGGACCTAATGATATTGGTCTGGGGGAAGCGGACCAGCCTTTTATCAAATCTCAAAGTTATCTCCAAAGTTTAAGAACTCCTGTTAAGTGAAGCCATTTGAGGCTTTGTGGCTGTAAAATAACCTAAACATATACAAGACCATCTCCAAATAGAGTCTCCATTTGAAAACTGATCTAATATCAACTTGAGAAAGAGGTTAATAGCAGCAATGCCCAGTTCAGCACATGAGTTTTAATACCAACAGACTAAATGTAAAATTAGGAAACGTAAGCCACTTGTTTCCCTACTAACTGGATTCTGGATGGCCTGTTCATCATGAAACTTAGGTATTTGGAAAAAGGCCATGAGGAAAATGTTATCTTCTAAACCCAGACCTGGGCCACTGGTCCTGTGCCTACAGTGTTTCCCGGACTTGGCAATAGGATGGATTTTAATAATGGTGAAGCTCTGTCCTGCAGGAGCTTCCATGGGGCCACACTTACAGATACTCCATCCCCCGGCTGCCGGGCTGCCATGTTCCTGGGATAACGTCATGATTCATCCGGTTTCCTGCACCTCCAGAATAGGCCATTTATCTGAGCCTGGCCAGGTGGCACCGGAATGATGACTAGAGAAGGGGCTTCATTGTTCGATAATAATTTACACCAGCCTGGGGAAATACTGTCTGTCTTGTAAAAGAATGTTCTGCATGAAGGGAAGCATGCACGTACTGGAGGATGAAAAACAAACAAAATCAACAACAAAAAAGGAGAGGCTTCTATCAGAAATTGGTCCACATAGGAAATGAATTTAACCTAAAGTAAATGGATACTGACACTAAGTCTCCCTTAATCATTTCCTGGGCTCTGAAGGAACTTTCCGCACCTGCAGAAACCAGTTTCCCTTTATCTCAGATTAAACCAGAAGCAGACCTCGTGATGAAGATGTGGGGGCCAGGAGCGACTCCAGGGAGCACTGAGTGAGGAGCAGGGAGCTGGGAGATGGAGAGGAAAGAAAACCAATGCAGGGTGTGTTAGAGCAGCTTGCCTTGCGGGAAAATGGAGTTTAATCCTGTTGGATTTGGTGCATGCTGTGAAACACGTTTCAGAATTGTTCTAGCCGCGGGGCAAAGAAGCTGGAGTGCTCACCCGCCATATCCCAGTGGTGGCTGGTGGAGAGCTGTTCCAAGGTACATTTACTCCCTGGCTCTTGTTGTCTGCCCTGTGTGCAAGATTGAGTGTGGAGCCACTGGTATTTGCTGTAAGAAGCCTTTGGTTTGCACACAGTGAGTGCTAAAGGGAAAAGGGAACGTCTCTGAGGGTGCCTGCAACAGCCCACTCAAAACTCCACGGACCATCACCATACTCCACGAGCAGAGCCCCCCACCCCCGGCCTAGAAAATGAAATGGTTATGCCTGTTCCTCTTTCGGTTCTTTAATTAAGCAACACATCTCTTCCGAGCATCTTCAGTGTATCCGCCCCTCTGTTTTGTACAGTGGGAGAAACAAACAGAAGGGAAGATGTGATCCCTGGCTTCAAGCAGCTCATTATGCAGTTGGAAAGGCAACATCCACAGACCCAAAACAATCCACGAAGCTGACGCTAAGCTGAAAACTGGCTGTGAGCAGCGCAGTCAGCCTTTTTCCAAACGAGAAAAATTGTGACCCTCTCCCTGGCCAGGCATGGCGCACGGGCATTTCTTCACCACCAGACCCTTCCCTAGTCATGCTGAAGCTGGAAAACCAGGGGACGGCCAGACTCCCTCTGCAGTGAGGCTGCTGTTAAGTCCATTAAAAGAGAGCAGCCATCAGTTATAAGCACATTGGTGTTTGCCTCTAGAGAGAATGTGTCTTAGGCTGGACTCTCTCAGGAGCAGATGCTGAAACAAGGATTAGGGGGCAGGTGGTTTTCTTGGGACGTGATCCCAGATGGCACAGGTAGGGGATGGGGAAGTGGAAGAAGAAAGGAAGGACACTAAGGAGCAGGTTACTGCTGGGGACCACTAGGGAACTGGGGGCTTCACTGCCCTGGGGAATTATGGGACTTGATGTAGAAGCCACTTGGGGTCTTTGCATCTGAGGGATGAGAAATCTAAATGTTGATCTCCAAGGAAAGAAGCAAGCAGGGACTCATGGGCGTGCCTGGAATAGGGAGTGCAGAAGGGTGATGGGCGGGAGGGGTTGATGAGACACTGACAGTGTCTGTCAAAGAAGGAAAACAACTTGGTTTTTGCTGACATTTCCATCCTGGCTCAATGAATGCATGTTGGGGATTGCTGCCTAACTCACAATCAACTCCTCTCCTTGGAATGGCCCCAGCAATTACACAGTTGCATGGCCCTGCCTCTCTGGTCTTAGCTCATCAATTCATTGGCAAGTACCTGCCTCCAGCTGGGCCACTCCAACTTTCTCTCTTATGAATTTGAAATTTAAAACAAGGAGACACAAGGACTTAAAGTCACTGTACGTGAATCTCGCAGAAAGTCCGTAAACTTTTGACGGCTGAGAGTCTCGCTGCTGTCCTGTCCCTGTTCCTTCACCTTCCTGGTTGTTCAAGCTCTTCTTCCCACTCCATTCTCTTTGAATAAATTCTTTGTTTGCTAGTTGTGAAGAGAACCACGGTTTGTTCCTGTTGCTTTCCATGAATACAATGTTAATATGCATTTATGTAGTCTCAATGTTAAAAACTCTTATAACCTGAATGCAATTCTAGCAGTCTAGGATTTTGTCTAAATCAGTAGCACTTACCAACTGACTCTCCATCCAGCAGGCATGTACCAATGGGAAATCCTGACAAAATGGTAAGGCTATTCAATATTGACAAAAGTATATCCGTATATCCCCCAAGAGCTCATAAGCAAAAACACACAATTCATGTATTTAGTCAGATTTTAATGGGAACAAAACAGTTAATCCCCAACTCTCCAGTATAAAGGAAATCTGTTTGCTTTTCAAAAAAAAAATGAGAGTTTAAACTGTGAGTTAAGTAATCCTTTAGACAGCAGTACCCACACCTCAGTATATTAAATGTTTTTCAATCATCCACTCTCTGTTCATTATAGAAAAGTAAATTTGCTTAGCCGCTAAATACCAAATGTTCACTTAGAAAACATTAAGTAATGTGATCAAGAGATTTTCTTTCTTGTGAAATAATTGCCTCAAAGCTGCATAAACACAAAGTGCACATTTTCCAAGGGAACGCGGGAATGACCTTCGGCAATGGGCAGATTTATTTGCTGCTGGAAATTACTCCCTCGCCTGCTGCAGCCCTGGTGCTTTTCTTGGTCTGTCTCTTGTGCATGTCACCCTCCTAGGGAAGAGCCCACTATGGGATTTAGGTCCAGATTTCCATTGGGAGGTGTGGCTTTTGCATCTATACATGTTTGGTCAATAGTCAGACCCAAGAGTTAAGAATAGAAGCAGGGGATGGGCGCGGTGGCTCAGGCCTTTAATCCCAGCACTTTGGGAGGCAGATCACCTGAGGTCAGGCATTCGAGACCAGCCTGGCCAACATGGTGAAACCTTGTCTCTACTAAAAATACAAAAAACTTAGTTTGGTGTGATGGCACGCACCTATAGTCCCAACTACTAGGGAGGCTGAGGCAGGAGAATCACCTGAACCTGGGAGGCAGAGGTTGCAATGAGCCGAGATCATGCCACTGCACTCCAGCCTGGGTGACAGATTGAGACTCAGTCTCAAAAAAAGAAAAGAAAAAAAAAGAAGAAGAAGAACAGAAGCAGAAAGAATTCTAGACTGGATATAAGGAGCTCTGGCATTTTCTTAGGGTCAGCTGCTATTTTGCTATGTGACTTTGGGTAAGACACTTTCCCTCTCTGTGCCTCAGTTTTCTCACTGTGAAAGGTTGATCAGAGAGACTTCCTAGTTTCATTCTATGAATTAATGCTTCCCTAGGTCTATGAGAGCTGTTATTTAGAACATGGAATCTTGGTGCTCCTGGGTTCCATCTTTAATAACACACTCTCTCTCTCCCTTTCAATAGCAATAATGACAGCAACAACTGACACATGCGTGATGGTTATCATGGGCCAGGTGCTGCTCTCAGCACTTTGCGCATTGCCTCATGATCCACACTGCAATTTCACCGGACAGGGCCTATTGACTGTCCCCATCTTAGCAAGGGGGAAATGTAGGCTGAGAGAGATGTAGTAACTTGCCTAAGGTCACATATCAAGTAAATGAAGAAGTGAGAATTTAAACCCAGAACATCTGGCACCAGGCTGAACCAATATGCTATACGATCTCTCTTCTAACAATCCACATCTGGAAATACACTGAAAGTATATTTTCTTTTTCATTTCGTATCTCTGGTTTACTATATTTCTCTGGTTTATAATATTTTGAGAAATATCACAAAGAGGTTTTTAGAAAATGAGTCAGCAAATCTTTATTAAATATTTTTAGTGCATGCACATGTGTATGTCCTAATGTTAGGTACACAGGAGAGAAAGGAGAAGGAATTGGCCCTGTCCTCAGAAAGCTTACTGTCTAATTCAAAGTCTGCCCCATGCAATCTTGACTACCTTCCTGTTGGAGCAGAAGTGGGAGGCAAACATCCAGAACTACCATCAAAGTTTAACTTGCTATTCTAACACTGAATCTTCACACATGAGCCACCATGCCCGGCTAATTTTTGTAGAGATGGAGTCTTGCCGAGTTGCCCAGGCTGGTCTCAAACTCCTGAGCTCAAGTAATCTGCCGGTCTTGCCCACTCCAAAGTGCTGGGATTATAGGCATGAGCCACCGTGCCCAGCCTGAATCTCCTTTTTGACACTGCCTGTTTCTGGAACTGAGTGATTCCTTGCCCAGCTGATTGCCATCAGATTCCTGGAAATTACTGGGTGTTGGGTTTCTGGATCCCAGGGCTGGGAGAAGGAGGATGTGGTAACATCTCAGTTGAGCAGTGCACAGGCACTGAATTGGCCCAGCTGGGGGCTCTGGAAGGAGCCTCTGCTCCACTGTGACCTCCTGCACAGGCCCTCATTCACTCCGCAGTCTGAAAGACTCTCACCCATTCACCTGTTTGGCCTCCCAGATTCATTATTTTCTACATTAGCCCCGGGACACTTACTCATGGTGCTTTCTGCTATGCTGATTGGGGCCTGACCATGCCTTATCCACAAGAAGACAAGTTCCCCAAAGGCAGGGCAGTGTCTTCATCCCCCCGACTTTGACATACATCCAGGATAGACTCTTAGAGAGGGTAAAACTTACTAATTAAGCAACAAAGGAATGAGTGAAAAAGATGTATTAGGACACTTTGGGTTAAAAGTTAAATGTCAGCCTGAAACTAGCTAATCAAACAAGGCAATCTAGGTGCTCATGTAGCTGTGAAATTGAGAGGTGGGTCTAACGCCAGGACCCCAAATGCCGTCTCTCCATCTCTCCCTCTGCTTCCTTCTGTGGCTTCTTTCTCAGGCTGGCTCTGGTCACACGGTGGCATCCAGGAGTGCCAGGTTTCCAATTCACCAGCTAAGAAGCCTCCAGTAGAAGAGACAGAATACTTTCCGGTTATTTCTGCCAATTTGAAGGACATGACTCTGTCACTTGCCCAAAGATCAGTTAAAAGGCTGTTATAATGATGCAGAGAAGTGGAGATCTGCTTTGAGTGGCTCAGTCTAGGGGAGCAGGGAGGCCCACCGTGGGCCCAGCAGTCTTCCCCATGTATTACCAGTCATATGAAAGAACTTAGAAAAGCATCCACAATGTGTCCTTCACCATGGATGCCGTGTTTGTGCACATGAATTGGAGACGTAAAAAATGTAATGTTTCCTTAGTTCCACTAGTTAAAAAAAGAAAGTATTGCAGAGGGAGGATGGATGCTCGCCAGTGAAAATGCCAGGTGTCTTCCACAAGAGAAAGGAATTGGAGTTGGGATCCAGCAAGTTGCTCAAAAGGGCTTATGCAAGGGTGAAAAGAAGAATCTGGCCTCATAGGTATCTGAACTGTCCTAGAAGAAGACTGTCTTAAAGTAAGATTTGCCTCGTGTCTACCAAGCGTATCTTCAATGCTCAGCCCAGTGGGTGAAAGTAAGAGAATGAGTGAACCGTGTGTTAAACTGTTTCCCAAGTTCAGGCTCAGTTAACTTGCTGTCTAGTTCATAAACTGCTGTAACAAAATACCACAGACTGGGTTATTTATTTAACAAATACACATTTACTTCTCATGGTTCTAGAGGCTAGGAAGTCCAAGACCACAGCCTGGCAGGTTGGCTGCCTAGTGTCTGCCTCAAAGGGGACCTCCTGACTGCTGCATCATTCTGAAGGGAGGAATGCTTTGTCCTCATATGGCAGAGGGCAGAAGTGCAAAGCGGACAGACTCCCTCTATCAGTCCCTTTTATAAGGGCACCTAATCCCATCCATGAGGGCTCCACTCTCATAATTTAATCATCTTCTTCTGGGCACCCCAACTTTTAATCCTGTTAGACTGGTTATTAAATTTCAGCATGAATTTTGAAAGGAACACAAACATTCAAACCACCACACTTACCTGTAAATGCAATGGGGAAAAGTGTTATTTCCCACTATTTGTTTGTGAGGACACAGAGATTCGCCCTAAGCTCACAGAGCTAGGAAGAGGTGGAACTGGGATTTGAACCCAGGGCCTCTGGAAGGCCTCCTCTGAAATGTCTAAATAGGGAGATTGCTGCCTGCTCCTGGCAGCCTAATAGCTAACCTACCATGCCCATCACAGAGCTTCTGCCAGCTGCATTAGCACCTCCTCAGCAGGGAAGCTTCTTTTAATGTTAGCAAACAGAAATGGCTTATTTGTCCCCCAACAGCCCATACTGTAGCAAAACAGCCTCACTCTCTATTAGAAGGCCAGGAGAGCCAAATCACGGATTGCTTTAAAAACAAACAGTGTAGCAAGAAAGAATCTCAGAAGGAACCCAGTTTTCCCTTTTTTTCTGTGCCTCCTCACTGCTCTGCTCACATCTGTGTGATCCTCAGAGAGAAGACTCAGCAGTTCGGTGTGCACAGGGAGGCCCTCTGAGCAGAGCTGATGCCTCTCATGCCCACTGTGTGGGGTTAGCATCTCTCTTCCCATACCCCCAGACACCCTCTGAGGCAGGAGTCCTGTCTTCTGTTCCCCACTGCCATCGTGCACAGAACCCTGCCAAGGGAGCCACTCAAAAGTGCAGACAAGGCTGGGGGTGGTAGCTCATGGCTCAGCCTGTATTCCCAACACTTTGAGAGGCTGAGGAAGGCAGATTGCTTAAGGCCAGGAGTTTGAGACCAGCCTAGGCAACATGGGAAAACCCTGTCTCTACAAAAAAAATACAAAAACTAGCTGACATGGTTGAGGCCCTTGGAGCAGACCCTGGGTCTCAGGTACTTGGGAGGCTGAGGTGGGAGAATCACTTGAGCCTGGGAGATCTAGGCTGCAGTGAGCCATAATTGCACCACTGCATTCCAGCCTGGGTAACAGAATGAGACCCTGTCTCAAGAAAAAGAAAAAAAAAAGAAGTTCAGACAAGACATCTGGAAGTAGCACTCCCTCAGCCTATCCCCAGCTAGCAGGACAGCTGAGATGCTCACCCAGTGGAAGAAAAAAATGCTCAGCCTAGTCAGTGACCGCAGGGCAGAGACTCTGCCAAGCAATGGGACACGCATAGCGGGGAGAACAGACAAGCCTCTGCCCACAAGAACTTAACCATTCAGCAGGCAAGAAGCACTGGAAACGGTCATTGTCATGATGATTAGGACATTGCAAACTGTGCATTATGAAGCAAAAGGAGCTGGGCCTATTAGAGCGTGTAGTCCTGGCCTAGGTGGAGGGGAGAGGTATGAAGATGGGTGAAGGTTATCCAAGGACACTTCCCTGCAGAAGGCGTGAGAGACAGCACAGCAAAGTGGGGGCCCCAGTTCAAATGCTGGCTTGGCCACTTACGCTTTGCATAATTCTGGACAATTTCCCTTCTCTATCAAAAAAGGGGTTGTGACAACTACAGTTCCTACACCCCAGCCTGTTATGAGCGTTCATGACTGAACAGTGGTAAATTCTTTATTTTCTTCTGAAATTCTTTATTGCCACACTGTTTGTTTTGAAAGCAATCCCTGATTTCGCTCTCCTGGCCTTCTAATGGAGAGTGAGGCTTTCTCTTCTAATGGAGAGTGAGGCTATTTGGCCATCAGGGGCCAACGAGGGTCCTGGCACTTCCATGCTGCAGAAGTATTCACTGACGTCAGAACTCGCTTAAGTGGAGGCCTGAAGGTTGATCTAGAACGACAAAGACAAGAATGAGGACCTGGTTCCAGGCTGAGAGGACAACACATGTTTCTATGTTTTAAATGTTTCTTTCCTCCAAAACTTACGTTGAAATGTAATTGCCAATGTAATGGTCTTGGGAGGTGAAGCCTTTAACAGGTGGTAAGGCCATGTAGGCTCTTCCCTCATGGTGGGTTTAATACCTTAAACAAAAGGGCTTTTGAGAGTGGGCTCTCTCTTTCCTCTTTTGTTCTTCTGACATGTGAGGAACTGTGTTTCCTCCACGCTGGAGGATGCAGTGTTCAAGGCATCGTCTTGGAAGTGGAGAGTGGGCCCTCACCAGACACCAAACCTGTTGGCATTTTGATCTTAGATTTTCCAGCCTCCAGAACTGTAAGAAATATATTTCCATTATTTATAAACCACCTGGTCTCAGGTATTCTGTTATTGCAGCACAGAACAGGAGGCTAAGACACACGTGGAAACTCTGAGGCTGAGCAGAGGGTGGCACATGGAGGCCCTGAGAGCAGGCTCAGCCCATGGGTTTGGAAAGAGCCATGTGATGGGGAGGCTGAGGAAGGGCGGGTGCAGTGCACGTGGGGCCTCAGAGGCTGAGAAGCGGATGCTCCAGTTCATTCCAGAGACAAAGTGAAGCTTCTGAAGGGTCTGAAACGGGGGCAGGGGGCATGATCAGAGTTATGGCTTAGGAAGGTATAGCTGACTGTGACATGGGGAAACAAAGTAAGAGGCAATGGAAAGAAAGCTTTCACTTCTGGCTTACTATTGACCCTACTGGTAGCTGAGAGTGGGTGAGGTTATCCTCCAGTTTCTGGGTAGTCTTCATCCAACTGGGCAATTTTGTGATCACCCTGGCACTGTGACTGCCTCTCAGCTGGGAAGCATTTGTTGGTCCCATCCATGGTGGGTAGAAGCTGGGGCAGCATCACCCAGGCACAATATGCACGTCACTTGGCCCATGTGTGGTCCTCTTTGACATATACAGAGCCCTAAGGGAAAAGCCAAACTCTGTTTTGCCTCCTTGGGTCCTAAGTCCATCACAGACTTTTTTTTCCACTACTTTCTGCAGAGCTGGGTCCGGTGAAATATGATGCTGCCATTTTATGTGGGCTTGGGAACTTGGTGAGAAGAACAACCTACTCCAACCCTGTATGAACCCCCATTGTGGTGAAGGCAGGATCTAAGAAGTAGAAATATTGAAAAGGAACACTGACATTCTATAGTGGGCCAAGGAGCAAGACACTTTGACTCATTTAAAATTATTTATTTAATATAAATATAGCAGAGGAGAGAGTTACAAGGACCCTAGGAACAGGGAATAAAACTATTTTAAATTAAATGTGTAACCCCAGAATGCAAGTGACTTTTACTGTCTTCAAGGTACAATCCTTCTTGTCATCTTGATATTCTAATCTTGGTTCCATTATATGCGTTTTCACAATGTCAGATAGAGAATGCCTAACACTAAGATATTTAAATCAGATCAGCCTGACCTGAGATACACATTTTACGTCAAGTTGCCATAAACCGGCAGATCCAATTTCTAAGATGTAGCATGTTTGATCATTGCAAGTGTGGGGAGGGGTCTCCTCAGGGTCCCTGGCCTTGCTTGGTTACTGTCAACTCCAAAGTGCATTTATTTCAGTGAAGCACCACACCTCAGCCCATGACCTTTCCTGGAAATGGATATAGATGAACTCACAAGGCTAAATTAAAAGTTCAAATTGTGTTTGAATGTTTACCACTTTTCTTCTCACGAGTTAAGGTTTGTTTTTAAAGATGTGGATGCTTCCTCCAGCTCCCACCAAACTCCTTAAAAAAGCAGCTCTGGGAACATGGCACACCCCAAGTCAGATGTCACCTGCTATGGTGCAGTCAGGCTGGAGAGGCCCTACTCAGGACCGGGCTCCTATTGCTGCCAGGGAAAGCCCTGTCCGCTCCTGCACTCTGGCATGGGGAGATGTGTGCATTTCAGGAGTTGCACAAATATTTCCTCATTTGCCATTCAGGTCACATAGCATCCAACACCAAGATAAATGGAAAAAATATGTCTATGAAATACTTCATTAAGAAAAGCTCATCATCTCATTCCATGACACCAAAAGGGTAATCATAATAAATGATTTATAATGGGGGATCTGAAATATTTAGATAAAACGTTGCTTTGGTGGTGTTTCTACATCAGCTCACTTTTATAACTACTCAGACTTGAGATACCCGCTGACCTCAAGGTGTAATAACTGGAGGCCAAACTTCTTCTTGCTCAAAAAGCTGGAAGCAGCATCTCTTCATTAATTTCAAGCTCCACCTAGGCCCATTCTGCTGAGCCAAAGACTCATCTGTAATGAGAGAGGATGGAGAAGGGGGTAAAGGATATGTCTACAAGGCCTGGGCCACCTTCTCCCCTCACTCTGCTAAAAAATAGGGACGTTTCCACTCAGAATAATAAAGAGCATCTGAGCATCACGGCTGCCCATCAATGGAATTAATTGCATTAGAAGCCAGTTAAATACATCACGGAAGACAGGCAATAGCTGCCTACAAAGTCCCTCTTCACTCAGAGATTATGTGATTATTTAATTCTTTCTAAGTATTTTTGAGCACAACACACTTATCAGTCCTGGAAAAAGATAAAAGTAAACAATGATTGAGGACTCGTTATACAGTAAGCACTATAATAGGTACAGGCAGGGGAAACAGTTACAGAGAACAGACACCTCCAGGTTTCAAGAGGATGGCAACTGACTGGGAGATTTTCCTTTCCTCTGGATAAGAAGGTAATTGGGTCGGGTGCAGTGGCTCACGCCTGTAATCCCAACACTTTGGGAGGCCGAGGTGGGTGGATCACCTGAGGTCAGGAGTTTGAGACCAGCCTGGCCAGCATGGCAAAACCCCATCTCTACTAAAAATACAAAAAATTAGCCAAGTGTGATGGCGTGCGCCTGTACTCCCAGCTACTCGGGAGGCTGAGGAAGGAGAATCACTTGAACCTAGGAGGTGGAGGTTTCAGTGAGCCAAGATTGTGCCACTGTACTCCAGCCTGGGCAACAGAGTGAGACTCCATCAAAAACAAAACAAAACAAACAAACTATATATATATATATATATATATATATATATATATATATATATATATATATAATCAAAGTGTTTAATCATATGGGAAACTCCATTGGAAAAGCAGATTCCACAAAGAAAGGAATTTCCTGGCTTTGGTGGATGTGGCAGGAAAAAAAAAAGAAGGTAATTGGCACCAAGTTTCCACTTGACGTCTAGGACTCTTCACTTTCTGCACCTCCACCCCACTTCTCCTGTTTCATGTATCACCAGGAGCACATGCAGGTTTGGTCCAAGGAGAGGCCCAGGCCTCAGTCTCAGCCTCCAGCAGTTAATGGAGTTTGCAGGGAGCAGGAGAAAGGAACCAGGCTGAGCTCAGTCAGCAGGAAGCGGCATCATCCATTCAAAGTAACAAAACTAACTTGCGGTGGGGCCAAGCATCTGACCAATCAGCAGAGCTAGCCAATTTTTCCACCTCTGTTCCCTAGTTGTCTTGCTGGCCTTTGGCTGGATCCCAGACTCCAGAAGACTCCCTGTGAGCTAACCTGCTGCTGACAACTGTGCTAAATCCTAGATGACTCTGGCAATCTGGCCACAGCCATAAATTCATATCACCTATAATATCCAGGCCTAGATCCATATCTTTCTTTCCTGTTCATTTATTTGCTGACTGGTTTTTAAGGAGCTGACACTCAATATTTGAAACATGCAAATGGCATGTGTTCATGTGTGGAGTCCAAACAGAAAGAGGCTTTAGAGATTTCAGGGCCAATGGGATTCCTAATGCACATCAGTCTCGTGCTCTGTGCAACTGGATTATAATCAGAGGATTTTGATAAAGGCAAAATTGGAGATGAGATTGAGATATGATTTTAAACATCTTGCTTGCTGGCAAAGTCCCCAGCCACACCACTTGCCAATTTGCACGTCCAAACTTACTAATGATCAAAGGAACACAACTCCAAATAATCAGGGCTGATTTTATGTTCAGAAACTCTCATACCTTAACCATGGGATGGTTAATTGGTTCAATTAGCAGAAAAAGTAAGCTAAAGTGGCCAGTGCTTTAGATCAAGTCCACTGGGCTATGAAGGGCAGATATTAAAACTAGTAATTAGTTAATATTTATTGAGTGCCTACTATATGCCAGGCACTCTTCCATGTATTTATAAGTATTATTTAATCATCACATCATTCGTATGAGGAAAGCACTCCTGTCATCCCATGTTATAGAAGAAGAAGCTGAAACACACAGATGTCCCAATAACTTATAAGTCAGAAAGCTGGGGAGCGAAGGAACTAGAATTTAACACTGAGCAGTGTGACTCCCTAGCTCAGGTTCACACATATGAATCCACATGTGTGTGAAGCACCACATTCTGACATTCGTTTTCTCAAATTCTAAATGAATTACTCGTTGTAATAAGTAACTTAAAGGGCCAGTCATTTCACACCGGCTGTTTTGCTGCCATCTTCCCCAGGCCCTGCTCTAGCCCTGTCCGTCACCTCGTCTACGATAGCTGCTGTCTTCCTGAGTGGGGCAGGATATCAGGCCTACAGCTGCCATAGGCATCAGTGGAAACCCCTAAAACTCCAGCCAGCATACAGGATATTATAAAACCATGCTTGTGTGCACCAACCACGCTGCAACACTGCCTGGAGAACTAGGGCAGACTTGAGTTTCAACAGGACTCTTCGATTGATTTCTGGGTAACTTTGGTCAAATTGCTTCATCTTTCTAAGCTTCATATTCCTCCTCTGAAAAACAAAGCTCTTCAAATCAGGTTTTGTTGTGATAATACTGTGTAACAAACCTCTCCCAAATTTCTGTGGCTGAAATCACATTCATTTAGATTTCATTCATGGATAAGCTACTGCTCATCAGCTGCTGCTCGGCCGGCTGGGCTCCAGAGTGACACTAGGGCTTAAGTGTGTCCCATATGTCTCTTCATTCTGGGCCCAGTGACTCGCGGGGCATGCTCTCGTCATGGCTGAGGGCAGGAGGGAAAGAGGATGGGCAGAAACTCCACACACACGTTTAAAGCTTCTGGCACGTGTCTGTTCATGTCACATTGGCCAAGGAAGTCATATGGTCATGGTCAAAGGCAGGAGGGTGGGACTGCGAACTGCTCTCAATGAACCAAAACTAGGAAAGGAAGGGAAGGAGGAATTATGAAGAAATATTACCAACCAACACAGAAAAGTGGACTAATATTATTTTGGTATTTTTACCTCCACAACAGAAAAAAAAAAAAAAAAAGCAAAAAGAGGCATGGCCATAGTAACCTATCCAAGAATTTCAGCTTTGTTTTGGAAACCCTCTGCCTTCAGGAAAGCAGAAGCATTTTATACTGTATGTGGTGGGGCTGGTGTCTTACTTTGTATCAGAACAACTTGTAATACGTTCATTATTTGATGCAGTCATTTTTAGGAGCCTCCAGGAGTGCATTTTAAAGAAATAATCAGAAGCATAAAAGTATTTATGTGTAAAGGTGCCCATCAAGGCATTTTTTGTAATAGCAAAAAATAAGAACAACAATACGTCCATAAATAGAATATTTAAAATCCATACAAGGGAAGATTATGGAGTTAATTTTTAAATGGTATTTTTCTAAGAATATCTATGGAGGCAGAAAAATGCACCTAATACAATGCTAAGTACATAAATCAGAATGTAAAAAACATGCAATAGAATCTCACTTTTGTAAAGCATATTGCTCTGTATCACTGAGAAGTGATTGGATGGAGTTTAAAAATGTTATCACTGGCTAGCTACAGATTATGGACAGATGATGCAGCCTGGGTATTTAATTTTTCCTACCTGTTTTTTTTCTATACTTTCCAAATTTCCCACAGGAAAAAAAATAGAATGCTTTTAGGCCGGGTACAGTGGCTCACGCCTATAATCCCAGCACTTTGGGAGCCCAAGGCAGGCAGATCACTTAAAGTCAGTAGTTCGAGACTAGCCTGGCCAACATGGTAAAGCCCATCCCTACTTACTAAAAAATACAAAAATAATAAAATAAAATAAAATAGAAGAATGTTTTTAAACTGCTAAGCTGGTCCATAAGATGCTTCAACTGTGGAGGTTCCCAACCAAACCCAGCTAAGAGTTTGGACCACGTGCCCTGGAACTGAGAATTCCCAGAAAGCATGAGTGCTGCCACAGCTCACTTATCTCCACCCTCTAATGACAAACAATCGATGCAAATGGCATGCGTGCCCACTGCTGAATCCACAGTTCTATCAGGAAGACACCACGAGCTATTAGCAATACTGACGGTCTAAAGGCTGTTCAGTGTTGAACAGGATATTTCATTTCATTTGATTATTTTCTAGACCTTGAACATTGCATTTGGACAGGAATCCAGTTACCTTGTTTGTCAAGGGCTTTGGGAAATGGAGTGGAGGCATCTGATGATGGAGAACCAGGGTTCCCCATTTGGGTACTCATTTATTAGGCAAAGTAATTCTTTTGGGACCTGGATGACCTAGAAGCAGGAATCTGACTTATGACATCGAGAGGACAGTCAGCACTGAATGGCCTTTAGATGCCAGGTTCGATGGATTCCCTCAGAAAGGTCAGGAAACCGGGCACAGTTCCTAGAGCCTCAGATCCTATCTGAGCTCTTTCTAGGGGCAAAGGTGCCCCCTCCTCTACTCTCCAGCAGCCACTGGGCCAATGCTCTTTGCCCAGAATTTGACCCACCTATAGGCACTTCCAGTTAAACATCAGGCAGGTACTTTCTGGGCAAGATTTCCATGAACATTCCCCTACCGTTAACTTGCTTGCAACCAAAATTGGGTGATTCGTCCCAGTGCCAGACCCATGTGCACACTCAGGACAGATTTTCTTTACAATCTCAAATTGATCTGAACTAATCTGTTCAGGTCCCTCTTTCTGGTCAAAGACCTCGTGTGCCAGGTTTCTTCTGCTTGGAGCACATTTTTACTTTCAAGTTATAAACCCTGAAAAATGGGTTTCATAATGGGAAGGCTGACAGAGTCTCAGCCATTGAGACTCAAGCAGCCATCAGCCTTACTCTGCCAAAGATATTTATTATTATTTCCTCAAATAGCCACTATTTAATACCTGTCACTTTTTTTCCTTACAAGGATGAGGGCTGTGTAGTCTCGGTTGCAAGCTCTCTTGGTTGTCGTGATGACTTGTTCCGGGGAGGCAGGTGCTTAGAGACAGATCCTTGCAGCGGGGAGCTCTGCGCTGAACTCCCCAGTGGAGGGAACAGTCACAGCCACTGCATTAAGCCTCCGTTGCAATGCAGGGTGTGGAACCGCTCTGCTCTCTGACAACGCCTACAAAAGCTCGGTGGAGCAGAACTTTCCAATGTGGTCATCTCCTGGAGGGCAAGGCTGAAGGCCTGAATCCCCATGGCATCTCCACACGCTTCTTTGCACATTTGCTGCCTGGCGCTGTTTTCAGCTGTTGGCATGGATAAAGCTGCAGGGCTGGCTCCTGAAATGTGGTTGGAGATGTCTTCCTCCCGTGAGAGGCATCTACAGAGACTGCCTGGAACAACCTTTGAAAACTCATTGTTTAAAATGTATTAACTCAAATCCTTTCCAAGTCTTCTCTGCCAAAACCCAGCACAGAGAACCACTTCTTCTCTTCCTTCACATGCCCTGACATCATTACTCCAGGGCCTCTCCATCCTGCCTCACCCCAAATGCCCCTCAAGAGATGGGTCTTTGTAAAGCCAAGGGTTTCACCCAGGAAGCCTAGAGGGCCGGGGCAGCTGCTGCTGCCTTTCCTTCTGCACAGCCTGAGACTGCCCTCTTCCGTGCTCCCTGCCCCTGCTCACAGGACACCTGCATTCCACATCTTGTGTCCTCCATCCCTGGGGGACTCAGCCTCTGAATCCTGCCTTCTGTAGCTCCCTTCCTTTGTGCAAGGCCAGCATTCCATCCAGAGCCAGACTGGGCCCCAGCCTGCAAGCAGACATGGAAATCCCTTCTGCCGAGCCAGATGCCAGACACACGGGAGCTCAGCCGGCCTTCTCAACAGGACTCTATCTTAGAAAACACTAATAAGACCTATTACAGATATTAAGCAGTTATTGAAGAGGGGTCTCTGTGTGCTCTGCTGGAAAAACTCATTTGGAACATCATTGATTTGCGAGGAGAGCTGCTTGCCCTGTGGGTGGGTTTGGGTGAGTCCCCTTAGATTCCAGTGGCAGTGATTGGAGATCCCAGAAACAGGTCGCCTGTCCCTGCCTAACTCTGATCCAGGGAGTCCCCTTGGAAGACAAGACAGACGTGGAGCACACCAGCCACACACTGCAGCACCCCTGAGCCACTACCAGGAAAGAGAGGCCTCATGAGTCCATCAGAGTTTCCTGAAAGCCTGCGAAGGCACCCATAGTCTCCTAATCGAATCTTCCCCTGGCTCCTGGCTGGCACCAGACAGAGCGCCCTTGCCATGGAGGAGTCTCTGAGTGATGCCCCGGGGCGCAGGGACAGCATGAGGCAGGAGGTGTCTGTGATGCCCTGGCTCCCCGATCCCAGGGCAAAGGCTCGGCCCTCTAGACTCCATGGGTAGCAGGGACCCAGGGCTTCTGCTGCTTCTCCTGGGCATCCCCCAGACACTGACCAGGGCTGATGGGAAAACCAGGAGCACCTCCGACCTGCTCACCTCAGAGTCCCCCTCGCCGGGCCTGGAGGCCTGGCCACTCAGGTGAGCACCGTGCAGCCTCTTTCCATCAGATTCCCATTTCACCAGCCGTTCGCGGCTGGGGAGCAGCTGCTGCACCTCTGACTTTTCCACCCATCTGCAGCCGGAGCTGGAGCCCAGCCTGATTTTCAGTTGGCCACATTTGTCTCTGATCTCTGAGCCCCACTTCCAACCCATGTCTCTAATTCCCGCCGTGCATCCCAGACAGAATCTGATGCCCAGTAGAGCTGAGTGTGAGCTCCAATAGGGCCCTAGATGCTGACCCCAAGGTGATGGCAGTATCTACGTACCCGGCATGGAGACAGTGGCTGCCAGCCCGCATGCCCCTGAGGCTGCAGGTCCCACACCCACAGCGGGGCGTCGCACGATCCTTGTGCCCACCGCCTCCCATTTCTCTATGCAGCTTTTACCTGATTTGGGTCACGGATACAAAACACACAGGAATTCATCAGTCAGCGGGTGTGAGGGAGACGGGGGTCTTGCGTGAGCTGGGACTCTGTGCCCAGTGTCCTGAAGGAGCCAGGGGTCCTATGTGAGCTGGGACTCTGCCCAGTGTCCTGAGGGAGCCAGGGGTCCTGTGTGAGCCGGGACTCTGCCCAGTGTCCTGAGGGAGCCAGGGGTCCTGTGTGAGCCGGGACTCTGCCCAGGGTCCTGAGGGAGCAGGCGGGTCCTGTGTGAGCCGGGACTCTGCCCAGGGTCCTGAGGGAGCAGGGGCGTCGTGTGTGAGCCGGAACTCTGCCCAGGGTCCTGAGGGAGCCAGGGGTCCTGTGTGAGGGTCCTAAGGGAGCCAGGGTTCCTCTGCGAGCCGGACTTTGCCCAGGGTCCTGAGGGAGCCTTGGGGTTCTGTGTGAGCTGGAACTCAGTTCCTATCAGGCAAAAGCTCACAGCTGGCCAAAGAGAAAATTGAATTTTCAATTTTTAATTCATAGGTAAAATCCATTAGAGGAACACAATTTGTTTTCAGAAGTTGTGTAATTTCTGTGTGCAGTACAGTCATTGACTTGCTATTTCCCCACCTTGACAAGTGTGAGCCTTCGAGTCAATTAAAATACAAAATTCACTGCATTTCACATTGTATTCTAGCGGCCTTTTCTCCAAGGCACTTTACGTAGCACATTTCAAAGCCCTTTTGAAGCAATTTTCCACCCTCTTCACAGAAAAGGTGCCTATCATGTTTTTAAATGAGCAAGGAGCACTGTTATAGGAGTCAGATCACCACTTGTAGCCTGATAGCTTCAGCATCTCAGATCTCAGGGCCTCGGTTTTCCCATCAGTAAAATGGGGTTGTTCTCATGAATTAGTATTATAGAAACTACTATTTAAATTACATTAAGTGGCTCACACCTGTAATCCCAGCACTTTGGGAGGCCGAGGCGGGTGGATCACTTGAGACCAGGAGTTCGAGACCAGCCTGGCCAATATGGCAAAAGCTCATCTCTATTTAAATACAAAAAATTGGCTCGGCATAGTGGTGCGCACCTGTAATCCCAGCTACTTGGGAGGCTGAGCACAAGAATCACTTGAACCCAGGAAGCAGAGGTTGCAGTGAGCCGAGATCGCGCCATTACACTCCAGCCTAGGTGACAGAGTGAGACTTTGTCTCAAAGATAAATAAATAAATAAACAAATAAATAAGTAAATTACTTGGAATGAACTTTGAAGGTGACCAGGGATATGAGAATACAGTAGAATTCCCCTTAACCCTACACCCTACGTCCACCTCTAGATATTCAGATATTAATTTATGTTCAAGTGAATATTTGACATTTGTATTTAAATTTTTGATACTTTAATGTTTAAGTACTTGCACGAGCCAAAAGGAAATGTTGCTGAGTGTAGCTACTAGACCAAGACAGCAGAGAGAAGTGTAGTGTGGGTGGAATTAGACCAGCTTGCCTTGTCTAAATACATTGAAATCCATCTTCTTTTTCTAATGCTGTAAAAGAAAAACCGAATCTCAGGACCTGAAACTCACCATGCCAAAGGGAAGGTAAAGCTTGGGAACCCAGTCATGCAAAAACTGCCATCCTTTTGTTCCCAGATAGCTGTCATTTCACATGCTTGCTTATGTAAAATGTAGATTTACCGGGCATCAGACAAAAGCATCATTAACTGCCCACCCCCTACCCTTTGCCTTCCTTTTCGCATGTGAAATGAATGTTCACTGAGCACAGATCCGGGCTTTTCAAGAAGGTAACACTGCCCTCATTGCCTACCTTCCTTCCTTTTTTTTCATTTCCTCTTCCCCTCCCACTTGATCTTTCCCCTTTAAATACTGAAGCTCCTGGAACCCTCTTTAGAAAAAACACAGGCCACAGATCCTGCTGGGACTTCTGTTTCTTCTGCCTGGGTGCACCCTCAGCCTGGCCAGGGAAACTTTGAATCAATCGAGACTTGCCACTTTGGGGTCACTTTGCAATGCCGTGGGACTGGACCCAACAGGGGCCTCTGCTTTGTGACTGCGCCTGCACAATGATTGTAGGGTGTCCCTGCTACTGCCTTTATCTTGCTTACTTTTAGGGTTTGTTTGTTTGTTTTTATTTTAGACCCTGAAAACGCCCTATTACCATTGGCAGGTGAAGGTTAGATATTTGGATCTTTAAAGGTGAGAAGCTTGATTTCGATCCAGGAAGGCTGAGAAAGTAGAAAAACATCCAGACGTGCCATGTAGCCCAAATGTCAGAAATATTTTTGAATCCAGAACTAAGGTGCATCAGAGACTTTTCTTCCTGTTGACCTTTACAAAAAGGGGGCTTTTGGGGATCCAGGCAAATCTGAATGAATGTGTCTTCTTTGGAGGTGAGCTGGAGAAGCCCACACGGTGTCTTACCTCTTTGAAGATAATCACATTTTCCAGTTAACATGACCTTGCTTTGCTGTTTTCTTTTCCACTAACCCTTGAACTCACAGGAAACACACCCACAGTGGGGAGAGCCCCAGGTCAATGTTGCAGACGCCTCGCAGGCACTACCCATGGATTAGGTGGCCTCTCACTTGGCCCCACTGTCCTGTTCTTCCACTTCTACAAGAGCAGTGGCAAAGGTCTTGTTCTTATATGTTTTTTTAAAATCCACCTTCCCTTGGGATCAATGTTGAAGTGTGTTACCAAATCGTGTTGTTTTTTCAACTGTGCCCCACTTCACCTCCCTCTCAGGGTCTTTGCCTGGCCTCCTCCTGGTTGCTGTGGTTCAAGAGGGACGTGGATGTGCCGACAGAAGCAAATGGCAGTGGAGAAGGGCTCAAGGTTCAGGTATCACCAGGAGCCCACTATCTGCCTCCCCGCATGACAGCCCCATTCTCCCAGGATGACTCCGGCCAGAACAGGAGGATATTTATTGATAGCACAGAGACTGTATATTTCACCATCAACTCCATTCAAAAAATCCCCGGGTGATTCCATGATTGTCCCAAATGGCTCCAGTGCTCACGTGTGGATCAGCCATTGTGTCCAGGAGTAGGTAGTAAGAAAGCCTAAAGGGTGGGACCCTATGAATTAGGGGACATTCTCCTGGAGGCGCTGCTGAAAGGAGCATTTCCCAAGGGTTGGACAGACCAAGAATTAATGTCTACTTGGCTGGCCTCCAGCCATGCTCCCCTGCACCAGTCCAAGAGAGGTAAAAACTGTGGGGTTGGAGAAGGTCAAAATGGACCAGTTATTCTCCAGCAGAAACCAGGAGCACTGCCTACACAACGCCACCTATTCCTGAGGGCACAAATGGCAGGTGCGTAACAGGAGCACAGCCCACACAACACCATCTATCACTCAGGGCATGAGCGGCGGGTGTGCAAGAGGAGGGTTGCGATGTCCCTGGAGAGATTGGATAGCAAGAGCAGCTAAGCCTCTGATGGGGCTCTGGACAGGCAGCATGTCCCCTATGAGAGGTCACATTGTCACAAAGGAGAAAGGATCCCTCGACTGACGAAGCGCATGTGCAAAAACCACAGGGCCAGCTCGCAGGAGAGCTGAGATTGAGCTACTAGATTAGAGGGTGCTTGATGTGTTTGGATATTTGTCCTTTCCAAATCTCATGTTGAAATTTGATCCCAGTGTTGGAGGTGGGGCCTGGTGGGAGGTGTTTGTGTCATAGGGGTGGATCCTTCATGAATGGCGTGGTGCCCTCCCTGCAGCAATGAGTTCATGTAAGAGCTGGTGGTTTAAAAGAGCCTGGCGCAAGGTTGCGTGGAAAAGGGAATTCCTGTACACTGTTGGTGGGAGGGTGACCTAACTCAGCCATTGTGGAAAGCAGTGTGACAATTCCTCAAAGAACTTAAACAGAATTACCATTTGACCCAGAAATCCCATTACTGGGTAATTCCCAAAGGAAAATAAATCACTCTACCATAAAGACAAATGCACACATATGTTCACTGCAGCACTATTCACAACAGCAAAGACATGGAATCAACCCAGGTGCCCATCAACAGTAGACTGAATAAAGAAAATGTGGTACATATGCACCATAGAATATTATGCAGCCATAAAAAATGAGATCATGTCTTTTGCAGGAACATGGATGGAGCTGGAGGCCTTTATCCAATGTGAATTAATGCAGAAATAGAAAACCAAGTCCCGCATGTTCTTCTTTATAAATGGGAGCTAAATGATAAGAACCAATGGGCACAAAGAGGGGAACAACAGACACCGAGGCCTGCTTGAGGGTGGAAGGTGGGAGGAGAGAGAGGATCAGGAAAAATGTCTACAGAGTACTATGCCCATTATCTGAAATAATCTGTACATCGAACCTCCATGACACACAGTTTACCTATATAACTAACTTGCACATGTGCCCTTGATCCTAAAATAAAAGTTAAAAATAATCACACAAAAAATACAATAAATAATAAAATAAAAGAGCCAGGCACCTCTCTTGCTCCCTGTTTCGCTCTGTGAGATGCCGGCTTTACTTCCCTTCTGCCATGAGTAAAAGCTTCCTGAGGCCTCCCCAGAAGCAGATGAGGGCACCACGCTTACTGTACACCCTGCAGAACCATGGCCAATTATACATTTTTTTGATAAATTGCCCAGTCTCAGATATTTCTTTATGGCAACACAAAACAGACTCATGTGGCATCCCACGAGGTTTTGCAGAAAAGAGAAGGAAAGAGAGGAGGGCTGGAAATTGACAGGTTGTCCCAGGCAAAGGGGTGGGCAAAGAGATACATTCATAGGGGAAGGTGAGCGAATGAGCTGATTAGTGGGGTTGGAGAAAGGGGTGCTTCAGGCAGTGATAGGCAGACAGGATGCTGTCATCTTAGAATATGCGTGCACACACACGCAAACACACACACTTACCCCTCCGGTAGCATGCAAGCTGGCGTCACCCTGGCTTAACAGTAGATCCCAGGAGCACAGAAGCTGCCTTCACCCCAAGGAGCACAGCTTCTCACCTCCGTGCTCTTTCATTGCAATTCCCTGCCTTCCAGCAAGTGTCCGATGCCTGCTTAACATTATGCGAGGCAGGCTGTCAGTGAGAGAGGCTCAAGCCTGCTGCAGGGACTGCCTCTCAGGAAAGAGAAAACAAAGCCAGAGCCTTAAAAATAGAGCTGTCCACTGATGGAATTCTCTCCTGCTGCCATGACCAAATATTTGGTCACAAGGGAAGCGGCTGATCAGACACACTCCCAGCAAGGTCACGAGGTGCTCAGAGAACACACACTGAGGCAGGCTGCTGGCACGGCTCCCCTCGCCCCTGGACCCTCGAGGTCCCCAAAAGAGAGGGAGGGAGGGCCGCTCCAGTGCCAATCTGTAACCACAAAGCATGCCTTTGCTCTTATGATGCTGGAGACCAGCCTAGCCCTGAAGTCAGCTGCTTGCACAGACAACATTCATTCATTCAGACACAAATGAGATCAGTTCTTATCCAAATCACAGGTCAATAGGATTTGGGAAGCTGCAGAGTCCTAGAGATTACATTATTTTAAAGACTGCAGAGTTCAATACAGCGAGATTCAAAACAGAGGGAGGATTTTGTTGTCATACAGATGTCCACCCCTCCCCACACCGCACCGTGACGCCTGCCTGCTCCAGTTCTCCTGGTGTGTGGCTTCCCACTGTTCACTTCCCAGGCAGCTTGTCTGGATCTCTTGCAAGAGCAGGGCCTGGAGCCTGGTGACCTTAGCTGCCGCAGGGCCCAGCACACAGTCGGGGCTCCATGAAACCCCAGGAGGAAGGGATGGAGAGGGAAGGAGGCCATGTGTCCCAAAGGGGAACCCTGGGGGAGTGGTCCTTTCCTATCTGCCACTGGTGCCTGGAAAAGAGAGAGTAGAAAATCCCAGCCCCAGCTGGCACATTGCTCTGAGCCCAGGGCCTGTCCCTCCAGGAAGACAGTGCGGCCACCATTGGCCCACGGGCACTGCCTCAGCTGAGGCCCCTTCTAGCTCTCTGTCTTCTTCTTTGGAAGCCCCCGCGGACCCTGCCTCACACTGTTCTGGGCGCGTCTGTTCCCTGTGGGTATTTGCCTTCTGAGGTTGCAGCCACAGGGGCAGGGCAGCAGAACAGCAGGATCCCACCCACATGTATTGAACTGAGCTGATTTGTCACTTTGTAAAAAGCTTGTTTCAGGTAGGCATGGTGTTGGGCCTGTGGTCCCAGCTACTTGGGAGGCTGAGGCAGGAGGATCACTTGAGTCCAAGAAATGGAGGCTGTGGTGAGTCATGATTGCACCACTGCACTCCAGTCTGGGCCACAGAGTGGGACTCTTGTCTTTAAAAGAAAAAAAGATGTAAAAGCCTAGTGCATTGATAGGTTAGGTAGCCCCCAAATTCGTTTCTTGAGACAGAGTCTCGCTCTGTCACCCAGGCTGGAGTGCAGTGGCGTGATCTTGGTTCATTGCCACCTCCACCTGCTGGGTTCAACCGATTCTTCTGCCTCAGCCTCCTGAGTAGCTGGGATTACAGGTGCTTACTACCATGTCCAGCTAATTTTTGTATTTTTAGTAGAGATGAGGTTTTACCATGTTGGCCAGGCTGGTCTCGAACTCCTGACCTCAGGTGACCCGGCCACCTTGGCCTTCCAAAGTGCTGGGATTACAGGCATAAGCCACTAAGCCCAGCCCCAAATTCTGTTTTAAACACAAGCTAGAGTCAATGTCCACACTGGAAGTCATTTTCAAGGGGGAGATCAGAAAGCAGCCGGGGAAGTGGCTACTTTGAAGCAAAGTGACTGACATTTTAGAGCAATTAATAACTGTGTTTCCCCAGAGACAAGCCGCGGGTGCGGGGAGCGGAAGTCGCTCCTCTCATTGTTCCTCCTGTGCTTGGGCAGTGGGCTGGAACCCTCTGGGCAGCTTCTCAACTCAGCATGTCTTGCTGATCTATTAAGTTGAACATTAATCATTAGTAGAGCTCATCTTCTTTCCCTGAATTTAATTTCATTAGTTATACTTTCTTTCCCTATTAGAACAGTCTCTGACGCATTTGCTTAGAAGGCAAATGGGCACCGGCCCTGTCCCCCACCTCTCCTGGATGGAGACTTTCCTGTAATGGCACCGACAATTGTCAACATGTCCAGGTCAGGCTGGTTGATCTGGATACAATCAGAACTCAAATCTTTTCTTATGAACTCTCAGGAACTCTCTCTAAGAAAATCAGGGCCACTGTGGTTTTGTTACTGGAAAGGGGTTTCAATCCAGACCCCAAGAGAGGGCTCTTGGATCTTGCACAAGAAAAAAATGGGGGCAAGTCCACAGAGTAAAGCAAAAGCCAGTTTATTAAGAAAGTATAGGAATAAAGCAAGGGCTACTTCGTAGACACAGCAGGGCGCTCCCAAAGGCAAGAGGAGGAACGCATCCATCTTAGCTGAAATGCTTGATTATATATAGAATAACAAAGCAAAAGCTGTGGGGGATGTGCTCCACTACCAGGGCTGTGTCAAAGGAGTGCTAATCTTTGTGTAACTACCATCTTCACAAGAATCTGCATCTTTAAAGCGAAACTTATTCTTAAACTAAGAATGCTTTTGTTCTTAAGATATCGGGACATTAGGACATTTCCTGGGTCGGTTAAGTCTTGGGTCTGTTTGGTCAACATGAATTCAACTATTCCTTTAACCATAAACCTCATGTGGCTAAGAATGCCTGACCTCCCGGGAACAGGCCAGCGGATCTCAGTTTCCATTTTTATCCAGCCCCTATTCAAGATGGAGTCACTCTGGTTCAAACATCTCTGACAGTTTTAAACCAAAAAATAGGATACCCAATCTCTGGGTTCCGTTGTCTTTAAAAATATATGCAAAAAACACATCAGGAAACTGCAGGCAATGGGGTCCCAGGATTGCCACTTTAGACCTGGACAGGCGCTAGGGCAGGACAGGGGCCTGTGCCACTGGAGATTAGAAGTGGGAGTTTGACAGGAGGGAGCCCCAGGAGAAAGTCATTTCTTCATCCATCTGCTTGTCCATCCATGATTTAATGCTATTCTTCCAGGCTGTACATCATGTGTGGTGAGGGTTCAAGGATGTCCAAGGCAAGTGTTCTGGCCTCCTTGTCTTCCTTGCTCCCTCCCTTGAAGAAATATTTGAGTGTCTTATCTACGCCCTAGCACTGTGCCCAGTGCTAAGTATCCAGTGATAAGGTTAAAACAACAAACTTACAACCAGTATGGAGAACAGTTTGGAGGTTCCTCAAAAAGCTAAAAATAGAGCTACCATGTGATCCAGCAATCCCACTGCTGGGCATAGACCCCAAAGAAAGAAAATCAGGCTATTGATGAGATCTCTGCACTCCTATTTTTATTGCAGCACTGTTCACAATAGCCCAGACTTGGAAACAACCTGTCCACCAACAGATGAATGGATAAAAAACATGTGGTCCATGTACACAATGGAGTGCTTACTACTCAGCCATTAAAAAGAATGAGATTCTGTCATTTGCAACCACATGGATGGAACTGGAGGTCATTATGTTGAGTGAAATAAGCCAGGCACAGAAAGATAAACTTTGCCTGCTCTCACTTATTTGTTGGGGCTAAAAATGTAAAACAATTGAATTCACAGAGATAGAGAGCAGAAGGATGGTTACAGGGGCTGGGAAGGGTTGGGGGAGGGGAGAGTGTGCATGGTTAATGGGTATAAAAACATAGAAGGAATAAAATCTAGTATTTGATAGCACAACAGGGTGACTACAGTTAACAATCATTTATTGTACATTTCAAAATAACTAAGAGTATTTTGCTTATAACACAATGAAAGGTAAATGCTTGAGGTGATGGACACCCCACTTACCCTGATGGGATTATTATACACCGCATGCTTGTATATATGTGTGTGTATGTATGTATATGTATATATATATGTATATATATATGTATGTATGTATATGTATATGTGTGTATGTGTGTGTGTATATATATATATATATATATATATATATATATATATATGTATTTTTTTAAAACAGCCAAGTTCTTGTTTCCAGAAGGCAGCCCAGCTAAGGTGGAAACCAATAGAAGCACAGTGCACCTAGATCCACACTCTGCTGAGAGCTTCAGTGAAAGAGAACTGAGTGCCTGAGAAAGGCAACTAGGATTGGGATAATAATCAAATCCAGTTTGAGAAAAGAGAAGGGCGCTCCACACAGGTGGGAGAGAGGGAGTGCGTGGATGGAGCCGACCGTCTTACAGTCTTGGAGGAATTAAGGTATCACAGAGGTAGGGTCCAGCCACTTCAGTCCTTCCTAGAAATTTAATATATTTAATATGACTATAGCTCAAAAGCCCACCAGGGGGCGATGCAGGACAACTTATTGCTTAGCGCTAGCAGGGCTACATCCATGATTTGTGTAATTCACAATGAGTGCCTTAAAACTCTGGGTGGGGTGAAAAACTCCTGAAAATTGGAGGCCCAGGGCAGTCCGATGATAATCCTAAATAACAGCTTGAAAGGGACTGAGCTAGGAGTCCAGCGACAGAGATTCTAGTTCCATTCAGCTCTTGCATTTATTTTTCCTATGGCATATTTCTTAATCCCCCCTAGACCTGGGTCCTCAAGGGTCAGAGGAGAGGAGTGGGCCAGCACATCCCTGAGCTTTTCCTGGTGCAGGCTCCTGCCTGTGCTGCTGGGAGTGCAGTGATGTCTGTGGAGCTGTAGAGGGAAGAGGCGCTCCCGCGCTGAGTCTACAGGTGCTGTTTGCTCCAGTGAGTTTGAGAGGTTTTCTAAGGAGACAGACACATGGCTTTGGAAATTAACACTTTAGTTTTTTATTTTTATTTTTATTGTTAAATAGAGATTGGGTCTCACCATGTTGCCTAGGTTGGTCTCAAACTCTTGATTTCAAGTGATCCTCCCTCCTTGGCCTATCAAAATGCTAGAATTATAGACTTGAGCCACCACACCTGACCAGAAATCAACAATTCAACCTGTGGTTTTAGAAAAGGTCTGAAGCACATCACTGGCATCCTTTCCTCCGACCCTCTCCCCGTTGTGCCAGCCTCACCCTGTCTTCTCCCTCATCCCATATTCCTCACCAGGTGACAGGGGAGCGGGAGGCACGGCTTAGAAGCCCAGAGCCTGGAGTTCAGATCCAAGATTTCCAGAGACTCGGGGAGGGCTTCTAAGTCCCCTGACCAGCAGCAGGAAAAAGGGCCCAGTCTGTGGCCATGGTTCCTTCCTCAGGCAGGAACATCCAGGTCATGTTCTCCACCCTTCAGAGAGCTGCCAGAAGCCCATCCCAGGTGGGCCTCCTACCCCTAACTAACTGCAGTCCTGCAGCTGCCCAAAAGCTTGAGCCAACATTTGCTGTGTGGAAGAGGAATCCTAATTCAAAAAGAAGTTAAGGGCAGAGAAGGCCGTTTTCTGTGGAGAGCTCCCCCCTCTCCAAAACATCCCCCAGTAGGTTGGCCACCAGTCACCTCACCATCTGATGGACAAATGAGTTTTGGAAGACAGGCTGGTTAATCTCATTTACAATAGCAAATTAATTCCTGCTGGGGCCATACAGAGCCAGTTTCAGAGGGACGTTTTTACAAGTGTCTGCTCCACTCTATGGGGCATGGTTAGCAGACAGCTGCATGGCACAGCCATCTGAACTCAACAACTTTCAGCCCAGAGGGTTGTGGAGGGGCCTTACTTGGCCTTTGGGTGCAGACATTTCTGCTCATCCCCTGAGATCTCACAGATACTGTGCAGGTTGAGGTGGTCAGGGGAATTTGTCAGCCAGGCAAATTGCACAGTGGAGAGAAGCCTGGAGCATGGGCAGTGCCGCATGAATGCATGCTGAAGAGGTGAAGAAAAGGCTGAAGGAAAAGATCTCAGCCCTTCTCTTTTGGTAGACATTCATTCCATCATTCAGCACTTCCTGGGGGTCTACCATAGACCGAGGACTTTGCAGGAACCAGGCATTTGTAAGACCAGGTCCCTTAACAGGGTCACGAAACCCAACTCGTTCTTTTTCAAGGGGAAAAAACCACAATCACAGTGACTTGGGAAAACAACACAAGAACAAAATCCCCTAAAATTTACAAAAAGAGGTCTTGGTTAATTCACACAGCTACACACTCACAGGGTCTAAAAGGTGGTCACTGACAGATTCAGGCATTCAGAGCCGGGAGTTGGTCTCCATTGCCTCCTTCTGCTTTACTCAAAGTTGGCTTTGTGCTTGGGCAGGATTTCTCCCATCCCAACCAAAAATGGGCCAATATTTCAAGCCCAGATCTAGAGACCTACCCGCCTTGGACCCACGTATGTCCCGTGCTCACTTGTGAATCAATCACTGTGGCCTTGAAGTAGAATAAGATTGGTCAGCCCAGACAATATGCTGTAGGATCAATCCCACCACACCACACGGATTAGGACTGGGTGGCACAAAATTTCCCAAAATAAAACCAGGATGCCATGAGCAGGAGAAGGGTGAATGGGTCCCAGACTAGCCACAGGGATTACTCTACTCATGCAAACAAGGAATGTGGATAGGGAGGAAGCTCTGGGAGAGGGGCTAGTACAAGCGGGGGGAGTAAGACAAGACAAGAGCTCACAGGCAAATAGACCAAAGGATGCTTGAGTAAAACTCTGAAAGATGAATACAGGTCCATCATGGACAAAGAGAGCCATCGCAGACAGAGCTGAGGGTGTGCGCAGTGACCTAAATACACACACATACATAAGTGCACACACAAATACACACGCATGCACACACATACACACACACAGACACTAACCCACGTGTGCAAATACATGCACACACACACGTACATACACACACACATGCACCCTTACACACAGACCCAAAGAGTGTCAGCCCTGTAACTGCAGATTCTTGGCTAGATGTGTTACACATCTTGTTTCAATTTAATCACTGCAATAACCCTGTGAGAAAGCTAACATTTCATAAGGTTTGGGGTGAGGCTTGTGTTCTTTTCTTTTCTTTTTTTTTTTTTTTTGAGACAAGGTCTCACTTTGTCACCCAGGCTAGAGTGCAGTGGCATGATCTCGGCTCACTGCAACCTCTGCCTCCCAGGCTCAAGTGATTCTCCCGAGGAGTTGGGACTGCAGGTGCCCACCACCACACCCGGCTTATTTTTAAATTTTTGTGTAGAGATGGGAATTTTCCATGTTGCCCAGGCTGGTCTCAAACTTCTGGCCTCAAATGGCCCACCTGCCTCGACCTTCCAAAGTGCTGGGATTACAGGAATAAGCCACCACACCTGGCCATATGTTTGCTTATTTATTTATTTATTTTTATTTTATTTTATTTTATTTTTTGAGACGGAGTCTTGCTCTGTCAGCCAGGCTGGAGTGCAGTGGTGCAATCTTGGCTCACTGCAAGCTCTGCCTCCCGGGTTCACGCCAGTCTCCTGCCTCAGCCTCCCAAGTAGCTGGGACTACAGGTGCTCACCACCATGCCTGCCTAATTTTTTTTGTATTTTTAGTAGAGATGGAGTTTCACCATGTTAGTGAGGATGGTCTCGATCTCCTGACCTTGTGATCTGCCCACCTCAGCCTCCCAAAGTGCTGGGATTACAGGTGTGAGCCACCGCGCCCAGCCTATATTTGCATTTTTAACAAGTTCCGTGGTGATGCTGAGCCTGCTGTTTCAAAGCCCACTCTCAGAGACCATTGTCCTACTGTACAGTAAGGCACGCTAGCAGGAAGTCAAGAGGGCATCCAGTCAGTGAATCTGCAGAACCTTTATATGTAGGGGATTTTATTTGGAGCTTGAAATCAAATGTAAAAGAAGTGTCAAATATAGGGGCCCAACTACACTGAGAGAACACAGTGCCCTGTCCTTGATCTCAGGAACAACCCATATATCTGAGAAGACCCAGAAAGCTGGAACATACCTGGGGCTGTGTTTTTAGCTGTTTGATATGGGCATGGGTGGTGCCAATCACTCAGTGTGAAATCGTAAGGAAGTTGGCTTTGTACCAGGGATCCCAAATTGTGATTCCTGAGAAACAACCCAAACCCACCTCCAGCCTGCTGTCTTCCTCCTCTGGAGTGGGACAGGCATGCACCATGGCCAAAGAACCCCGGGTATATCTGCCTTTAGGATAACTCTGTGGAGGCTGCTCAGAACGACTTAATTCCTGTTCTTCACAAACCCCGAGGAGGCACACGGGGAGAATGGCCCATGCTAATGGCAGCATTTTCTCTTTTCAAGTTCAGTCAATTTATCCTTTTGCACCCACCTCCATTCCTCATCTCTCCTTCCTCCACTCCAAATCTGGGTCAGCTGGGAACCACATCACAAATATGGTCCATCTATACTTCTGGGGGTTCAGGGAGCAGTCACTAGCCTCCTGCCACCTGGAGGCAGTAAGACGCCCAAGGTCGGGGGAGCCTGACGTGCTAACGCCTGACTACGGAAAGCAAACACCGTGTCCAAAGGCAGAATTGCTGCTGTATCAGTCAGGATACTGATGCAGGAATCAGAAACCACTCCAGCTATTTCAAGAAAAGGGGGCGAATACTGGAAATGAGGCGCTTCCAAAACCCCTGGAAGGCCTGCAGGGGCAGGCTCTGTAGGACTGGGACCCAGGACCTCACCGCAGAACTGGCCCATCCGGAAAACTGCATGCTGCTTTTGCTATAATCACACAGGAGGTGAATCGTCATGTCTTATCCTAAGCACTAGCTCCAGGTTCCACCAGCTTGGCAGTGATACGGGGATCAAGCAGCGCCTCTGCACCTGCTGCAAACACACCAGCGAAACGGCTGCCTCCCCTCTTTCATGCAACTTGGCCGCAAGTCAAGTCTCATAGGACACCTGGTTGGTGGAACCTCAATCAGATACAGAGCCCTAGCTGGGAGGGGCCTTGGAGTTGGAGTTTTGCTTCCCCCACCCCTGCAGTAAAGGAACACCCACTAGAAAGGACTAGAACAGATGTCGGGTGAACCAATCTACTGTATCCCTCCTGGGGCCTGGGGCCTCAGAACGCTTAGTGTCCAAAGTAAATTCACCACAAACTGGTCAAGAACAAAGCAGATTTACTGCTTCATAAAACTAGAAAACCAAACACATATGTGACTTTCAGGTGTGGTTTGATCCAGGGACTCAGAAAAAAAAGTCACTGGAGCTTCATGTCTATCTCTTGACCCGGCTTCCCAGCCTAGGTCTCGGGCTTCAGCTTTTGGATAAAGGATTTAAAAAGGCACCATCTCCCCATCCCCCCAGCATCCAGTCCACTGGGAAAAAGTCATTGCTCTCAGTAGCACCTGTGCTCATCCTGGGGACATTCTCATGGGACCGGCTTGGGTTACAAGATGTGCCATGAAGTAATCACCATCTCCAGGGGTATCTGAAGGGCTGATTGCTCCAGGCGCCTTGAACCAGAGGGCCCCAGAGCCTACCTGGAGCGTGTGGACTAAGCTTGGAGTTGGTGTTGGTTTTCTGGGAGACCATATGTTTGACCTTGAAGATAGAAAAACACAACACACTCACCTCTTCTGGGATCTCCTGCCATCCCCTCCATCTCTTCCACCCCCTCCTGCCTTCTATACTATGAGTGAGTTGGGCCACTAGACACGGCAAATGCTCCCGACAGACCTGGTTCACCTAGATCTGTGAGTCCTCCCCAGCGGCCCTCCTCATTGCCATTACCGTTTCTTAGAAAACCCTTAGATTCTGGATGGTTTCTTCCTTCTCCCAGCCGTGGAGACTATTTTAGCACAGCCTCGTTTGCATTTCCAACCTGCCTCCCTGTCACTCCCAGCCCTTGCTTCTCTCCTTTCTAATGTATTTCTTTGGTTTTGCTTTAATTTTAATTACACCTTCCAGGGCAGCATCACCAGAAGGTCTCATCGGCGGGTGGATTCAGATCGATAAGAAAGTTAAATGATGACACAGGAGACTGACCTCCATAGAGTTCCAGGAGACATAATCCCACTCCCACAGGGATGACAACTTGAGCTCTGTTTGCAGCTATTCATTTCTGAAACACATTATAATAGTCAACACTAATTAATTGCCTACTACATACAGGCAAAGTGATAAATGCTTTTTATGCTTTGTCCCTCGTCCTCCCAACAGCCCTAAAGGGTGTATATGTATTACTGTTCTCATTTACAGAGCAAGATTTGACATTCAGGTGACTGTTACCAAACAAGTGACTGCTGAGGGCTGAAACATGCCAGGCACTTCTAGGTGCTGACAGTGTGGGCAAAAGAAGGTGAGAGCCAGTTTCTGCCTCCCAGGAAAACAACCTGGAGAGACAGTTAGATACTAAAGACAGCGCCAGTGTGAGACAGTGTATACTGAACCTCTGAATGCAGAATGCTGGTGCTTGGGCAGATGAAACTCCAGGAATGCTTCCCAGAGGAAGTATGACTTGAGTTGGGACTCAAAGCCCCTCCTTTGCAAGTAGCATCATCAAGTTTAAACACAGCTGATGAAAAATTCTCATGCTTCGTCTAACGTGATGATTGCGTTGGAAGAGAACACAATGTGGACATCAGCCTCTGGCAGAAGCCCATCCTGGGAGCCCCTCTCTGCAGTCCCAGGTGCACATCTATCCTCTTCTTAACAGAACTTGCACAATTTGTTCCTGCCACAGAGCTCTGGGTCAGCAACTTTTTCCCGTTATATTTAGAAAAAGTAATAAAATGGTTCTCCCCACAGGCTTTGCCAACTGGATGGTGTTATTTCAAATTAAAAAACAAAAGCAAAAACTGCAACAAAGAAGGAGACCAAATTACCCACTTGTGGGAAGGAAGGTGCAGCGATCAATCATGGGGCTCATTCCAGGCTGCTCACAAGCTGCCCCCCAACCCCAACAAGGGTGGGTCTTGGACTCCAATCCTGGCAACTCCCTGAGGTCACCAAGATGTGAGGGATGCCTGGCTCTGCCCCACAAGTGTAGTGCAAGGTCTACAGAATTGCAAACCCCTGCTTTCAAATCCTGATCAGATACTTAGCAATTCTGCATTAACCTCTCTCTGCCCTCTCACTCATTGGTAAAGTGAGAAAGATAATACTATCTATCTCATCTCATTAAGATTAAGGGAGATGATACAGTGAGGCCCTTATATGGGACCTCGCACATCGTGGGAGCTTAGTAGATGGCACTGATCCTGATTACTGTGGATCACTTTGCTTGCTAATTGATTTTCCTGGGCCCACACTGTTTAATCAAACATGAATCCACTCTCTCTGTCTAAACACGGAGAGAAAAAGGTGCGATGAGAGCAGCACTCAGCATGAAGGGCTCTCTTGTCACAGGCAGCCAGGGGGACTGGATTTCGGGTGGAAGCAGGCTGCTGATCATCTAGGGGGAAACTTCAGCACCCACCTGCCTGAGGGCCCCTGGAAGCCCTGTGATGAGGCTACTGTGTGAGGACAGAAGGCTGATTTCTGTGTAAGGTTCTCCTTTGCCTATGGAGGGGTAAAGAACCCAAAGTTCCCTGGCAATGGGGACAGTCCCCAGAGCAGGTGGCAGAAAGGCACATTCAGGGCACCCTTCCCCGTGTGCTCCCAGTGGGAACTTCCAACATGGATGCAAGGGGATTATGGAGCCCAGGACGATGTTGAAGACTGGCTCTTCTAATTTCTTAAAATCCAAATGTGCACAAGGATAAAAATCTATTTTTTCTATAACAATCTTTGCAAAAATGATCATCATAATTAATTCCAGATACAATGAATCCAGAAATTTTTCCTAGAGTGTTATTTAATTTTGCAAGACTCATGTGACTTTTAAATATTAGTCTTGGGAAGAAAAAAATTTATCCTTTGGGCATCCTCTGTCCACACTGACATCTGCAGAGCTACGGGGTTCTGACTGATCTTCAGCCATTATGTACACACTCTGAATGCTCGCAGTTCTGATCACAAGGCCTCTTTCAGCCACTTCCTTATCCCTCTGGCCCTAGTCTTGAGTTGGAAGACACTACAATGTCTGCCCACTCATAAAGTGCGAGGTACTCCCACGTCTGCCTGGTCCTAGCTATGAGGGGAGGCAGCATCTGCACAGACCTGGGCTGTGGGGAATGTAGCGTGTGCATAGGCCTGGACTGTGAGGTGCTGTGGGGTCTGCCCATTCCTGGAGAATAAGGGAAGGGTATGTGTGCACCATCTGGGCCGTGTGGGACTGTGGCATCCGCACCGTCCTGGGCCTCGTGGGACTGTGGTGTCGGCACCGTCCTGGGCCATGGGGAACTGTGGCGTATGCACTGTCCTGGGCTGTGTGGGACTGTGGTGTCTGCACTGTCCTGGGCAATGGAGACTGTTGTGCCTGCCAGTCCTGAGTTGGGAGTGACGATTGACAATTTTGTGTGTGCAGTTCCGGCCAGCCTAAACTCTGAGGGACTACAACCATCCCAGTGTTCCAGGCCACTGTTCTAGGTTTTGTGGAGATCCAACACCAGGGATGTAGAAGCGGACCCTGCAGTTTTCATTATGTCCACCTGGAAATTGGCATAGGTCCTCCCCAAATCCAGATCTAGAAACTGACATAGGTCCTCTCCGAATCCAGATTCTCCTGCCTTTCTGGCATTGCTGTTTCCTTTCCTGGTGGACCAGGGGCTTGTTCTAATCTCAGAGACTTTTCTAATGTCAGCATGTCCTCCCCTCAGCTCTCATCAACCCGCCCAGCTCAGCCCACACCTGTGTTCCATATTGATAATGGTCAGAGCAAAAACGAGTTTCAGTGTGGAGGTTTAAACAGGACCAACACAGAAAGAGCGGGGCTTCAGAGGTAATCCATACCAGACCACCCAGAGACCCCAGGATTTCTTTAGATTTCTTTAGCGTGCCAACTGCTGGCTCTGAATGACGGTTGCTGCTTCCTGGATTTGTCACCTGAAGTCCCCATGCAGTTTTAACAACTCCATGAAGGGAAGGTCCAAGCCTCAGGTGCTCCCCCGCCTCCCCTGCTTGACCCCACTGTCAGCCGTAAGACTCCTGGACTCGAGGGTCATGGTCCTGGCCTTAGGCAGGATAGCGTCCACCCCTTCTGTGACCCCTGCAGACTCTGACAGGAAAGTTCAAGGGGGACATCGAGTCACTGAGGAGGGGCTGCCCAGGGGAAGGACAAGATAGAAAGGGCCATGCAGAAGACCAGGGTAAATCCTAAAAAAGGCTCCTCACCAGGAGGGCCACGTCATGAGGAAGGGCAAAGAGGAGTTGCCCTTCTATAGAAGCTCATTGCCAGGCAGAGGCAATCACAGATGAGGGCGTGTTCCCAAGTTCCCTTCACAGAAAAGGGCGGGTCATCGGGGCTCCCCTCACAGAGGAGGGCGGGTCCTCGGGGTTCCCTTCACAGAAAAGGTGGGTCCTCGGGGTTCCCTTAACAGAAAAGGACAGGTCCTGGGGTTTCCCTCACAGAGGACAGCAGGTCCCTAGGAGCCCCTGACAGAGAAGGGCGGGTACCCAGGGCTCCCCTCACAGAGGAGGGTGAACTTCTGGGGTTCCTCACACAAGCAGGGAGGGTCCCCAGGGTTTCCCTCAGAGAAAAGGGTGGGTCTCCAGGTCTTTCCTCACAAAAGAGAGCTTGTCCCTGGGGTCCCTCTCACAGAAAATGGTGGGTCCTTAGGGATTCTTCACAGAGGAGGTCAGGTCCTTGGGGTTCCCCTCACAGAAACTGGTGGGTCCCCACGGCTCCCATCACAGAGGAGGGTGGGTTCTCAGGGTTCCACTCACAACGTAGAGCAGGTCCCCAGGGCTCCCCTGACAGAGGCAGGTGGGTCCTCAGGGTTCTTTTCCCAGTAAAGGGTGGGTCCCCAGGTCCTTCCTCACAGAAGAGGGCTGGTCTCCAGGGTTCCCCTCACTGAAAATGGTGGATCCTTTCTTCACAGAAGAGGTCGAGTCTTTGGGGTTCCCCTTAGACAAAAGCGTGGGTCCTCAGGGCTCCCCTGATAGAGGAGGGCAGGTCCTCAGAGTTTCCCTCACAGATGAGGGCAGGTTTCAATTCCCCTCACAGAGGATGGTGGATCCCTAGGGCTTCCCTTACTAAAGAAGGCCGATCTGGGGGCTCCCCTCACAGAGAAGGGCAGGTCCCCAGGGTTCCCCTCACAGTAAAGGGCGTGTCCTTAGGGCTTCCTTCACGGAGGAGGTCAGGTCCCTAGGGCTCCCATCACAGAAAAGTTTGGGTCTCTGAGACTGCCTTCACAGAGAAGGGCAGGTCCCAGTGGTTCCCCTCACAGTAAAGAGCAGGTCCACAGGTCTTACCTCACAGAACAGGGCTTGTCCCCAGGGTTCCCCTCACTGATAATAGTGAGTTCTCAGGGCTTCCTACATAGAGGAGGTCGTGTCCTTGGGGTCCCCCTCACAGAAAAGGGCAGGTCCCCATACCTCCCCTCACAGAGAATGGTGTGTTTCCAGGGTTCCAGGGTTCCCCATAGAGAAAAGAGTGAGTCCCCGTCTCCTGGCTTGAGACACCCATTCTCCAGCAACAATAATAAAGATCATCTTTGGGTGCCGGAGTGTTCTGGATTCCTGAGACTGGGCCATATGGAGTGTGTAGCCTGCGGGGAGAGGAACCAAACAAAGACCATGGAAAACCATGACGCAGGCAGGGAACGCAGTGCACGTGTGTAAGTGTGTGTGTGAGAGAGAGAGACAGTGTGCGTGTGTGTGTGCTTGTGCATTTCTGTGTATGACTGTGTTGAGTGTGTATGTGTGTGTGAGTGTGCATGTATCTGTGTGTGTTGAGTGTGTATGTGTGAGAGAGTGCATGTGTGAGTGAGCGCCTGTGAGTGCATGCGTGTGTGTGTGTGTGTTTTATATGCACTTGTCAGGAAACGCTTCACTGACAAGCTGTTACCCGAGCCAGGACCTGAGATATTAAGGGAGGGAGCATTTCATGAAGAGAGAGGAGGCCACCAAATAATTGTAGGAAAAAGTCCCTGAGAGTGAGGTGTGGTGGGGACAGGGGGAAGTGGTGCTTTAGAAAGGGCAGGTCAAGGCCCCTCACTTAAGTATGCAGATCAGATTTCCCTTCCTCCTGCTGTTTTAATCTAGGACGGTTTCTGGCTTTAAGTGGTTAAATGTTCCTTTAAATTGGTTTATCCTTGTGTTTAACAGTATTTTGGCAACCAGCACATAGATCTCTATTTTTTGGTTTAAGAAACTAGGGATACAAAAAAAAATTATTAAAAACTAATATAATAGGCCCCAAATGCCAAAGACCATTTTATTTAATTTTTAATTTAAGAAAAAGAATTTCAACTTTTATTTTAGATTAAGGGGCGCAGGTGCAGGTTTGTTACATGGGTATACTACACGATGCTGAGGTTTGCGCCACAAATGATCCCATCACCCACATAGTGAGCATAGTACCCAGTGGATGATTTTTCAGCCCCCTCTCTTCCTGCCCCATCTAGTAGTTCCCAGTGTCTGTTGCTCTCATCTTTATGACCATGTGGGCCCAATGTTTAGCTCCCACTTATAAGTGAAAATATGTGATATTTGGTTTTCTGTTTCTGTGTTAATTCGCTTAGGATAATGGCATCCATCTCCATCCATGTTACAGCAGAGGACATAATCTCATTCTTTTTTATGGCTGCATAGTATTTCACGGCATATATGTCCCACACTGTCTTTATCCAGTTTACCATAGATTGATTCCATGTCTTTGTTATTGTGAACAGTGCTTCAGTGAACACATGAATGCATGTGTCTTTTTGATAAAATGAATCATTTCCCTTTGGGTATATACCCAGTGGCGGGATTGCTGGGTCGAGTGGTATTTCTGTCTTTAGTTTCCAAAGACCACCTTGAATCCCACTTGAGTTATTTTATTTTCAGCTTATCTTAAAACCTAAAGGTATTAGTTTGTTCTCCTGTTGCTATAAAGAAATAACTGAGACTGGGTAATTTGCTTTTGAACGGAGTCTTACTTTATTGCCCAGGCTGGAGTGCAGTGGCATAATCTTGGCTCACTGCAACCTCCGCCCCCTGGGATGAAGCCATTCTCCTGCCTCAGCCTCCCGAGTAGCTGGGACTACAGGCATGTGCCACCATGCCTGGCTAATTTTTGCATTTTTAGTACAGACGGGGTTTTGCCATGTTGGCCAGGCTGGTCTCAAACTCCTGACCTCAAGTGATCACACCACTGCACTCCAGCCTGAGCAACAGAGCAAGACCTTGCCTCATTAATAATAATGATAATACAGAATATCTATGGAGAAAGACGGCCATCCAGAGAGGGGAACCATACAGTCTGCTGCCCAGGACCAGGGCAAAAAGGAAGGGCTCTTATGAACCAGACCAACTGCCTTCAGTCTCTACCCAGGGAGGGTGAGCCATTGATCCAGCCATACAGCTCATTAGAGGCAGGACTAAGGCATAAGCAGGACCCCTGTATCCTGAGCTGGTATTCCCCTTTCTACCACAGGGCCCTGGCAGACAGTTTTTACTCCTGCCATGAAGCTCTGGAGCCAGAGAGAGATGAGGAGTCCCCTGCTTGTCCTGGGGCAGGAAAGAGAGAGGCAAAATCCTGAGAGCTCTTACCCAGAGGTGGAGTCCTGGACTCACAGTCAAGGTCTGGGCCCCATGCACCACGTGGGTCCTAGTTAAAGGGTGGTTGTAGCAGATGCCACCAGAGTCCTCCCGTCTTCCCACAGGACTCCTCATTCCGGTGCTCTCTGCTCTGACTTCCAACAGCCAGGACCTGCGTTCTTTGGCCTGAAGCCTTTCTCTGGCTGTTAGGATGCTACCAGGTTTGAAGTGATTGAGAATCAGCACCCTTAGGAGTAGCCTAAAAATGACCTACAGGGGCCAGTGGAGAAATACCCCAGCTCGCTGGCCCGTCAACTGGGAAAACTCTGTGTGCCCTCCCAGAGTTCCCCACGGGATTCAGCTCCACCCGCCCATGGTGGTGGCTGGCTCCATAGCTGCACCTGACTGGTGGTTTTCCCTTTTCTTCCTAATTTCATCTAAATAAACTACTTGCCCTCAAATCTTCATCTCCAGATCTGCTTCTGGGGAACCTCCACTCAGATCCTCTTACGTATACAAGAGGATGGAGGCTCCTAAACCTGTCTCTTGGTGTGCTCTGATGATAGCTGTTCCAACCACGAGAAAGTCAGAGTTAACTTAACAGATGTTTATTGAGCACCTAGCATCCGTCAGTCACTTTATCAAATGCAGAAAGAGCCAGACGGGAAAGCGTGACACAAGGTTAGTCCTCTCAGGAGACATTCTAGCTGAGACTGTGTGGCTTAAGCACCTCAAAGGTAAAAAAAACTGCCTAACGAAGAAAATATGGCAAGGGCATTTGTCAAGGAAAAATCAAAGTTCTCTTTTCCTCTACTCTCACACTCAATGCAGACCACTTCGGTGGCCAGATGCATGGGTGTCCTCCCACACACCGAGCAATTCTCCAGCAGACACCAACTGGGTGTCCTGTATTTTAATTCTATGCTGACTCCTTCTACCTGGAGTTAGACTCAGATCCCACAGTCTAAGGGCTCAGTCTCAGAAGGCTGCCCCCACTTCAGATACCAATTACAAGTAGTAAGTTGCCATCTATGCGTCTGACCCATCAGCTGTAAGTTGGGATTCCCACCACTCCCTTGGGTTTGCTTAATTTGCTAGGATGGCTCACAGAACTCACGGAAGCATGTTTACCATTTTATTATAAAGGATGTCATCATGGACACAGATGGACAGCCAGAGGAGGAGAGTCACAAGGTAAGGTTTGGGGTGGAGCCTCCATGCCCTTTCTGGGTGTGCCCCCCTCTCAGCACCTCCAAGGGTTCAGCAACCCAGAAGTTCATCAAATCTTGTTGCTGAAGAGTTTTTACAGAGCCTAGTTTCCAGCCTGCCCCCTACTCCTTCCCAGAGGTCTTCAAGGGGCTGAGAGTTCAACTCATTTGGCCTATCTGGGGACCAGCCCCATCCTGAGAAGATCTAGGGGCCCTAGAAGTCCTTCATTAGCATAAATTCAGGTGTCATGGAAAGGGGCTGATTATGAAAAAGAAAAGATGCACCTATCACTCAGAAATTTTCAAGGGTCTTAGGAGCTCTAAGACAAGAACTGGAAAAAGATCACAAGTAGATTTCTTGTTACACCACAGCATTCACAATGTTAGTGTCCACTCACTTATACCACAGCATTCATTACATTAGTGTTCACTCACCACAGCATTCATCACATTTGTGTTCACTCACTTATTACCTATTAATGTGTAGATTTAACGAGCATTGGACTAGGCCACAGAGGCTCAGAAATAAATGACAAGGCGTGGGTCTTGCTGGGGTTCCTGAGGATGTGAGAAGCAGATGCACAGCCCTGGCATGGGAGTTGGGGTCTTGGGGAAGGCAAGTCCAAGCAGAGCCTGCGGGAACCCCGAGGGGCAACATGGATTTCTGGGGACAGGGAGCAGTAGGTTAATGTTTTTCCCTCTGTGATGTTTGTTTGCTTCATGAATTAGGACTAATCTTTATAAAACCTCTGCAAAGGCTTCCGTGGTCCTGTGAAAATCACCCACCATGGTTATGAAGCTTCCAGGAAAACTCACATGCACACAAACTCAATTTTAAACTATTAAAATGAGAATTAATGAGATAATATGTGTGAAATGCAAAGTGGTCTAGGTTGTATAAATTCAGGGAATAATTATGACTGTCATTCCTAATGCATCCATTCGTATGTTTGTAATTGCTCAATTCTTCAACGTTCTTCAGAGTTTTAATTTTTTTTTGTTTTTTTTTTTTACGTCCTGCACGCTCCTCTTCTCATCCCAGTATGAAACCAGCAGACTCATTTTACAACCTTGTTTTGGCAGAGGAGGCCCAAGAGCCTGGCCTCTTTCCCAAGCCGCCACAAAGATATCAGCTTTGGAAATGTGCCCAAAGCTCGTAGCTGGAATGACCTGCACGGAGTCCTAGGAAATAAGCAGGCTTGGACCCAACCCAGCCAGAAGGTCATTCCCCACCCGCTGGTCTCCCCGCCGTGCTTTGGAGCCACAGTCACCTCCAGAGTGTCTTGGTTGCTACCACTATTCTGACCCCAGTTTTTTGTTTTTGTTTTAAAGCCCTTAAGGAGGCACAGCTCTCCCCAGAAGGGCTAATTCCTTGTCTCACAGCAAGACAATTTGTATGAATTTTCACTAAATCTCACCATGGCCTTGACTCCCCACCAGGAAGGGCAACTTTATTTCCCAGTTTCCAGGCTCTGGAAGGCTGTGGATGCCACCAGTATCTCTTTTGTTTTTAAACACCATGTGAGGGTGGTGGGGATTTACAGGGACCACATCTCAAGTACTTGAAACTTGTAAAGGTTCTTTTTATAAATGATTCTTTATCTGGTGACTGTTTGCATTGTGGTTTCTAAATTTGGAGTCCCTTGCATTGTTGCTCACTGCATTTTTAATTGACAGATTTTTGTTGGCCGTCTATTGTGCCCTCAGCTCTCGTTACTCATGCACAGATGTAGAGAGTAGGTGTTTGCTTTGAGGAGTTTAGACTCTTGCAGGGGAGAGCCTGTGTGACGCACCTGTCTGTCTCTCCCTCATAGCAGTGAATCATGTGCTGCCTTGATTTAAGTGCCTGTCTCGTCTGTGAGCTGCCCAGGGACGAGGGCCGTACCATTCTGTTTCTGCGCCTAGCCCACTGCCTGACGCAGAGCTCACACTCCAGAGATATGGGCCAAATGGATGGGGAAAGGTGTCTGTGGTGTTATGTGGGCACTTTCTCTGGGGCACAGCACCACGTACTGGGTGTGCAGTTTGGGGTGGAGTGCAGCCCGGCAGCTGGGAATTGGCAGCACTGATCACAGCCATTCCCCCAAGCCCCCCACCTGTATTCCCTGTTGCCTCAACCTGTTAGGTAAGCAGTGGTGCCATGGCTTTTCCCAGAATGCTCTGAGGGAGGAAACACATCCCTGTATAATTCTCTCCTTTCGAAATTAGCTGTTTTCAAGGCAGCATTGTTTGTCAACTGCAAGAAATCGGGCAGGAGGGCTTATCACTCAGAGCTATTTTTCAGGCTGAAGGACACAGCCAAACAGCATCCCCAGAGCCGGCAGCGCACTGTGAAAGGAGCCATGGCTGCCATCAACTCCAGGCACTCACAGTGCCTGATGACGGTCTGGCCTGGTTCATGAGGCAGGAGGCTCAGGGCTTCCCAGGGGGTTGGGAATGCCCTTTGCAGGTTCCCATTGTGCGCCATGCACCATGCCAAGTACCCTCCACCTGCATCATCCACCACTTTCAGGGCCTGCTGAGGTAAGGCAAGAGTGCTGCCCTGGGTGTGAAATGTAAGGAGACCCTCACTCTTAGGCTCCTGCAAGTGCAGGGCTGGCTACTGTCAGTTTTTGTGCCCCAGGCACCTCTCTTGCCTCACCTTAGCATCTCCCCTTCCAGAAAACATCCCTGCAAGGTAGATATGATTATACTCATTTACTAATGAGGAAATGAGCTTTGGAGAGTGGCTTAGTTTATCCAAGGACACAAAGGTCGCAGAGCCTGGAGTTAGCCTCCCAGCCCTACGTCCCTAACCACTGTACAACCCAAGGTCATTCTGCAGGTGCATGATGGAGCTCATGATGGCCTCATGTTGCCTTGCCGAAACAGCACAGATGCCACGTGAATGGGGCACTGCCCTGGCAATTGTAGAAAGTAGGTGTTTGCTTTGAGGAGTTCAGACTCTGGCAGGGAAGCCTGTGTGATGTACCTGTCTTTCTGGGCCCTGAGAAGACCTGAGTGTCCAAGGCCCCTCTCCACTCATGAGGCTTCTGGCCCAGGCTCATGCAGCTCTGGTTTTTTGGCTGATTTCCTGCCACACGGGTGCCATGCACTCTAGGCAGAGGCTGTCCACACTGAACCTGCAGACAGTTTAGCCCCAAAGAGCAGGCTTCTAGAGCTACATAGCTTCCTCAAATCCCAGGATCTCACTGCCTCACTGAATGGCTGAGGCAAATTCCTTAATCTCTCTGTACTTCAGTTTCCCCATCTAGAAAATGTGTCCTAGGTCACATGTTATGGAGGTTATGTGTATGACAGCAGGGAATTTCCTTATTCACTCATTTGCTACTATTTAAGTTTGACAACTTCTTGAAAAGTTTTTCCTGCCCAGTGCACTGACGAAACCATTCACCAAGACCATGGTGTTGCAGTAAAAACAGCTTAATAGACATGAGGCCAGCCACATGGAAGAGAGAGTTATCACTTAAATCAGTCTCCCTGAAGGCTTGTGGAGGTTAGAGTTTTTCAAGACTAGTTCGATGAGCAGAGGAGGGAAGGAGGAATGTTGATTGGTTGAAAATGAAATCATAGGGGTGTGAAAAACAATCCTCATGCACTGAGTTCACCTCTGGGTGGGGCCACAGGACCAGCTGAGTCATGAGTCTGAGGTGTGGGTGGTAGGGTCAGTTGGTTGCCAAAATTGCAAACGTCTAAAAAGACATCTCAAAAGGGTTGTACAGTGGATAGGGTCATAGGACTGGGAACCTAATTTTGTGTCTTTGGGTGAGCTAAGCCACTCTCCAAAGCTCATCCTCTCATCAGCAAATGAGCATAATCATTTCTACCTTGCAGGGTTGTTTCCTACAGAAGAGGAGATGCTAAGGTGAGGCAAGAGAAGTGCCCAGGGCACAAAAAAGACAACTTATTGGGAAGGTCCAATAGGAATTCACTTACACCTCCCACCTTTGTAGTTCTGCTATTCACTGTACTGTGTGGTAGACGTAGCATGTTGCCGCTGAATACTAGCATTGCTTTTGGAAAATTAAAATGCCCATCATCTCTTAATGCACTAGAAATAGGAAATTAGGAACACAAGTCCAAGCTTAAAATTTTAGTACTTCTCCATGCAGACTAGTGCACATGTGAAATGGCATTCAGTTTGTCTAGATAGTGATGCAGAGCGTTGGAGCATTCATAATTGACTATATTCTCCAGAAAGTCTAGTGAAAATGTTATGCCCTAAGTAACAGCAGAGTAACATGAAAACAGAGTTATTAAAAAGTGCCAGGCACTCTTGGTGCCTCCTCGGAGAGTTGTCAGGGTTATTTAGGTTGCTATATGTGGAAATGCTTCCAAGAACGCCTGGCACTTTCTTACTACTATGTTTGTTCTTCTTACTATTTGGCAAATAGACATATTCAACACACACAGTGTTAAGAATGTGAACTAATTATCAATATTTACGAATCCAAGGAACTTATGTAATCACATGGATTTCCAGCTTCTATGAGAAGTCAGAAGTTTTGCCAGTGCTGGGTTGACATGTCCGAGTTGTCGGCAAGCTTCCTCCTGCTGCCAGGGTCTTCCTCCCAGATGCTCAGGTCCTGCTCGTCCATGCCACTCACCTGGTCCCACACAGCATGTGAGTCTGCACCTCCTGATTTAGTGTTTGCTGCACACCTGGCATAGGAGCCAGCAAGATGCAGTCGCTACTTCTGAGTTGAAGCAACGGAAAAAAAAAATTCAGGCTAGGATATGAGTCTGGAGAGTGTGACCTGGAGTGAGAGCCTTGCGAGGAGGCTATACACTCTGGGCTGAGACTGGATGGACGCCCTTCGTCTAGCGTGTCTTCTGACTGTGGAAATCATAGGTCTCCGCTGAAAGCTTTAGTCAAGGGAATGTTGCCAGCTTGAAGGGGTAGCCTACGCTCTGATCTGTCCTCACCTGTTAACTTACAGCACTTGAAACTATCCAGGTACTTGGTCACACCTTTCTGGTCATCTCTCAAGGACAGATCATGCAAAGGACACAAAAAAGATGTCCAGCCTGGTCATTTGGCACCAGCAAGCTAAGCTCCTCCCCAGGGACACAAGGTCCTGCCAGGCTGACCCCTGCCCACCCTCCTGACCTTACTTCCTGGTTACTTTCACCCTGCCCCCAGGCCTCAGCCATACTGTTCCTCCCCTGTTCCAGGAAGTTTCAATTCTTTTTCCCTCTCCCTGGCTCACTCTCCCCTGCACCCCCTTCTCATGGCTGCCTCATTCTCAGCTAAAATGTCCCCTCCTTGAACTGTTCCTGAACCCCAGTTCCTGTAACCACCTCTGCAAAGAATATGACCATCAGAGAAACAGTATGGCTGACTCCATCTTGCTTCTCATCTGCAGCCTGTCCTCGCTCATTCCTGGGCATAGGCCAGGCTAACCATGGAAAGAATGTAGTTGATAGTTTAAAACAAGGATGATAATAACCTTTCTTAAAACGAAGCCACCTTTAAAAAAATAAAAGCCCACAAGATTAGGATTATGAGGGACTGAATTCTGCTAAGACATAGGCATAGTCAAACAATAACCAGCCATTGTTTCCAAAGTCACATTTGTGACCTACCCAGTTGCTCCTGTAGATAACATCACTATTGCAGGACCCAAGTTTGGCCTTTTGAGATGCGTTTTCATACTTTTGTAGTTTTGGCAACCAACTGACTCCACCTAGACCCTCGACTCATGACTCAACTGGTCCTGTGGCCCCACCCATAGGAGAACTCAGTGCATGAGGACTGTTTTTCAAACCCCTATGATTTCATTCCCAACCAACCAACATTCCCCCTTCCCTCTCCTGCTCGCTGAACTATCCTTGAGAAACTCTAACCTCCACAAGCCTTCGGGGAGACTGATTTAAGTGATAACTCCCTCTTCCGTGTGGCTGGCCTCACGTCTATTAAGCTTTCTTTACTGCAACACCACAGTCTCGGTGAATGGTTTCGTGGGTGCAGTGGGCAGGAAGAACTTGTCAAGCAGTTAAATTCTTCATAGCCACTTCCTATCACATCACTATTTCATTTCTGTTGTGGCTCTTATCACCCACAGGAATTATTTCATTTACTGACTTTCTCCCCTCAGTAGGTTTCCCCAGGCAGGAACCTCAGTGCCTTGTTCACCTCTGATAACCCCATGCTTGGAAGGTGTGTGGACACACAGCTGACAGAGTAGTGTGTCTGGATGAAGGGTCTGCATGTTTACCATTCAGTGTCCTTGGTAACTGTCAGTTAAATGAACGCATGAATTGAGAAGAGTTTTATTTTAAGAGACACACATGTACCCAGTCAATAGTGTAAGGACAGGGTGCCTCCAGAAAAATGCAATCAAAGTGGGAGGGCACATGGCAGGAGAGTCATTCATTCTATCCAGAAGATCAGGGACTTCCTGGAGGAGACAGCATGAATCATCCATCTGAATCAAAAGAGATCAGCAAAAAGAAGGCAGCAAAACAAGCCTTGAATGGATGTCTCTCAGGCAGACATAAGTATGCTCACAGAGGACTATCAAAGATCTCTTGAAAGTAGTCTTTCCAAATTCCATGCGTCTGAAGAGTGTGTTGCTTCTGCCTCATGGAAATGAAGCAAGGTAGAAATTAAGATAGTATGTAACCTTGCACGTTTCTCTGCCATTTTGAAGCACATTCAATACAATTTTATGCCATTGCTCTGACCAATTGATTTATGTTTCACTATAGGAAGCTCCATATTCTATTTTCTATGCAGGTGAGTCCTTTCTGTTTGATTAATGGTTGACTCCATGCAGCATTTTTGTGGCCAGTCCTGGAAATCCAGGCAAGCAGTTCTTGCACAGGAATACAGATTCCCTCTGACAGCACCATTTCATCAGACAGTCGGATGTTATCTCAATGCCATTCCATCCCTCTTGATTCCTTTGTTGGGAGCTTTAAAGCCTGCTACAATAAGAGAACAGTGTTCAGCATTCAGCACACACATGCACATCTACACACTCACACACACAAACATGTCAATTAATGAAGAAGTCTTGGTGTAAAATGTCTCTGCTTTTCCTGCTGTGGTTGGATAAAAAATGTTTCTCTTGGCCTGTGACCTGATCTGTCTTCCCAGTTCTTTTTCCCTGTCTTAGGCACACTTTTCCACATTTATTGAGTCAAGGATTTGTATGCAGGGAATTTACTAAGAAAATATGCTGTGGGGGACCCCATAGGAAGTCGGGGAGTGGACTCAAAGAAGAGGAGCCCAGCAAAGATGGTGCTTCAGAAGTTACAGCTGCAGCCTGATGCTGAGGAGGACTCTGCTATATAAATTACACCTGGGAATTTGTGGATGTGGCACAAACACACTTCCAGCCTCTGCTCTTGAAGGTAAAGTGGCCCTAACCTGAAGGCAGCATTTGGGCTGCTGGAAGATAAAGCAAACGGAAGCCGAGGGGAGGGAATCCCAAGAGATGGAGCAAACCACCGACACCGGCCCTTAGAGCTCATTCCCCTTCCTTTCCTTCCTCCCTCCTTCCCTCTCTCCCTCTTTCCCTCCCTCCCTCTTTCCTTTCAATTTCTAGGGGCAGGGAGGTTAATGCCAACAATCATAGCTAGTGTATTGCTTTTTATTTTTTTCAAAAAGCAAAAGCATAAGGTGATCAGTTTACTGATGGAGAATCTGAGGCTCAGGAAAGCAAAATACCATGGTTAACCAAGGCCACAAGGCCAGTCGGTGGCAACACAGGATCTAACTTGCAGCTTGCAGCTCAGTGTCCCAGGCAGTCTTTGAACTGCACTGAGCAAAGTGGTTCCAGAACTTCACAGGTTGCCTGAGAGGAAGCCGCTTCATCCACTCAGGCATATGTGACATTTATGTGCATAATATGCACATTGCAGCAGACACCCACTTACGACATTCTTAATGATGTCACACACCTGCATGCAGCCCCTGGGACATTTCTCACCCTGGCCCAAGCAGTAGATCCTGTGATCTGACAGCTTCACTTTAATACATCTAATAAAATTAAATGGCATCATATAAAATTAAAGCCATAATTAAAAATTAATTAGCATGTACTATCTGGCAGCCTCAGTATCTACTGTAGCATCTTAAACACTACTCATATAACTTTATTGATTGGAAAAAAAAAGACAAAGTGCAAAATAAAACTAGCAAGCTAGCTGTCCATGGGTGAAAGCAGCAGGACTGTCACACTGCAAATGCTACAACGAAGTGTCAGATCTGATGCTTTGGAAACGTGTTTTGGCAAGGGAAAGTCAGGGCAGGAGATATTGACCTCGACAATAAACATGCCTCTGAGAGCCCTTCATAGAAGAACAAATGTTTGCTTTAGACATGGAATGTTGGTGGGGTTTTAACCCCCTTGGGGAGGTTTCAAGTGCATAAAAAGTCCAATCGTGAATATCAACAAAAAAACCTAAATGTTTTTCTTTTCAATGGAATGGGAGGAAGTCAATAGTCAGAACTCACCTGGTCATCTCTCTCCACATGGTTTGCTAATAGGGAATTGCAGACAGGCAGCACATTTTTGTTTCAGACAAAGGAACAAGGACATCACCTCCTATGTTTCCAGAGTACTCTTTATTTCTTTTCTACATTTGTAAACTTCCTGTAAGGTTGGTTTTCAATGTTTTGATTATTTGTTCTGCATTAATAAATAAGTAAGGTTGTTTTCCTGTTTGTCATCATCAGTTCTACTAAGGTAGAAATATAAGGAAGCGTTTTGTGTCTTCCCCCATTGCCCAAATAATTCTTAAACTTGGTTTATGCAAATGAGGTGCTAGAGAATTTTAGAAGATGCTAGACCTTAAATTTTCCTAGGGAAGCTGAGTGTGGACCAGATGAGGAAACTATCGAACAGAGATGCAGAAACAAAGCTAGACCTCAATTAATCAAGTCAGCGTTGTTGTGATCCACCATTGGTAACTACCACTTGCTGACTGTCATCTTTGCCAGCCATGGTGTTAAGTACTATATGTAAATAGCCTGGTAAGATTGGCACTGATATTATCTTTATAAGGTGGACGGCAGCACCCAGGCTCAAAGCACATGTTACTTTCTTAATGATCACATGGTTAGAAAACATCAGTGCAAGGATGCAAATCTGGGTGACCTAACTTTGCCTCTGGAATGCTGCCCTCAACTTCTCCTTCAATTCAGGACTGTGAAAAACTAATATATCAGGAGCTCTGAGAACCTAGTAAGAAATGCTGGTGTTAGAGAAAGAACCAGGAATGTTCATGGGGCTTCACTAACTCAAGCAGGAAAAGGTCAACCCTTTTTTTTTTTTTTTTTTTTTTTCTGAGATGGAGTCTCACTCTGTCACCCAGGCTGGAGTGCAGTGATGCAATATCGGCTCACTGCAACCTCCGCCTCCCAGGTTCAAGCAATTCTCCTGCCTCAGCCTCCCAAGTAGCTGGGACTACATGCACCCGCCACCATGCCCAGCTAATCTTTTGTATTTTTTTAAGTAGAGACGGGGTTTCACCATATTAGCCAGGATGGTCTCGATCTGCTGACCTTGTGATCTGCCCGCCTTGGCCTCCCAAAGTGCTGGGATTACAGGCGTGAGTCACTGCGCCCGGCCCGAAAAGGTCAACCTTTATAAACACATTTGATGCCACTTTACTGCAGACAAAACGCTAGAGGGAGTTTTAACTCAAACTTCTTTATTGCTTTAGAGCTTTCAAAGCACTTTTACATCTCCCCGGTCCTTAGCTCCTCTGTGTATGACCTCTGGGGATACTGAGGCTCAGAGAAGTGAAACCTCATGGCCATGGCTACTCAGTGAAAAAGTGACAAATCCAAGGTTTAAACTGTGAACTTCTGCTGTCAAATGCAGAGATTCACAACCTGGTGTTTCCAAAAGAAGACTGCAAAGACATGGAGAAACAGTTACTGCATGTTCTAAACCCAAATGATGGCTCATGTTTAATTGTATGTATGGAAAACCCAGGTATAGATGATGTGAATATGAGAATGCAGCTGTACTTTCAAGGAACTTTTGATGTGACTGTAGTGAAAACTACAGTGAGCAAAGCTCCCCTGAGATGGTAGCAAAAAGAAAGAGAGAGAGAGAAAGAAAGAAAGAGAGAGAGAGACAGAGAGAAAGAAAGAAAGCAAGGAAGGAAGGAAGGAAGGAAGGAAGGAAGGAAGGAAGGAAAGAAAGAAAGAAGAAAGAAAGGAAGAAAGAAAGAAAGAAAGGAAGGAAGGCTTTTTAGCTGAAGAGTTCCCATGTACGTACTATTGTTTCTTAATAATCCGAAGAAGAATTCCAAAAGGTCTCATTGCAAAACATTGCAGAGTGGAAAAAAAAAAAAAACCTTCAGTGTTCTCTATAACTAATTTAATCCCTCAAACACAATGGTTGGCTTTGAAGTCACACAATTAAAAACTAAGCATTGCCTTTGTTGGAGGTAAGTTAAAAGTGCTGAGCCTCAGGCTCTTTTCATGTGTGAATGGAGTGATCATTTCTCTGAGAGCAGGAAAACGTGTGAATCATATCATGGCCTTCTGCTACCAACAAATACTGCTATTCACATCCCAAACCTTCTCCACTTTTACCCTAGAGAAGAGAAAGTTTGCCAGTGTCCACGTGAAAATGATGATGTTGCTGTTTTGTTTTCCCTGATTTACATTTTTCATGTTCTTTGGATGTTGGTGGCAAGAACACAGGTTTTGAACTCTGATTAAACTGGATTCAATGCCATGCTTTGCCATGTACTATCTTTCTGGCCTTAGACCATTTATTTAAACTCTCAGTCTCAATTCCTCAACCGTAAAATGGAAATTAAAAGCTACTTCATAGTCGTTATGACAATTAAGGGAGATATTATTGTGCAAAGCCCTGCTTCTGAAAGCATGACTTACACAGCAGCATCTTCAGCAACCCTGGAAACTTGTTGGAAATGATGACTCCGAGGTTCCACCTAGACTTGCTGTACAGGAACTTGCATTTTAACAATACCTTGGGTGATTTCTTTGCACATTATGGTTTAGAAGCACTGATATACAGCACATTGTATTGGTTTCTATTGCTGCAGTAACAAATTATCTCAAACTTTAAAACAACACACAGGTATTATCTTACAGTTATGGAGGTCAGAGGTCCAAAATCCATGTCATTAGTCAAACATCGAGGTGTCTGCAAGGCTGGCTTGTTCTGGAGGCTCTAGGGAAGATCTGTTTCCCTACCTCTGGTTGTCTTCTGGGGGCTGCCCACATTCCTTGGCCCACGACCCCTTCCCCCATCTTCAAAGCCAGCAAGTGACACAGCATCATCTCATCTCCTTCATGGACTCTGATCCTCCTGCCTCCCTCCTATGAGGGCCATTGTGATTATATCTTCCCCACTTAAGTAATTCAGAGAAGCTTTTCCATCTTGAGATCCTTAACTTAAATCAGCAAAGTTTTCATTGCCTGGGTAAGGTAACACAATCACAGGTTCTGGGGATCAGAGGACGTGGACGTCTCTGCAGGGCCATCATTTAGCCTAGTAGGTCCTTATGGAGGTTGACTATTGTTTTAGTCCATTTTGCCTTAATATAACAGAATACCACAGAGTGGGTAATTTATTTTTTTAAGACATTTTTTGGCTCATGGTTCTAGAGGCTGGAAAGTCCAAGAACATGGCACCAGCACCTGGTGAGGGCCTTTGTGCTGCATCACAACTTGAAGGAAAGCAGAAAGGCAAGCAAGGGTAGGAGTGAGAAAGGGAAGAGGGCTGAGCTTTCTTCTTTTACCAGGAGCCCATCCTCCTAATAACTAACCCACTCCCAAGATAACAGCATTCATCAATTCTGGAGGGCTCTGCTCTCATGACCTAATCACCTCCTAAAGAATTCACCCCAATACTGTCACAATGACAATTAAATTTCAGCATAAATTTTGGGGGAGACATTAAAACCATAAAAGCTATTATGCTTATCACCACTATCTGCTCTCCTCCTTCTCCCCCTCACTTTTCTTAACAAAAGGTCTTCATTAACTAGGAAAGCCCATTTGACAAGTGCTCTGGTTAATCAAAGCTTTTTACACCTATGGTCAGCATTCCATCAACTAGGAAGATATGGCCTTGTTCACAAATTGCTTTAGACACTAGATTGTAAGAAGAGTCAAATACAGTAGTGGGCTCTCAAGATGCTGAGTCACAAAGCCTGGATTCAAATTCTGACATTCCCACTTATCAGCTCATTAGCCTCAGGCAATTTCCTTCACCTCTCCAAGCCCCAGTTTTCTTCTTGTAAACCAGAAGTAACAATAGGCCCTGCCTCAAAGAGCTCAGGGAAGATTAAGGAAAATGAGAGCTCCTGGTAGCTCTTGGTGTCCAATATAGACTAAGAGTATCTTGTTTTCCCTCTCAAGGGCTTGGTGTGGGGCTGGCCTAGAGCCAGTGTGCAGCAATCCCTTGGCAAGTCTCTGATGCATAGCAAATTGAGATCATATCTCTCTTAGCAAGTCCCCAATCATCTTTGGGAATTCTGAAGATCATGATTTTTTTTTTTTTGACAGGTTGTTTCTCTGTCACCCAGGCTGGAGTACAGTGGTGTGATCCTGGCTCACTGAAGCTTTGAACTCCTTGGTTCAGGTAATCCTCTCACTTCAGACTCCCAAGTAGCTGGGACTACAGGTGCACACCACTATGACTAATTATTTTTATTTTTTGTATAGATGGGGTCTCACTGTGTTGCTGAGGCTGGTCTCAAACTCCTGACACCAAGCAATCTTCCTGCCTTATTCCCCCAAAGTGCTGGAATTACTGCACCAGGCCTGAAGGTCATGAATTTCAAGTTTTACATGGCACCAAGTCTCTGATCTTTCTTTAACTTTTTCTGAATTTCAAGGCCTATTGGTGAAGGCATCCCATGATGGCAATAAATGTTCATAGTTCTGGAAAAACAAAGAAGCCTCAGAATTATGATGTAATTCAGCCAAGATGAGTCTTTAAATACAGCAGCTAAGTTAAGAATCCACTAAAAATTCAGTCCTTAAGGTAAACACAGACACCATGAATAGATCAAAGTGGAATTATGATCTCGTTGAGTGCAATAATGATGGTGAATTGACTAAGAAAAAATCAAAGTTGGACACAAACTCATGAAACAAGATGTTGAACTAGTAGTTACACACATAGAGTTCTAAGGCCTGCTGTCTCCTAAGATTACCTAGAAAAGTGCCCTTTGAAGCTGTGGCATCTTAGAAATAGAGTCTTGAGCCTCTCAAATCCATGCCACTGTGCCCCATTTCCCCATCGCCCCACAATACAACACACACACATTTTCTATCTTAAAATTTTTAGGTGGAATTCGTCAGAAACTGCCACTATCTGTTTCAGTAGGGTGAGTAGAGTGCTTTGTGGTCCTAAGGCAGTTGCCCTGCTTTCAAAGCTAACAATAATTTAAATGTACAAAAATGCAAATGTTCCAGGAAGTCGTAGTCTACTTCCCTGGAAGTCACTGCATGATCAGTTAAAAATAAAAATTATTAAAATAAAGATAAGATGCAGAAGCTTGGGAGATGCATTTGGCCATAAGTACAGGCCATATGCTAACACAAGCTTTGTTGGTCTTTGAGAAACAAAGAGGCTGCTATTAGCAACACTTTTCTCTGGGTGATCCTAAAAGATGGGGGTGGAAGAGATGCTTGATCTTCTGCCATTACTTTCAATTCCTTGACCTTCAGAGTTGAATTGCGGGCCTCTGTGTCAAGCAGGTCTATGGACTAGAAGTTTTAGAGATAGTCCCAGGGACAGAGGCGATTCATGCAGCAAAGTGCCTTTCCAGGTCATGACAACTCATACAAACCCTACCATTCAACTTAGAGGCCCATGTTTGGGTTCAGAATCAGCTCATTTTCAGGGAAGAGGCTTTTTAACCATTATCCCACTGGGCCTTGGCTGGCTTTGAGACCAGGTGGGTGAAATGTTGAGATCTGTAGTGGATCTCAATGACTCTTTTTTTTTTTTTGAGACAGAGTCTCATTCTGCCACCCAGGCTGAAGTGCAGCAGCATGATCTTGGCTCACTGCGACCTCCACCTCCTGGGTTCAAGCGATTCTCACGCCTCCACCTCCTGAGTAGGTGGGACCACAGGTATATGCCACCTGGCTAATTTTTGTATTTTTAGTAGAGATGGGGTTTCAGCATGTTGGCCATGGCCAGGCTGGTCTCAAACTCCTGGGCTTAAGTGATCCACCCGCCTCCCAAAGTGTCGGTATCACAGGCATGAGCCACTGCACCTAGCCTGATGACTCTTTTTGTCTTTCACGTTCCTTCCTTCAGGAAGTTGTTCTTTTCCAGCATGAGGACATACTCAACCCAAAGGCCCTCACTTCCTAGCCACAGGTGTGAAAACATCAGCCAATGAGAATGCCCCAGTTCTCTGGAGACTGGTTTTTCTGGGCAGGGGGAGGAGAAAAGAGGGGTATGACCTGAATAAGACCAATGGGGTTCTGTAAAAGAAGTTGCCTTGCGTGTTAGAAGAGATAGCATTGCTCTTTCCTTCAGAGACTCTGTGCTAATGGGATGAATTATGCCTGGAGCTTCCTAGAGTCAATTTTGTGTCAGAGAGAACTTGCCAGGGAATGACACAATAATAATGATAATAAAAAGAGAGCTAAGAAATAGAAGGAGATTTATTTCATTTGAGGTCCTGGATTCAGACATGCCTGAAGCCCCTAAATTTTTAGTTACATAAACCAAATATTCCTCTGCTTAAGCCAAGTGGTTCAGTTGCAAATGGTAAAACACAAACTCAGAGTCCAGATAGGTACAATTCCTCCAAGCCACAGTTCAAGCTCCATCTCTCTTGGAAAGACTTCCCTGGCTACTTCAGCCTCAGGGCTCCTTAGCTCTATTGAACTTAGACTGCATGTTACCATTGAGAAATGGAAGGCACCCCAGATGGTTCAATGAAGAGACTACAATATAGGGACAGTGTATAGAGTTACAGGTAGGGATAATGAAAACTAAAAAGAGATGCTGAGACATCCAAATACTAGCAACAAGCTCTCCATCCCCTAGGAATAAAGACAGGAGGGGAGGAATGGCATTACTGGGGCCTAATGAGAGCTAGAACCATCAGGCTCCATCTAGGATCTGTGGTCATGGAAGGATTAACCACTGCCAGAAACATGGTTATAAAGCAGGAATGGAGTAGGGAAAAGACATGCCTTAACTTCTTTCTCTTTCTGCCCTTGCATCTCCTGACAATGCACCTCATTGTTAAAATCAAACAGAAAAGCAGAGGGAAGAAATCCCAGGTGCTGTGGTCTACAGTGATGTACCTCTGAGCCCAGGACAGGTGAGCGAGGGTAAGAACTGAATTCAGTGCTGGGGGTGACAGACGACAGCCCACAGTATGTTGAGGTCTCATCCCCCTTTGATAGCTGACTGTGTATGGCTCTTCCTGGGGGTAATTAATTGATGTACCTTGAGGCCTTACAAAGCTGGTGATTTTGTTCCAAAGATTGAATCCATGGTGTGAAGAACAGGCATCCCCCTAAGGGAAGTTTGCAGGGCACCTGGTGTCTCTGTTTTCCTGTCTGGTATGTGGGAAGAGTGGAGCAAAACCACTGCTGACATTTTTAACAGATGTCTGACATTTTTAACACTTTTAAGTGAATCTGTGCAAACCAACAGTGTTGTCAGAAAGCAGAAAAGACTCGTCGGGCAGCAACATTGAGTCCTTTACTCATGGTCTGGAATGTAATTTCTGCAATCAATTGAGGCAGCAAGGGTAAGAAGGAGAATGAGACAGTGAGGCTGGAGAGACAGAGCACCTGCTAGTTCCTGAAGTGGTGTAAAAAACTGGCCTCGTTTCAGTGTGATTTCCAGGTAAATTTACGCACTTCTTCATCTTGTGGTTGGTGCCTTCCAGTTCCATAATGTTGCTGTTTTACAGGTGGTGGCTCTCTCTTCCATCTTCTCCTGGCAGCCCATGCATGTCATTTCTCTTTCCCAGCTATTTTCTCCCCTCCTCTTAGCCACAAAATAACTTCCCAGCCTGTCATTTCTGAGCAAGCCCCACCTTTGGATCTCCCTTTGGGCAAAGCCACTCTGCACAGCCTGGGCTGCAGAGGAAAAGGACAGGCGGGGAACAGTGGTCCTCAGCCTGATTTTGTGGCTGGTCTGCAATCCCTCATGCAGCATTCATAGAAAGCGACAAGGAGAAATTAGCCCCATTGATTTCATTTTCATAGCATCTGAGAAACAGTCCTTACCAAAGATGCCTTTCAAACATCATTCTGGCTGAAAATATAGGGTTCTGTCTCAGAGAAAACATGTTTCTGAATACACATCCAGAGCAATTTCTAAGAAAAGCAGAATCAGAATCAATATTTCCACAGTTTATGCCATTCCCTGCCTTAGTGAAGATATGCAACTTAATTTGCAGGCATTTTTCCTTACCAGGGAAATTGCCTGTGATGCTGACTGGATCAGAACCACTCATTTCAGACTCATTATACATTACACAATATCCCAAATGTCAACTCCCACCCACTACATCGGCATAGCAGCAGCGCTTTCAATAATAAATTACATCTATTTACTTTGATACAGTGGAAAGAGAATTTGAAGCATTAAGAACTCTTTTGCACCTGAAGGTAATTACAAGTGACTATACTGAGCCAGGATTGTGGCTATCTTCACTCAGCTAGGCTAAGAATGTTAAAGGGATTTTAGGGGAAAAAAGATGAGGCTCTTGCTAGAGCTTAAAAAATTACAAATATATGAATACACACACACAGCAGTCTCCAAATGTTTTCATAGTGTGGAAATCAGTTGCATTGCTTTTATATTAGGACAATTATAAGTGTTTAGCAAAGGGTGCCTGAAGTCAAATAAAAGAGAGGAAAAAAATGACTTTGTAGTTGAAAGTCATCAAGCAGTGAGAGAAAGGAGAGGTCTGTTATTTATATGAAGAGACTTTTCGATTCAATTAACTTAATTAGAAAAATATACAATGAAAAATCTGACAGGAAACTGGCAAGCTGAAATAGTCTTGGAAAAGCTTCCATGTGCTCCAAAATGTGATGGAGGGGGAGGGGAGATGCACCATCACACAGGTCTAGAACATAATGGGTAAATGTTCGACTGAGTCTAAACCAGGGCTGCAGGGTCAGAAACAGAGAGCACAGCTGGGCAGGGCTGTAGATTTCTCCTCCAGAGCTATCCACAAAGAAAATGAATGGGTTATTGAGACTAGTTGCTAGGTGTCCTGGCCTTGAAGAGGAAATGAGAAGTCAGAGGAAAAAAGCACTTCACAGGCTGCTAATAAAGACTCTTGGGAGAGAACTATGTTATTTACTTACTTGCTGTATCAGTCAGGGCATACAGGGTTATGCCGGAGTAACAAATATCCCTGAAAGTTAGTGGCTTATTATAAAAGAAGACTATTTCTTGCTAATGCTCTGTGTCTAAACACAAGCTTTCGGGGAACTCTATTCCTGTGGCCATTCAGGGATTTGGGCAGCCCAGGCACCACTTCCACCCATCTCTCCATGATTAGCACAGTCAGGGAAGACCACATGGGCAATTACAACCTGGGTGTGGAAATAACAAACATCACTTCCACTTGCATTTCACTGGCCAAAGCATGTCACATGCAGCAACACACTTCAAAGAGGGATGGGGAAGTGCTGTCTTCCCGTGGGCTCTGAAGGAGGGAGGAGTGGAATCATCACCATTAGCCTCATGACTGCCATCTCACTCAATAGAATTTTAGCCAAACAGACACCAAGAACGTTCTCTCCCCTGCAGCCCAATACCAAGAGCCCAGATAGGAAAAACAGCAACAACAGCAACAGCAGAATTTTTCTCTTATTCTCTAATTGAAAATACCTTATTCTCTAACTGGTTAAAATCAAGCAAGACCTTAAAAACTGATAAAACAGGCCGGGCACAGTGGCTCACACCTGTAATACCAGCACTTTGGGAGGCCGAGGCTGGCAAATGAGCTGAGGTCAGGAGTTCAAGACCAACCTGGCCAACGCGGTGAAACCCCATCTCTACTAAAAATACAAAAATTAGCTGGGCATGGTGGTGGGTGCCTGTAATCCCAGCTACTCGGGAGGCTGAGGCAGGAGAAATGCTTGAACTCGGGAGGCGGAGTTTGCAGTGAGCGGAGATGGCGCCATTGCACTTCCAGCCTGGGCAACAAGAGCAAAACTCTGTCTCAAAAAATAAAAATAAAAAAAAATCATAAAGCAAGAGTTTCTTGCAGCTCTATAGAGGGTGTTATTCAGCAATACAGTGATTTGCTAGAAGGAAGCATCACACAACAGTACAAGAGTGACTCATAGGAGAGAGAGAGAAGGAGAGAGAGAGCGAGAGCATCCAGCCCATGAGGCTCCCTCAGCAGGGCTCCAGCAAAGCCTGGAAGAAGAGGGCGGGAGGCTAAGGCACTCACGGTGTCTTACTCAACATGGCAGCACTGTTGGGCAAGCAATGCTACTACCATTTACCATGAGGAAAGGAGTTTCTGAGAGATCAAATGACTTTCCCAGATCAGGCAGCTCGCACATGCAGGTCTGGCAGGAAATTAAATATGGTGATGTGGGAAGCAGAGGAAGAAGCGAAAATGAGACTGCAGACTTGCGCCACAGGGAAACCAGGAAAACATATAAAGCAGTTACAGTGGTGTAAAATGTAGAAACTTCAGTCTGCTTAGTATAGGGGCAAAATGACCTTTATGTCCCAAAAGGCAGGCTCTGATAGTGTCTGAGGGTCTGTGCATCAGGCACGAGAGAGCAAAAACAAAAATTCAAAACTACCTCCAAAATATGTCCGAGTGTATTTCCTTACTGTGCAAGAAAGAATGCAAACTATAAAATATGAAAAATTTTTCTTCCAAAATGATTAATATATTTTGAAGAATTTTGATTTTAAAGGAAACAAATTCTCACTGACCAGTAAAACATGACTATCCAGAATGGCTCATTCCTGAAGGCTTCTGATTTTGGAACCTATGCCTGAGACCTCCTCAGAGCTGCTGAAAAAGCCTGAGAGCTGGGACTGGCACCACAGAAGTTCCTGACCTCCATTCACTGCCCCGTCCAGACTGGATGCATTAGTGGACTGTATTTTCATTGGTTTCTCCTGCTGTTTAGTCCTGCTGTAAATCCGGAACAGAGAGGGCAGCTCAGTAGGAAGGGTTCCAGCTCCCATACCACCGCAGAGATACAGATAAAGTCTCATCCAAATACACACACACACACACCCATACATGCACATACACACACATTCATAAACACATAATACACATACACACACCCATACACCCAACACACACAAATACATGCACACATATATATACACACACACCCACAAACACATTTATAGACAATACGTACATCCATGTACACATCCATATGCCCATATACACACATAAACAACACACTCACATGCACACACATACACCCACACAAACATAAACACATACTTACACAAATATAGACACCCACATATCCATCAACACATACATACATATACACACCCATACACCTGTACACACTCATACTCACCACACACATCCACACACATATCCACACACATCACACATATATACACACATCCGTAAACACATACACACATACACACCCATACACACATACACACAACACACAACACACACATACATATACACACACATACACCCATGCACATATGCACATTACACACAACACACAGACACACACACCCATTCAGATAGATACACATACACACAACACATACACATACATACCAATATACACATGCACACCAACACACACCCACACACCCATACATGCACACACAACAGAGACACACACATACACGCACAAAACATATACACACACATGCACACACATACACACACAGCCCATACACACGCACAATAGAGACTCCAGAATTATCAGCCTTACATTGTCACCATTAGAGGCTCCTTCCTTTGAATCTCTTAAAAGACCAACCTAAAATTGGGGAATAAAAATGTGCATTATCTTCTTGGATCTCACTTTATGATCTTAAGTGTGTTCCCTTGAATCTGAATCTTGGCTCCCCATCCTTAAAATTAGAGCAGTGAACAAAAAACATATATTTTAAAGGGTGTTCTGCGGAGCCCTAGTCCCAGGAACTGTTAGGAGTTCTAAGGCCTTGCAGCCAGATAAGATTGGGAAGGCCTGGGTGTCTTACTGGAATTTCTCAGGACATTTAATGTGCTGCTCTGTGAACAAATCCTTCGGAAGCACCGTGTTATCCACCCTTCCTTAATTACTCTGACCATGGAATCCCCCTAGTGTGTAAGGTGCCTTAGGAAATAGGCTTCCAAACCACTCAGCCCCGCCCTCGCAAGGTCCTCTGCAGCCATAACACTCATCACCCAAAGACGTAGCTGCTGTCATCATCCCCCTCAGAGGCTCAGAATGTTAGCTTCAGCCTCACTAACAGCAGAAGGGAACGCCTGGGGACAGGACTGTTCTAGGTGAAGGAGGGGTTGGGGATGTGCAGATGGTAGCAGGAGGCTTTGTGAAGGAGAGGCCAAGGGGTTCACCAGGGCCAAACTTGGCAGCCTTGCTCACAGGAGTCTACAGATGCTGCTAACTCAGCCTCAATCTCAGACAGACGATCTCATCCCCACTGTGAACAAGACGTGTGCTCCTCTAGACAAGCATGGCTCTGGGGCTGGCATCTGATTCCGATACTTACTGGACCTACATCTTGCGTAAGTCCTTGTTACCTAGAAATTTCACTTTCCACTTCCTGGTTGAAATTCAAGAGCAATGAAATTTTAATCCTTGGCCCTTTGTATTAGAGGTTGAAGAGGGGAAGGGGGTGGGCAATGGGTGAAGATATGCTAAACTAGCTACATTATTTTCGGGTCCCTTATACAAAAAGCAGGAAAAAACGTACAAAATATCACTAATGAAACATTGTATGCTATGTGTATTTTGTCACAATATAAAAGCAGAAAAATTGTAGTTAAAGGCACTAAAATATAAAGATTTATCCTTTAAAAATAATGTTATTTGTAATACATTAAGGTAATCATGATATTCAACAATATAAATTTAAAATTAAGAAAATATTTTTGTGTCATAATTCATACAATACAACAAATAACAATTTATCAGTATAATACCTTAATTGATGATAAATTTCTCGGGCTTATATTTTTGCAAATTCATTTATCAGGTCATCAGAAATTTTACTTTTAGCAACTTAATTTCCAATTGACATATTTGAAAGCAATGTCAGTCACTTGGCAAATGTAAGGTCACAAATAATTTTTGATAATTTTAATTTTAGAAACCGATTTTTTTTGGCTGATTTAGTTCTTATTGGAGTCGTTAAAAATTGTGAGTGACAGTATTGGGATACATTTCTGAAAAGTTTTTAGTAAAACTAAAGATGATAATTTTTGTGGAACAAATTTTCTAAGAGGTTTTATGTCTTCACATCAATCGGTTTTGCATAATTCTGAATTTAATTTTAAAGGCAAGTTCATACAATGTCATTTTAATGTGTCCTCTGAAATTCCCTGAAATTGGTGAAGATCGTACAAAAAAAGAAAGGACTTCCTGCTTTGTACATAATTTTAAATGTCTGTTTATGTATTCTATCACCATATGTTTACATTGATAAATTATAAAAGATAATTTTAGAATTAGCTCCCTTGTTAGGAGATACTTTATATGAAACATCATATGCAAATAGTGTTCTTTCATGTTGACTATGATGTTCTTTAAGTTCAGTTTCCAATCCTGTGGTTATCTTCTTTGCAATGTTGCAGCAGTTTTCAGAAGTTTAAAAGCTTTAATAATTGAAATCTCTGATATGCTTTATAGCAATGTACACGCATATGCTTTTATTCTGTAATAATTTACTGACAAAATTTACCACCTGACTGCTCGAAGTTCTTTCAGACTTAGGAGATGTTTTTCCAGCAGCTCAAGAAATGCTTTCTTGGGAGGACTTCCCATGCTCCAGGGACTTTACACGCCTCATTTCTCTTAATTCTCACAAGCAGCCAAAGAGATGGGTGATACCACACCATTCTGTAAATGAGCAAACAGGGTGGCAGAGGGTTCAGATTTGCATTCAGGTCTGTCCAGCAGCAGAGCTGGAGGCATTGCCACTTCAGCTCCATGAGCTCCTGTAGAGCCAGAGGCCCGGATCAGAGGCTTCTCACTCACAGTCCACCCTCACTTGGGCCCTGGTTCATCAGTGTTTATATGGAATTTGAATGGACTGAGTTCCCAAAGCCCGAAACATAGTAAGAGCAGTGAGTCAGATGTGTGAGGTATGTGTGTGGGGAAGACAAAGACACTCTAGGAGGCTTTCATAGGTGATAGTGGAAGACAAGGCAAAAAATAATCATTTCCCCCAATCAGACACAATGATGCCTCTCTGCGGCAGGCTGGCATTGAATGGCTCTGCACAACGCAGCAGGCTCTGGTCCTATACTTTCATTATTATTCCTATCTTAAGTCCCTGTTAGAGCACAGCAAATGCTCCACCAATAAATGGCAGACACTTGTGTGAGGAGAAGCCTCTGAATGCATTTGGGGGAAATACAGAGGGTGAAAATTATGGAACAATTCCAAGGTTCAAGGTAAAAGAACAGGCTTCAGAAGGAATTTTGCAGATGAGGTCAGAGTGTAAGTAAGTTGAGGAGCCTTATGGTGGGATTCTCTCAGCTTCCCAGGGGATCCCAGCAATTCTCAAGCATCCAGTACAAAGTCTGAGAACTATGGATCCAATGGACAGTGCGCTGGCCTCTTTTTTTTTTTTTTTTTTTTTTTTTTTGAGATGGAGTTTCACTCTGTCACCCAGGCTGGAGTGTAGTGGTGCAATCTCGGCTCACTGCAGCCTCCGCCTCTTGGGTTCAAGTGATTCTTCTGCCTCAGCCTCCTGAGTAGCTGCGATTACAGGTGCGTGCCACCATGCCTGGCTAATTTTTGTATTTTTTAGTAGAGATGGGATTTCATCATGTTGGCCAGGCTGGTCTCGAACTCCTGACCTCAGGTGATCTGCCTGCCTCAGCCTCCCAGACTGCTGGGATTACAGGTGTGAGCCACTGAGCCCCCCAACCCAGCCTCTTTCTTAGAAGAAAAATTGTCAGTTGATGACTGAGCAAAATGCTTCACTCATATATAGTATATAGGAGCTTAGGATTTCTCACAGTGAGTTTGACATTTAGAAAACCCTACTGTTTGTCTATCTTGAAGACTACGATTATCTTCTCAATCTGTTTCCTATTATGAAATGCAGTTCAATTTGGACCATGAGGAAGACTGAGAAGGAAGATTATTCTTTTTAATAGCTGCATAATATTTCACTTCGGGATGTAATCAAAATCTATTTAATCAATTCTGTTTTGGTGGCATTTAAAAAGTTTTCCTGAATTTTTGGCTCTTAAAAACAATACTGGCTGGCACGGTGGCTCACGCCTGTAATCTCAGCACTTTTGGGAGGCCGAGGTGGGTGGATCACAAGGTCAAGAGCTCGAGACTAGCCTGGCCAACATGATGGTGAAACCCTGTCTCTATTAAAAATACAAAAGTTGGCCGGGCACAGTGGCTTATACCTGTAATCCCAACACTTTGGGAGGCTGAGGCGGGAGGATCACGAGGTCAGGAGATCGAGACCATCCTGGCCAACATGGTGAAACGCTGTCTCTACTAAAAATACAAAAATTAGCTGGGTGTGGTGGCGCACACCAGTAGTCCCAGGTACTAGGGAGGCTGAGGCAGAAGAATGGCTTAAACTCGGGAGGCAGAGGTTGCAGTGACCTGAGATCACGCCACTGCACTCCAGCCTGGTGACAGAACGAGACTCCGTCTCAAAAAAAAAAAAAAAAATTAGGCATGGTGGCGGGTGCCTGTAATTCCAGCTACTCAGCATGCTGAGGCAGGAGAATTGCTTGAACCCAGGAGGCGGAGGTTGCAGTGAGCCAAGATCGCACTACTGCACTCCAGCCTGGATGACAGAGCAAGATTCCATCTCAAAAAAACAAAACAAAAAAACAAACAAAAAAAAAAACTAAAGCAATACTGCCATTGACATCCTTGTAAATCTCATTGCACGCTTTCAGAGGCCATCTGCCCACAGGAATTATTCTAATTCAACCCTCACAAGAACCCCATGTGTTAGGTGTTATCATCCTTTTGGCCGATGTGGAAACTGAAGTTCATGAAGACCTTTTTTATGGCTAAGGTTCCATAGCCGGTAAGTGATGGGACACTGATTCTGTGACTTACCCACTGCTCTGTGCAGGGAAACTGTGAAAACAGAAGTGTCATAGGCGTGCAACCTCACTGACAGACAGTGAAACTCACTGTGGTGAGGGGTGTGGGGGAGGCCTCAGGAAGGCCAGGAAAGGCTTTTTGAAGAAGGGGATTGAGGCTTGGCTTTGAGGTCAGGCTTCAAAAGGCATCAAGCAAAACACCCTCTTCCCCAGTGTGAAAGGCCTGGAGGGAAGGAAGGATGAGGAGCTGTGGAGTAGGGGAGGCAGCATCATCAAAACTGCCTATCTGAGCATGCAGTCCCTGTGGCTTGGAGACCCCGCCCCCTCTGGACAGAGGGAGAGGTTGTGGTCAGAAGCCTTGAATGCCAGGAGGGCTCTTCCTTCCTCTGTCCACCTTCTCCCCACACACACAGTGTTCTGGTGACTGTCTTGGAAGGATCGTCACCCTTCAGCTTTGCACAGAGTCACAGACGGTTGCTGATGACCTGGGAGCTGTGGACAACCTGAGCATGGTGCCCTCCATGACTGAAGCTGCTCCTATGAGGGCTTAGGAGACATACAGGTGAGGAGAAAGCAGCTCAGAGACTCTGGGCCCCTGGTCCAATGCTTCTTTATCTTGTTGAATGTAAGAGAAAAGCTGAAGACTCAGGAAAGTTGGCAGTCAATTGTCATTTTACTGCAAGAGCAGCCACATGGGGAGCGGAATTTCAGTTGTGTTAGAGATGAGAGAGTTGAAGAATGCGTGGCATGGGCCTGGGAGGCACATGTCACAAAAACAAAGAAGTCCTGGTGGCTGATTACTCTTTCTTTAAATTCTTAGGGTTTTTTATTTTAAAAAATGAATTTTATATGAATTGAAAATAAAGTCTGCTTTTCTTACAGTAAAATGCCAATATTTAAAGGTAGAAAGAGAATAGATTGAAATATAATAAGCTTTCATCTCATCACCAGAAGCTTAAGGAAGCCCAAGGAACAGCATAAAGTGTGGAATAGTTCTGCAGAAAAAAAGAGAGGACGCCTGTGCCCTGCGATGGCCTCTAGGATTTGTTGAGTCAGTCGCCCAATACGTATTCAGTGAGCGTCCATCATGTGCCAGGATTGGGCCATGCAGGGCAAGGCTGTGAACAGACACACCTGCGCCTTCTTCCTCACCCTCGTGAAGCTCATGGCCTGCACAGGGGCAGAGGTGCAAGAGGGAGGCCAGTGGGACCAAGGGAGTCAAGTGGACTTGAGAGCAAATGAAGGGAAGAAAGTCCTTCCTCCAGGAGTAAACCCTGAGCCAGAGTGACTGTGAAATCTTTGGGAGACTTCCATGTGCCAAGTGCTTTAATATGTGAGATAATTTATAGCAACAAGAGATCAGTATTCATATCTACAGCTTATGAACTAAAAAAAAAATTGCTTAGAGAGAGGAAGCAATTTTCCCAAGTCACATGTCCAGTAAATCACAGAACCAGGGTTCTTTGCCACTCGTACATTTCCCATCCTGTTCCTTGGCGTCTCGGGTGCGCTAGTCCCCATTTACATGAAACATCCCCAAACTAAGCCTCTATCTTGGAGAAAGCTGGGGACATATGATCCCTCTGCTGCCCAAATCTGGGAACTGGGAGGCAGGAGCCTTTTGTATTTTGGAAATCCAGCTGTTTTCTTTTTGCACCTAGAAGCTGGGGGACAGAGGGAATTGCTTATTTTCTGGAAAAACCTGGCAAGTTGTTACATATTTGGGAGGCATTTCACACTCCTCCTTTTCTCGTCATCCTCCCTACATGTCCCGAAGCTGTTTGAATTCCTTCCTCACTTGGTGCTTAAATGCTTAGGCCTGATGAGAGGAGGAGCCTGACTCTGGGAAGTGCAGTGGAACTCAGCGGGAAATTACTGGAAGGCTGCACATGTCTAAGAGCACTTCAGTTTTTCAAATTGGACTTCAAATTTAGAAGACGGCAGGTCCCTTCAACAAGTGAATCTCTTCTGTAAACTTAAGTCATGCCCTCCACTGGGAGCCCAGCATCCCGTTGCTTCCAAGTTGAGGTGCTTATGAAAGTAGCTGTGTATCAGTGGGGGCTAAGCATCAGGTACCCGTGGACACAAAGATGGGAACCAGACACCAGGGACTGCTAGAGAAAGAAAGGGTGGGGACAAGGGATGGAAAACCACCTGTTAGATACCATGCTCACTACATGGGTCACAGGATCATTTGTGTCCCAAGCCCCAGCATCACACATATACCCATGTAACAAACCTGCACATGCACCCCATGAAGATAAAATGAGGGTCAAAATTATGTTTTTCAAGAGTGGCTGGAATGGCTATGACAACCAACACTGAATGAGGGGTGTCTGGAGGACAGAGGCCACCGCAGTTTCCTGAGAGCCCAGAGCTGCAGTGGAGGCTCTCATTCAATCATTCACTCATTCAACAGAAATAAACTGAGTGCTTGCTGCACACAACAAGCCCAGGGCAAGCATGGGGGCATGTGACAGTGGCCTGCCTGTCCCCCGGAGTGCACACACAGGGCAAGTCTCTTTCCTCAGTGTAGCTACTTTGATAGAAACAGCAAGCACCAGAATAATTGGGGGGTGAAAGGGCTTCCTGCCAGCCTCACTCAGTCCGTTTGTGTCTCTCCGAGGAGCCCTTGCCTTGCTGGGTCAGTGCTCAGACTCCAGCAGGGTGCACCTGTTCAGAGAGTGCTCTGGGGCAGCATGGAGGGACAGACGGGATGTGGGAGGAGGGGAGTGAGCTTCCAAGGAATGAGGGGGCTGAAGGGAGAGCAGGAGGACATGTGAGTGGGCAGAAGCCTTGAGTCTGAATCTCCAGGAGGCTCCACAGTGTCTTCGGGATCTGCTGATCTTCAATAAGAAACCAGCTCTCCATGAGAACTGACTGGAGGGATTTCAGTGTCATACACCAGATTCCCAGCACAGCTCTTACATCTGTGAATGGATGGCTGTAATGACCCACACATGATAAGAATCATACATGGAACTTTTGTTACTCATCCATATCTGAGAGCTGGAGACTCAATGCAATTTAACAAACCCGATCTCTCCTTCCTCTCAGAGTTCATTGCCAGCGTTACTGGGGAGAGATTTATCAGGATTGCAATGTAAACTCAGGGGTGAGCTTTCTCTTCAGCCATCTATTTCCAAAGTACGGTTAATTCTGCTTTATGTCTTTCTGGACGATATGCAAATGTGTTGACTGATCTCATCTCTTTGCTGTGATATTCAAACATACTTGGGGAAATTAAAACAGTAATGCCATTCATTATTGACCACTTAATAATTTATAATCAAGGTGCAACCTGCCGTGTAAATCAGCAAAGTCAGGTTTGTTTGAAGTGTAAACAGGAAATAATCTATGAGTTTATTTGCTAATTGTACTTGTAATTGACCCTAGAAGACCTTGCTGAATTCAACCCAGGAGATATATTATTTTCTCACTCATTTGATTAGTTTCAGCATGCTAATGAGGCCCAGACACCCACTTTAAGATAGTTGTTTGGCTTACTTGCGTTTGGTCCATGTAAATATCTGTCCACATCAGTGATCTTTTACTGATTACCCAAGGTTGTACATGAGTCGTGATCTATCAGTGGCTGGTCTTTCTGCTTTGTTCAACTAGACAGAAGCCCAGTGAGGGAAGAGACTATTCCTATTGTGTTCATAGTTTCATTCAATGACAAGCACATCTGTTTAAGAAATGTCTGTAGAATGAATGCCATCAATCCCAGGGATATTGGTTGCTCCAGCAGCGGTCCCTATGTGACATGGCAGGCTCTGTTTTATAATTATGCAAAAAAACACCAGTGAGCAGTGGGAAAAGGCAGGACCCCTTCTTGTGCTCTGAGCTCACACCAGCACCCCCTAAAACACACAGTCACATATATGCATGTGTGCACATCCACATGTGCACACATGTACACGGCCTGCCCCTCCTTGAACAACCAAGGGTTTCACTAAGAACAAAAGAGACATATTCTTGTGGCCAGATTTACATTCCCCTTTTGTCAAACTCATTGCTCAAATCTCTTTCATTAAACTCAAATGTGTGATGTGTAAATGCCATGATGTGGCAATTTCATAAAGAATTTTATTAACAATTATTCTGACATAACAGGGATTTTAGAGCCGGGAAGCGCACACTTCACCCTCACAGGCGCCGTCTTGCCAGAAATTCTGTGATGCTGGCTGACAACTTATTCTCTCTGAACTTAATTTTTTTCATCTGTCAAACAGAGCCAATAGCAAACAAACTAAGATTATATTGTTAGTAAAATTACTTAACACAAGGTAGAATAATGAAGTATTATTTTTATCTATTAAACTAGCAGGCTTTTTTAAAAGATAGAACCGGCCAGGCATGGTGGCTCATGCCTGTAATTCCAGCACTTTGGGAGGCCAAGGCGGGCGGATCACGAGGTCAGGAGCTCGAGACCAGCCTGATCAACACTGTGAAACCCCGTATCTACTAAAAATACAAAAATTAGCCAGGCATGGTGGTGCACACCTGTAATCCCACCTACTCAGGAGGCTGAGGCAGGAGAATCGCTTGAACCCAGAGGCAGAGGCTGCAGTGAACCAAACAGAGAGAGTAGGAAGAGCACAGTTGGACACCTATCATTACCTCAACTTTGTATATATGTGTGCATATGCCTACCAGGATGAGAAAATGTCTAAAAGGATATAGAGCAATATTTTAACAGTGACTATTTGGGGAGAGGTAAAATCATACATTTTTAAGATTTTCTTCCTTGGGTTTTTCCATATTTGTGAACATTCTTATCTCTTTTGAAACCAGAAACGTTTATTTTAAACTTACTCTATAGATGTGCAGGTACTGAACCATTGTGACATATTCTTGTCTTGTTCCTTCTGGTGACTTCTTCCATCTCTGAGGACTGGGGGCTTTGCTTTTCTTCCTCTCAGGGTCCACTGACCTAGAACTGAGCTGCCTGAAGCATGCCATCCAGAGGCCCTAAGTTCGAGGCCCGAGCAACCAGCCTGCCTTGTGACAGCGAAGGCAGGCAACATATTGATCGCCGTGGTTGCTCCCTGTGCATTTAAATAATAGAACATGGACTGGGGCTGTGGAGAGAGGAAAATCCTGGCCACCACTCTATCATTTCCCCAGCTATGGATTTTGTCATTACTGTATTTGCCTTGTGTTACAGTGGGCGAAGATTGTATTTGTGATTGATGGCAGCAGATGGGCAATTTATTCTGCTGTTTACTTTTTATGTTGGTGGATGTGGGAGTAAACGCAGCCAGAACACTTGGCTAAGCATTTGCTAATATCCTCTATTGACTGAGACACACAGGGAGTTTATCTGAGGTCCATGGGCACAGCCTTCACATGGAAGAGGGGCCCAGGATGCTCAGGAACTGTGCACTCAGGGACTGAGGAAAGGTGCCAGGTACTTGACACCAGTTAACCTGTGTAAGCACCACGATCAGCCAAGAAGCAGATGTGATTATCTTCACTTTATAGGTAAGAGGGGCGGGGAGATGGTCTCCAAGGTCACACAGCTGGTGGGTATTACAGCTAGATTTTGAGGGCAGGTCTTGTGATGCTAAAACCAATTCTTAGTGTCTGGGTTCTGGATTTTTTAGAATTAGATTTTAAAGCAAGGACTGATTACGGAAATTCTGAAAAATGTCTGTGCATGCACACATACACACACACACACACACCACCACCAAGGGTGTGGAAGAAGCAGGACAGAAAACAGAAAGAAGGAAGCCAAGCAAGAGTGTGATTTCAGGAGAAGCCCCAGACATAGGCAGACCCCACAGGGAGCACTGGAGCATGAGTCGACCTCAGAGTCTGTCCTGAGCCTAGCGGGGAGCTGTGTGGTGCAGCCTCACACCAGCCAGTCACTGGCTGTGAGCCATCCTGCATTTCCCATGGGCAGGGCCACTTTAGCATCTTAGGGCCGACCCCCAAAGAAGGACCAGCAAAGAACAGAGCTGTGGGACTGGCATGCAGAGCTAGTGACAGGGATCTAAGGGGATTTTGGCAGGACAGGGTCCCAGGGCAGGAGTCTGGAGGTTTGAGCTAGCCTTCAACTGAAAAGGACCTCCGAGTCAGTTTCCTCAAGCCAGTATCTGGCAAGGGAACAGCAGGAAAAGTTTGGGGAGGAGAAAAGGAGCTCTGCTGGTCTGTGCCTCACCTGTCAGAGACATGCCCTGAACACCCCCAGCATTCTGCTGTGGCCCACCATGAATCTCACCCCGTTTTTTGTTTCGTTTTGTTTTGTTTTTAGAAAAACACCCTTAAGTGTGTTCCTTTTATTAATTCCAAGGACTCCAGGACCAAAGCTCTGATATTGGTCATAACTACCAAGACTTTCTTTAATTTGACTGGGATGGTCTCTGTTTCCTCTGGGGCAAAAAGAAAGTTAATTTTTTTAAAATAAATGTTCAATTTTATAAAAATTTTAGATTACAGCAGAAGCTTTGCAAAGATGGTACAGAGAGTCCCCATCTACCCCTCAGCAGCTTTCCATAATGTTGACATCTTAAATTCCCAGGGCACATCTGCCAAAACTGAGAAATTAACATTAGCACGTCACTCTCCCCTAAACTACAGACTTTATTTAGATCTCACCAGTTTTTTCGCCAGTGTCTTGTTTCCATTCCAGGATTCTATCAAGGATCCATGCTGCCATCAGTGACTTTGCTCCTCTGATTCCTTCCACCCTGAAAATGCTTTTCCTCCATTTCTACACACTGTAACTCTCAATCAAGGGTGAGTTCTGAAATCAGTCCACACGCTTGTTTATTTGTTCCTTCAGGCATTTATTCAGCGTCACTTATTTGGAGACTCCTCGGTGCCAGGAATTAACCCAGTTCTGAGACTACACTGATGAGCAGGAACATTACATGTGTGTTCTTGGGGTGCTCCCAAAGAGTGGGGGAGGTAGACACTCATTAAATGAACACATGCATAGGTTTGACACCACAGGCTGACACAAGTGCTGGAGAGAAAGACAAAAACACCATGAATACATTTCTCTATGGCCGGGCAGGGTCAGACAAGGAAGACTTCAGGGTGTCTGCCTATGCAGCAGGTGGCTGGTACCCTTCTGAGAGAGAGAACAGGGGAGAAGCACCGGGTTTATAGGGTCAGGCTCTTGAATTTGGTTTGAGATACCCAAGCCAAGACCTCAGGCAGGCAGGCGGAAAGATCTTTCAGGACCTCAGGATAGTGGCCTTCTCTGGTTGTCCCAGCTGGATACAGATTTTTTCTCTTTTAACTTTGACTCCCATGACATTCTGTCTATTTTATAACACTTACCTTAATCAATAAGAAAAGCAATTTACCTTGTTGTAGAGCCATTCTTCTTCCTAACTTATCTTCTGTCATGTCATAGGCTCTAAGCTTCATAGAAGCATTCTTTATCTGTCTTTCGCACTCCACCTGTCTCAGTATTTCATACCCAGTGGGGGCTTAATAAGTGTTTATCACACTGAATTGGAAGGCAGGCCAGTTGATAACATCACAGATATCTGACTATATCTGTGGAATGGGCTTGATTTTCTAAAGAGAAAGTCAGACTGATGCTTCTCAAACTACCCTTCCCAGGTACTTCTGATGGACATCACAGGGCAGGCTCTGGGGACTGCAGGCCACCTCCCCCGTGAAAGGGGGTGTCAGTGGCAGGAGGTTGTCCCACAAAAGGGAGAGTTTCATGGCCACTTACATTTATGAAGCTCTGAGTTAAACTTGTTTTATTTACTGTAAGAATTTCAAAGAGGAAAAAGACTATGAAATATTTTCAAATGTATTAAAAACTCACCCTTCCAGTGCCCTCCCCGCTGATTTGTAGACTATCTAATAGAACTAGTGCACTAGAGAATGGCTCTGAAATGCTACAAATGCCACCTGGTTTCCTCATAGCTCATTCATAGTGGCCAAAATTCCTGCATAATGAAGTGAGACATCATATACACAGAATAGGTAGTTCTGTGGGTCCCCAGAAATGACCAGGGACAACATTATGCCACAACATTTTCTTCACTGGGAACATCACCTGCAGCCCCCAGAGCCTGTCCTGTCCTTGCCCTTACATAGGTGCCCCGAGTGGCAGCACATATGCTTGCGGCTCTTGCATCCTGCACAACACAGGCACCAGGCTGGGTTGGCAGCTATCATTCCACAGAGCCAGCCCCGTCCCTGATGTCACGGAGCTCTGGGTCTCCTGTGCCAGCCAATACCGAGCAGCCCAAGGTAGGACGTAGGCAGCACAAGATGGGTACAGGGGCTCAGAGAAGGAGTCAAGACTGAAGCTAAGAGAGGGTGAGAGTGATGGAAGCTTTGGCTCTTCTGCAGCTCCATTTAAGCAGCTGCTTAGGGCCTGGGGATGGGACCCACAGCACGAGGGCGGGTCCAGGAGCAGAGTTGGAAAAAGTGCAGCCCAAGATTGCCCATCATCCCAATGTTCAGGAACATACACCCAAGACATGGCGGGAGCCCCCTGCTCCTTGTCAAGGAGGAGTGACATTCCCAGAAAGCCTTCCCCCTATGCGGGATGTGGTCAGTGGCATCGTCTTCGTCAGTGACACAGGGTAGGGGATGGAGGGGAGGGAGGTTCCCAACTGCAGCTACTGCCTTTCACTCTGCAGCATCGAACAGCCCCTGGGTGTGGCAGAGCCCCCTGACAGCCATAACTGAAGCCGACCCCAAGAATGACCCTATGGTCTAAGAAGAATGTGTGTTCAGAGCCCCGAGCTAACGAATCTGAGTTCCACTCAGAAATCCACTCCTGGCCAGGCGCAGTGGCTCACGCCTATAATCCCAGCACTTTGGGAGGCTGAGGTGGGCAGATCACTTGAGGTCAGGAGTTCAAGACCAGCCAGGCCAACATGGCAAAACCCTGCCTCTACTAAAAATACAAAAATTAGCTGGTCATGGTGATGTGTGTCTATCCCAGCTACTAGGGAGGCTGAGGCAGGAGAATTGCTTGAACCCAGGAGGCAGAGGTTGCAGTGAGTCGAGATTGTGCCACTGCACTCCAGCCTAGGTGACAGAGCGAGACTCTTTCTCAAAAAAAAAAAAGAAAGAAAGAAATCCACTCCTTATCCATGAAGGACATCTGAACCCCTGGCCCATCCCTTGGAACCCAGTCTGTACGGGGAGTCGAGGCCCTTTGTTTTGGGTTAAGTGTAGGGTGCTACGTGAAATGCTATATGAATGGCATGCTTGTTACAAACTGTAGTGGTTCTCCTGTCCAGCCTGCGGCTACTGGACTACCCTCTATGCAAGTCGCCTCAATAAACCCTGTGTCTTGGTTGCTGTCTTAGGTCTCTTCTTTAGCCCCTCAGACACAGTGCCATCCCCACTGGAACCCATGGGGTACAGCGCAACACCTGGGCACTGAGCAAGGACCCCTCCTACTCACACATGGTCAAGTGCTCACATAGAAACCCCGAGGGGGATATCAGGGCTCTCGAATAGAAAACTAATGTGCATGCAAGGTATGTTTTTTGGCTGAAACAACAGAAATCCCTTTTCTATTTTCTCACTGTTCTGGAGGCTGGCGGCCTGAGGGCCAGGGTGCCCATGGGTGCATGGCTGGGTGCTGGCGAGGCCCTCACCCTTGCTCAAGTTCTCCCAGAGTGTCTGAAAGAGAATTTGGGGAGGAAGAAAGTTGTGCTAGATCCCTAACATCTTTCTCCTGAGAGTGAAAACACATCCCTGCTGAGCCTGGGCTTACAGCTTTTAGGTGAAAATGTTAGGAAATTCATTTTGGTTTGAGCTTTTTCTAAGAAATCAAACCAAAATACTACTGGTCACCTCACTCTACAGGACCATAAGGAAAACAAATGGTACAGTTTGGAAGGTAGAAAATGGGTGTGCTCAGTCATCTTTGTCTGCCTAGAGACAGCCTAAGAGATGTCTTTACTCTCTGATGCCTTTCATAGTAAGGGTTCCTATGGACTAAACTGTGTTCCCCCAAATTCATCTGTGGAAGTCCTTACCCACAATGTGATGGCATTTACAGATGGGGCCTTTGGGAGGTGATTAGGTTTAGACAAAGGGTTCTTTGAGGCACAGAAAGATGGCCTTGAGGAAGGTTGACATTAGAGCTTCTTGTCATGCAAATGTGGGGTCAGTCCTCCCTCCCCCTTCCAGATTCTCCTAGTTGTGCTTTGGATCCCAGGTGGCTCCGCCCAGGACACACAGACCCAGAGAGAGTCCACCTGCTCCGGCAGATAGGCCACACCAGAGAGGAGATCTGACCTTAACACCAACTGGAGTTGGAGTTGGAAATGCCTTCTGTGGTTGACGTGGAGACGGCTGCCCAGGGGCCCTTCGGGGGGGACTTGCCCAGCTACTGGAGTATGGTTAGCGGACAGCCTCTGGCTTCTGGGCCTGTCTGGTGCACACTTTCTAAATATCACCTAGCAGGGACTTAGCAGGGCCTGGTTAAAAAGGCCTGACCTCTTTAGTCTGAAGCTGGACTTAGGACTCCAGGTCCTCCACCTGCTGCTCCCCCCTGGCCAGGACTCCCTGGGCCCAGCTCCCCTTGACTACTCGGTCACCTCCTCTTCCCAATCCTGCTTTCTCCCAGTCCTGTTAGCTGTTGATCTCCGTACAACTCGTGCCCCTCACCCCTCTATCTCAGCACCTGCTTCTGGAGAGCCCAACAGGAGACACTTTCCAAAAACAAAGCTCTGAAAAGGTCTGAGGTGGCTTCAGTGACAGGACTAGAAAAGAGATAAGAAAGACAGAGGAGCTAGGTGAGCCCCTCCTGTAGAAGAACTGAATTTAGGGTACTGTTGTTTCCCCAAGACACCGCCCCACCCTGTTGACCAAGTCTAGCTCTGTTGACTGGTCCACGCGAAGTTAACAACTCAGTGTCTTCAAGGGGCAAACGGGTAGAATAAATATGTGTAGAGTGCAAGGTGAAAGACATTAGGGACTGGTGGGGTCTGTGGCAAATTGGGCATTTTATGCCCTGCCCAAAGACATTGAAAGAGATAGAAATAGAGATAAAGATAGAAAAATACACACACACACAGACAAACACACATACACACAAACACACACACACACACACACACACACACACACGTTGTTATTTCTATTTTGGCCAAAGAAAAAAGAAAAGTCTATGTCCAAATTCCCTCTGAGCTGCTGGTTTGTGGCCCTGGACTAAAGGAAATGTCTTTAGCTTTTTGCCTCAGTTTCTGGGTCTGTTAATAAGACCCATTTCATATGTTCATTTCGACAGCTGAAAAAGTTAATCCCTTTAAATAATTTAGTATAGTTCCCAGCACAAAGAAGCATTCAGTCACTCCAGTGACTGCTCTAATCATTACCTTGATTTTCTATAAAAGAAATAAAGAATCCTACCAGTCTCACCACTGCCATCGCAGAACAAAGCCAATGCTATTGGCCAGGCTCAGCTGCCAGGACCTGGCTTTGAGAGTCAAGCACCACCACTGGAAAATATATATTCATAGGCATCCTGAACCAATTGATATTTCAAACTCCCTTCTTTCCCACCCCATGAAAGCCTCACTTATATTTTAGTTTAATTGTGGGGACCGATAATACTCTAGGATGGAAGCCAAGTTAAAACATTGCCCTAATGAGCAGGCATGGAGCCCGTTTCCGGATAATTTATATATTAGGAAGTATTTTCAAAGTAATATCTCCAGCTCTAAATCTTTTATGGTCAGTCTTGAACAGTTTTTTGGGGTCCAGGTCTCCACAGATGCCAACAGGGCACATTAGAGTATGGGAAGCAATTTTCCAAGAGTAGCGAGTTCTGCTGTGGCTGCCAGATGACCCGACTGGGCAGCAGGCACTCTGCTGGGTGGCAGGGAAGGCCAAGAGCTGGCAGGATGACTGCTGCCTCTGCAAAGCAACTGCACAGTGAGTTGAGGGACTAAATACACGAAAGCCATTGCCATCGCCATGCTGAAGTGGTAAATGACAGTCAAAAGTAGACATTTCAGCATTTCTATACCTTTTCCATTAGAATTTTTTGGCAATTAAAAATTTTAAAGCTTATGGATTCTAGTCTATGATAATAGAAATAATTTCACACAATAAGATGTCTGGTTTTTTTCTAACGCTGGCTGCACTATTTTATTAGCTGCTCACCTTGAGTTACTTAGTCAGGACTGGGAGGGCTGGACCTCAGCTTGCCTCCTCCCTGTCTGGTGCTCTTTTCACCCCAGCACTGCTCTTCCCTTCAACCTCACCCTCTTCCCTGAAAGTGCAGTCTGCATATCTCCTGCAACCACACAAGCAAAGGAAAGCAGGACAAATGCCTGGGGACTACTTATTGTGGGTGCAGCTGCTTTGCTTTGTGATGATGCTCCTATCAGGGGATGTGTGGACAAGTCCCAGCCTAGGAGCTTGCCCAGCCTCTGCCACCATGGTCTTCATGTTCTGTGAGACCTCAGATCCCCACTGGTATGAGGAGGGTTTCTCTTAGCATTCTAGATGGTCCTGTCCTCAGGGTCACCAGGCAGGCTCCCAGAGAAAAGGCACTGCCCTGCCCATCCTGAACCCAAACGATCTCTCCCCAAATCCAAACATGTAAACCACCACTCACATTTTCTTGGATAATTTCTGGGACATGGATCATGTCCTTTCTTTCTCTGCATAGCTACTTGAACTTTAGCTAAACTATATATATCAGCTTTAAAAGTTTGAACCTTATTGTGCATAAATATTTTTAAAATCCAAACTTGTGTCTGTTCTGCAGACTGCCTGATCCTTTGTGAGGGTCAATGAGTGTGACATGGAGAATGGGGCCCCCACTCTAAAAGCAGCCCCTCAGCCCCACCCTAGGTAGCTTATCCAAGACTTCCAGTGGCACCGGCTTTACTGACCTTTTGTGAGTGGAGCGAAAGCCATGTGCAGATAGTAGGGGAGGTCCCGAGCCTTCTCCTGTAATTATCCTCCACTTCCCTCTCCCTTTTCTCCTCTCATCCTCCTCTCAGCAGTCACTCTGCAGGTCTCCAGGTTTCACTTCCTTCAGTTCACTCTGTAACGTATGGAGCATCTAACCTGCACCCCACCATGGCCTGGGTGCCGTGGGCTCAGGCCACGAGGAATGAGCACCACTTCCTGTCCTCCACCTGCTGCCAGGCTGACCAGGGCTAATGAGCTCAGCAGCAGTGACTCCATGCTGGACGGTGCTAGTGCTTTGTCCTAGATGTGACGAGTGCTACAGGGACACAGAGAAGAGGGGACAGGAGGGACTGGGGTGGTGTTAAGCAAAGATGACAGAGGAGGGCATTCCAGAGAGAGGCGCCAGCGTGAGCAAAGGCACAGAGACAGAAACCTCCAGCCCAGTGTGGGCGAAGGGTGCTCAGTGGAGATAAAGTTAGAAAGGTGGTGGAGGAGACTGCTGTGAATCAAACGTCAGAAGACTGTGTGATCAGCAGAATTCTCGGGTGGCCACCAAGATCCCCTTCTCATGTATACACCTTCTCCATGTTATTCAGTCAAACAAGAATCTATGTGTTGGTGTCACAGATTTTACAGATGTAATTAAGTTCCCAAAAATCAGTTGATCTTAAGATACAAGAATTATCCTCAGTGGACCTGTTCTAACCAGGCAACACTTAAAAAAAAAACCAGGATTCTCCCTGGAGATGGAGATGTAAAGCTTGGGTGGAATTTGATGTGAGGGAGATTGTTTGTTCCTGGATTGGAAGATGAAGGGGACAAGGTAGGAAAGAATAGAGATGGCCTCTAGGAGCAGAGAGCGCCCCTGGCTGACAGCTCACAAGAAAAAATAATCACAAGGAACTGAATTTGGCCAACAATCTGAAGGAGTTTGGAAGTGAATTCCTTCCCAGAGTCTCCAGAAAGGAGCACCCAGCTGGCACCTTGATTTTAGCCTTGTGAGACCCCGAAGCAGAGGACCCAACCATGCGGTGCCCAAACTCTTACCCTAAGATAAGAGTGAGCCAGTAAATGGGTCTCGCTCTAAGTCTCTAAGTTTGTGGTAACTTGTTTTGCAGCTATAGAAAACTAACAAACAAAAAGTATATGCCCAGACAGAAAGTCTCCCCCAAGAGGATCCTACAACTGAGCTACGAAAGGCAAGTAGGAATAAATATAGGTGAAGGTGGGCTGGGGTAAAAAGACAGTGCCAAGGGAAGGGGCTGCACGCATAGAGGCCTCGTGACGCCCACAAGCATGGCCTGTTTGAGAAGCTGAGCAGTGTTCCTGGGCCTCAAAGAGCAAGGGAGAGGCTGTCGCCCGGTGAGGTCAGAGGAGCATGGTCAGGCTGTGCAAGGTCTGGTAGTGCCATGTTAAGTGGAAAAACAGGATCCCTTTTCATGTTTAAATATCCCTGAGACAGAAGTGCCATGGTTATCACAGGGGTGGGTGGATGTAACAGACACGTAGAATGTAAAATATCCGGGGATTGGTGGTGGATTAAGGAAGGGAACAGGGTGAGAAAATAGTAGAGCTTTCCAGATAAGTTATATAGATGGAAGACAATGTTACGCAGCTGGATCGAGGGCCAGATTTGGGGGTAGTTCACACCCAGGACGTGGTAGTCAGCAGGGCCTTCAGGAGCTCTAAGCAGAGATGCTAAGTGGGGGCAGAGGGTTGCTCAGGCATGACCGGAGTTCAAGGGTGAGTCTGTGCTAGAGCCCTGAATTTACAGATCTCAGTGCCGGACAGTAATGGATTATTTGGGAGACTGTGGATTTGCCCAAGGTGAGAGGTGAAGGTAGGCCATAGAGGGGGAAGGCTGGGGACCAAACTGTGTAGCAGGGTTTCTGGGGTCGGCCCCAGCATTTGCGTTTCTGACAAGCTCCCGGGTGACCCTGCTGCTGCTGATCTGAGACCACACTTTGACAGTCACCTCCTTATGCTAGTGGTTCATGGTCATGTATGGAGAGGGAACCAGTAAAAAAAAAAACAAAAAACAGAGACAGTGGCCAGAGAGCAGTAGACAAATTAAGGGCATGTGGCAGAGATTTGTGCACTTGCCTTTGAGTCTCTGCTTTGGGTAAACAATCTGATCTCCTCTAACCTTCTCTCCAAGTTCCTTGCTTTTTAGTCCATTACTCAGTTTGCTCCCTGTCTGTTCTCATCCTGGGCAGTTACGGAAGTTAAAGCTGGGCCCACTGCTTGTGCCTCTACTGGAGATGGGCTGTCTGGAGCCAAGCCCTGGGTCCTGATCCCGCATTTCCACCTTCCTTGAGTGATAGCTGGATGCCGGGCCACAGGGACTGAGAGGACAGTAAGAACATATCCCTGGCCCCAAGGAGCTCTTGGCTAATTAGGGAGATGTAAGAAAAAAATAACTACCCTTTAAACAAAATAAAATTTTGTTGCAGGCATAAGAGAGGTAAACTCATCTCAAACATATTCGGACACGCACTAGGGCATAAATTCAAAATCGTACTTGTCCTCAGTGAGCTCACATTCATTCCAATGAGAAAGACAATCATACAAGTGACAATGTTGACAACTGCCTTGATCATATCACACTTCAGTGTGTGGAAGGAATGAAGGAAAGTGTGGGAGAGGGGCCAGTATCTCCATGTGGAAATTAAGGAGTGGAGAAGGGCTGAACGGGGGTGATATCTGAAGAAAGGTTTGTTTTTATGTTGAGAACTCTGAAAATATGAAAGCAAAAAACTAAAACAATAAGTGCCCTTATTTTCACTATCCCAAATAATCAGTTTTTTGTTGTTGTTGTTGTTTTTGAGACGGAGTCTCACTCTGTCGCCCAGGATGGAGTGCAGTGGCATGATCTTGGCTCACTGCAACCTCCACCTCCCGAGTTAAGCAATTCTTCTGCCTCAGTGTGCCGAGTAGCTGGGACTACAGGCATGTGCCACCACGCCCGGCTAATTTTTATATTTTTTAGTAGAGAGGGGGTTTCACCATATTGGGCAGGCTGGTCTTGAACTCCTGACCTCGTGATCTGCCCACCTCGGCCTCCCAAAGTGCTGGGATTACAGGCATGAGCCACCGTGCCTGCCCCAAATGATCAGTTTTTAATAGGTTGTCATATTTACATCCAGTCTTTTTAAAATAAATAGATTAAAAATAAAGCTAAAGCCCTTTGGCAACAAGCCTAAATTTTTTCCTTTCTTCTCTTCAGAGAAAATAATTGCCATGTATTTAATGTGTATCTTTCAGTCTATTTGTAAATTTTTGTATTATATGTATGTTTTTATTTACAAGTGCTGATTTGTGTATGCTTTCACATGTGCAGAAGCTGTGTGCGTGCTGTGACTATCACTGTGAAATTTGCTTTTCACTCAAAATTATATTTCTCAGATTTCTTCAAATATTCAAATATACATGTGTGTATATATATGTGTATATATGTGTGTGTGTGTGTGTGTGTGTGTGTATATATATATATATAAAGGTTAAATATATTTATATAAAGAGAAGTTTCCTTAAACAGCTGTAGAATAAATATTTATGGTCTCTGTCTCGACTTTTCCACTCTGCAAGGGTAGTGCAAAAGCAGCTGCAGATAATATACCAATGAAAGTCATGCTGTGTTTCAATAAAACTTTCTTTTTTAAGAGACAGAATCATTCTGTCACCAAGGCTGGAGTGAAATGGTGTGATCATAGCTCACTGCAGCCTCGAACTTCTGAGCTCAAGTGATCCTCTGGCCTCTGCCTCCCGAGTAGCTGGGACTACAGGTGCACACCAACATGCCCAGCTAATTCTTTTCTTTCTTTCTTTCTTTTTTTTTTTTTTGTAGAAATGGATCTTGTTCTTTTGCCCAGGCCAGTCTCAAACTCCTGGGCTCAAATGATCCTCCTGCCTTGGCCTCCCAAAAAGCTGGGATTACAGGGATGAGGCGCTGTGCCTGGCTTCAGTAAAATTTTATTTACAAAAACAACAAGCAGTTAGCCTAGATTTGACCGGGGGGCTGTAGTTTGGAGATCCCTATGCTACAGACGGCCAGTTAGGAGTAGACTGTGGAGCAAGAATGGAAGTGAGTTTTGAAGGCCGAGAAGGAGTTCACCAAGCCAACAAGACTGTGTGTGAATGAACATGTGTTGAGTGTGTGTGTGTGTGTGTGTTGGAGAGTGAGAGGCATTTCCTGCACAGGGACCTCATATACCAAGAGGACAGATGGGAGAGGTATGTCCTGGGCTGCACTGGACACCACGTGCTCAGGAGGGAGCAGTGGAAGCACAGGTGTCAACCATGAGGCTGGAGAATGGGGCTCTGGCCATATCTGGGCCAGGGAACTTAGACTGTATTCCTCAGTTGAAGGTGTTTTAAGCTGGGGAGGGACAAGGTCAGATGTGTGTTTTAGACAGATTGGAAGAGTACAGAGTGACTGCAGAATGGAAAATACATTGAAGAGGAGAAAGACCGGAGGCATGGAAGCCAATTTTAAGGCTGTTGCGATGTTCTGGGAGAGAAATGACAAGCATCTGAAGTAGGGCAATGGCGGTAGGAAGGGAGAGAGGAATAGATTTGAGAAATCTTTAGAGGCTAAATCAGTGAGATCTGGATGGCTGATTAGTTATGAGGGAGGAGGAGAGACCAGGCAAAGGCAGTTTTCTGTTTTCACTTTCCCCTTAGAGTCCTGTAAAGATGGTGTCACTCCTGACCAATAAAGAGAATACAGAAGACATTATAAATTATGGAGGAGAAAATGATTAATATGAAATGCTGGGAAAACACCGGTAAAGAAGTGAAGTGAAAATTACATAGAGGAAATGGTGGTTGGGCTAGGAGGAAAAATGGGAAGAGACGTTCTATGGAAGGAATCTCCTGGTGAAAGCATTTGGGGTGGAAACACAGGGCGTCCCTAGGGCCTACAAGCTGCTTGGGTGTGTGTAATGTGCACAGGGAGATATGGGGGTGGGGAGGAGATTAGAAAGAAGGACTGGAGCCAGGGAGAGAAGGGCCTTCAGGGTCTCCCCGGGGTGTTGGGCTCATTCCTTAGGAACAAAAGGGAGTTCTTAGGATGTGCAATTTGCATTTGAACATGCTTGATGCTTTGGAAGGAATTGCTCTGCAGAATGGAGTGAAGATAGAGGTGGGAAGGGGCCCAAGTGACCTGTGTTTGGGAGAGATCACTATCGCAACAGTCACACTGAGCAGGGGAAGAATGAAAACAAAGAAACATAGTAAGAGAAAGGGAAAGAGAGACAGACGGAAGGTAAGGAGAAGGAAGGAGGCACATCTGTGGAGAAAAGGCCTGGGTAGGAAACACTCCTCTCAGGGTCTGGCAGCTGATCACACACCTAGGAGGGAGGCGAGCTCTGATTTTCTGCTTCTGAATGCTGATGACTAATGGGGAAGACGTGCTCTGCCTTCAGGCACTGAGAGCTCACGAGTTGATGAAAGTGTGAGCCGCGGTTTCTCCCTCCGAACCTACCTGTCCTCCTCTCTCAGATCTCAAGGAACCCCTCCCACCGAATATGGAATCTCTGCGAATCTTCCCTGCATCATGAGCATAACTGCTCCAAGTCCGGCATCCCAGATGTCTTCCTCTTGCTAGACGTGTCCTCCCCCTGCAGCTGTATGTGACACACCCAGAGGGGATTCCTCAGCATCACCCAGAGGTTGAAGCCTCTGTCAGGAACCATTCTGTGCTACCTTTCATTCCCACCCCCATGCCCCCTCTCCACTCTTCTCCCTGCCCCTGCTCCAGGAGGAAGGATGTTGTGTCTATGACATTCACAAACCCCTGTTTTCCAACATCTAGTTGGGTTCAACCAACAAAGAGCTATGGCAGAAAATTTGCAGGAACCAAAAGAGTGAGGCTCCCTTCCTGGGGAGTCTCCCTGGACTGGCTCTGCTCTTTGAGAAAAATGTTTGTGAGTTTAATGTGAAACCCTGAATGGTTTTAGAAAGATAAGTGTGCTAGTTGAAGGCTGGTCAGGAAAAGGATGGTCAACTCTAATTAGAATAAGAAAGGGACAATTCAATAAACGGACTATTATAGTGAAAGCGAACTAAATGTGGCCTGAGAAGGACTCCCTACTTCTGTATTTGAGTCCCTGTGGACTAACCACAACCTAACTTAGTAGGTAGATGAGATTGAAAACCTAATTTAGGAGTATGTACCTGTAACAATAGCTGAGTCTCAGCCAATCCAAGCAGCCATACTTCAACCACTCATACACTGCTGAGTGTTCAAACTGTGTTCAAATAAAGCAAACACCTGTAACCAACCCAAATGTCTCTGTACCTCACTTCTATTTTCTCTACATCACTTTCCTTTGCTGCCCATTAATCTTCCACCATGTGGTTGCTCTGGAGTGTCAGAGCCTACTCTGGCTCAGGAGGCTGCCTGATTCATGAGTTGTTCATTGCTCAATTAAACTCTTTTAAATTTAATTTAGCTGAAGTTTTTCTTTTATCACTTTTTAACAAGGAGTGTTCAGCAAGCCCATAAGTAGGGCAGTAACATGGTTCTAGTGACCGTATCAGGCCCAAAGGGATTTGGGGAGAAAGTTATTTCTAGCATCAGAAGGACAGAATCATGGAGAGCAGGCCTCTTTAAGAGGAGCTTTGACCTTTGTTGGAGGGAAACAACCAGGCTGAGATGGCCTCACAGAAAAGCAGTGGCAAAATAAATACTGAATTCATCCTCCTTTCTCATTCTGGTCTCCTTGCATCTCTCAAACTCCCAGTTAGTTAAATCCAATCCACAGCCTAAGGACAAGGGCGACCTCTGATGTGCCTCACGTACTCTAGCAACAGAGAGAAATATGGAGGTGAGTGTGGGGGTAGGAGGCTGATTGGAAGGTGTCTGGCTTGGGGGTGCTGGGGTGCACTTTGGGGAAGCACATCATGACAGGGCTGAGTGTGTGATAAATCAGAGCCCGTGTGATGTTGTGATAGGTGATGAGTAAAGAGGCTGCTGGAATCATCCATTTTGAGGACCTGAACTAAAGCATGAGCACCAGGTGGAGAAGTGGTCAAGAGCTGGATGTATTTCAGAGAGGAGTGACAGCCTGACAACCAAGGGGATGTAAGGAACATTTCACAACTTGGATCAACCCCAGGACACCCTTGCTGAGCTGTGGAGAGGAGTGAGAGCTTGACAATCAAGGAGATGTAAGGAACATTTCACAACTTGGATCAACTCCAGGACACCCTTGCTGAGCTATAGAGCCACAGGGCTCTCGGCCACTCCAGGGACCCCAGTGCAGCATTTAGCAGTACCAAGCAAGGCATACCTTTGGGAAACAAGCACAATTCCTGCCTCCAGAAATGTCTTCTTAATCCTGTTGGTAAATCTCATACACTGTGATTTATTAAGATCTTGTTTTAATTTCATAATATGATTTTACAGAACATTTACCAGATAAATATACCAGAACCCAGACACAAGCTGCTGTGCCAGTTATAGATGTGCCATTAATTTGGCTAATAGCTCTGAGGAGGCAGCCCAGAGCCAAGTAAGGAGAGTCTGGATTCCTCAGACCTCTATTCCAAGATGCTTGAATAGAAGAAGTGGTTCCACTCAACTGGGCTCAACTCAGCCCAATGGGAAAACATTCTGGGGCCATGAGGATGGAAGGAACAGCATTACGCCTACTTCACAGGTAGGTGCTCATGGCAATGGCCCTCACAGCTGCAAAGCACACACACAGGTTCAGTTGGGCTAGAAGATAGAACATTCTGAAATTTTTAGGGGACAGAGATGGGTCCCAGAGAAGGCTGTCCTGAGAAATTCAGCTAAAGTTGTAGGTTATTGATTCTGCATCAAGGAAGATAGAATCTGTTTACCAGCTGGTCAAGGCTTCAATGTACTCAATTTTCAACTTCTCCTACTGCTTTTTTCACCTTGGTCATAGGATTAAGACCAAGAAGAAAGATAATAAGGACCAGAAAATTCTAGCCCCCAACAGGTAGACCTAGGCTACATGAAGGAGGGATGACAAGGTGCTCTGCAATACAGGACAGGCAGAGGCTGAACTCAGCCTGGGGAGCAAAGGAAGCTGGAAGGAGTCAGTGATGCCTGGGTGGGGCTTGGAAGGCCTCATGGTTGGTCAGGCACAGGACATGGCTAGTTTCTTTGAATGAACATTTTTATGACTGTCAGTCACAAGGGCACGGAAGATGAAAACATTAAGTCCCACTGTCACCTCAGTCATTGTGATGAGAATGTGTTAGATATCAAGGGAACCTGGCTGGCCAAAGAGTGAACTGGTGAAGCCCAAACTCATTTCCAGGAGGGAAAGCTAGCTGCAGGAACCCAGGAATGGAGATGTATTTCTGCCCTACTGAGTCTTGAGTCTCCATCCTCACCCAGAGGGGAGCTTGCCCTGGGGCTGCAGGGGCTTAATGACCAGGAGACTTCACCATCCACCCCCACAAGGAGCCCACAGTTCAGGAAGAGAATCTGGTGGCAACTCCAGGTGTGCATGTACTGCTGAAACTGTATGAAACTGTTGTATCAGTTTCAGGGAGTCCCACGCAGTGCCTCACTGACCATCACTTTCCAGCTGGCCCAGCCTCAGCCTCCCTGTGAGGACTGTCACTGACGCAAGGTGTCACCATCACACTCAAAGGAGGGGAGTCACTGGAACAGGTTGTTGGTTTTAAAACCTCTTCCCCAGAAAGACAAATACTGCATGATCTCATTTATATGTAAAATCTAAAGAAGTCCAACTCATAGGAACAGAGTAGAAAATAGGTTGACAGGGACTGGGGGTGAGGGAAATTGGGGGATTTGGGTGGAAGGGTACATACTTTCAGCTATGAGATGAATACATTCTGGAGGTCTTATGTATAGCTAGCTTGGTGACTATAATGTATAATAGTGTATTGCATCCTGGAAATTTGCTAAGAGGGTAGATCTTGTGATCTCACCACACACACACACACACACACATACACACACACACACACGGTAACTATGTGGTGATGGTTATGTTAATTAGCTTGATGGCAGTAATCATTTCACAGTATATACATATATCAAAACATCCCTCTGTACACATTAAATATATATAATTTATATTTATGAATTATGCCTCAGTAAAGCTTGAAAAAATTAAAATGAGTAAAATGTGTGCCTGCTGCATCACTCACACAAAATCTACCATCTGAAGTCAAACTCTGATATGAGGGGCTTCATTCACCATGCCCTCACCTGCACTGGCAAATACTGCCAGCATGGAGGGCAGAGAGCCTTGAGATACCCAGAGGGGAGCCACCATTACCCACACCCTCCATGCCTGAGTTCACAGTCAGGACTGCCAGCACAGAGGGCAGAGGGCCTGGAGATACCTGAGGGGAGCCACCACTACCCATGCCCTCCATACCCAAGTTCATAGTCAGGGTGGTGCAGTGCATGGGAATGGACAACTGGTTAGGAGTCAGGACAACTTGCTCCAGCCCAGGTCTGCAACTCAGTTGCCAGTGTCTTCCACTCTCCATCAATGCACACAACCTAGACAGTTAGTTTCTCCCTCCTTTCCACTCACTAAGCCTTTCACCTCTGATATAAAGGTCATCTCATTATTTTAATTTAATTTTGAGTGAAAAACTAAAAACTCATTGAGTGCCTGCCATGTTTCAGCACTGGACCATATGGTGGGAATACTTCAACAAATATAACAGGTGTAGTCTTTATTCTCATAGTGTTTGCAATCATTCCATTCTCCTCCTAAGCAAGGTTTTCTTGTCTTGGTGTGGATTGTTCCTCTCTTTTTGCACAGTGGCTAGCAGGAAGCTCTGAATCTAACAAGTGTCAGGCAACCAGATTAGGCTATGCAGTGGTCAAGAAGCTGAAGAGAGAACAAGTGACATCAGGAAGTAGGAGATCCCCTGTTTCTTAAGAGAAGAGTGCTCAAGTAGCTCTGAGCTTTAATTTCTTTGTTCTCCATCAGGATCCTGCTATGAGAATTGCAATAAATATCTCTGAAATGCATTATATACAGCACGTTTGTTCTCTGTAATTGAAGGATCTCATTTTTGCATGCCTAAATCAATAGTGGCACTGACAATATTTAAATGTGGTGTGGAATACTGGGTCAGAAGACCACAGTAAGATATCATTTGCCCTTGCAGCTTAACATTCCAAGATGGACAGTGCTGGCTAAGGGATGGGAGACATGGACTCATCTGGCTCTCATCTCCACACCATTGAGATCTAGACACCAGTTTCCAGTTTCTTTTGAGGCTCAATAAAAAGAGGAATGCTTTGTGTAGTATATCCCCTGTGCTTGCATGGTCAGACCAGCTAGTTGGTACAGACTGGGTCACAATGACAGTAATAGCATGGACTTCCTAGCTCAGGTAGCCACATGCTCACATGGCCCAGCTCCTTGAAAAGTTCCCGTCATAGTCCTTGGAGTTTTGACAGGTTGTCTATTTTGAATACACCAACATTCTCTTGCCTGCTTCTTCCTTCTCTCACTAACGGTTACTGCAGTTTCAGTAGGCACTGTGGTCTCTTCCCAACTGCATCACTAGGAGGCTGGGTCCCTGATGCAGCCCAGTCTTGGGGGTGGTGTGTGAAGAAATGGATGGATTCATCTTCTTTGCGGTCCTCTCTAGCCCCATCTTAATCCTGCTTGCGTGCCTGTATCTCACATGATCCTCATGGCATTGACCTCTGTTTACTTGTGTCTCTTGTCCTCTTGCTAGAATCCAAAGAATTTCCCAGGAGTTGGACTTCATTCTGTATTCAGAATTATTTCTCACTTGCGTTAGCAAACCCTTTGCAGCTGAGTCAAACTAGTTGTTTCTGATGGCTTCATTTAGGATCTCTTCCTTCCCAGAAAACTCTTTTCTATTTTTATTTTTTGAAAACACCCAGGCTGGAATACAGTGGCACAATCATAGCTTAATACAGCCTTGAGCTCCTTTGCTCAGGTGATTCTCTCACATTAGCCTCCCAAGCAGCTGGGACTTGAGGCACAAGCCACCAATTATAGGTAATTTTATTTTTAATTTTATTTTTAGTAGAGACAAGACCTTGCTATGTTGCCCAGGCTGGTCTGGAATACCTGGCCTCAAGCCATTCTTCTGTCTCTGCCTCTCAAAGTAATGGGATTACAGGCATGAGCCACCACACCCAGCCCCAGAAAGCTCTCAAATATTCATATTGAATTTCATACGAGTTAGCATATATTTTCATGTGTTTATGCTCAGAGATGGCTGAGTCCTGAAGGTAGACATAGAGGAGGGTGAGCTTAAGAACTTTACTAAAGCACTTACATTTCACTTGCACACACATAGTGACAATACTGTGCTACACATTTTCTCCAATTTTGCAGAAACTTTTTCTCTTCCACAGATCCCAACTGGAATTTTTCTGAGTATATGTTGAGTCTTATAAAAAGAGCAGTTTAAAAGTATGCTCACTATTGTATTTTTTTCTAAGTGAATGTGAGCCTCTCCAGGGCGCCATGTTCTAAGTTTGCTAGGGGCAAAGAATGAAATGTCGCCATGCTCTCCAGAGTTGTGTAGAATGGCATCCTTGTCCCTTTTAGAGAGGCACCAAAATGCTTAAGTTTCCAAATTACTCTATCTCCTCTCTTGAAATCTGGCCTACCTATATATATTTCAGACTGTCTCCCCATCAGAATAGCACTGTAAGAATTTTTAAGGACAGAAATGCGTGCTTCTTTGGCTTCAAAACACCTATTCATGCTGAGTACTAGCAGCTTTGTCCCCAGTAAGGTGTGTTTGAGCTATGCTCATAAAAGACGTGAGTTATAAGCATAATTCAATTACAGCAAAGAGACTGCAAAAAGGGGAACAGAAATAATAGAGAAAAAAACCAGATAAGCCAAGCCCACTAATTCGGGGCGGCCTGACTGTCCCATCCATCTGTGAAACACTTGATGGCCCATTTGTCTGGGAGGGTGTGTTGATTAAGAATTTCCCCAGATGGCAGCATGGAGGATGCTATATTAAAGCTCTCTCCGTATATCTGCAGAAGATGTGACAGGAGGAGAAAATTAGTGCTGAATTCATGAAGGAATCCTGTCCCATAAGGCCCAGCTTTTTATCTGAATCCATCTTGGGGGAATATCAGTTAAATTGAAAGTAGATTTAGGAATACATATCCACTGAATGAAATTATAATATGAGCAGAGACGCTGACTTAAAAGAAAATCCCTGGGACTTGGTTCTTATCTTAGAGACTGGGACATGGATTTTCCATGTGTCAGAAATAGATCTTCCCCACAATCAGATTTAAAGATGAAATAATTGCAATATTCTTACATATGATGAAAGGGTATGAGTGTATGAGTACTGCTATGGTTTGAGTGCCTTCTCCAAAACTCATGTTGGAATTCAGTTGTCTTTGTGATACTATTAAGAGGTGGGACTAAATGGGGCCTTTGGGCAGCAATTAGGATAACATAAGGTCATTAGGCTGAGACCCCATGATGAGACTGGTGGCTTTATAAGAAGAGGAATAAAGTCATGAGCAGATGCACCCATGCCTGCCTACCATGAGAACACCTCATGCTATAGTATGGTGCAGCACAGAGGCCCTTGCCAGGTGCTGGTGCCATGCTTTTGAACTTGGTGACAACAAGACTATGAGCTAAATAAACATCTATTTTTAAAAATAAACTACCCAATCTGTGCTATTCAGTTATAGCAACAGAAAATGGACTGAGACAGAAAATTGGTACTGAGATGTGGGATTGTCACTATAAAAATTCCTGAATATTTGGAGGTAGTTTGGTATTGGGTAATGGGTAGAAAATGGAAGAATGTGAAGCAACAGGCTCAGAAAAGCGTGTTGCATAGTGGCAGAAGCAGAGGATTAGGGGTAATTCTTGTGAAGATTCATAAGAGACAAGAAAATGAGGGAAAGTCAGGAACTTATTAGAGAGCACTTAAGTAGTCATGACCAGAATGCTAGTAGAAATGTGTACAGGAAAGGCCATTCTAACAAGGTCTCAGATAGAAATAAAGGTCATCCTTGTTATAAAGCAGGAAAGAACTTGGCTGCATTATGTCCATGTCCTAGGACATTATGGAAGGTGGAACCTAAGAGTGGTGAGCTGGGCCAAAAAAAAAAAAAAATCTAAGCCACAAAGTGTTCTGGATACTGCATGGCTGTTCTTGAATGCTTACAGTGAGATATGGGAGCAAAGAGATGATTTCAAGCAGAATAATAATTAAAATGGAAGCCAAGTATAAAAATTTGGAAAATTCACAGTTTGGCAATGTGAAGAACAGAAAAACAAGTTAGGGAGAACACAGCAAGGGTGTGGCTGAGTGACTGGTCACTAGAGATGAGCAGGAATAGAAGGGACCAGGTGCTAATCATTGAGAAAAAGGGGAAACAGTCCTGAAGGCATTTCTGAGATCATCGATATGGCCCCTCACAGGCCCAGAGCTCTAGGAGGGCAAAATGGTTTTGCGGGTCTGGCCAGGGGATCCCTCCATGTCTCACTGCCCTGTGCCACCTCAGAGCTCTGCTCACTGCATTCTGGTGCAGCACTTTTTAGCCCCAGCTGTGGCTCAGGCAGCCCCAGTTGCAGTTCAGACCACCATTGCAGAAGGCCTAAGCCATAAGCCTTAGCAGTGTCCATGTGGAGCTAATACTGCAGGAGTGCAGAATGCAAGAGCTACGGAGGCACAGTTTCCTCCATCTAGATTCCAAAACCTGTCATAGAAAGCATTCAGGCCCAGGCAGAAACCTGCTGCAGGGGCAGAGCTGCCATGCTGAGTTCCTACCAGGGAAATGCCAAATGGAGCCATTGGAGTGGGACCACCACCAGGACCTAAGAAGTATAGAGCTACCAGCATGTAAATCCACCCTGGGAAAGCGGAAGCATGGGCTGAACCCAGCAAAGTCCCAGGGGCAGGGCTGCCTGAGGCAGTGGGGGCCCATCCCCACTCCAACCAGGAAGTGGTATGAGATTTAATGTTGTTCACCCTGTTGGGTTTTGGACTTACTTGGAGCCTGTTACTCATTTCTTCTTATTACTCCCTTTTGGAATGGAAATTTCTATCCCATGCCTGTCCCACTAATGTATTTTGAGCATAATTTGTTTGACTTCCCAGGCTCGCAGCTGAAGGAAATTCATCTCAGAATAAATTGTGCTTTCAGTCTCACTCATTCATGATTTAGGTGAGACTTTGGACTTTTGAGTTGGTGCTGGAATGAGTTAAGACTTTGGGGCTATTGGTATGAAATGAATGTATTCTGCATGTGAGAAAGACATGGATTTTGGGGCCAGAGGCAGAATGCTATGGTTTGAATGTGTCCTCCCAAAGTTCATGTGCTGGAAACTTAATCCCCAAATGCGTATGTTAATGGTATTTGGAGGTGGGGGCTTTTGGAGGTAATTAGAATTAAGGTCATGTGTGTGGGGGCCCTCATGATGGCATAGTGGCTTTATAAGAAGAGGAGAGAGGGACTGGGCATGGTGACACATGCCTGTAATCTGAGCACTGTGGGAGGCCAAGGTGGGCAGATCACCTGAGGTCAGGAGTTTGAGATCAGCCTGGCCAATGTGGCAAAACCCCATCTCTACTAAAAATACAAAACTTAGCTGGATGTGGTGGCACACACCTGTAATCCCAAGTACTCAGGAGGCTGAGGTAGGAGAATCACTTGAGCCTGGGATGTGGAGGTTGAAGTGAGCAAAGATTGTGCCACTGCAGTCCAGCCTGGGAGACAGAGAGACTCCATCTCAAAAAAAAAAAAAAAAAAAAAAAAAAGGGAGAGAGAGAGAGCTGAACTAGCCTGCCTGCTCTTGCCCTCTGAAAATGTGATGCCTTCCACTATGTTATGATGCTGTAAGAAGGCCCTCACCAGATGTGGACCTTCGACCTTGGACTTCCCAGCTTCTAGAACTACAAATATATATATTTATATTAATATATATTAAATATATATATATATATATATATTTAAATACTACTCAGTGTGTAACATTCTGTTAGAGCAACAGAAACAGACTAAGTATGTAGGTCTGAAAAACAATCTGACAAGTGTCTAGCCTTCCCAGGTGTCTCTAGGTTAGCTCTTGTTTCATACACACAAATGTAGTTATCCATGCATGCAAATGATTGTGTTGGAGATGAAGTCATTCATTTGATCCTATTAATTTACATGTATGTGTATAAACTTGTACAAATGACTTTTATTATTATATGTATGTATATGTAAAAATAATTCCCCCATTATTGCCAGTCTTTTGTTTTATTATTATCATTTTTAACCTCTTTATTTTTCCAGATGAACTTAAGGATTATTTCATAATGTGTCCCCAATTCTTATTAGTATTATAAAAGGAATCATATTAAATCTATAAATGATGGTGGGACTACTGACATTTTTTTCATTCAACTTCCAATTTAGGGAAACAGTATAGTATTCCATCACATTTACCCACCCAGATTTATTTTTTACCCTTTTGCATTCTGCTATATGTCCAGGAAGCTAGTTTTTATTAATATACTCACGAGTTCCCTTGCCCTCCAACTCTCAATTAGGTGCAGCCCATGTACAGGTCTGACAAGGACTGGGAGGTGGGAGGGAAGTGAGATTTATATCCCAGCTTTCCTGATAATGGCCTTTTTTTTTTTTTGAGATGTAGTCTTGCTCTGTTGCCCAGGCTGAAGTGCAATGGCGCAATCTTGGTTCACTGCAACCACCGTCTCCTGGGTTCAAGCAATTCTCCTGACTCAGCTTCCGGAGTAGCTGGGATTACAGGTGCAAGCCACTGCACCCGGCTAATTTTTGTATTTTTAGTAGAGATGGGGTTTCGCCATGTTGGCCAGGGTGGTCTTGAACCCCTGAGATAACAGGTTGTTTTGTTAGCCACTTTTCTCAGTGCCCCCCTTGTTTTGTAAATTGTTTTTTTTTTTGTTTTTTGTTTGTTTGTTTTTCCCATGCTCCTCAGGCCTAGAGCTGGTAACAGCTTCCTGGTGTTGCAAGTCCCAGAGTGCATCACTGTTTCTTACACTTGTGTTTGTGCCCCTTACTTTCCCATACTTTAATTAGTCTTTTCATTAAATTCTTAATTATCCGATTAGCGTAGACACCTGTTTTCCTCTGGGACCCTGACTAATATAGTACACCTCTTTCTTCCCACTTTCACCTATATTCAGCATAGTAACATCTTGTCATATTATTTTCCATCTTCAACATGAACATTTTTGTTAGCTTATTTCTAAATATTCTATATGCATGTTACTGTTAATACATTGGGATTCTTCTTCCTTTATATTTCCTGAATAGTTATTACTATTGCAAAAGAAATCTTTAGAGATGTTTCTGTTTATTTTACTTTGTATTCTGAAAAATAGCTGGCATTTCTGTTTTGTTACTGCCGGTCAAGTAATATATCTTGTGATTCTCATTAATAATGCTACTGAATATTAGTTTGAGATAGTCATAATTTTTTCTTATATTTGTTTTATTGATGTAGTTTTTCACTGTATTTGTCCAAGAAATTACCTCTAACTGCTGAAATAAAAAGGCTTTTGAGGCTGGACGCGGTGGCTCACGCCTGTAATCCCAGCACTTTGGGAGGCCGAGGAGGGTGGATCACAAGGTCAGGAATTCAAGACCAGCCTGGCCAAGATGGTGAAACCCTGCCTCTACTAAAAATACAAAAGTTAGTTGGGCGTGATGGCGGGTGCCTGTAATCCCAGCTGCTCGGGAGGCTGAGGCAGAGAATTGCTTGAATCTGGGAGGCAGAGGTTGCAGTGAGCCGAGATCGCACCACTGCACTCCAGCCTGGGCAACAGAGCGAGACTCCGTCTCAAAAAAAAAAAAAGAAAAAAAAGAAAAGCTTCTGTAATTTCAGTGGTTTAACACAATAAACCCACTCAAAAACAGTCCAAGGTCAGTCCCGCAGCTCCTCACCATCATGTAGCTACATCACCTGGAACACAACTTCTCAAAGGTTATCAGGCAGTGAAGAAGTTAGAGAAGTTAGAGAATCCTATGTGTAGATTATTTTAAGGGCCAAATCTGGAAGGGATTTTTAAAAATTACTTCTACTTAATCGCATTGCCTGGACTAAGGGGAAGTGGAAGGTATAGAAAACACACGGAGTGTTGGGTATGAGCTTACAGTGTTTTCTATAAAAGTGCCCCTCTAACAGTGATCTCATAAAGTGCACTGAGAATAGTTGCCAAAGTTTTGTTAAGAGCTTTTTGGGCAGCTATTGACTTTATATAATGTTTATTAGATTACTGATGTTCCTGGACTGTGCACCTGTGGACAAGTTATTAAAATTATCTGTATCTCTTATATCTCTGTTCATTTCATTGTTCATTAGAGATAACATCAACTCCACTTAGGAATCTTTTACATTAAAATTTTTTTCTTTTAAAAAAAAAAAATTTTGAGAGACAGGATCTTGCTATAGTGCCCAGGCTGGTCTCAAACGGCTGGTCTCAAACTCCTGGCCTCAAGTGATCCTCTTGCCTCCGCTTCCCAAAGTTCTGGGATTACAGGTGTAAGCCACTGTGTCTGGCCAATCTTTTAAATTTTAAATGGATTAATACAAGTGAGGTACATATACAAGTGTCCAGCATATGTAAGAAAAAAATTTAGCATAATAAGTAGTATTTATTGTATTACTATTATAAAATGGTTCTGATTTGGAGAATAACATGCCACTCTTTTAATATACTGATGTTCTATTTGTTAATATTTTAAAATATTTCATCTATATTCATATAATTATTAAATGTTAAAAATATGCCAAGAGTTTTCCCTTGAGAAAAGTCCTAGCTATGTAACTAATTCCCTATAATACATAGAATTATATGCATAGTGCTTACATTTTTGTCACTTTCTAAATAAACTAGCAACACAGTTTTTATTTCCTACTCGAATAAAAAATTGCCTAGAAGAGCTTTTACCTTGGCCAGGGAGATTTGGGCATTGCCTCTGCTCTCAAGTATTTTCCAAAACTTACTCTGGAGTGATAAACAAATGTGATCACTTTTTAAGTGTTTTATGACAAGAATAACTGGGTTAATGTGTGTAATCTCTAGGTATTTTTCTAGCAATTTAAATCCTCTAATAGGTATACATTTTCTTGCTTTAAAGGAAAATTTATAATAATGGGCATGATCTTCACTAAAATTGTGGTTATTGGTTATGTTATTTATTTATTTATTTAAGACAGAATCTTGCTCTGTCACCTAGGATGGAGTGCTGTGGCATGATCTCGGCTTACTGCAACCTCTGCCTCCCGGGTTCAAGCAATTCTCCTGCCTCAGCCTCCCGAGTAGCTGGGACTACAGGTTGTGTGCCACCACACCTGGCTAATTTCTGTATTTTTAGTAGAAATGGGGTTTCACTATACTGGCCAGGCTCCTCTCGAACTCCTGATCTTAGGTGATCCACCCTCCCTGGCCTCCCAGAGGGCTGGGATTACAGGCGTGAGCCACCAGAAGTGTGGTTTTTATTGCTAGAAAGAGAAAACACACTCTAAGCCTAGACTGCATTATTTCCACGGTATTTTCCAGTTCAGTCTCTCCAGCGTCCTTCTTTACATCCATGGTTCTAACCTTCCTGTTTCCAAATCCCCCAAACCTGTTTTTTTCTTATTTTCTACTTTATTTCTGGGAATTGGAGTTATGGGTGGAAACAGAGGGGAAGGGTAATGAAATAGTTATGACCCTACTTATTGGATGTGGGGGCAGGAATGTGTCTTCATGTCTTCCGTAGGTTATAATTATTTTATATCTGTGACAGAAGATTCTGAGAATAATTAGATCAAAATCTCTTATCATCTGTGCCCTAACTTGTCATAATGCCTTATCTGAATGCTCCATCTGAGCTTTAATTAGTGGACATTTGTCCTGATTTCTGGTCTTAATTCTAAATTTAATGGCCAGGCATGGTAGCTCATGCCTGTAATCCCAGCACTTTGGGAGGCCAAGGCGGACAGATCACGAGGTCAAGAGAGCGAGACCATCCTGGCCAACATGGTGAAACCCCGTCTCTACTAAAAAAATGAAAAATTAGCCGGGTGTGGTGGCAGGCGCCTGTAATCCCAGCTACTCGGGAGGCTGAGACAGGAGAATCGCTTGAAACCAAAGGCAGAGGTTGCAATGAACCAAGATCACGCCACTGCATTTCAACCCAGGTAACAACAGCGAAACTCCGTCTCAAAAAAAAAAAAAAGGTGGGAGTAGTGGTATTAATTTCAGACAGAGCAGACTTCAGTGCAAGGAAATTACCAAAGATAAGGACAATTACACAATGATAAAGGGGTCAATTCTCTGAATAGACATGAGGATTCTTCATGTGTGTGCACCTAAAGAACAGAGTATCAAAATGCAAGAGGTAAAAACTCAGTGTTTCAAGGAGACTAGATTAATCCATTTTTTTAGTTGAAGTCTTTAACACTCACATCAGATATAGACAGATATAGAAAAAAGAAAACCATCAAGTGCATAGTGAAACAGCATCATCTATCCACTAAACATCATGAACATTCATAGACTACTTTATCCAACACATTCTGATCAAGCTCACGTGGAAGAGTTACCAATATAGACAACATTCTGAGCCATAAAACACACATTAACAAATATAAAAAAATGAAAATCATACAATGTATACTTGCAGACAACAATGGAATTACAGTAGAAATTAATAACAAAAAGATAGCAAGAAGACTTCGAAATACTTAGATAATAAACAACACCCTTATAACTAATAGGTCAAAGAAGAAATCTCAAGAAAAATTTAAAAATATTTCTAATGAAACAAAAAGCACAACTTATCAAATGTGTGGGATGCAGCAAAGCAGTGCTTAGAGGAAAATTTATAGCATTGATTGCATACATTAAAAATAAGATATACAACCAATAATCTAAGCTCCCACCTTAATAAACTAGAAAGGGAATATTAAATTAAATATGAAGAAAAAAATTAAAACATAATAAATATTTTAATAGAAATAAATGAAATTGAAAACAGAAATACTATAAAGAAAATTACCATCAGCTAGGGCTGTTTTTTTTTTTTTTTGCTTTTTTCTTCTAATAACTTATTTTATTTATTTATTTTTTAGTTTTTAGTTTTTTACCACTTTTTTAATTATTATTATTATTATACTTTAAGTTCTAGTGTGCCTGTGCACAACATGCAGGTTTGTTACATATGTATACATGTGCCATGTTGGTGTGCTGCACCCATTAACTCGTCATTTACATTGGGTATATCTCCTAATGCTATCCCTCCCTCCTCCCCCCACCCCATGACAGGCCCCAGTGTGTGATGTTCCCCACCCTGTGTCCAAGTGTTCTCATTGTTCAACTGCCACCTATGAGTGAGAACATGAGGTGCTTGGATTTCTGTCCTTGCGATAGTTTGCTCAGAATGATGGTTTCCAGCTTCATCCATGTCCCTACAAAGGACATGAACTCATCCTTTTTTTATGGCTGCACAGTATTCCATGGTGTATATGTGCCACATTTTCTTAATCCAGTCTATCATTGATGGACATTTGGGTTGGTTCCAAGCCTTTGCTATTGTGAATAGTGCCGCAATAAACACACGTGTGCATGTGTCTTTATAGCAGCATGATATATAATCCTTTGGGTACATACCCAGTAATGGGATGGCTGGGTCAAATGGTATTTCTAGTTCTAGATCCTGGAGGAATCACCACACTGTCTTCCACAATGGTTGAACTAGTTTACAGTCCCACCAACAGTGTAAAAGTGTTCCTATTTCTCCACATCCTCTCCAGCACCTGTTGTTTCCTGACTTTTTAATGATTGCCATTCTAACTGGTGTGAGATGGTATCTCATTGTGGTTTTGATTCGCATTTCTCTGATGGCCAGTGATGATGAGCATTTTTTCATGTGTTTTTTGGCTGCATAAATGTCTTCTTTTGAGAAGTGTCTGTTCATGTCCTTCGCCCACTTTTTGATGGGGTTGTTTGTTTTTTTCTTGTAAATTTGTTTGAATTCATTGTAGATTCTGGATATTAGCCCTTTGTCAGATGAGTAGGTTGTGAAAATTTTCTCCCATTGTGTATGTTGCCTGTTCACTCTGATGGTAGATTCTTTTGCTGGGCAGAAGCTCTTTAGTTTAATTAGATCCCATTTGTCAATTTTGGCTTTTGTTGCCATTGCTTTTGGTGTTTTAGACATGAAGTCCTTGCCCATGCCTATGTCCTGAATGGTAATGCCTAGGTTTTCTTCTGGGGTTTTTATGGTTTTAGGTCTAACGTTTAAGTCTTTAATCCATCTTGAATTAATTTTTGTATAAGGTGTAAGGAAGGGATCCAGTTTCAGCTTTCTACATATGGCTAGCCAGTTTTCCCAGCACCATTTATTAAATAGGGAATCCTTTCCCCATTGCTTGTTTTTCTCAGGTTTGTCAAAGATCAGATAGTTGTAGATATGCGGCGTTATTTCTGAGGGCTCTGTTCTGTTCCATTGATCTATATCTCTGTTTTGGTACCAGTACCATGCTGTTTTGGTTACTGTACCCTTGTAGTATAGTTTGAAGTCAGGCAGCGTGATGCCTCCAGCTTTGTTCTTTTGGCTTAGGATTGACTTGGCGATGCGGGCTCTTTTTTGGTTCCATATGAACTTTAAAGTAGTTTTTTCCAATTCTGTGAAGAAAGGCATTGGTAGCTTGATGGGGATGGCATTGAATCTATAAATTACCTTGGGCAGTATGGCCATTTTCACGATATTGATTCTTCCTACCCATGAGCATGGAATGTTCTTCCATTTGTTTGTATCCTCTTTTATTTCATTGAGCAGTGGTTTGTAGTTCTCCTTGAAGAGGTCCTTCACGTCCCTTTTAAGTTGGATTGCTAAGTATTTTATTCTCTTTGAAGCAATTGTGAATGGGAGTTCACTCATGATTTGGCTCTCTGTTTGTCTGTTATTGGTGTATAAGAATGCTTGTGATTTTTGTACATTGATTTTGTATCCTGAGACTTTGCTGGAGTTGCTTATCAGCTTAAGGAGATTTTGGGCTGAGACAATGGGGTTTTCTAGATATACAATCATGTCGTCTGCAAACAGGGACAATTTGACTTCCTCTTTTCCTAATTGAATACCCTTTATTTCCTTCTCCTGCCTAATTGCCCTGGCCAGAACTTCCAACACTGTGTTGAATAGGAGTGGTGAGAGAGGGCATCCCTGTCTTGTGCCAGTTTTCAAAGGGAATGCTTCCAGTTTTTGCCCATTCAGTATGATATTGGCTGTGGGTTTGTCATAGATAGCTCTTATTATTTTGAGATATGTCCCATCGATACCTAATTTATTGAGAGTTTTTAGCATGAAGCGTTGTTGAATTTTGTCAAAGGCCTTTTCTGCATCTATTGAGCTAATCATGTGGTTTTTGTCTTTGGCTCTGTTTATATGCTGGATTACATTTATTGATTTGCGTATATTGAACCAGCCTTGCATCCCAGGGATGAAGCCCACTTGATCATGGTGGATAAGCTTTTTGATGTGCTGCTGGATTCGGTTTGCCAGTATTTTATTGAGGATTTTTGCATCAATGTTCATCAAGGATATTGGTCTAAAATTCTCTTTTTTGGTTGTGTCTGTGCCCGGCTTTGGTATCAGGATGATGCTGGCCTCATAAAATGAGTTAGGCAGGATTCCCTCTTTTTCTATTGATTGGAATAGTTTCAGAAGGAATGGTACCAGTTCCTCCTTGTACCTCCGGTAGAAAGAAACAGCTATTTTTCAAAAGAAAACATACAAGTGGCCAACAGACATATGAAAAAATACTTAACATCACTAATCATCTGAAAAATGCAAATTAAAATCACTATGAGATACCATCTACACCAGTTAAAATAGCTATTATTAAAAAGCCAATAGATGCTAATGACAATGTGGAGAAAAGGGAATCCTTATACATCACTCACTGGATTATAAATTAGTACAAACTTTGCTGAAAACAGTATGGAGATTTCTCAATAAACTAAATAAACTAAAAATAAAACTACAATCAGATTAAAAGATAAATCATTATATCTAAAAGATACCTACACTTGTACATTTATCACAGCACTATTCTCAATAGCAAAGATGTGAAATTAATCTAAGTGTTGATCAAAAGATGATTGAATAAAGAAAATGTGTACATGTTGTGTGTGTTTACATGTGTATGCCCAGGACTACAGCTAGCCTAGTAGACGAAAGATCTCTACAAGGAGAAATGCAAAACTGCTGAAAAATTATCAGAGTGGGTATACATGTATATATGTATATATACACACACACACCTATATACATATGTGTATATATACATATATGCATATGTGTATATACACACATACATGTATATTGGTGTGAGTGTAAATATATGTATGTATATATGTGTGAATGTGTACATATATGTATATACATACATATACATATACACATACATATGTACATACATATACATATACACATACATATGTATATACATACATATACATATACACTATATATGTATATACATACATATACATATACACTATATATGTATATACATACATATACACTATATATGTATATACATACATATACACTATATATGTATATACATACATATACACTATATATGTATATACATACATATACATATACACTATATATGTATATACATACATATACATATACACATATATATGTATATACATACATATACATATACACATATATATGTATATACATACATATACATATACACATATATATGTATATACATACATATACATATACACATATATATGTATATACATACATATACATATACACATATATATGTATATACATACATATACATATACACATATATATGTATATACATACATATACATATACACATATATATGTATATACATACATATACATATACACATATATATGTATATACATACATATACATATACACATATATATGTATATACATACATATACATATACACATATATATGTATATACATACATATACATATACACATATATATGTATATACATACATATACATATACACATATATATGTATATACATACATATACATATACACATATATATGTATATACATACATATACATATACACATATATATGTATATACATACATATACATATACACATATATATGTATATACATACATATACATATATACATATATATACACTTCCAGAAAAATGCCCAGGAATACAGCTAGCCTAGTAGATGAAAGATCTCTACAAGGAGAAATACAAAACACTGCTGAAAAATAATCAGATTGGGTGTGTGTGTATGTATATACACACACCTATATACATGTATATGTGTATGTACACACATGTATATAGGTGTGTATATGTACATAGGTATATATGTGTGAATGTATACATATATGCATGTATATATACATATATGTATGTGTATGTATGGTCACAGCGCACATATATGTATATACATACACACACACACATATATTCACACACACGCACACCATACAATAGTACTCAGTCATAAATAAGAATGAATTCATGTCTTCTGCAGCAACATGAATGGCACTGGAGGCTATATATCCCAAGTAAAATAACTCAGAAACAGAAAATAAAATATGCATGTTCTTACTTATAAGTGGAAGCTAAGTGAAGGGCACACATAGACACATAGAGTGGAATAACAGACACTGGAGACTACGGAAGGCAGGAAGATGAGAGGTGGGCAAAAGCTGAGAAGTTACCTAACAGATACAATGTCCAGTATTCAGGTGATGGGTACACTAAAGCCCAGACTCCATCACTATCCAATATATGCATGTAAGAAATCTGCACTTCTACCCACTAAATCTTTAAAAATAAAAAAGAAAGCATGCTTATATTTGTCTTTTTTACATTTAAACTTTTAGATACAAAGGGCAAATGTGCAAGTGTGTTACGTGGGAATATTGAGTAATGCTGTGGTTTGGAGTGTGGATCTCATCACCCAGGTAGTGAGCATAGTACCCAATAGGTAGTTTTTTAACCCACCCCCACTTCCTCCACCCTCTAGTAGTCCACAGTGTCAATTGTCCCCATATTGATGTCTGTGTGTGCTATAGGGTTAGCTCCCACTTATAAGTGACAACATGTAGTATTTGGTTTTCTGTTTCTGTGTTAATTTGTTTAAGATTATGATCTCCAGCTCCATCTATGTTGCTTTAAAGGATATGATCTCAGTTTTTATGTCTACATAGTATTCCATAGAGAATATGTATCATATTTTCCTTATCCAACTTAAAATTAATGGGCACCTGAGTTGACTCCATGTCTTCGCAATTGCAAATAGCATAGCGATGGACATACAAGTACATGTGCCTTTTTGGTGGAATAATTTATTTTCTTTTGAATATAAACCCAATCATGAGATTTCCAGGTCAAATGGTAGCTATGTTATAAGTTACTTGAGAAATCTCCAGACTGCTTTCCAGAGTAGCTGGATTAATTTACATTCACAGCAACAGTGTATAAGCATTTCCTTTTCTCTAAAGCCTTGCCAGTATATGTTGTTTTTTGACATTTTATAAATAGCCATTTTGACTGGTATGAGACGGTATCTAATTGTGGTTTGGATTTTCATTTCTCTGATTATTAGTAACGCCGAGCATGTTTTCATGTTTTTTGGACACTCGTGTCTTTTCAAAAGTATAGGCTCATGTCCTTTGCCCACTTTTTAATGGAATTAATTTTTGCTTGTTGATTTAAGTTCCCTATAAATTCTGGAAATTAGGCCTTTGTTAGATGCATAATTTGAGGATATCTTCTCCCATTGTGTAGGCTGTCTGTTCGCTCTGTTTATATTTTCTTTTGCTGTGCAGAAGCTCTTTAGTTTAATTAGGTCCCACTTGTCTATTTTTGGTTTTGTTGCAATTGCTTTTGGGGACTTAGTCAAACAATTTTCTGCCAAGGTCAAATAAAGAAGAGTATTTCCTAGGTTTTTTTCCAGGACTTTTAAAACTTGAGGTCTTACATTTAAATCTTTAATCCATTCTGAGTTAATTTTTGTACATGGTGAATGGTAGGAGTCCACCATCAATCTTTTGCATATGGCTAGTCAGTTATCCAGCATCATTTATTGGATAGGGGGCCCTTTCTTCATTGCTTGCTTTTGTTGGCCTTTTTGAATATTAGATGGTTTCTAGCTGTGTGTTTTTATTTCTGAGTTTTCTATTCTGTTACATTGGTCTATGCGTCTGTTTTTGTAGCAGTATCAAGCTGCTTTGGTTATGATGGCTTTATAGTAGAGTTTGAAGTTGAGTAGTGTGATGCTTTGTTCTTTTTGCTTGGGATTGCTTTGGTTCTTGGGGCTCTTTTTTGGTTCTATCTGAATTTTAGAATAGTACTTTTTCTAATTCTGTAAAGAATGACATTGGTAGTTTGATAGAAACAGCATTTGAATCTGTAAATTGCCTTGGGCAATATGGCCAGTTTTATATTGATTCTTTTTATCCATGAGCATGGAATGCTTTTCCATTTATTTTTGTCATCTCTGATTTCTTTCAGCAGTGTTCTGTATTTCTCCTTATAGCGATCTTTCATCTACTTGGCTAGCTATATTCCTGAGCATTTGTGTGTGTGTGTCTGGCTATTGTCTAAGTGGGGTTGTGTTCTTGATTTGACTCTCAGCCTGGACATTTTTGGTATATACAAATTCTTTGTACATTGATTTTTGTATCCTGAAACTTTACTAAAGTTATTTATCAGTTCTAGGAGCCTTTTGGAAGAGTCTTTAGGATTTTCTAAGTGCAGAATGATAATATCAGTGAAGATAGACGATTTGACTTATTCTTTTCTTATTTGGGTGTCTTTTGTTTCTTTCTCTTGCCTGACTGCCCTGGCAAGAACTTCTAGTACTATGTTGAATAGGAGTGGTGAAAGTGGGCATCTTTGTCTTTTTCCAGTTCTCAAAGTGAGTGGTTCGAGCTCATTCAGTAAAATGTTGGCTGTGTGTTTGTCATAAATGGCTCTTATTATTTTGAGGTGTGTTCTTTCAATGACTACTTTGTTGAGGGTTTTATCATAAAGGGATGTTGGATTTTATCAAAAGTTTTTATGCATCTATTGAGATAGCCATATGGTTTTTGCTTTTTATTTTTTTATGTGGTTAATCACATTTATCAATTTGCATATGTTAAGCCAGCCATACATTTCAGGAATAAAGCTTACTTGATCATGGTGTATTAACTTTTTGCTATTCTGCTGGATTAGATTTGTTAGTATTTCATTGAGGATTTTTGTGTCTATGTTCATAATCTATATTGGTCTGAAGTTTTCTTTTTTCATTGGGTCTCTGCCAGATATTGGTATCAGGCTGATGCTGGCTTCACAGAAAAAGTCCATCCTCCTTGATTTTTTTTGAAATCATTTCAGTAGGACTGATGTCAGTTCTTCTTCCTATATCTGGTAGAATTCAGCTGTGAATCCACTTGATCCAGGGCTATTTTGGTTGGTATGTTATTTATTACTGATTTAATTTCAAAACTTGATATTAGTATATTTGGGATTTCTATTTCTTCCTGACTTAGTCTTGGGAAGTTGGGCATTTCCAGGGATTATCCATTTCTTTTAGATTTTCTAGTTTGTGTGTTATGAACACAAAGGGGTTCATCACAGTCTTTGATGATGTTCTGCATCTCTTTTGGATCGGTTGTAATGTTACCTGTGTCATTTCTGATGGTGTATTGTGTTTATTTGAATCCCCTCTCTTTTTTTTCTTAATCTAGCTTATAGTCTATCAATCTCATTTATCCTTTCAAACAACCAGCTTTTGGTTTTGTTGAGCCTTTGTATGGATTTTCTGGTCTCAAGGTGTTTTCAGATTTTCATTATTTCTTTTCTTCTGCTAGCTTTGGAGTTGTTTGTTCTTCTTTCCTAGTTCCTTTAAGTACAAAGTTAGCTTATTAATTTCAAATCTTTCTGACTTTTTGTTGAAGGCATTGAAGGGTACTTTCCTCTTAACACAGCTTTGGCTGTATATCAGAGATTTTGGAAAGTTGTGTCCCATTTTTACTAATTTCAAAGAATTTTATTTCTGCCTTAATTTCAGTGTCCACCCAGGAGCTACTTGAAGTAAGCTGTTTAATTTCCATGTATTTGTGTAGATTGGAGAGATCTTTTGGTTTCCATTTCTATTCTTATTGCACTGTGATTAGAGGTTATGCTTGGTATAATTTCAATTTCTTTAAAATTTATTGAAGCTTGCTTTATGACTGAGCATGTGGGAGAACTTAGAATACACTGCGTGTGCAGATGAGAATAATTCTGTGGTTGTTGAGTGGAGTGTTCTGTGGATGTCTATGAAGTCCAATTTGTCAACTGTCAATCTTAATTCCAGAGATTCTTTGTTAGTTTTTTACTTATATGATCTGGCTAACACTGTCAATGGGGTGTTGAAGTCTCCACTATTATTGCGTGGTAGTCTAAGTCTGTTCATAGGCCAAGAGGAAGTTGTTTTGTGAATCTGGGTGCTCCAATGTTGAATACATTTATTGTTATCATTGTGTAATGCCATTCACTGTCCTTCTCAATTTTTATTGATTTAAAGTCTATTTTATCTGACACAAGAATAGAAATCTGGCTCTTTTTTGTTTTCTGTTTGCAGGGTAGTTCTTACTCTACCATTTTACTTTGAGCCTGTAGGTGTTATTGCATGTGAAATGGGTCTTTTGAAGACAACAGATGGTTAGATCTCATCTTTTTATTCAGGCTGCCACTCTATGTCTTTTAAATGGGGTGTTCAGCCCATGTATATTCAAATTTAGTCTTGAGGTGTATGATTTTGATGCTGTGATGTTGTTGTTAGCTGGTTGTGGTGTAGACTTGATTGTGTAGTTGTTTTATAGTGCCTGTAGCTGTGCACTTAAGTGTGCTTTTGTGGTAGTAGGTATTGTTCTTTCTAATCTATGTTTAACACTTCTGTTAAGAACCCCTTGTAAGGCTAGTCTAGTTGAAATATATTCCCTCAACATTTGCTTGTCTGAGGAAGATCTTATTTCTCTGTCATTTATGAAGCTTAGCTTGTCAGGATATGAAATTCTTGGTTGGAATTTTTTTTTTTTTTTAAGTATACTGGAAATAGATCCTCAATCTCTTCTGGTTTACAAGGTTTCTTCTGATTGGTCTGATGCTAGCCTGATCGGGAATTGCCCCTGCCGCTTCCCTCTAGCTGCTTTTACATTTTTGGCTTTTTGAGTTTGTTTTTGTTTTTTTTTCATTGAACTTGATGAATCTAATGACTATGTGCCTTGGAGATGGTCATCTTTTATAGTATGTGGTGGAGCTTCTCTATATTTCTCGAATTTGCATGTCAACCTCTCTAGCAAGATTAGGGAAAATGTTCATGAACTATAACCTCAAACACATTTTCCAAGTTGCTTATTCTCTCTCCTCTCTCAGGAATGCCAGTGAGTCATAGATTTGGTCTCTTTACATAATCCTATAGTTCTTGAAAACTTTGTTCATTTTTCTCAATTCTTCTTTATTTTTGTCTGACTGAGTTAATTTGAAGAACTGGTCTTCAAGCTCTGAGATTCTTTTCTCAGCATGATCAATTCCACTGTTAATACTTCCAACTGTATTATAAAATTCTTGTAGTTAATTTTTCACCTCAAGAAGTTCAGTTTGGGTCTCTTTTAAAAGGGCTATTTTGTCTTTTAGCTCTTTATCAATTTACTGAATTGCTTGTCTTCCTTGAACTGAGTTTCAACTTTTTCCTTGATCTCAAGGAGCTCTCTTGTTATCCAGATTCTGAATTCCATGTCTGTCACTTCAGACAATTGATTGGTTAAGAAGCATTGCTGGGGAGTTAGTGGGCTTGTCTGAGGTAAAAAGACAGTTTTTTTTTCTTTTTAAACTGCCAGAGTTCTTGTGCTTATTCTTTCTCATCTAGGAGAGCCAGTATTACTTTAACTGTGGTCTAAGTTTAGTATAGTCAGTTTACTTCACTCCTGGAAAATTTCAGAGGGATAAGGCTGCATACAGAATGTTTGTTGTTGAATTCCTGATTTTGGTTTACAGAAGGTGATAATTAGTAAAGTTATTTTTGGTGTTGTCGTTTGGGCTATTTTGCATTATTTGGCACTTGAGAGCCATGGGCAGTAGACAGGTTCTTACTCAGATGCATGGCTCCTTTGTGCATCATTGCATTTGCAGCTGTGTTCTTTAGTCTGTGCAGGAAAGATCAATATCCACAATTGCAAAGATATAGAACCAACCTAAGTGTTCACTTATCAATGAGTAGATAAAGAAAATGTGGTATGTGTATATATATATATATACACACACACACACACATACACACATACATGTATATGCAAGTATATATGTATATGACGGTATATATGTATATACGTGCATATACATATATGTATATGACTGTATATATATGTATATATGTATATACGTGCATATACATATATGTGTGTGTGTATATATATATATATATAGAGAGAGAGAGCATGAAATACTACTCAGTCATAAAAAGAAACAAAATAATGTCTTTTGCAGCAACTTAGTTGGAGCTGGAGGCCATTATTCCAAATGAAGTAACTCAGGAATGAAAAACCAAATATCATATATTCTCACATATAAGTGGGAGTTAAGCTATGAGGATGCAAAGGCATAGAGTGATATAATGAAATTTGGGGACTTGGTGGGGAATGTTGACAGGGAGGTGATGGATAAAAGACTACATATTGGATAGAGTGTACACTGATCAGGTGACATGTGCACTAAAATTTCAAAAATTACCACTAAAGAACTTACCTATGTAATCAAAAACTACCTGTACCCTAAAACTCATTGAAATAAACAAATGTGGTACATATTCATCAGGAAATACTACACAGCTGTAAAAAATGAAATAATGTCATTTGCAGCAATATGGATGAAGCTGGAGGCTAGTATCTTAAGCAAATTGACACAGAAAAAAAAATCAAACATTGCATGTTCTCATTTATAAGTGGGAGCCAAATCTTAGATACAGATGGACATAAAGATGGGAACAACACACCCTGTAGAATCCAAAAGGAGGGAGGGAGGAATGAGGACAAGAACTGAATTCCTATTGGGTACTACGTTCACTGTCTGGATGATCGGATCAATAGAAGTCAAACCCTTAGCATCATACAGTTTACCCTTGTAGCAAACCTGCACATGTACCCACTGAATCTAAAATAAAAATGGAAATTTATATATTTATACTATTTATAAATATATGCGTTTATATGCATATAAATATATAAATTTTATATAAATCTATATAAAATATTTCTTATACATAAAAGTGAATATTAACATTTATATGAGAAATATATTAATATATTAATATATTTGTATATTTGTATATTAGAAATATATTAATATATTAATATATTTCTCATATTTGTACATTAGAAATATATTAATATTACTATTACATTGTATTAATAATAATCATATTAATATTCCTCATAAAATTTTATATATGAAATATTTTTTCAATATCTCAAAATAACTTAAACAAAAGAATTCCATAAAGTGAAATATAAAATGATCTTTGTCACAATCCATCACTGTTTCCAGTGATGGATTCACCCCTAAGTGAATATTATTGACCATTCAAAGTTTGGTGTGAAGGTTTGTGGACTTTTATAATGTTTATATTTCTTTAACTTTACAATTTTTAGTCAAATGACAATATCTGCTGGGCCCTTTTACAATTTAATGCATATAAATCTTATTTAAATGGCTGTTTTATAACATGTTATGAATAAGGCATGCATTATTTAATTCAATGCTGCAAAGAATGTTTAGGTGTTCTTAAGGTAATATTGTTTCAAAGGACACAAAAATATCTGAATTATTTTTCAAACCAATTATTTTTAAACCAATTATTTCTCTATAAAATTAATTTAAAGGAGCTGTAGGTACAAAAAGGTAAAAAAAAAGAGACAGAGAAAAGTAACTTTATTATTAGATGAGGCTTTGACTCAGGTTTGAATAAACTAGAGATCTGGTCTGAATACTTTGGAAATCTCCTTTTTCTTGTGATAGTGGACTGAAGGAGTCCTGAGTCAAAGCCCCTTTATCTTGTTTCTCCTCCCTTCCCCAAGCATGATTCTTGAATATAATCGACCTCATGTCTGCACCTCCAACAGTGCCATAGGGAAAAAATTGTAAGACACAGAGTGTGAGGGTGAGAACAAGACTAACTCTCCAAGCCTCTTTGGTGGTGTTAATGCATAGAGAAAAGGAATAAAAACAATGAAACAAAGAGAAAAAGGAAAAAAGGAAGAGAGAGAGGAGGAGGAGGAGAGGGGAAAACCTGACTCCGGTGTAATTGGAATACTTTAAAATATTAATCTCTAGAAATAATTCCTTTATTCTGTCCTGAAATCTAACCAATCACATTAACTTTCAAGGTGGCAAAAATCAAAGACATGAGAAAAGAAAGGAGCACGGAGAATCCCCCTCTCCTTGAGGCTAGGTTACCATTCCAATAATTTTTAAATCCATCCCTTTCTCTCCCAACCCATAGGCTCTCCTACAAGCCAACATCATTCCTACAGCAACATCTCAAACTTTCTTTTCTCCATATTTAGTTTTTGAGAACCCATTGCCTAGCAGTGGTCTGAGGGGACTTATCCAAAATATCCTTTATGAAAATCTTTTGATAGCTTTCCATTTCCTATAGCAAAAATTTCAGCATAGACAAATCAGTCAAATGATACAGCACATTAAAAGAATGAAAGATAAAAACCACATGGTTATCTCAATAGACACAGAAAAAAACATTTGAAAAAATCTAACACTCCTGGCAAATTAGAAATAGAAGAAAATTTCCTCAATATAGTAGAGGCCATCTATGAGAAACTCACAGTTAACATAATAATCAGGGAAAACTAAAACTTTTCCTCTAAGGTCAGGAACAAGACAAGAATGCCCGCTGTCACCACTTCTTTTCAGCATGGTACTGGAAGTAGTAACGAGAGCAATTAGGCAAGAGAAAAAAAAAAAGAAAGAAACAAAAGACATCCATATCAGAGGACAAGCAGTAAAATTATCCCTGCAAATAGCAAGATCCTATACATAGAAAACAAATTCCCCAAAAAAATGTTAGAACTAATGAATAAATTCAGTAGTTTTAGGTACAACATCAACACAAAAATCAGTTGCACTTCTTTACATCATAATGACCTACCTGAAAAGCAGTCAAGAAAACTATCCAATTTAAATAGTATTTAAAAAAAAACACTTAGGAAGATATTTAACCAAGGGTTTGAAGGATCTAGACACTCAACACTATAAAATATTGATGAAACATACTGAAGACAAAAATAAAATATGTATCACATTCATGATTAATATTGTTAAAATTGCCATACTACCTACAGCAACATACAAATTCAATATAATTCCTATCAAAATTCCAATGACCTTTTTTTGAATAAATAAAAATAATTCTAAAATATGTGTGGAAACACAAAAAGCTCTAAACAGCCAAAGCACTCTTGAGAGAGAACAAAGTTGGAAGCAACACTCTTCCTGTTTTTAGATTATATTATTAAGCTATATTTATCAAACCAGCATGATACTGACATAAGAAAAGACATAGCAATCAATCGAACAGAATAAAGAGCCCATAAATAAACCCACACATTTAAGGTCAATTTATTTTAGACAAAGTTGCCTAGGAGACACAATGGAAAAAGGATAGTCTCTTCAATAAACGATGTTTGGAAAACTGGATATTCACATGCAAGAATAAAAAAAGAGAAGAAGAAATAAAAGGAAAAAAAAGGAAGGTAGGAGGAAGAAAAAGAAATTAGACTGTTTATTTTACGCCATATACAAAAATCAATTTGAAATGGATTAAAGGTTTAAGTGTAGGATCTGAAACTGTAAAACTCCTAGAAGAAAACAGGGAAAGGCTCCTTGACATTTGTCTTGGCAAAGATTTTTTGTATATACCACAAAGCACGGGCAAAAAAATAAAAAATAGACAAATGGTATGATATCAAACTAAAAAGCTTCTGCACAGCAAAGGACGCAATCAACAAGATGAAAAGGTAACCCACAGAATAGGAGAAATATTTACAAACCATAATCTAATGAGAGGTTAGTATTCAAAATATATATGGTACTCAACCTAATAGCAAACAAACAAACAAACAAAAAACACCCAAATAAAAACAGGTATATCTTCCGAATAGGCATTTTTTTCAAGAAAATTAAAAAATCAGTAACAGGTATAAATACACAAAGATGCTTGACATCACTATCAGGGAAATTCAAATCAAAACCACAATGAGATACCATCTCACTTCTGTTACAATGGCTATTACTAAAAATAGTCACCAACACCTCACAAGAGAGAACAACTGTTGCAGAGCATGTAGAGAAAGGGAAGTCCTTGTACACTGTTGGTGGGAATGTAAACTGGTGCAGACATATGAACTAACATACAGAGGTTCCTCAAAAAGTTAAAAATACAACTCACTTCTGAGTATGTGTCTGAAGGAAAGGAAATCGGTATCTTAAAGAGATAATCTGCACTTTATGTTTATTACGCCATTATTTAAACTAGCCAAGACACAGAAACAACCTATCAGTCCACAGAGGGATGACTGGATACAGAAAATGCGGAATATATATTTAATGAAATATATTCAGCCAGAGGAAGGCAGAAACCGCCACCTGTGACCTTGTGTCTGACCTGGAGGTCGTCATGCTAAGAAAAATGATCCCGACAGAGAAAGGTAAACCCAGGATTGTGTCACTTAACTGTGGACTCCAGGGAGCGCGCCCCACGCTCCGCCGCCGGCGCCGCCCACTCGCGAGTCGGGGAGGGTTCCGGAAGCGCCCCATCTGCCCCACCCTCCGGCTCCTACGTGCGTGCGCCCAGCGCGTGTCGCCCCGCAGCTGTTCGGCGCCCACCAGTACTGGGGAGGCAGAGGCTGGGCCGCAGCCCCGCGCGTGGGCGCCATCTCTCAGCAGCCGCATCTAGGCCGAGCCGGGCACCACGCGAGGCAGCGCGGAGGAGGCCCCCACGGCGGCTGGCCGAGGACACGGAGCCGGCCTCTGCGTGCCAGAGAAGAGGCTGCTCGCGCGCGCCCGGGGCCACCCGCTGCCCCACGGCTGCGCGAGGAATGAGCAGGCGCCGACCCCGGGCTCTCGGAGCAAGGGTCTCTGCTCGGCTCCTTCCCACGCTGCGGAGCGCGGGGCTCGGCCGGGCGCGGCGGGGTCGGTGGCAACTCGCTCGGGAGCAGGCACCTGGTGAACTGACCAGCCGCAGGGGCCGCCGCGCCTCCCTTGCCTGCGCGCCCAGCTTCTCGGGGGCCGCGGAGGAGGAGGAAGGTGCGTCCGGACAGGCGAGTGCGGCGGCGACAGCGACAGCGGCTGGCCGGGCTCAGGTACGTTGGACGTGACTGCCCGGAGGCAGCCTCGGAGCTCTGCCCGTCCCGGGAGCCTGCCTGGCAGCGTCGGGAAGCGCGGGCGGCTGGTCCCTTCTTGCTCCTTCCCCCAGCGCCTCTGCCTTGGCCTCCGGGAGGCCGGAAACCTTCCTCCCTGTTTTGAGATTTCGGTGGAGACCCTTATTTTTTCCACCACTAAGGTTAAGAGATTCTGGAATGGAAGGACCAGAGATGGTGAACCTTCTGCAATTCTCAGAGTTAGCCAGACTCCCTTTTGGGGCAGAAGACCACCCTTGAGCACCTCCCCAAGGGGCAGCTCCTTTGCAGTGTGACTTCTCTGATCTACCCCTAGGAATGAAGAGTCTTCTGATAACCCGATAGGGCCCTGAAAGTCAAAGGGCAAACGAGATCTCGCAGGACATAAGCTTGTGATCGTTTAAGGGGGTGGGGGGGGGGTCACTCACGTTTCTGAATGGAATTGGAGGAGCGTCAAAGAGGTGCCTGTGAAGAAGCGCAGCAGTCCTTCAAGTGGAGCAAAATTGAGTTTTCCCATTTTTGCCAAGATTTTGAAGACAGTTCAATGTATCGTGCATTTGCTGTAAGCTTCAAGAGCATAAACGATGACTACCCCAGCCCTGCTGCCCTCTCCAGACGTGGGATCCCACCTCTGAACCTGGGGCCGCCCTCCCCACATCACAGCACTACCTTGAGACTTTCTGAGAAGACACTTATTTTTAATGCCTTCATCACCCTGTGTTTGGGGGCATTCTTTTTTCTTCTAGGCTTCTCAAAACACAAACGCTTTGATCTGGGTTTAGACGATGTGTTAATTCCTCATGTAGTAGCTGGCAAAGGGGCTAAAAACCCTGAAGTCTTCCTGATCTATGCACCCAATTAACATACACACAGAGAAGAAGAAGAAGAACCTCTGAGAAATAAAGTTCGAGCTAATCATGACAAGTCCCTGGAAGAGACAAAAGAAAAATTGAGAAAGTCAAGCAGCCTGGGTGCTGTGGCTCACACCTGTAATCCCAACACTTTGGGAGGCCAAGTCAGGAGGATGGCTTTCATCTAGGAGTTTGAGACCAGCCTGGGCAACATGATGAGACCTTGTCTCCACAAAAAATCAACAACCAGCCAGGCCTGGTAGTGCCCTTTTGTAATCCCAGCTATTCTGGGGTCTAAGGTGGGAGGATTGCTTGAGCCTGGGAGGTGGAGGCTGCAGTGAGCCCTGATGGCACTGCAACACTCAGCCAGGGTGACAGAGTGAGACCACATCTCAAAAAAAGGAAAGAAAAGAAAAGTCAAGCAAGGAAATCCAAGCAGAAATTCAGATAGAGAAAAATAGGGTCCAAGAAATGAAGACAGAGAACAAGCCACTGCCACCAGTCCTTATTCCAAACTTTGTAGGCATGAATGGTGGAGACCTGGAAGACAACATAAAAAAGAAAAGGGAAAAAAATTAAAGCATGAAACATGCCTAGGATAATTATAGGACATACAGTTGGGGGCATAATGAACTCAGACCTATTAAAAGGAAAGGATGTGCCACTAACATTTGAAAATTCACAAATGGGTGCTACCGTTGTAGATGCTTTGGATACCCTTTATATCTTGGGACTTCATGCTGAATTCCTAGATGTGCAAAGATTGTTTAAAGACAACCTTGAGGTCAGTGTGAATTCAGAGATGTTTGTGTTTGACGTCAACATTCAGTTTATTGAAGGCCTACTTGCAGCATATCACCTTTCAGGAAAGGAGATATTCAAGATTAAAGCTGTGCAACTGGCTAAGAAATTCCTTCCTGCCTTTCACACATGTACTGGGATTCCCTGGACAATGGTACATTTGCAGAGTGGAGTAGGGTGCAGCTGAAGCTAGGGGCCTGCATGTAGCAGCATTCTGGCTGAATCTGGTACACTGCACATGGAGTTCATCCACCTCAGCTACTTGACAGAAGACCTGGTTTACTACAACAAGGTCATGTACATGCGGAAACTGCTTCAGAAAATGGATTGTCCAAACGGTCTTTATCCAAATTAAACCCAAGAACAGGGTGCTGGGGTCGGTATCACACATCATTTGGTGATCGGGAGACAGTTTTTATGACTACTTACTGAGAGCACGTTTGATGTCAGATAAAACAGACCATGAATGGAGAAAGATGTGTGGTGATGCTCTTGAGGCTGCAAAAAAACAAGAACTCCCATGGATGTCTTAATCTTTAGTAAAGAATGGATCAGTGGGCACTTGGAAAACAAGATGGGGCATCTGGCCTGCTTTGCTGGGGTAATGTTTGCACTAGGAGAAGATGGTTCCAGAACAGATAAGTCTGTCATTATTTAGAGCTGGGGTGGAAATTGCATATACATGTCATGAGTCATATGACAGACTGCATTAAAGCTAGGTCCTGAGTCAGTCAAGTTTGATGGTGCAGTGGAGGTTGTGGCTGTCAGGCTGAAAAGTATTATATCCTGTGTCCAGAAGTAATTGAAACCGTTGGTACCTACGGTGATTCTCTCACAATCCAAAATACAGGCAGTGGGGCAGGGAACAGCACTGGCCATTGAAAAGTATTGCTGAGTCAGTGGTGGATTTTCTGGAGTCAAAGATGTACATTTCTCTACTCCTACACATGGTGATGTAGAGCAGGGTGTCTTTCTTGCTGAAACACTTAAAATATTTGTATGTGCTGTTCTCCAGTGGTGACCTTTTACCTTTAGACTACTAGGTGTTTAATACAGAGGCTCACCCTCTGCCTGTGTTACATTTAGCCAACACCACACTTTCAGGTAATTCTGCTGTTGGATAAAAGCAGTTCCGAGGACCAGGACCAGTCTCACCTGTTTTGTTTTACGTGGACCACTATAGAATGTAGTCTGAAAACCTAGACCTCTAAGTCAACATGATAGTGGTCATATAAGAATGATGTGTGTTACAGCAAAGATCGCAATTACTTTTACACCACCAAGTACTCTACAAACCATATATATTTTAAATATATGTATATATATATATATATAACTATATAAAACTCTATATAACTCTATGTATATAGAGAGTTATATAGAGAGTTTTATATTTAGAGAGAGTTACATATATTTATACACACACACACACACACACACACACACACACACACACACACACACACACACACATATATATGGTTTGTAGAGCTCTGAAGTCTGGAGGCTAGACTTCCTAAGAGAAAGCCAAGAATATAGAGCACATTGCAGGAGTTAAGAATGGCCTTTGGAACCTATTATATATTCCTACAGTGGAGCAACTGTCAAATATTCCACATTGTCTCATTTTTCTCCATTTTAGTAATGTAATGAACTAAGATAAAGAAAAAATATAGTATAACTGCATCAGTGACAAGAAGACTCAAAAAACAAACAGAAGTGCCAATCCATGTCTGAATTTTCAAGTTCCCTATTGGATGACCAGACTGGCAACCATTTCAAATCCTGTTTAATCGGTTTAAATAAAATCTATTTCATTTAAATTTCATGGTTAAGTTTAGTTTCTTCTAGGGGCATGATCTCACAAAAAATACTCTTTAAGTCTTTGTCTTCATATGAAATCATTAAAACTGCTATTTGTCATAACCACTACCTATAAGCCTGAGTTTGAGACTTAATTCAGGTGGTTCAGTCAGTGGTGGTAGCATGACAAAAAGTGCGGAAAAATGCCACAGTTTGTTGCCTTGAAACCTGTTCTAAAAGAAATTCTTGGTTTTGCTGGTAGGAGATTATTTTTCTGAACTAATAAATCTACCGAGCAAGTTTTATCCACTTAAATCTCATAATAACGTTAGGAGAGTCATCCAACTCACAACTTTATTTATGTGACTTGGCAAAATTCACGATACTATTATGTAGCTCTGAATTTGTCTTGATAAGCTAAATTACTTTTACAACTCATTAAAGCAAAAACAAAACACAGTGCAACTTTCTTAAATATTCTATCTGGGATGATATCCTTTATTATCTTATCAGGTGAGTGTGCCATTCACAAATATTTTATGTTTTTAAAATTTTTTCTATTGATCTTTATAGAAATCAAAATAATTAGAATAGCTTCAAAATCGTTTTCAGTGATAAAAGTGTTGAAGTAAGTATCTCAGGGATTTTCTCTTACCATCAGTAGGTTTTGCATTGTTATTTCTTTTTAAAGAAATTACTAATTCTTTATATTTTGGCAAAAAAAATTATCAGTAACTATGGTGTAAGATAAATATCTAATGCTCACGCATTTTCTGTCACATAAACTGAAGGGACTTTTTATTGTTTAATTTAGACATCGTCCATTGACATTAATAAAATTGGAAACAGTATAACTAGTATGATATTTACTCTGAATTTAAAGATTTTGTCTCATTAAACAAAGTTTAATGAGACAAAAAAGTTCATACAAGAAATCCAACTTGGAATTCTGAAGGCTTATTTCCGTATTTGATAACATTTCTTTTCAACTTAGCTTTTAGATTTAAGTTGGGAAAAGATTTAATGAATGAATACAATTAAATATTTTCCAAGGTTGATCATCTCAGACCACAAATTATTAAACAGTTCTCACAGCCCAGCCAATGATGCATAAATGACAACCACTACAAAAGTTTTTAGTAAACATAGAAAATAAGGATGTAGAGCCAGTTACAATAAAGTCTTTAAGAGAGTCAAATTTTAGGACATATTTTGAGATTGTAATTTTTTTACTACTTAAACCTTTAAATTGTTTAAATGATAAAGGTAGATGACCATAACTTTAGAAGAGAAAAGGGAAAGTACTTGGTTCTCAAAAAAGCCTTGCTAAAAATAGCACAAGCCCACTTAGGAATCACTAAAAAAAAAAAAGGCAAGAAAGTTTAATTGGCAAAGACCCAGAGAAGCTGTGCAGATGGCAATGAAGTCTCCAAACTCTTAATTTGTTTATAAGAATGCAGAGTAAAGAGGCCTTCTTGGTTTCCCAGGAAATTCTCAAGAGATGAGGAGATACAACCTGTATCTCCAACGGCTCTCTTTGTATTACTCAGATGACTGGAGTTAAGAGAAGGTAGAGAAGTATTCAAGCAGAGTCAGTTCATAAGCGAAGAATTTGAGAGGGTTTTCTACACCTCTCCCTACGCTCCCTACCTTCTGTGGAATGACAAGACTGGACCTACAACAGTACTTTTTTTTTTTTTTTTTTTGAGACAGAGTTTCGCTCTGTCACCCAGGCTGGAGTGCAGTGGCGCAATCTCGGCTCACTGCAACCTCCGCCTCCCGGGTTCAAGCAGTTCTCCTGCTTCAGCCTCCTGAGTACCTGGGATTACAGGTGTGTGCCGCCATGCCTGGCTAATATTTGTATTTTTAGTATACACAGTGTTTCACCATGTTGGTCAGGCTGGTCGTGAACTCCTGACTTTGTGATCCGCCTACCTCGGCCTCCCAGAATGCTGGGATTACGGGCATGAGACACTGCGCCCGGCCCTCCATTTTTTTTTTTTTTTTCCCTTCTCTGAATACCAAAGACAATTCAGGCCAGCTGCAAGTGACTTGCCAGTGTTATGTTTTATTTTTGTTACAGATTTTTAACCCGTTTCCCATTTAGGAAAAAATAAAGTGCATCTTGCTGCCAGCACGGTATTCTTGGGGCAAACAGAAAATAGGTAAATTTCCTCCAAGATCAATTTTTATCTTATATTCTGCTTAGTACCCATACTTTCTTCTCTTTTTTACAGCTTTTTGCATTTTGTAGACCTTATTACTCTGGTAAAATACTGCATTTATCAGACCTTCCGCAAATAGCCCAGAAATGCTCCTCAAAAAGTTGACACCTCACATTGTGACTTTGGCACAAATATGCAGAATAGATGGATTGGTTCGTGCATAACAGGAAAAAAATAGGAATGTTAAACACCCCTCTACCTTCTACATTTATTTATCTTTATTTTAAAATAAAACTTTTTGGGTTAAGCCAGTTTTTTTTTTTAATTCAACTTGTATTAAGTTGTCAAAACCAAGAGAATGAGACCCTACCTGAAAAGAAGTCTCAGCGCAGAAAAACAAGTCCCCCATCAGGTGGTTCTTACCTGCCGGTGGACTGTGTGTTTTACTTCTAACACGACTTATTCCCAGCTTCAAGCAGATGGTTATATATAAAAGTCCAACCTGGGTATTGAAAGAATGCATTCTTTTTGTGGAGTATTGACTCTGATTCTCTATGATGTCATCTTGTGAACCCAGGGCTTTACTTAGTAGATTTTAACCAAGGAGTTTGAAATCTTGATTATCATCCTCTCATCTGCTCCACTCTCTGTCAAAGTCTTTGTCAAAACTCCAAGTTTGTTGATAAAAGATTGTGCTTTCAGTTCTCATTATAATGCAGTTTCTCCTTAAGCCCGTATTTCTTTGAGTACATGAGTAAATGAGAGAATGAGTGAACAAACATTTATGAAGTATGTAATATGTGCCAAGCACTGTGCCTGGCACCTTAAAGCATTAGAAAGTTTTATGTGATTCCAGTGGCACTTTCTGTATGAGAGCAGTGTATACAATTTTACATGTTTTTCAATATGAATCATGTTACAGCATTTTAAATTTTATATTTCATATAAAGAGAAAAGGTTTATAATACATTTTAAATAATGTGTACTATGTAGTACTAACTATAATTGTGGTTAAAGTCTTGAAAAATGTCACAGAAGTGCTTGATTTTTGATGCAACTTTGACTAAAATATTTACTTTAGAAATAAAAACATTTTTAGTTTGCTATATCACTTCAATTATATTATTAAAATCAATGTTTAATAGAAGTGCTGCTTAGTTTAAATTCAAAAAGCTTTTGTCACATCATTGGTGGGTAAAACTTGAAGTTGTAAATTGTCTTTGGTAGGGGTCCTACTAACAGTCCCATGCTGTTAAATATAAAGAAAAATATAATAAAATATTTCTAGGTTTCAAAAAGCAGTTTCTAGTAATAGGATTTTAAGTTCTTATTTTTTTTTAGATTTCCTTACACTCAAATTGGATAGCTCCTCTCTCTCTCTCTCTCTCTCTCTCTCTCTCTCTCTCTCTCTCCCTCTCCCTCTCCCTCTTCCCTTTCTCTTTCTCTATACCTATCTGTATAATTTTTTAGTTATACACAAAAATTTTTAATACCATTTTTTATTTAACAAACACAGTTGGTAACTAGTTTTGGCCGCACAAATTCTAAGCAGAATGTTTGAGTAACCTGATATGGTTGGGATATTTCTCTCCTCCAGATCTCATGTTGAAATGTGATCCCCAGTGTCAGAGGGGTGAGGCCTGGTGGAAGGTGTTTGAGTGATGGTATGGATCCCTCATGAATGGCTCGGTGCTGCCTTCCCTATGGTAATGAGCAAGTCCCTGCTCTGTTAGTTCACATGAGAGCTGGTGGCTTAAAGGAGCATGGCATCTCTCTGGCTCCCTCTCTTACCGTGTGACAAACCTGTTCCCTTTTGCCATCTGCCATGAGTGGGAGCTTCCTGAGGTCCTGGCCTAAAGCAGATAGTGGCACTATGCTTGTATAGCCTGCAGAACTGTGAGGTAAATTAACCTATTTTAAAAATAGGGGCTGAGCCTGGTGGCTCATGCCTGTAATCCCAGCACTTTGGGAGGCCTAGGCAGGCAGATCACTTGAGGTCAGGAGTTTGAGCCTGGCCAATATTGTGAAATCCCGCCTCTACTAAAAATACAAAAATTAACCAGACATGGTGGCGTGCTCCTGTAGTTCCAGCAAATGGGAGACTGAGGTGGGAGAATCGCTTGAACCTGGAAGGTGGCAGTTACGTGAGCCAAAATTGTGCCACTGTATACCAGTGGTGATAGTGAGACCCTGTCTTGGAAAAACAATAAATCAATAAAAATAAAATAAATTACCCAGTCCGAAGTATTCCTTTATAGCAACACAATATTGACTAATACAAACCACATATGATATGGAAATATATCAATCCACTTACTCTGGCTCAAGAACATTGGTGAAGATGATTTTGTGTTACTTCAGCTCATTCAGATTATGATGAAGATGCTCTTTTTAATTTACAACTAGTCAGAAAGCTTTTCTGCAAAGGGCAGATAATAAATATTTTAGGTTATATGAGCTATACAGTCTTTCTTCTTACTCAGTTCTGCTGTTGAAGTGTGAAAACAGATACAGATATTATGTAAATGAATGAGTATAGCTGTGTTCCGATAAAGCTTTATTTACATAAACAGGTAAAGGACTGCATTTGACCCACAGGTCATAATTTTTACCCCAATCCCAAGATTAAGTAGTGTAAAACCCTTTAGCCTTCTTTCTGCCTCTTTTCTCTGTGCTGTAATTTACATAATTCATTTTAAAGCAAAAGAAGTGACTGTGGAATATAAAACAATAAAATTGAGTTCTTAGAAATAAAGTAGAATGGTAGTTGATAAGGTCTAGGGGCGGGTCAAATTGGGAGATGTAGGCCAAAGTATACAAACTTACCATTCTAAGATAAGTAAGTTCTGAGAATATAATGTAAAGCATGGTGACTACAGTTAATAATACTAAATTATATACTTTGAAATTTTCTAAGAGTAGACCTTAAGCATTCTCATCAAAATGAAAGAAAAAAATTAAGTCCTTGAAGTAGTGAATATGATAATTAACTTGACTGCAGCAGTCAGTTCACAATATATATTTACTTCAAATCATCATGTTGTACATTTTAAATATACGCAATTTTATTTGTCTTATTTCTTTGCCTCAATAAAGCTAAATAAAAATAATTGTGATAAATCACATTAACAGAATAAAGAATGAAAATCGTGATTTTTTTCAAGATGGCTTACTAGAGACATCAGATACCAGTTCTCCTTAGAAAGAAGATTTAACCTTACAGGTGAATAATCATGGCCCAAGTGGACTGCTGAGGGAAAAGTGTCGGAAACCTTTGGAGAACCCACAGGAAGAAGTTGGGGGTACAGGAAAAAAAAAGGGCATAAATGTCTGGCAGAGACTGACCCATGAGGAACTTGGAGTCCCATGGAAAGTGTAGATGGGAGTGTGTCTTTTTATCCTCACTCTTGTACCCAACTCATTGCCACCAATTTGTCTGAGAGCCCCTCTGCCCTTGCAAACGCAGGCACCACTGTTGGCAGTGATTGGGGAACATCTGGAGGGCAGAGCACTGGGTGGTGAGTTCACATAGGTTTGCTTGCTCTCCCCCTCAAACCCGAGCTGAGGTGGTGAGCACCATACAGACTGTACATCTGTTTGGGGCCTCTATTCGGTCCAGATAATTTTAGCCCTTGTGTCTCTCTGCATGACTATATCCCACACAAACATTTCCCAGAACCTCTTCTGCCTACGGCAACCACAGAGAACCAGCAGGACCTTGGGGAGCTGCAAGATCCTTAGAGACCTAGCCTTTGATACAGGCCTTCACTAGGGAAGGGGGATTGTAGTCCACCAGAGCACATTTTGGGACAAAGGAAACTGGAATGCACATTCTTCCCTGATGGAGAGCCCCCCTCCCCACTTATAACCAGAAAATGGCTGTATTTCTCCTAGCAGAGACACAGGTGCAATGCTGATCTTTGAAAATTAGGAGTATTGTCTTGTCCCAAAGGACAGGTGGTACCATTGGCTGGGAACTGAAATGGAAAAGGCATCTTTTGCTGTCTCCATCACTGCTGCAGACACAATCATGACGTTTTCTGCTGGGGGTTTGTGTGGATGCACTTGGAAACAGGCTTTTCAGTACACTTAGGGCAGCTGCACCCCAGTTGAAAGTGTCCCCACCAACCTGGACTTGCTCAAAGGGTGGGACTTATCTCTTCCTCCCCATACAAAGCAGCAGCATTTCTGCACCATAGAATGAACCAGCTACAGAGTATAGACCAGCTACAGCTGTCTATTTCAAGCTGTGGGAAGAGGTTTTTTCCAGAGGCCCTTTCAGCTGTAGCCACAGGATGAATGTTTTCTACGAAACCTAGTTGCATTGCAGCGTGGAGATAAAGGACATTGTCTATCTGAACTGCAGGTTGTGAGCCCTTGAACAGGAGTAGATAGGGATGTAAGTTACATCCCTAGGATGAGGAGCTAGTGCAACACCCTTCACACCTCTACCACTTGGCAGAGACCTGTGTGCATCCCACAGTGAGCTTTCCCACCACCCCCTTCAGGGGAGGGGCTTTTGCTAGTCATCAAATTGTCAAAACAACAAGCCAGTGTCTGCTAGTAAGTGCCAACTACTAAACCGTAAACTGAACTGCATAACCATATACAAAACCTGTTGGCAGAAGGGCATGATACTAGGGAATGAGATAATCTTCCTGAGGCTTCTGCACTCCCAGCCCTGCAAAAGATAGTGAGTCAAATTATATGCCCAATATATTGGTACAACAATCAGCATTTGAGAAAGCCACTGCACAAAAACTATCTATAACCAAGAAACTCATCTAGAGCCTTAGCCCCCTGAAGGCACCCAGAATTGAAGCCAAATGATTACACACAACATATAATCACACCCCCAAAAGAGAAAAGAATTGAAAATTGAAAATGTTCTTCAAATGAAAGCAAATAGAAAATAACTAAGTGACAGCTTCTATAAATGAGAAATAATGTGAGAACTTCAGCAGTACAGAAAGACAGAGTGTTTTGACACCCACAAAGGATCACAGCAGTTCTGAAGCAATGGATTCTAACAAATAAAACTAAAGTGACACATAAAAAAAAATTCAAATTTTTTTTATTGTAAGGAAGCTCAATGAGATCCAAGAGAAAGTTGAAAACCAACATAAAGAAATCAGAATAACAATTAAGGATATTAATACAAAATTTACTAAAGAGATATTTAAAAAAGAAACAGAACTTCTGGAAGTGAAAAATTCATTGAAGGAATTATAAAATGTAGTTGAAGATTTTAACAATAAACCAGACAAGCAGAAGGGAGAATTTCAGACCTGAAAGCCCAGTCCTTTGAATTAACCCAGTCATAAGAAAATTAGGAAAAAAAGAATATAAAAAATTTAAAAAGCCCTCAAGAAATGTGGGATTATGTAAAGTAATCAAACCTACAAGCTATGGGCATTTCTGAGTGAGAAGAAGAAACAGTAAAAAGCATGGGAAATGTATCTGATTAGTTAACTCAAGAAACTTTTCTGATCTAGATACAGAATTAGACATTCAGATATAAGAAGTGCAAATAACACCTGAAAGATTTTCTGCAAGATGGATCTCACCAGGGCATATATTCATCAGACAAACCAAAGTTAACATAAAGGAACAAATGCTGAAATCAGCTAGAGAGAAGTATCAAAGCACCTATAAAGACTGTCTCATCAGAATGACAGTGGACTTCTTGGCAAAAACTGTACAACCCAGAAGAGATCAGGCTTCGATTTTCTGTCTTCTTAAAGCAAAGAACTGCCAACCAAAACCTTTGGCTTTGGCTAAATTAAGCTTCATAAATGAAGGAGAAATAAAGTATTTCTCAGACAAGCAAATGCTAAGGGAATTTGTCACCTCTTGACTGGACTTACAAGAAATGCTCAAAAGAGTTCTAAAGACAGAAATAAAAGGACAAAATTTGCCATCATAAAAGCACACATAAGTAAAAAGATCACAGAGTCTATAAAGCAATTATACAATTGTTGCTACAAAACAACCAGGTAAAAACATTATGACAGCAATAAAAACATTGCATTTCAATATTACCCCTGAGTGTAATTGGCCTAAATATTCCACTTACAAGATATAGACTGGCAAATTAAATAAGAAAAGTAAGATCCAAACATTTGCTGCCTACAAGAGACACGCTTTAATGGTAAAAAGCCAAGCCTCAAAGAAAACCAGTGGGAAAAGATATACCACACAAATGGAAAACCAAAATGAGCTGAAATAGCCAAACTTATATGAAATAAAACAGACTAAATCAACAGCATTAAAAAAAGAAGATTATTACATAATAACAAAGGGCTCAATTCAACAAGAAGACATAACTATCTAAATGTATATGCACCCAATGCTGGAGCACCCATATTCATAAAACAAATACTGATAGACCTAAGAGAACAGATAGACAGCAATAATAATGGGGTATTAACACTGTTGACAATGCTGAGGCAGAAAATCAGCACAGAAACATTGCAGTTAAATTAGACTTCAGACCAAATCAACCCAACAGGCATTTTCAGAACATTTTACACAATGGCAGGATATACATTATTCTCATCTGCACATGAAATATTCTCCAAAATAAATCACACCAAAGACCAGTGGAACAGAATAGAGAACCCAGGATAGAAAGCCATCAGCAAATGGAATAATTTGACTTCCTCTCTTCCAATTTGGACACCTTTTATTTATTTCTCTTGCTGTTTGCTCTAGCTAAGACTTCCAGTACTATGTTTAATAGGAGTTGGGAGAGTCTGAATTCTTGTCTTCTTCCAGTTATCAAGGGGAATGGTTTGAGCTTTACCCATCATTCCAATGTTAGCTGTAGGTTTGTCACAGAGGGTTCTGATTCTTTTGAGTTATATTCCTTCGATGCCTACTTTGTTGAGGGTTTCTATCATGAAGGAAGCTGAAATCCATCAAACGTTTTTGCTGAATCTATTGAGACAATCATGTTTTTAGTTTTCATCCTGTTTATGTGGTGAATTTTATTTATTGATTTGCATATGTTGAGCCAGCCCTGTATCCCAGGAATAAAGCCTACTTGATTATGGTGAATTAACTTTTGAATTTGCTACTGGATTTGGTTTGGAGTCTCTGAGGATCTTTCAGATTTCTGCGGGATCAGTTTTAATATCACCTTTTTTATTTCTGATTGTGCTTATTTTGATTCTTTTTTTTTCTTGATTAATCTAGCTAATGGTGTACCAATCTATTCCTTTCAAAAGCAAGCTCCTGGTTTCATTGATCTTTTGTATGGCCTTTTGCATCTCAGTCTCATTTCATTCTCCTCTTATTTTAGTTATTTCTTTTCTTCTACTAGCTTTTGGGTTGGATTTTTTTTTCTCTAGTTCCTTCAGTTGCACTGTTAGGTCGTTTATTGGGGATCTTCTAACTTTTTCATAAAGGGATTTAGCACTATAAATTTTCCTCTTAACACTGCTTTAGCTGCCTCCCAGAGATTTAGGTTTGCTGTGTCTAATTAGCTTCAAAAAAGTCTTCATTTCTGCTTTAATTTCATTGTTTGCCCAAAATTCAATAATGATCAAGTTGTTTAGATTTCATGTAATTTTGTGATTTTGAGAGTTTCTTTTGGTATTGATTGCTACTTTTAATATACTGGGGTCCAATAGTATGCTTGATATAATTTTGATTTTTTAAAAAATTCATTTAGACTTGACTTATTGCCAAGCATGTGGTCAATCTTGGAGTATGTTCCATGTGTGAATGAGATAAATACATAATGTGGGGTTCTTGGATGACGTATTCTGTAGATGTCTATTATATCTGATTGGTCTAGGTCTAGTGTCAAATTTAAGTCCAGAATTTGTTAGGTTTTTTTGTTTTGTTTTGTTTTTTGGTTTTTGTTTTTTTTGCCGTAGTGATCTGTATAGCACTGTCAGTGAAATACTGACATCCCTCACTATTACTGTGTGGCTCTCTGGGTCTTTTCGTTGGTCTAGAAGTATTCGTTTTATGAATCTGGGTTATTCAATGTTGAGTGCATATATATTTAGGATAGTTAAGGCTTATGATTGAATTAAACCCTTTATAATTATCTAATGACCTGCTTTCTCCTTTGCTGTTGTTGGAGTCTCTTTTATCTGATAAAAGAATTGTAAGCCCTGGTGTTTTTTGTTCTCCATTTGCATAATAGTTTTCTTTCCATCCTTTTACTTTCAGTTTATGTGTGTAGTTAAATCTGAGATGGATCTTTTGAAAACATTAGAAGGTTGGATTTTTTAAAATCAAACTTGGTACTCTGTGCCTTTTAAGTGGGGGCATTTAGATCATTATATTCAAGGTTAATATTGATATGTGAGTTTTCTTTCCTGTCATGGTGTTATTGGCTGTTTGCTTTGTGGTCTTGATTGTGTGGTTGCTTTATAGGGTCTGTGTGCTATTTATTTACATGTATTTTGTAGTAACAGGTATCTTTCTTTTGTTTCCAAGTTTAGAATGTTCTTAAGCATCTTTTGTAAGGCCAGCCTAGTGGTAACAAATTCCCTTAGCAATTGCTTGTCTGAAAAAGATTTTATTTCTCCTTTGCTTATGAAGCTTAGATTAGTGAAATGTGAAATTCTTAATTGGAATGTGTTTTCTTTAAGAATGCTAATAATAGGGATGAAATTTTGGCTGGGCACGGTGGCTTACACCTGTAATCCCAGCACTTTGAGAGGCCAAGGTGGGTTGATCACCTGAAGTCAGGAGTTTGAGACCAGCCTGGCTAATATGGTGAAACCCCATCTCTACTAAACAAACAAAAATTAGCTGGGCGTGTTGGCGGGTGCCTGTAGTCCTAGCTACTCGGGCGGCTGAGGCTGGAGAATCACTTGAACTGAGGAGGAGGAGGCTGCAGTGAGCCGAGATTGTGCCGCTGCCCTCCAGCCTGGGCAACAGAGCAAGATTCTGTCTCAAAATTAGAATAGAATAGAGTAGAATAGAATAGAATAGAATAGAATAGAATAGAATAGAATAGAATCCTGTGGCTTGCAACATTTCTACTGAGAAGTCCACTGTTAACCTGATGGGGTTTCCTTTCATAGGTGATATGACCCTTCTCTCTGGCTACCTTTAAAATGTTTTCTTTTGTGTTGACCTCAGAACATCTGACAACTATATGCCTTGGGGATGATCATCTTGTATAGTATCTCATAGGGGTTTTCTCAATTTTTTGTGTTTGCATGTTGACCTCTCTAGTGAGATTGGGAATATTTTTATGAGTTACATCTTCAAATAAGTTTTCCAGTTGCTTACACTTTCTTCTTTTCTCTCCGAAATGCCCATGAGTAGTAGGTTCGGTCATTTTACATAATCCCATATTTCTTGGATTTTCTTGTTCAATTTTTAATCTTTTTTCTTTACTTTTGTCTGACTGGGTTGATTTGAAGGACCTGTCTTAGAGCTCTGAAATTCTTTTCTCTGCTTGGTCTAGTCTGTTGTTCAAGATTCCGACTGTAGTTTGACACTCCTGTAGTGAATTTTTTAATTCCAGAAGTTCAATTTGGTACTTTCTTAATATGCTTATGTTGTCTTTCAAATCTTGGATCTTTTTTTCTGGCTTCCCTGCATTGGTTTCAACTTTCTCTTAAATCTCTTTGAGCTTTCTTGACACCCACATTCTGAATTATGTGTCTTTAATTTCAGACATTTCAATCTGGCTGGGATTAATTACTAGGGAATCAGTGTGATCTTCTGGAGGTAACAAAACATTCTGACATTTTTGATTGCCAGAGTTCTTGTGCTAATTTTTTCTCATCTGAGAGAGCTGTCTTTTTTTTTTAGTTTGCTGTCATTTGGATGGGACTTTTTTGTTTTTTTATTCTTGCTCCACTTGAGAGTTTGACTGGTGAATATAGTGTATAGTCAATTGGCTTCATTTCTGAGTGCTTTCAGAAGGCCAAGGCTCTGTACTTATGGGTTCCTAGGTTGTATATACGTTACTCTGGTGGGTTTCAGAGGCATTGCCTATTGGAGGAATGTACTTGTGTTTGGTGGTATAACTTAGGATGTAGTCCACTAGAGTAAGGGCCAGCAGATAAGCTCTTAACTCTGCTGTTCACAACTTTTTCAGTGCTTATGCAGCAGGGAAAGAAGGCAGGGGCAAGAGATGACTCCCTCTCCAATTTCATTCGCAGGACTTGGTGCCATCCCCTTCAAAAACTGGTGCCATGCCTGTGTTTTCTTTGCCCCAATGGGAGATTTGGTAGGATGCACTCTCTCCTTCCTTAGGGGTGGTACCAGCTAAGTGTTGGGTCACCAGTAGATTCACAACTCCCCAGGGGCTTGCCAGTTCCCTGTGCTTGAGAGAGTCCGAGTGGGTTGTAGGGTATGTCTACTGGTGCAGTGGGTCAAGGAGTGGAGGAGTTTCTGGCAGGGCAGAGATACCCAATGATATGCAACTGGGAAGGCACCCATGGCCCAGGGTTTTCAGCTCAGCAGATGGTTGTGGGGTCTATTCAGCTTGCACTCTCCCAGCCCAGTGAATCTGCCTCTGGCATCTGCCCTGGAGGCAACTTGACTGGCTAGGCTTGTCCCTAGCTTTCTGCACCCAGATTTCTGAGCTGTTCCAGATATTCGGAGTCATGGCCTGAAGTTTGCTTTTTGCATTGTGTCTCTGCAGAAGTTTGGTATCAGAATGATTTTAGCCTCATAGAATGAGTTCAGAATTTTTTGAAATAGTTTCGGTAGGATTCATCCCAGCTCTTCTATACATATATGGTAGAATTTGACTGTAGATCTGTGTGTTCAAGGGCTTTTTATGGTTGATAGATTTTATATTGCTGGTGCAAATTTTTTTATCATTTTTATTTATTTCAATTATTATTGTTTTTTGAAACAGAGTATCACTTTGTTGCCCAGGCTGGAGTGCAGTGGCATGATCTTGGCTCACTGCAACTTCTGTGTCCCAGGCTCAAGTGATTCTTGTGCCACAGCTTACCAAGTTGCTGGGATCACAGGCATGTGCCACCATGCCTGGCTAATTTTTGTATTTTCTGTAGAGACAGGGTTTTGCTATACTGGCCAGGCTGGTCTCAAACTCCTAGCCTCAAGTGATCCACCTGCCTCAGTCTTCAAAGTTCAGAGATTAAAGAATGAGCCACTGTGCCTGGCTACTGGTGCAATTTTGAAACTGATTATTGGTCTGTTCAGGGTTACAATTTCTTCTTAGTTCAATCTTGGGAAGTGGCATTTTTGCAGGAATTTATCAATTTCTTCTAGATTTTCTAGTTTTTGTGCATAGAATTGTTCATAATAGTCTCTGAGGGTTTTTTTTTTTTTTTTTTTTTTTGTATTTCTGTAAGGTCAGTAGTAATGTCTCCATGTTCATTTCTGATTGTAGGTTTTTGGATTTTCTCCCTTGATCCCTTTATTAGTCTAGCTAGAAGTCTATCAGTCTTCTTTATTCTTAGAAAAAACAATTTTTGTTTCATTGATTTTTTGTATAGTTTTCCTCATCTCCATTTCATTTATTTCAGCTCTGACTTTTGTTATTTCTTTTTTGTTGGTTTGTTTTTGTTTTTTGAGATGGAGTTTCACTCTTGTTGCCCAGGCTGGAGTGCATTGGTGCCATCTCAGCTCACCGCAACCTCTGCCTCCCAGGTTCAAGTGATTCTCCTGCCCCAGCCTCCGGAGTGGCTGGGGTTACAGGCATGCACCACCACACCTGGCCAGTTTTGTACTTTTAGTAGAAACGGGGTTTCTCCATGTTGATTAGGCTGGTCCGGAACTCCCGACCTCAGGTGATCTGCCCACCTCGGCCTCCCAAAGTGCTGGGATTACAGGCTTGAGCCACCACCCCTGACCTATTTCTTTTCTTATGTGAATTTTAGGTTGATTTTCTCTTGTTTTTTCAAGTTTCTCTGGGTGTGATATTATAATATGTTATTAATTTGAGATGTTTCTGATGTGGGTGTTTTGCAGTACAAACTTTCCTCTTAACATTACTTTAGTTATGTCTCACAGATTCTGGTACATTGTTTCTTTGCTTTTATTAGTTTCCCAGAATTTCTTAATTTTTGCCTTAATTTCTTTGTTTACTTAAAAGTCATTCAGGAACAGATTGTTTAATTTCCATTTAATTGTATGGTTTTGAGAGATCTAATTGGTATTGGTTTCTATTCTTGTTTTGCTGTGGTCCAAGAGTATGGTTGGTATGATTTTTTCTTTTTAATTTGTTAAGAACTGCTTTTGGCCAAGCATGGGGTCAATTTTATAGCATGTGCCATGTGAATGTGAGAAGAGGGAATATTTTGTTTTTGTTATGTGGAGTGTTATGGCGATGTCTGTTATGTCCATTTGGTGAAATGTCAAGTCTCAAATATCTTTGTTAGTATTCTGTCTTGATTATGTGTCCAAAAGTCACTGGGGTGTTGAAGTCTCCCACTTCTTTTGTGATGTTATCTGAGTCTCTTTGTATGTCTGTAAGAGCTATTTTATAAATATGGGTGCTCCAGTGTTAGATGTGTAGATAGATACATAGATAGATAGATAGATAGATAGATAGATAGAGATGTAGAATAGTTAAATCTTCTAGTTGAATTGAACACATTATTATTATGTAATGCCCTTATTTATCTTTTTTGATTGTTATTGGCTTAAAGTTAATTTTGTCTGCAGTAAAAATAGCAAACCCTGCTCTTTTTGGTCTTCTGTTTGCTTGATTGGTCTGTCTCCATCCATTTATTTTGAGCCTGTGGGTGTTCTTGCATGTGAGAAGGGTCTCTTGAAGACAGCATACAGTTGAGTCTTCTTCTTTGCACAACCTGTCACTCTTTGCCTTTTAAATGGGGAGTTTAATTCATTTACATTCAAGGTTAATATTGACATGTGCAGATTTGACCCTGTAATTATGCTGTTAGCTGGTTGTTAAGTAGACTTGATTAAATATTGCTTTATAGTGTCCATGGTCTAGGTACTTGAGTGTGTTTTGTGGTGATTGGAAAAGAACATTTATTTCCATGTTTCACTCTCTCTTAAGGATCTTTTGTAAGGCAGACCTGGTGGTAACAAATTCCCTTAGCATTTGCTTGTCTTAAAAGAATTTCATTTCTTATTCACTTATATATAAAGCTTAGCTTGGCCAGATATGAAATTCTTTGTTGGACTTTATTTTCTTTAAGAATTTTGAATATAGGCCCCCAGTCTTTTCTGGCTTAGAATTCTGCTGAAAGATTTGCTGTTAGCCTGATTGGGTTCCTTTGTAGGTGACCTGCTACTTCTCTCTAGCTGCCATTAATATTGTTTCATGTTGACCTTGGAGGCTCTAATGACTATGTTTCTTAGTCATTAGAGTATCTCACAGATGTTCTCTGAATTTCTTGAATTTGAATGTTTGTTTTTGTTATGTGGAGTATCGTGGAGATGTCCGTTAGGTCCATTTGGTGAAATGTGAAGCTAAGTCTCAACTAGGAAAGTTAGAGAAATGTTCATGGACAATATTCTTATATATGTTTTCCAAATTGATTGCTCTCTCTCTCTTTTCAGGAATGCCAATGTGTCATAGATTTGATCTCTCTACATAATCCTATATTTCTAAATTTTTTCATTTTTTAAAATCCTTTTTTCATTATTTTTGTCTGAGTTCATTCAAAGACCAGTCTTCAAGCTCTGAAATTGTATCTTCAGCTTGGTTTATTCTGCTGTTAATACTTCTGATACACTTACCACAGTAGTTTGAGCCAATTTCACATCTTGTGGGTCTTTCTGAAATTGTGCCTGTTATTAGGCACTTGCAACAACCTGGCAGTCAACTAAGGGTATAAGAAGCTTTGGCGAGGACCTGAGGTTTGAAGGGAGGCAGATACCTTAGTACCTGGTATCACTCTGCCACAGCTACCACTACCATTGCTGTCGGCATGTGTGAAGGAGGATGGATCCCACTGTCCCTGCACTTCAAAACACTTTGGCTGACACAGCCTATCAGAGTGTAGTGACCAGTGGACTAGGAGCATATTCCCTTCCCCTGGCCCCCAGCACAGTGGGTTCCTGACTTCAAAGAGCAAGAGAACAAAGTTGGGACAGAATACAAGTCACCCAGATTTAGAGCATGCAGTCCAGGAGCTGGGAGTTGAGTGTTGGCCACCATAAATCTTCCAGAAATGAAGCCAGTCAGCTGAATCCACCTTATACCACAATCAAACCCTCAAGGTTATCAATTAGGATAAAAGAAAAAAACTCATCCATAGGTCAGAAGTCTCACAGATTGAAGGTAATAAGCCCACGAAAATGAAAGGATCAGTGCAGGAACCCTGAAAACTCAAAAAGCCACAGTGCCTCCTTTCCTCCAAATGAACACATCAGCTCTCCAGCAAAGGTTCTGAAGTGAGCTGAGATGGCTGAAATGACAGAATTAGAATTCAGAACATAGATAGGAACAAAGATCACTGAACTACAGGAGTACATTGAAACTTAATCCAAGGAAGCTAAAAATCATGATTAAACAATACAGGAACTGACAGTCAAAACAGCCAGCATAGTAAGGAACATAACCAACCTGATGGAGCTGAAAGCAGAATAGAGCAAGTGGAAGAAAGAATCTCAGAGCTTGAAGACTGGCTTGCTGAAATAAATAAGACAGTCAGACAAACAGAGAAAAAAGAATGGCAAAAAAAATGAACAAAACCTCTGAGAAATATGGAATTATGTAGAGACAGACTCTGTGAATCATTGGTGTCCATGAAAGTGATGGGGGAGAATGGAACCAACTTGCAAAATGTATTTCGAGATATCATCCATAACAACTTCCCTAACCTAGCTAGAGAGACCACGATTCAAATTCAGGAAATGCAGGGAACCCCAGTAAGATACTTCACAAAAAGGTAACCGTAAGACATTTAATCATCAGATTCTCCAAGGTCAAAATGGAAAAAACATGTTAAAGGCAGCTAGAGAGAAATGTTAAGTTACTGACAAAGGGAACCCCATCAGACTAACGGCAGATCTCTCATCAGAAATTCTACAAGCCAGAAGAGATTGGGGGCCAATATTCAACATTTTTAAAGAAAACAAATCCCCACCCAATATTTTATATCTGGCTAAACAAAGCTTCCTGAGCAAAGAAGAAATAAAATTCTTTTCAGACAAGTAAGTGCTGAGGAAATTTGTTACCACCAGACATAACTTCCCAGAGCTCCTGACAAAAACACACTGAAGGACCCAGACCAGTCACAATATAAAGCAACCAGATAAACAAGTTTGAAAATTCAGGTAACATCATGATGACAGAATCAAATCCACACATATCAATACTAACCTTGAATGTAAATGGGCCAAATGCCCCCAATTAAAAGACACAGAGTGGCAAGCTGGATAAAGAACCAAGACCCCTTGGGCTGCTGTCTTCAAAAGACTCATCTCACATGCATTGACACATATAGGCTCAAAATAAAAGGATGGAGAAAAATTTACCAAGCAAATGGAAAAAATTATGTAATGGTAAAAAGTTCAACAAAAATTCCAACCATTCTGAATATATATGCACCAAATACAGGAGCACCCAGATTCATAAAGCAAGTTCTTAGAGACCTTTAAAGAGATTTAGACTCCCACACAATAATATTGAGAGACAAATACTCCACCGTCAATATTAGATCATTGAGATGAAAGATTAACAAAGATGTTTAGGCTCTGAACTCAGCATTGGATCAAATGGTCCTGATAGGCATCTACAGAACTCTCCACCCAAAAACAACAGAATATACATTCTTCTCATTGCCACATGGCACATACTCTAAAATCAGTCACATAATCAGAAGTAAAACACTCTTTCGCAAATGCAAAAAACTGAAATCATAACAATCACTCAGACCATGGTGAAATCAAATTAGAAAGAAAGACTAAGAAATTTACTCAAAATCATAAAATTACATAGAAATTGAATAACCTGCTCATGAATGACTCTTGGGTAAATAATGAAATTAAGGCAGCTATCAAGAGGTTTTTTGAAACTAATGAGAACAAAGAAACAACATACCAGAATCTCTGGGACACTAAATTATCACCTCAAAAGTAGAAAGAAGTTTCTACTTCTAACTTGAGGTAGAAAAATCTCAAGATAACAATGTGACATCACAACTAAGAGAACTAGAGAATCAAGAGTAAAAAATCTTAAAGCTAGCAGAAGACAAGAAATAACCAAAATGAGAGTTGAACTGAAGGAGATTGAAACATGAAAATTTATTCAAAAGATCAATGAATTCTCCAGCTAGCTTTTTGGGAAAAAAATGAAACAGACACCACAGCTAGACTAATAAAGAAGAAAAACATTCAGAGAAATACAATCTGAAACAAGGGAGATATTACCAGTCACCCCATAGGAATATAGACAGTCATCAGAGAATATTATAAACACCTCTATGCATATAAACTAGAAAGTCTGGAAGAAATGGATAAATACCTAGACATGTACACCCTCCCAATACTGAACCAGGAAGTAATTGCATACCTGAGCAAACCAATAATGAGCTCTGAAATTGAGTCAGTAATAAATTGCCTAAAAAACAAAACAAATCCCAGGATCAGACAGATTTATAGCTGAATTCTACAAGATGTTCAAAGAGCTGGCACAATTCCTGCTGAAACTATTTCAAAAAAATTGAGGAGAAGGGACTCCTCCCTAACTCATTCTATGAGACCAGTATCATCTTGATACCAAAACCTGGCAGGGACACAACAAAAAAATAAAACTTCAGCTTAATATCTTGATGAACATCGATGCAAAAGTCCTCAAGAAAATACCGGCGAACTGAATCCAGCAGCACATCCAAAAGCTCATCCACTAAGATCAAATAGGCTTTATCCATTGGGTTGCAAGTTTGGTTCAACATTTGTATATCAATAAATATGATTCATCACATAAACAGAACTAAAGACAAAAGCCACATGATTATCTCAATAGAAGCAGAAAAGGCTTTTGGTAAAATTCAACACTACTTGTTAAAAACTCTTAATAAACTAGGTATTAAAGAAACGTACCTCAAAATAATAAGAGCCATCTGTGATGAAACCACAGCAAACATCATACTGAATGGGCAAAAGATGCAAGCATTCCTCTTGTAAACTGGCACATGGCAAGGATGCTCTCTCTCACCACTCCTATTCAACATAGTATTGGAAGTCCCAGCCAGGGCAATCAGGCAAGAGAAAGAAATAAAAGGCATCCAAATAAGAAGAGAGGAAGTCAAAATATCACTGTTTGCAGATGACATGATTCTATATCTAAAATACTCAATAATCTCAGCCCAAAAGCTCCATTATCCTAAAAAATTTCAGCAAAGTCTCAGAATGTAAAATCAATGTGCAAAATTTATTGACATTCCTATACACTGACAACAGTCAAGCCAAGAGCCTAATCAGAAATTCAATCGCATTCACAATTGCCACAAAAAAATAAAATACAATACCTAGGAATACAGCTAACCAGAGAGGTGAAAGATCTCTACAAGGAGAAATATGGAACATTGCTCCAAGAAATCAAAGATAACATGAACAAGTGGAAAAACATTCCATGCTCAAGAGATAAGAAGAATCAATATTGTTAAAATGGCCATGCTGGCCAAAGCAATTTGTAGATTCAATGTTATTTCTATAAAACTACAACTGAGATTCTTCACATAATTGAAAAAAACTATTTTAAAATTCATATGGAATCAAGAAAGAGCCTGAATAGCCAAGGCAATCCTAAGCATAAAGAACAAAGCTGAAGGCATCACACTACCTGACTTCAAACTATACTACAGGGCCACAGTAACCAAAACAGCATGGTACTGGTAGAAAAACAGATAGATCTATGGAATAGAATAGAGAACCCAGAAATAAGGCCACACACCTACAACTATCTGATCTTTGACAAACCTGACAAAAACAAGCAATCGGAAAAGGACTCTCTGTTTAATAAATGGTTCTGGGATAACCAGCTAGCCATATGCAGAAGATTGAAACTGGACCCTTTCTTTACACCATATACAAAAATTAACACAGGATGGATTAAAGACTTAAATGTAAAACCCAGAACTATAAAAACCCTGAAAGACAACCTAGACAATACCATTCAGGACATAGGCATGAGCAAAGATTTTATGACAAAGATGCCAAAAACAATTGCAGCAAAAGCAAAAATTGACACATAGGATCTAACTAAACTAAAGCATTTATTCATAGCAAAAGAAACAATCAACAGAGCAAACAGACAACCTGCAGAATGGGAGAAAAATACCGCAAACTATGCATCTGACAAAGGTCTAGTATTCAGCATCTATAAGAAACTTAAATTTATGAGAAGACAACAACCAACGATATTAAAAAGTGGGCAATACTTGTTTTTCTCAGGTTTGTCAAAGATCAGATAGTTGTAGATATGCGGCGTTATTTCTGAGGGCTCTGTTCTGTTCCATTGATCTATATCTCTGTTTTGATACCAGGACCATGCTGTTTTGGTTACTGTAGCCTTGTAGAATAGTTTGAAGTCAGGTAGCGTGGTGCCTCCAGCTTTGTACTTTTGGCTTAGGATTGACTTGGCGATGCAGGCTCTTTTTTGGTTCCGTATGAACTTTAAAGTAGTTTTTTCCAATTCTGTGAAGAAAGTCATTGGTAGCTTGATGGGGATGGCATTGAATCTATAAATTACCTTGGGCAGTATGGCCATTTTCACGATATTGATTCTTCGTACCCATGAGCATGGAATGTTCTTCCATTTGTATCCTCTTTTATTTCATTGAGCAGTGGTTTGCAGTTCTCCTTGAAGAGGTCCTTCAAGTCCCTTGTAAGTGACAAACCTGAGAAAAACAAGCAATGGGGAAAGTATTCCCTATTTAATAAATGGTGCTGGGAAAACTGGCTAGCCATATGTGGAAAGCTGAAACTGGATCCCTTCCTTACACCTTATACGAAAATTAATTCAAGATGGATTAAAGACTTAAACGTTAGACCTAAAACCATACAAACCCTAGAAGAAAACCTAGGCATTACCATTCAGGACATAGGCATGGGCAAGGACTTCATGTCTAAAACACCAAAAGCAATGGCAACAAAAGGCAAAATTGACAAATGGGATCTAATTAAACTAAAGAGCTTCTGCACAGCAAAAGAATCTACCATCAGAGTGAACAGGCAACCTACAAAATGGGAGAAAATTTTCACAACCTACTCATCTGACAAAGGGCTAATATCCAGAATCTACAATGAACACAAACAAATTCACAAGAAAAAAAAAAACAACCCCATCAAAAAGTGGGCAAAGGACATGAACAGACACTTCTCAAAAGAAGACATTTATGCAGCCAAAAAACACATGAACAAATGCTCATCATCACTGGCCATCAGAGAAATGCGAATCAAAACCACAGTGAGATACCATCTCACACCAGTTAGAATGGCAATCATTAAAAACTCAGGAAACAACAGGTGCTGGAGAGGATGTGGAGAAATAGGAACACTTTTACACTGTTGTTGGGACTGTAAACTAGTTCAACCATTGTGGAAGTCAGTGTGGCAATTCCTCAGGGATCTAGAACTAGAAATACCATTTCTGGGTATATACCCATCCCATTACTGGGTATATACCCAAAGGACTATAAATCATGCTGCTATAAAGACACATGCATACGTATATTTATTGTGGCACTATCCACAATAGCAAAGACTTGAAACCAATCCAAATATCCAACAATGATAGACTGGATTAAGAAAATGTGGCACATATACACCATGGAATACTATGCAGCCATAAGAAATGATGAGTTCATGTCCTTTGTAGGGACATGGATGAAATTGGAAATCATCATTCTCAGTAGGCTATCTCAAGGACAAAAAACCAAACACCGCATGTTCTCACTCGTAGGTGGGAATTGAACAATGAGAACACATGGATACAGGAAGGGAACATCTCACTCTGGGTACTGTTGTGGGGTGGGGGAGGGGGGAGGGATAGCATTAGGAGATATACCTAATGCTAATTGACGAGTTAATGGGTGCAGCACACCAGCATGGCACATGTATATGTATGTAACAAACCTGCACATTGTGCACATGTACCCTAAAACTTAAAGTATAATAATAAAAAATAAAAAAATAAAAAGTGGGCAATAAACACGAACAGACACATTTCAAAAGAAGACAAATGTGGATCCAACAAGCATATTTTAAAAAGCTGAACTTCACTGAGCATTACGGAAATGCAAAGCAAAACCACCATGAGATACCATCTCACATCAGTTGGAATGGCTAGTATTAAAAAGTCAAAAAATAACAGATGCTGGCAGAGGTGTGGAGAAAAAAGAACACATACATTGTTGGAAGTGTAAATTAGTTCAATCATTGTGGAAGACAGTGTGGCAATTCCTCAAAGACCTAAAAATAGAATTTCCATTCCACCCAGCAATTCCATTACTGGGTCTATACCCAAAGGAATAGAAAACATTCTACTATTATATAGATACATGCATGCAGCATTATTCCCAATACCAAACACATGGAATCAACCTAAATGTTTATCAGTAACAGACTGGATAAAGAAAATATGGTACATATACACCAGGGAATAGTATGCAGTTATGAAAACAAACAAGATCATGTCCTTTGCAGGAGCAAGGATGGAGCTGGAGGCTATTATCTTTAGAAAACTAATGCAGAAACAGAAAAACAAATACTACATGTTCTTACTTGTAAATGAGAGCTAAATGATGAGAACACATGGACACATAGAGGGGAACAACACCCCCTGCCTATCAAAGAGAGGAGGTTTGTAGGAGGGAGAGGATCAGGAAAATAACAATGGATACTATGCTTAATACCTGGGTGATGAAATAATCTGTACAACAAACTGCCATGATGCATTTGCTTATATAAAACCTGTTTATGTACCCCTGAACTTCAATTAAAATTTAAATAAAAAGTACTTCTGTTTGTGCTGTAAAATTCTTATAGTGAGTTTTTCAGCTCTATTAGCTCAGTTTGGTTCTATATTAAAATGGCTATTATATCTTTCATTTTTTGAATTGTTATACTGGACTCTTTAGTTTCTTTGGAATGGGTTTCAACTTTCTCCTGAATCTCGATGATCTTTCTTGCCATCCAGATTCTTTTCAGCCTTTTTGATGTAGGTATTTGGCATTGTGAATTTTCCTTTTAGCACTGGTTTTGCTGTATTCCAGAGGTCCTGATACCTTGTTTCCCTGTTATCATTCATTTCAAATATTTTTAAAATTTTATTGATTGTATTGTTAATCCAAAAATTATTCCGGAGCAGACAGTTTAATTTCTATGTACATGTATAGGTTTAAGGGACCTTTTGTAACTGACTTTTAGTTTTATTTATTCCACTATGGTCTGTGAAGCAACTTGATATAATTTCAATATTAAAAAAATATTGATACTTGTTTTGTGGGATATTATATGGTCTATGTTGGAGAATGTTTCATGTGTTGCTGAGAAGAGTGTATATTCTGTACGTCTTGGGTAGAATGTTTTCTAAATAGCTGTTAGGCCCATTTGTTCTAGACTACAGTGTAAGTCCAGGGTTTCTTTATTGACTTTCTGCCTTGATGATCTGTCTAGTGCTGTCAGTAGAATATTGAATTCCCCATTATTATTGTATTGCTGTCTATCTCTTTTATTAGTCTAGTAGTAATAGTTTTATGAATCTGGGAGCTCCAGAGTAAAATGCATATATATTTAGGATTATCATATGTTATCATATAGTTGATTATTGTATTATTGTATAATGTTCTTCTTTGTCTTTTTTACTGTTGTTTCTTTAAAGTCTGTTTTTCTGTTATAAGAATATCTACTCCTATTTGCTTTTGGTTTCCATTTGCATGAAATATCTTTTTTTACCCCTTTACTTTGAATTTTAAAGAATCTTTATGTATTAGGTGTGTCTCCTGAAGAAGGCAGATATTTGTTTTGTAATATATTTTATTCTACCTGTCTGTATTTTTTAAGTAGAGCACTTAGACCATTTACATTCTATGTTGGTATTGAGATGTGAGGTAATTTTCCAGTCATCATGTTGTTATCAAGTGACTTTGTTTTCTCCATTGTGTTATTGTTTTATAAGCCCTGTTAGTTTTATGCTTTTAAGAGTTTCTGTTGTAGTGTGTATCAACCTTTTGTTTCTAAATTGAATTTTTTCTTTTAGCATTTTCTGTAGGACTTGTCTAGTAGTGACAAATTTCCTCATCATTTGCTTATCTGAGAAATACTTTTTTCCCTTCATTTATGTAACAGTGTGACTGGATATAAAATTCTTGGTTGACAGTCATTTTTTTTTTTTTAGAAGGCTAAAGTTAGCATCCCAATCACTTCTGGCTTGTAAGGTTTCTGTTGAGAAGTTTGCTGTTAACCTGATAGGTTTTAATTCATAAGTTACCTGATGCTTTTGTCTCACTGCTCTTAGAATTCTTTCCTTCACATTAAACTTAGGCCTTGGTGATATACTGGTTGGAATTAATCTTACAGAAGTTTTTTGAGCTTCTTGTATTTGGATATCTAGATATTTAGCAACACCAAGGAAGTTTTACCAATAATTCTCTCAAATAGGTATTCTAAAATTTTGTTTTTTCTTCTCACCCAGAAATACCTTTTGTTCTTGGGTTTGGCTGTTTTACATAATCTCCTATTCATTGAGGAATTTGATCATTTTTGATTTTTTTTTTCTGATTCGGTTAATACAAAAGTTTTGTCTTCAAGCTCTTAAACTCTCTTATATTTGGTCTAGTCTGTTGTTAAAATTTTCTACTGAATTTTGTAGTTCCCTAAAAGTGTCTTTGATTGCAGAAGTTCTGATTGAGTTTCCTTTAAAATAATCTATCTCTTTAGAAAAGTTTTTATTAATATCCTGAATTTTTAAAATTTCTTTATGTTGGTTTTTACCTTTGTTTTGTATCTCCTTGAACAAATTAATGAACTTTTTGAATTTTTTATCTGGTATTTCAAGGATTTCATCTTAGTTTGGATCCACTGCTGGACAGTTAGTGTGACCTTTTTAGAGGATTAGAAAATCCTGGGGTTTTTTTTTTTCTTCATATTGCTAGAATTGGTTTTTTGGTTCTTTCTCTTTGGTGTAGACTATTTCTTGTAATTACTTTTGAATTTGTGGTTGATTATACTGGTTTTTTTTTTCTTCAGAACGTAAATTTTTTTTTTTTGAGACAAAGTCTCACTGTGTCACCCAGCCTGGAGTGCAGGAGCCTTTGCCTCCTGGGCTCAAGTGATTCTCCTGCCTCAGCCTCCTGAGTAGCTGGGATTATAAGCACGTGTCACCACACCCGGCTAATTTTTGTACTTTTGGTAGAGACGAGGTTTCATGATGTTGGCCAGGCTGGTCTCGAACTCTTGACCTCAAGTTATCCACCTGCCTCTGCCTCCCAAAGTGCTGGGATTGCAAGTGTGAGTCACCACACATGGTCAAGAATGTGATTTTAATGTTTACAGATTATTGTTACCTAGTTCCAGCTCTGAGTGCTTTCAGTGGCAAAGACTCTGTATGAATTTCTTGGTTATAGAGAATTTTTGTGTGATGGCTTTCTGAGACTCTGGTTGTAGTAGTGATGTGCTGGGTTCATGAATAGGTTCATTGTCTCTTGTTGGATGTTTTCTGCCTGGCTCACAGTGTAAGCTGCAGCCCACCACTTCATTCAAACAGTCTATGCTTTCTTTCAGTTTTTCTGATAAATTTCTGTGCTGCATCTTGGAAAAAGGTTCACAGCATGAATATTTACAAATGTTTTGCCTTTCTGCATGGGAGACACATGCTAACATTGCCTCCAATGTCATATTGAAAAAAAATTAAACATTTCTTATTTGACATTTCTTCACATATAATTTTACATACCAAATAATTCAAACTAGCTTAATATCTCTCTTTTTCAAATCTCAGATGTCTCAGGGACCCTCTGTAGTTATTGTAAGTTAATTCAAGGTCAGAAAGACTTAATTAAAAGTTTCTTTTGAGAACTTTGTCAAAAATATCAAACAAAATATTTAAAACACTTAATGGAATCACGTTATGAAAAAAGAGGCAAATACAGAAAAGTTACATAGTTCTCAAAAAACTCTAAATTTTTTAATATTAGGAAGACTCAGTTTTCTTACTAATCAGAAGACCTAATAAAATACAGAGCACAATAAATTATTTTGATTAAACACAGAATTTTTTTTTCCAAGAAGTTTGTGTAAAGAGAGTTTTAAAAAGCCTTTTATAAACTCTTATTATAGTCTCTCCAAAAGAAACCCAGTAATTTTAAGAGAAGACCAAGGTTTTTTTCCAACTTTTAAGTTCAGGGGTTCATGTGCATATTTCTTACATGAGTAAATTGTGTGTCACTGGGGTTTGGTGTAAAAATGATTTTATCACACAGGTAGTGAGCATAGTACCCAATAAGTAGTTTTCTGATTCTAACTTTCACCCTTCACCATCAAGTAAGCCCTGGCATTTATGGTTTTCCTTTTTGTGTTTATGTGTACTCAAAAGTTTAGCTCACACTTATACATGAGAACATGCAGTATTTGATTTTTCTGTTCCTGAATTAATTCACTTTAGGGTAATGGCCTCCAGCTGCATCTATGTTGGTAGGAAAAATACATGATTTCATTCTTTTTTTATGACTGCATAGTATTTCATAGTGTATATGTGCCACATTTTCCTTATCCAGGCTACAGTTGATGGGCACCTAGGTTTGATTGCATGTCTTTGCTATTGTGAATATCGCTGCAATGAACAAAAACAAACATGTGTCTTCTGGGGAAAATAGTATTTATTTATTTTGGTATATAACCAAAAAATGGGATTGCTGGGTTGAATGGTAGTGCTATTTTAAGTTATTTGAGAATTATTATTTTTTTTTTTTTCGGAAAGGAGTAATGTATTTTTTTTTTTTATTATACTTTAAGTTTTAGGGTACATGTGCACATTGTGCAGGTTAGTTACATATGTATACATGTGACATGCTGGTGTGCTGCACCCACTAAGTCGTCATCTAGCATTAGGTATATCTCCCAATGCTATCTCTCCCCCCTCCCCCCACCCCACCACAGTCCCCAGAGTGTGATATTCCCCTTCCTGTGTCCATGTGATCTCATTGTTCAATTCCCACCTATGAGTGAGAATATGCGGTATTTGGTTTTCTGTCTTTGCGATAGTTTGCTGAGAATGATGGCTTCCAGCTTCATCCATGTCCCTACAAAGGACATGAACTCATCATTTTTTATGGCTGCATAGGATTCCATGGTGTATATGTATCACATTTTCTTAATCCAGTCTATCATTGATGGACATTTGGGTTGGTTCCAAATCTTTGCTATCGTGGATAGTGCTGCAATAAACATGTGTGTATGTGTCTTCATGGCAGCATGATTTATAATCCTTTGGGTATATGCCCAGTGATGGGATGGCTGGGTCAAATGGTATTTCTAATTCTAGATCCTTGAGGAATCGCCACACTGTCTTCCACAATGGTTGAACTAGTTTACAGTCCCACCAACAGTGTAAAAGTGTTGCTATTTCTCCACATCCTCTCCAGCACCTGTTGTTTCCTGAGTTTTTAATGATCGCCATTCTAACTGGTGTGAGATGGTATCTCACTGTGGTTTTGATTCGCATTTCTCTGATGGCCAGTGATGATGAGCATTTTTTCATGTGTCTGTTGGCTGAATAAATGTCTTCTTTTGAGAAATGTCTCTTCATATCCTTTGCCCACTTTTTGATGGGGTTGTTTGATTTTTTTCTTGTAAATTTGTTAAAGTTCTTTGTAGATTCTGGATGTTAGACCTTTGTCAGATGGGTAGATTGTAAAAATTTTCTCCCATTCTGTAGGTTGCCTGTTCACTTTGATGTTAGTTTCTTCTGCTGTGCAGAAGCTCTTTAGTTTAATTAGAACCCATTTGTCAATTTTGGCTTTTGTTGCCATTGCTTTTGGTGTTTTAGTCATGAAGTCCTTGCCCATGCCTATGTCCTGAATGGTATTGCCTAGGTTTTCTTCTAGAGTTTTTATGGTTTTCAGGTCTGACGTTTAAGTCTTTCATCCATCTTGAATTAATATTTGTATAAGATGTAAGGAAGTGATCCAGTTTCAGCTTTCTACATATGGCTAGCCAGTTTTCCCAGCACCATTTATTAAATAGGGAATCCTTTCCTCATTGCTTGTTTTTTGTCAGGTTTGTCAAACACCAGATGGTTGTAGATGTGTGGTATTATTTCCGAGGGCTCTATTCTGTTCCATTGGTCTATATCTCTGTTTTGGTACCAGTACCATGCTGTTTTGGTTACTGTAGCCTTGTAGTATAGTTTGAAGTCAGGTAGCATGATGCCTCCAGCTTTGGTTCCATATGAACTTTAAAGTACTTTTTTCCAATTCTTTGAAGAAAGTCATTGGTAGCTTGATGGGGATGGCGTTGAATCTATAAATTACCTTGGGCAGTATGGCCATTTTCACGATATTGATTCTTCCTATCCATGAGCATGGAATGTTCTTCCATTTGTTTGTGTCCTCTTTTATTTCGTTGAGCAGTGCTTTGTAGTTCTCCTTGAAGAGGTCCTTCACATCCCTTGTAAGTTGGATTCCTAGGTATTTTATTCTCTTTGAAGCAATTGCGAATGAGAGTTCACTCATGCTATGGCTCTCTGTTTGTCTGTTATTGGAGTATAGGAATGCTTGTGATTTTTGCACATTGATTTTGTATTCTGAGACTTTGCTGAAGTTGCTTATCAGCTTAAGGATATTTTGGGCTGAGATGATGGGGTTTTCTAAATATACAGTCATGTCATCTGCAAACAGGGACAATTTGACTTCCTGTTTTCCTAATCAAATACCCTTTGTTTCTTTCTCTTGCCTGATTGCCCTGGCCAGAACTTCCAACACTGTGTTGAACAGGAGTGGTGAGAGAGGGCATCCCTGTCTTGTGCCAGTTTTCAAAGGGAATGCTTCCAGTTTTTGCCCATTCAGTATGATATTGGCTATCATTTTGTCATAAATAGCTCTTATTATTTTGAGCTACGTCCCATCAATACCTAGTTTATTGAGAGTTTTTAGCATGAAGGGCTGCTGAATTTTTTGAATGCCTTTTCTGTGTCTATTGAGATAATCATGTGCTTTTTGTCTTTGGTTCTGTTTATATGATGGATTACATTTATTGATTTGCATACGTTGAACCAGCCTTGCATCCCAGGGGTGAAGCCCACTTGATCGTGGTGGATAAGTTTTTGATGTGCTGCTGGATTCGGTTTGCCAGTATTATATTGGGAATTTTTGCGTGGATGTTCATCAAGGATATTGGTCTAAAATTCTCTTTTTGTGTGTGTGTCTCTGCCAGGCTTTGGTATCAGGAGATGTTGGCCTCATAAAATGAATTAGGGAGGATTCCCTCTTTTCCTATTGATTCAGATAGTTTCAGAGGGAATGGTACCAGCTCCTCTTTGTACCTCTGGTAGAATTTGGGTGTGAATCTATCTTGTCCTGGACTTTTTTTGGTTGGTAGGATATTAATTGTTGCCTCAATTTCAGAATCTGTTATTGGTCTATTCAGGGATTCAATTTCTCCCTGGTTTAGTCTTGGGAGGGTGTATGTGTCCAGGAATTCATCTATTTCTTCTAGATTTTCTGTTTTATTTGTGTAGAGGTGTTTATAGTATTCCCTGATCGTAGTTTGTATTTCTGTGGGATCGGTGGTGATGTCCCCTTTATCATTTTTTTTATTGCATCTGTTTGATTCTTCTCTCCTTTCTTCTTTATTACTCTTGCTAGTGGTCTATCAATTTTGTTGATCTTTTCTAAAAATCAGCTCCTGGATTCATTGATTTTTTGAAGGGTTTTTTTTGTGTCTCTATCTCCTTCAGTTCTGCTCTGATCTTAGTTATTTCTTGCCTTCTCTTAGCTTTTGAATGTGTTTGCTCTTGCTTCTCTAGTTCTTTTAATTGTGATGTTAGGGTGTCAATTTTAGATCTTTCCTGCTTTCTCTTGTGGGCATTTAGTGCTATAAATTTCCTTCTACACACTGCTTTAAATGTGTCCCAGAGATTCTGATATGTTGTGTCTTTGTTCTCTTTGGTTTCAAAGAACATCTTTGTTTCTGCCTTCATTTCATTATGTACCCAGTAGTCATTCAGGAGCAGGTTGTTCAGTTTCCATGTAGTTGAGTGGTTTTGAGTGAGTTTCTTAATCATGAGTTTTAGTTTGATTGCACTGTGGTCTGAGAGAAAGTTTGTTATAATTTCTGCTCTTTTACGTTTGCTGAGGAGAGCTTTACTTCCAAGTATGTGGTCAATTTTGGAGTAAGTGCGGTGTGGTGCTAAGAAGAATGTATATTCTGTTGATTTGGGGTGGAGAGTTCTGTAGATGTCTATTAGGTCCACTTGATGCAGAGCTGAGTTCAATTCCTGGATATCCTTGTTAACTTTCTGTCTCATTGATTTGTCTAATGTTGACAGTGGGGTGTTAAAGTCTCCCATGATTATTGTGTGGGAGTCTAAGTCTCTTTGTAGGTCTCTAAGGACTTGCTTTATGAATCTGGGTGCTCTTGTATTGGGTGCATACATATTTAAGATAGTTAGCTCTTCTTGTTGAATTGATCCCTTTACCTTTATGTAATGGCCTTTTTTTGTCTCTTTTGATCTTTGTTGGTTTAAAGTCTGTTTTATCAGAGACTAGGATTGCAACCCCTGCTTCTTTTTTGTTTTCCATTTGCTTGGTAGATCTTCCTCCATCCTTTTATTTTGAGCCTATGTGCATCTCTGCACATGAAATGGGTCTCCTGAATATAGCACACTGATAGGTCTTGACTCTTTATCCAATTTGCCAATCTGTGTCTTTTAATTGGAGCATTTAGCCCATTTACATTTAAGTTTAGTATTGTTATGTGTGAATTTGATCCTGTCATTATGATGTTAGCTGGTTATTTTGCTCATTAGTTGATGCAGTTTCTTCCTAGCACTGATGGTCTTTACAATTCAGCATGTTTTTGCAGTGGCTGGTGCTGGTTGTTCCTTTGCATGTTTAGTGCTTCCTTCAGGAGCTCTTGTAAGGCAGGCCTAGTGGTGACAACATCTGTCCGCATTTGTTTGTCTGTAAAGGATTCTATTTCTCCTTCACTTATGAAGCTTAGTTTGGCTGGATATGAAATTCTGGGTTGAAAATTCTTTTCTTTAAGAATGTTGAATATTGGCCCCCACTGCCTTCTGGCTTGTAGAGTTTCTTCCAAGAGATCCACTGTTAGTCTGATGGGCTTCCCTTTGTGGGTAACCCGACCTTTCTCTCTGGCTGCCCTTAACATTTTTTCCTTCATTTCAACTTTGGTGAATCTGACCATTATGTGTCTTGGAGTTGCTCTTCTCGAGGAGTATCTTTATGGCGTTCTCTGTATTTCCTGAATTTCAATGTTGGCCTGACTTGCTAGGTTGGGGAAATTCTCCTGGATAATATCCTGAAGAGGGTTTTCCAACTTGGTTCCATTCTCCCCGTCACTTTCAGGTACACCAATCAGACGTAGATTTGGTCTTTTCACATAGTCCCATATTTCTTGGAGGCTTTGTTCATTTCTTTTTAATCTTTTTTCTCTAAACTTCTCTTCTCGCTTCATTTCATTCATTTGATCTTCAATCTCTGATACCCTTTCTTCCACTTTATCAAATCTGCTATTGAAGCTTGTGCATGCATCACGTAGTTCTTGTGCTATGGTTTTAAGCTCCATCAGGTCATTTAAGGACTTCTCTACACTATTTATTCTAGTTAGCCATTTGTCTAATCTTTTTTCAAGGTTTTTAGCTTCTTTGTGATGGGTTCAAACATCCTCCTTTAACTCAGAGAAGTTTGTTATTACTGATCATTTGAAGCTTTCTTTTCTCAACTCATCAAAGTCATTCTCCATCCAGCTTTGTTCCACTGATGGTGAGGAGCTGCGTTCCTTTGGAGGAGAAGAGGCACTCTGATTTTTAGAATTTTCAGCTTTTCTGCTCTGGTTTCTCCCCATCTTTGTGGTTTTTGTCTACCTTTGGTCTTTGATGATGGTAACATACGGATGGGGTTTTGGTGTGGGTGTCCTTTCTGTTTGTTAATTTTCCTTCTAACAGTCAGGACCCTCAGCTGCAGGTCTGTTGGAGTTTGCTGGAGGTCCACTCCAGACCCTGTTTGCCTGGATATCACCAGCGGAGGCTGCAGAACAGCAAATATTGCAGAACGGAAGGTGTTGCTGCCTGATCCTTCCTCTGGAAGCTTCATCTCAGAGGGGCACCCGGCTGTATGAGGTGTCAGTTGGCCCCTACTGGGAGGTGTCTCCCAGTGAGGCTACTCGGGGGTCAGGGACCCACTTGAGGAGGCAATCTGTCCATTCTCAGATCTCAAGCTCCGTGCTGGGAGAACCACTACTCTCTTCAAAGCTGTCAGACAGGGACGTTTAAGTCTGCAGAAGTTTCTGCTGCCTTTTGTTCAGCTATACCGTGCCCCCAGAGGTGGAGTCCACAGAGGCAGGCAGGCCTCCTTGAGTTGCAGTGGGCTCCACCCAGTTCAAGCTTCCTGGCCACTTTGTTTACCTACTCAAACCTCAGCAATGGCAGACACCCCTCCCCAAGCCTAGCTGCCACCTTGCAGTTCAATCTGAGACTGCTGTTCTAGCAGTGAGTGAGGCTCTGTGGGTGTGGGACCCTCTGAGCCAGGCACAGGATATAATCTCCTGGTGTGCTGTTTGCTAAGGCTGTTGGAAAAGTGCAGTATTAGGGTGGGAGTGTCCCAATTTTCCAGGTACTGTCTGTCATGGCTTCCCTTTGCTAGGAAAGGGAATTCCTCAACCGCTTGTGCTTCCTGGGAGAGGCGATGCCCCACCCTGCTCCATGGGCTGCACCCACTGTCTGACAAGCCCGAGTGAGATGAACCTGGTACCTCAGTTGGAAATGCAGAAATCACCCATCTTCTGTGTCGCTCACGCTGGGTGCTGCAGACTGGAGCAGTTCCTATTCGGCCATCTTAGTGGGGTATTCTCCTGAGTGTCTTTTTTTTACTTTTCTGCCTCGATGATCTGTCAGTGGGGTGTTGAAGTTGTTTGGTATTGTTATGTGGTATCTAAGTCTCTTTGTAGGTTTCTAAGAACTTGCTTTATGTATCTAGGTGCTGTGATGTTGAGTGCATACATATTTAAGATAGTTAAGTCTTCTTGAATTGAACCCTTTATCATTGTGTAATGCCTTTCTTTGTTCTTTCTCATTAATGTTGATTAAAGTCTGTTTTGTCTGAAATAAGAATAGCAAATTCTGCTTTTTTTGTTTAGTTGGTAAATTTTTATATATTCCTATAATTTGAGCCTTTGAGTGTCATAGCAGGTAAGATGGGTATTTTCAATAGAGCACGCAGTTGTCTTGCTTCTTTATCCAACTTGCCATTCCGTGACTTTTAAGTGGTGCATTTATTCCCATTTTTTCCATTCACATTCAAAATTTATTGATATGTGTACATTTAATCCTGTCACCATATTGTTAGCTGGTTTTTATGTAGACTTAATTTTGTAGTTGCTTTATAGTGTCCTTGGTCTATGTACGTAAATGTGCTTTCTGGTGGCTAGTAACAGTCATTCATTTCCATGTTTAGCATTTCCTCAGGATCTCTTTTAAGGAAGGTCTGGTGATCATTGCCTTAGCATTTACTTATCTGAAAAGAATTAGAGATTTTTTTTTCTTATGAAGCTTAGTTTGGCTGGATATGAAATTCTTGGTTGGAATTTTTTATTACGGATACAGAATATAGGCCCTCAATCTCTTCTGGTTTATAGGATTTCTGCTGAAAAGTCTGCTGTTAAGCTGATGGGATTCCCTTTGTTTGTGGCCTGCCCTTTCTCTCCACTTGCCTTTAGTATTTTTTATTTTGTATTCACCCTGAAGAATATGCTGACTCTGTGTCTTGAGGAGGGCCTTCTTGTCTATCTTGAAGGGGTTCTCTAAATTTTCTGACCATGAATGGTGACTTTGCTAGCAAAGCTGAGAAATTTTTCATCAACAATATTCTCAAATATGTTTTCCAAGTTGCTTGCTTTCTCTCCATTTCAGGGACACTAATGCATGATAGATTTAGTCTCTTTACATAAATGTATTATTTCTCAGAGATTTTGTTTATTTCAAAGTTCTTTTTTTAAATTTGTGTTTGACTGAGTCAGTTCGAAGAACCAGTCTTGAAGCTCTGAAATTCTTTCCTCAGCTTGGTCTATTCTGCTGTTAATGTTTTATAAAATTCTTGTAGTGAGTTTTTCAGCTCCATTAGATCAGTTTGGTTTTGCATTAAAGTGGTTTTATCTTGTATTTCAGCTCTTGTATCATTTTGTTGATTTCCTTAGATTCCTTGGACTGGGTTTCAACTTTCTCCTGAATCTCAGTGATCTTCATTGCTATATAGATTCTGCATTATATGTCTGACATTTCAGTAATTTCTGTCTGGCTAAATTAATGAGGAGCTAGTTTGGGGATTTGAAGGTAGGAAGACACGTCTGCTCTTTCAGTTGCCAGAGTTCTAGCACTGATTCTCTTATCTATGTGGAGTGATGTTTCTTTAATTTTTGAATTTGCTATTCTTTTGATGGAGCTTTTTGCTCTTATATTCTTGATATCCTTGAGGACTTTACTGTGGTGACATTTGGGTTCAGTTGGCTGGCTATTTAACTGGATAATTTCAGGGGGCTGAGGCTCAGCTCAGTGCTCCTGGGCTGTATACTCCAACACTGGGGCCTGGGACCAGGCCCATGGCTTTGTTCTCTGGCTCTTCAATGTTAAACATCCACTTCACTGGAGGTAGCAAGGCGTTCTGGGTCTGCTGGCAAAAACACTTTGATGGGGGTGCTGCTAAAAGGGCTTCATCAGGGTAATGGCAGCAGGGCGTGCACTTGTACATTCCAGCAGCAACAGGGCAATGGTATGGCAGCATTTGTGTGCATGCCTGTGTGTACACAAGTGGCAGCAGCATGGCAGGGTCCACACGTGTTCACACACTGGTGGCAGTGGGACAGTGGTGCAGCAGGGTCCACATGTGCACCAGCAGTGGCAGGGTGGTGGCTCAGCAGGATCTGTGCATACATTTACACTGATGGCACCAGGATGGTGAGGCCCACACACTAACATGCACCAGCAAAGCAGTTGGCAGATTTGGGGCAGTTACATGCCATCAAAATGGTGGGAGGATGCTGCAGGCAAGTGTGTGCCAGTGAAGCAGTCAGGGCAGGCTGTGGACAGTTGTGTGCTGTTGGGGTCCCTTGAACAGAAGCTCTCTGATAGTTAGGTGTGGTCTTCCAGTGAAGGACCTATGGTGGTGGCCACTGGGAAACACCTTGTTTGAGCATCTGAGGCTGCACTGTTAGTGGGTGGGGCCAGGCAGGGACTCTAGGAGAGACTGGCAGACGGGGGTGTTCAGATCAGAATGGCTCCATCCCATGGGCAAGGTAGCTCTGTTCTACTTGGGTCCAACAGCCAAGAAACGCCAAAGCTACCTAAACGAGTGGGGTGAGCCTTGGGGGATGGGCATCCCTGGCCATGCTACACTGCAGTTGTTCCCATGCCAAACCCTTTGGGCTACACAAAGGCTGGAGTCCCCTCTCTGCCAGCTCTTCAAACAGCTCTCCCTGCCATCTGAGATGTCCAGGGGATCATGGGGTCTTCTGCAGCTAGGATTCTGGAGGTCCATGGTGAGAGTGAACCACTCCATGCCTATTTAACTCACCCTTTCCCCAAGAGCTGCATAAGGCGAGGAACAAGTCCTGGTGCTTGGCAACCCTTTGCAGGGTTTCCACATTTCTCTCTCTTCAGCCTAGTGTCTGTGTCCTTCCTCCACACACTCTCAATGTGTTCTTTCTGACAATCTGCTTGGAGTACTGGTCTTCTTGATTGTCTGGTCTCCCAGGGAGAAGTTCCTCTTCACCGTGTCAGGTCATCCCTCTTGGCTTTTCTCCTCTCCAATATCTTTTTAAAAAAAATTTGAACATGTTATTTGAACATTTTTTTTTCCATTTGGGCCCTCGTGGACCTATGGATACATCCAGCTTTTAAAAAATGTAATAATGCGGCTGGGCATGTTGGCTCATGCCTGTAATCCTAGCACTTTGGGAGGCCGAGGCAGGTGGATTGCCTGACTTCAGGAGTTTGAGACCAGCCTGGGCAACAGGGTGAAACCCCCATCTCTACTAAAAAAAAAAAAAATACAAAAAATTAGCCAGGCATGGCATTGTGAGCCTGTGGTCCCAGCTACTCGGGAGGCTGAGGTGGAAGAATCACTTGGGCCCAGGAGGCAGAGGTTGCAGTGAGCTGAGATAGTGCCACTGCACTCTAGCCTGGGCAACAGAGCGAGACTCCATCTCCAAAAAAAAAAAAGTAATAATGCTTTTTTAAGGGTACATGATTAACTCCTTTTTTCCAGTGGATAGACGAGCTGGAAAGAAAAGGAGTTTGTAAACAAACATTGAGAATAAGTTATTAGTACTTGTGTCTTTTTGTAATAGATGCCAAGATTCAAAAAAAGTTACCAAAAAAACAGTAAATGTAAGCTTACTTTCTTCAAGATTTACCATTAACTGTTTTCTTTCAACAAATGGAAGCACTTGACAAATGAGATTTTTTTACTCAGTTAAGTTTAGAACATATATATATATATATAAAATACTTTAAGTCTTTGGGTACATGTACACAACATGAAGTTTTGTTACATAGGTATACATGTGCCATGTTGGTTTGCTGCACCCATCAACTCATCATTTACATTAGTTATTTCTCCTAATGCTATCCCTCCCCCAGCCCCCCACCCACCGACATGCCCTGGTGTGTGATGTTCCCACCCTATGTCCATGTGTTCTCATTGTAGAACATATTAACATTATTCTTCCTACTGACACCTCATAGGCCTATAGAGATATGCAGTAATAAGAGGCAAGTGGAAACATACTTTCCATAAAAAGCGTTATAACCTGTTTCTTTCCATGAATGATAGTTTAACAAAAAAGGAACTTATAACCAAATGTTGAGAAGGTCATGTTTCTTTCTCTAATAGGTGCCAAGTCCAAAAAACAAAAAAACTCCACCCATAGAAAGTAAAGGTACCCTTACTTTCTGCAAGATTGATTATTTACTGTTTTATTTCAATGAACTGGAATGTTTGGTGACTGTGATGCTTTTCTCAGTGAAGTTTAGAACATGTTATTGAACATTTTTCTCTTTCCACTGAGATTTCATAGACATACAGAAATATCCAGCAACAAAAGGCAAATGTAGTCATGCTTCCCATAAGAAACATTGTAAACTGTTTTCATTCAGTGAATAAAAGAGTTCGACACTAAAAGGCATTTGTAAGTAAACATTTAGAAGAAATTATTAGAACATGGTTTTTCTCCAATGAGCACCAAGAGGCTGATAGAGAAATCCACCTATAAAAAGTAAATGTAAGCTTGTTTTCTGCAAGATTAATCATTAACTGTTTTCTTTCAGTGAATAGAAGAATTTGATAAGTGAGATGCATTTCTAACCAAAAGTTTAGAACACGTTATTTGAACATTTTGCTATGCCCATTGTAACCACGTAGGCCTAAAGACATTTTTAGCAATAAAAGAGAAGTGTAATTATGGTTTTCTTAGAATGCATAATAAACTCTTTTTTTATTTGAAGTGTTTCAAAAAGAAAGGTGTTTGTAAGCAAATATTGAGAAGTTATTAGAACATATTTCTGTCTCCAATAGGCACCAATAGGCCAATAGAAAAATACACGTATAAAAAGTAAATGTAAGCTTTTTTTTTATGATTCATCATTCACTGTTTCTTTCAGTAAGTCTAAGATTTTTATGAACAAGATAATTTTCTAAGTGAAAACTGAGAACATGTTATTGAAACATTTTTCTTTCTTCTTTGGGCCCTCATTGGCCAGTAGAGCTATCCAGAAAAAAAACAGCAAATTTAATTATGATTTCCTTAAGATGCATCACAGTATTCTTTCATTCTGTAAATGGAGAGTTTGAAAAAAAATCATCTTTAAGCAAACACAAAGAAGAAATTATTATAACATGTTTCTTTTTCTAGTAGACAGCAAGAGACCAATAGAAAATCCACCTATAAAGAGTAAAAGTAAGCTTGCTTTCTTTAAGATTCATAATTAACTGTTTTCTTTCAGTGAATGAAAGAGCTTGAAGAAGAAGATCCTTTTCTAAGTAAAGGTTTGTGTTATATAATTTGAACATTTTTATTCCCTATCGGGCTCTTATGGGCTTATAGAGATGTCACGCAATCAGAGGCAAATGTAAGCATGCTTTCCATAAGATGCATCAAGAACTTCTTTTTAAAATAACGAATAGAGGAGTTTAACACAAAAATAATTTGTACTTAGACACTGAGAAGACATTATTAGGACATGTTTCTTTCTCCAATAGACACCAACAGCCAGAAAAGATATTCATAAATTTAAACAGTAAATGTAGGTTAACTTTTTTCCAGATCTGTCACTAACTGCTTTATTTCAGTGAATAAAATAGTTGAATGAATGAGATAATTTTTTTAACTAAAAATTTCGTATATGGTATTTTATATGGTTTGGCTGTGTTTCCACCCAAATCTCAGCTTGAATTATATCTCTCAGAATTCCCATGTGTTGTGGGAGGGACCCAGGGGAGGAAATTGAATCATGGGGGCCGGGCTTTCCCATGCTATTCTTGTGATAGTGAATAAGTCTCAGGAGATCTAATAGGTTCATTGGAAGTTTCTGCGTTTGCTTCTTCCTCATTTTCTCTTGCTGCTGCCACATGAGAAATGCCTTTCACCTCCCGCCATGATTATGAGGCCTCCCCAGCCATGTGGAACTGCAAGTCCAGTTAAACTTCTCTTTCTCCCAGTCTCAGGTATGTCTTTATCAGCAGTGTGAACACAGACTAATAAAGTAAATTGATACCCAGAGTGGGTATTGCTGAAAAGATACCTGAAAATGTGGAAGCGACTTTTGAACTAGGTAACAGGCAGATATTGGAACAGTTTGGAGGTCACAGAAGAAGACAGGAAAATATGGGAAAGTTTGGAACTTCCTAGAGACTTGTTCAATGGCTTTGACAAACATGCTGATAGTGATATGAACAATAAGGTCCAGGCTGAGGTGGTCTCAGATGGAGATGCATAACTTGTTGGGAACTGGAGTAAAGGTGACCCTTGTTACGTTTTAGCAAAGAGACTGGCAGCATTTTTCTCCTGCCCTAGAGATTTGAGGAATTTTGAACTTGAGAGAGATGATTTAGGGTATCTGGCAGAAGAAATTTCTAAGCAGCAAAGCATTCAAGAGGTGACTTGGGTGCTATTAAAGGCATTCAGTTTCAAAAGGGAAACAGAGCATAAAAGTTTGGAAAATTTGCAGCCTGACAATGCAATAGAAAAGAAAAACCCATTTGCTGAGGAGAAATTCAAGTCAGCTGCAGAAATTTGCATAAGTAATGTTAATACCCAAGGCAATGGAGAAAATGTCTCCAGGGCATGTCAGAGGTCTTCACAGCAGTCTCTCCCATAACAGGCTCAGAGGCCTAGGAGGAAAAGATGGTTTCCTGGACCAGGCCCAGGGTCCCTATGCTGTGTGCATTCTAGGTACTTGGTGCCCTGTGTCCCAGCCACTCCAGCTATGACTGAAAGAGGCCAACATAGAGCTCAGGCCATGGCTTCAGTGGGTGCAAGCCTCAAGCCTTGCAGCTTCCATGTGGTGTTGAGCCTGTGGGTGCACAGAAGTCAGGAATTCAGGTTTGGGAACCTCCACCTAGGTTTCAGAGGATGTATGGAAATACCTAGATGTCCAGTCAGAAGTTTGCTACAGGGCTGGGGCCCTCATGGAGAACCTCTGCTAGGGCAGTATGGAAGGGAAATGTGGGGTGGGAGACTCCACACAGAGTCCCCACTGGGGTGCTGCCTAGTGGAGCTATGAGAAGAGAGCCACCATCCTAAGACCCCAGAATGGTAGATCCACCGACAGCTTGCACCGTGCACCTGGAAAAGCCACAGACACTCAACACCAGCCCATAAAAGCAGCTGGGAGGGAGGCAGTTCCCTGCCAGACCACAGGGGCGGAGCTGCGCAAGCCCATGTAAACCCACCTTTTGCATCAGCGTGAACTGGATGTGAAACATGGAGTCAAAGGAGATCATTTTGAAACTTTAAGATTTGACTGCCTTGCTGGATTTCGGACTTGCATGGGCCTGCATCCCCTTGCCAATTTCTCTCATTTGGAATGGCTGTATTTACCCAATGCTTATACCCCTGTTGTATCTAGGAATTAGCTAACTTGCTTTTGATTTTACAGGCTCATAGGCATAAGGGACTTGCCTTTTCTCCGATGAGACTTTGGACTGTGGACTTTTGAGTTAACACTGACATGAGTTAAGACTTTGGGGTACTGTTAGGAAGGCATGATTGGTTTTGAAATTTGAGGACATGAGATTTGGAGGGGTCCAGGGGTGGAATGATACGGTGTGGCTCTGTCCCCACCCAAATCTCAACTTGAATTGTATCTCCCAGAATTCCCACATGTGTGGGAGGGACCCAGGGGGAGGTAATTGAATCATGGGGGCCGGTCTTTCCCATGCTATTCTCATGATAGTGAATAAGTCTCATGAGATCTGATGGGTTTATCAGGGGTTTCCACTTTTGCTTCTTTCTCATTTTTTCTTGCCACCACCATATAAGAAATGCCTTTCACCTCCTGCCATGATTTTGAGGACTCCCCAGCCATGTGGAACTGTAAGTCCAATTAAACCTTTCTTTTTTCCCAGTCTCAGGTAGTCTTTATCAGCAGCGTGAAAATGGACTAATACAGTATTCTAATATATTTCTGGGTTTTTGGAGCCCTCATCAGCCAACACAGATGCCCAGCAATAAAAGGAAAATGTAATTATACTTCTTTGAGGATGCATCATAAGTTATTTTTTTTTTCAGTGCATAGAAGAGTTTGACACAGGAAGGCATGTTTAGGCAAATTTGGAAAATAGGTTATTAGAACATGTGTCCTTGTCCATTTATGCCAGGAGGCCAATAGAGAAATCTGTGCATACAAAGTAAATGTAAGCTTGCATTCTTCATGATTCTTTGTTAACTTTTCTTTCAGTTAATAGAAAATTTGGATGAATAAGATGTTTTTCAAAGTGAAAGTTTAGAACATGTTATATGAATATATTTTTTTCTCATTCAGTGCTTATAGACTTAGAGAGATATTTAGATATAAAATAAATTTGTAATCATCCTCCCCCTAGGACTCATCATGTACTGTTTCCTGTCAGTGAATAGAATTTGTCACAAAATGGCATTTGTAAGCAAATATTGAGGAATATGTATTAGAACATATTCATTTTGCTAATAGCCATCTAGAGTAGTGGGCTCCAAACTTTTTGGCACCAGGGACCAGTTTCTTGGAAGAAAATTTTTCCACATATGGTGGAGAGATAATTTCGAAATAATTCAAACTCATTACATTTATTGTGCACTTTATTTCTATTATCATTACATACCCACCATAATGTAGAATCAGTGGGAGGCCTGAGATTGTTTTCCTGCAACTAGATGGTCTCGTCTGGGGGTGATGGGAGACAGTGACAGACCATTAGGTATTAGAATCCCATAAGGAGTGTGCAACCTAGAACCCTCGCAGGGGCAGTTCACAATAAGAGTTGGAGTTCAGCTTTGCTCACTGACCCTCCACTCACCTCCTGCTTTGCAGCCCAGTTCCTAACAGGCCACAGAGCAGTAGTGGTCCATGGCCCAGGGATTGGGGACCCCTGGCCTAGAGGACGATAGAGCAATCCACCTATAAATAGTCAATGTCAGGCTTGCTTTTATCAAAATTTACTATCAACTGTTTTCTTTCAGTGCATGAACGAGTTGTACAAGAAAACTATTTTCTAATCAATTATATATATATGATATATGATATGATATATGATATATATGATATAGGATATATGTGATATGATATATGATATATATATGATATGATATAACATATATATATGATATGGATATACATATCATATATATGTTATATCATATCATATATATGATATGTATGTATATATACATACGTGTGTGTGTGTGTGTGTGTGTATATATATATGTAATTTGAACTTCTTTTTACTTCTTCTGGCCTTCATCTACCAATAAAGACATCCAGCAATAAAAAGCAAATGTAAGAAAGAGTTTTTCTTAGGATATATCATTAACTTTTATTAAAGTGAATGAAAAATTTTTATATAGAAAAACATTTGTAAGAAATTATACTTTGATCAAAAGAATTATAAACTATTTTTTAGTGATTGGAAGGGTTTAACACAGAAAGGAATTTGTTAGCAAACATTGAGAAGTTTTAGAACATGTTTTTTTCTCTGATATATACTAAGACTTATAGAGAAATCCACTCATAACAAGTAAATGTAAGCTTGCTTTTTAAAACATTTACCATTAAGTATTTTTTTCTCGGGGTATGAAAAGAGTTCAGGGAATGAGAAGTTTTTCTAAGTGAAAGTTTACAAATATTAGGAGAATATTTTTCATTTTGTATTGGTCACTCCATAGGCCTATAGTGATATGCGGCAATAAAAGGCAAATGGAATTATGCTTTCTTTCAAATGCATCTTACACTGTTTTCTTTCTCTAACATAAGAATTTGATCCAGAAGGGACTTTGTAAGCAAACATTGGGAAAAAGTTATTAGGATATGTTTACTCCATTAGGCAAAAGTAGTGGACTAACTAGTGATTAATGATAGCAGTCAGGACCTCTTCTCCTGGCCTATTTAGAAAAATGATAGGACTCTTTCTCAGGGGTAAGAGTGGTGCCCACTGAGCAGTAAAATTCATTTACTAAGCAAATATTTAAGAAAAATCTACTATGTTTCAGACATTGAGCTAGGCACTGGAGACAGCAAAACCACAAAGCACCACGTTCACTTTAGTTGGGAAAACAGAAAATAAATAAATAGGTAAATAAATGTGAAAAATGTCAGGTGGCAAGAACTGCTGTGAAAAAAATAACAGAAAATGGGACTAGAGGATAGGCAGAAGCATCGTTTTGATGAGGTGGTGAGGAAAACCTCCATAAAGAAGAAACATGAGCAGATGAAGCATGAGCCACACTAGCACTGTGGCCAAGAGTGTGTCCATGTGTTCACACTTCAAGGAGCACAAAGCAGCTGGTTTGGCTGGTGAGCTGTGAGTCATGGGAGAATGGCTGGCCATGAGCTGGGCTCAGGGCATATTCAGATCCTGCAGAGCCCTGGAGGCCACAGTGACGCCTGTGACCAGCACTCCAAAACATGAGATGGGACTCTGGGAGCAACTGTTCTTACTTGCATTTTAAAAGGATCATGATGGCTGCTGTGGTGGTAAGACTGGAAGTAGCAAGATGGAGGAAATTGTATCACTTTATGTCAGACGCCATGTTGCCTTGGACAGGCAGCAGGGCAAGTGGTAATAAGTGGATGGAAGCAGTTTCTGGGGGATTGGATAGCGTATGAGGGAAGTCTTCAGGGATAATGACAAGATTGCTGTTCTGAACAACTGGATAAGGGTAATTGCTGGAATGGGGAAGGCAGGGGGTGGGGCAGGGTTAGGGAGCAGAAACTAAGAATCTGATTTTGGATATGTTTAATATGTCTGGTGGACCTTCAAGCTGAACTGTGATGTAAGCAGCTGCAGAGTGGCTGGGGCAGATATCAGGACAGGAGATAACTTGGGAGGTACCAGGCATAGGGCAACGCACCACCACATGCTGGTAAGTCATCTGGGGATTTGTTAAAATGCAAATTCTGATTTTGTAGGACGAGGGCAGGGTCTGGAAAGCTGCACTTCCAGCCAGCTCCCAGATGCTGCTACTGGTCCACAGAGCATGCTTTCAAAAGTGAAAAATGTAGATGGAGTTTAAAGCCACGAGACTGGGTGGGATAAACTAAGGAATGAATATGGGTTGAGAAGAGTAGAAACCCTTAGTGCTTAAGGGACAATTCCTCCCGGATCTGCTTCTGAGCTCAAGACTAGTATGGAATGATACCTTCTCCTAGGGTACCATCACCCCAGCTGGTCAGGAATATCCTCCAAAAATAATGAAATATGAGGCTCACTCAGAAATAAGGACTGGGAGACTTCCTGAGGAAGGTGTTGTCACATTATAAAGACCTTTCCTTAGAATGGGAGGAGGAATGTCTGTGTGACAGCAGTGATGGAGTAGGGGTGACAGAACAGGTCTATTTACATCATGAACCAGCCAGTCCAGCTGTATTGTATGTGAAAATGGTTACTGGGATACCTGGGATTCTTAAAAGACATTCCAAGATGTCAGGAGGTTTCTGGGCAGTTTGGTGAGAATTGAAGCAAAAAATTATATTCCTCCCAATTTCTGAGAAGGTGTCTAATTTTTGGAAGTGGGTCTTCAATGAGGCCAAGAACACTCAGAGATTAATGTAAATATAGACCCTCTTTTCATATGTATCAGAAAAAATGAGGCGAGTCTTTATCATTTTAGAGATGTATTTTGTCAAGGCTGACGATGTACCTGGGAAAAACAGACATAAGCTACAACAGGATCTGGGGCCTGTGCTTTTTCTGAGGAAGGTTTTGATGGCTTCAATATTTAAAGGGTAAATGTGGCAGAAGGGAAAAAGGGAAAGAAAGAAAAGAGAAGGATATGGTCACATTCTTGTGAGGCTTCTGTTAGGTTAACTGAATCCACCTGTTGCACGTGAAAAGGCGGACGTAGAGGGAAAAGTCAATTATGCATTCATCTCGTGTTCGGTAAATGTGCACTTTACATAAGATAAAGTAAACATTGAGTAGAGGAAGCAGTCAAGTATGCATTTGTCTTGGGGTGGGTGGTGGGACGGTTTCCAGTCTCCTCTTGTTTTGTGTCCATGAAGATAAGCTGTTAATTTACATTGTCAGGATGAGGGAGGCCCTTTGTGGAGACATGTGGCATTCTATCTGTAGCAATCGGTTTAGGAACAAAAGGAAAGGCAGTTTTTTGTTTTGTTTTGTTTTTAATAACTCAGCTTCTAGGCTCTAACTTTTCCCTTTTGGCATAATTAATTTGGGGTTCCAACATTCTAGTTTTTCTTTATCACTTTCCCCCTATTTAAAAGGATCTTTCAAAGAAAGTATTTTAGATGAAAATGAATCTGTGGTATTGGGTTTTGTCTGATCTCTCACCACTAGGATAGTTCATTCCTAGATGGATAAGTCCACATTGTTAGGAAGGCTCATTCAGGTTGTGAATTCTCACATTCCATTGAGAAGAACAGAGAAATAAAATGGGGAAAAAAAGGAGGGAGGAAAGATCATAACAACAAAAAGGGAAAAGAATCCTGGAAAACTGATTTAGGACATATAAATAGGTTGTTATTTCTTCCTAAGTTGTTTAGCTTCAGTTCACAGTGCTTTGAGAAAAACACAGCTTTAATTTCTGGTGATTTCAAATTAGACAAATTAGAGGAAAAAAAAGAAAGGAAAAAATTAAAAACATTAGTTTGGAAAACTTGTAGCCAGGAAAACTTTAGGATTTGGTCCAAATTGTAGAAAATAATAAAAACTGAAAAAACAGTGAACAAGACTAGAATGTAATAACACATATACTATAGTTTCTTTTGAAAGATAATTTGTCTCTTTCAGTTCTCCATTTTTACCAAAGACAACTCATAGCAGGACTAATTTATTTGAAAAAAAAAATGTTTTAGTTTTATTATACTTGGCCTGATTATTTGCATAAATTCCAGCAAGAAAAACTATCCTCCATATAGGCTTCTTTTTAAAATTGGCTTTACTGGAACATTTTAATACAATAAATCTCAGGTTAGATTTTTTCAAACCATCAAGCCCAATTAACTCATTCCAGTTGATATTGTGTTGACAATTCTCATGAACACATTAACTTTTTAATTAGAGTCCTGGAAGTTATATTTTTCTATTCCAACAACACAGTCTCCAAAATTATCAGAAACCTGTGTTTAAGAGCACTCACTGAAGTTAAAAACTACTTTTTGAAAAGGATTAAAGTAATACAATATTTGTGGATGGCAAAATCTTAGAACTGTCATTGTTAGAGATACAATTGACAAGGAAATTTGATTATTTTGTAACATACAACAATTTAACATAATAATTATAATTATTACTGATAACATATACTCAAACATATTAGAACTGTAGGAATCATACGATTTTGAAGCACATACTAATAAGACATTTATATAAATATAACCCAAAGAAAGTTAAACACCTTCGTATATTTGACAATGCTTCCTGTATGATTTTATTATACCAAATAAGACAAATATGTCTTTGCTGGACTTCTAAAAAGTTAGTTTAAGGCCAAAAGACTGAATTTAGAATTTGATTTTGGAGCATTTGTCAAATAACAAAGGTTTAAAACACTTAAAATTGCAAAATGGCATTATATGTTACTGAAAATAAGTTATTCAGTTAGCCAAAGTGATAACTCAAAAATTTCAAAAAGGCAGAAACTTTTACTCTTAACATAGAAGAGACTCAGGTTCCCAAATAATAAGGTCTAATAAAGACACCATGAGGCCAGCTGGGTCTGTCTCTCTCTCTCCCCCTTCTTGTTTTTTTTTTTCTTTTTTTTTTTTTTTTGTAGTTTACTCAAAGGGCAAACAAAAACATTTTACTATTTCTTAATATTACACAAACGTTTTGTTCAAAAGAGAAAACTAAAAATTAAAATTTACCTTCATATAATGTATTACTAATATTTAAGCTAATATAAATAAGCCTTATGAACAAATCTAATTTTAGTCAGCTTGATAAGATATAATTTCCATAAATCTTTTATAAGCTTTTTTTTTTTTTTTTTTTTTTAAGTTAAGGAGCAGATTAATGCCTCAAGGAAACCTTGCTATTCCAACACAGGGACCTATATGCTGACCTTGCATCAATGTGCTTTTGATAAAAATGTTTAATTTACAGAGAAACTCTGAACTAATTTTGTCTCTCAAAATAAGCCCCTATAATCTTACATGCCCACCTCTTTCATAGTAGTCCCTGGGCTGAGAGAGATTGAATAAGTTTAATTTCTGGCCCTGTGTCTCACAAATGCATTTTAAATGTTCAAGATTTAACAGGAATTGGTGCCTTTTCAAGACCCAGGAGTCAAAGTCCTGTAACTTAACAGCACAAGGATTTTAAAATCAATACAGAATGTTATATAGGTGTAAAAGCCTTAATTTTTCTTTAAATCTCAGTTTTCCTAAGCAAATAAAAAATTTAATAATGATGACGTAGGAATTATCTCAATAAAACATAAGATCTGTTTCTTAGGCCAGTTACCAAAGTCGAAGGAAGACCCTCTGCAGTGATGGCTTCCACTTATGAGAAGCCTATTCAGATCACCTGGAATTCAAACCTGATGGAAAGAATACTCAAATTACTCCCAGTCATGAGTTAAGTTTTCCTGTTCATGAAACAATTTAGATATATTAAGAAAAAACAAGAGTGCAGAATCAAGTTATACTGGAGGAAACCACTGCCTTTGAGACCTTTAAGATAAAATATTTTTGCATCAGGCCTCAACAGCATTTAGAGTTATAGGGGGAAAAAAGTTACAAACACTGATGAAAAAGTTACAAAGAGAAAGTTATCCTCTCAGGCCTTCTCAAGAGGATAGAAAGCTGAAAGCAGCAAGACACAACAAAAGTTGAACTTCTCTGAGTTAAAAATCAAAACTTCTTATAATATTAAGAGCGTATTGATACCTTAAGGTCTAACACAGGGGACCAAAACTTGGAAAGAGTGCTATAAGTCATTTCAAAATTCTTCTTTTATTCAATAATAACACACTTTTTGGCTTCTTTTTTTCTTCAACTTTTATTTTAGGTTCAGGGGATACGTGTGCAGGTTTGTTACGTGGGTAAATTGCATGTCACTGAGGTTTGGGGTATGAATAATACCATCACCTAGTTAGTGAGCATAGCACCTGATAGGTAGTTTTTAAAACTTTGCCCCCCATCTAACCCTCTCTCCTCTTGTAGCAACCAGCGTCTGTTGTTCCCATCTTTATGTCCATGTGTACTCAATGTTCAGATCCCACTTATATGTGAAAACATGTGGTATTTGGTTTTCTCTTTCTACACTGTTTCACTAAGGATAATGGCCTCCAGTGGCAAAGGATATAATTTCATTATTTTCTATGGTGTGTAGTATTGCATGGTATATATTTACCATATTTTCTTTATCCAGTCCACTATTAATGGGCACCTTGGTTGATTCCCTGTCTCTGCTATGGTGAATGCTGGTGTGGGCATGCATTCTGGTAGAACAGTGTATGTTGCTCTGGGCATATACCCAACAAGGACATTGCTGGGTTGACTGGATAAAATTATCTAGTTTTTTTAAGAACAGAGACATAAAAGAAGTGAGGCCATCCCTGAAGAACACTAACATTTATGAGTCTGGTAGGCTCTGAGCTTTTCTTACTTTTTCTTTTTAAAAATACTTTTTTTTAGAGCAAATTTAAGTGGAGAGTACAGATAGTTCCCTTGTATTAATACATCCTCCGCAGCCTCCCTCATTATCAACATTGTCTGCCGGAGTGGTACGTTTGTTACAACTGAGTCTACATTGCCACATCATTATCACCTAAAGTTTATAATTTATATTAGGGTTCGGTCTTGATGTTGTACATTCTATAGGTTTTGACAAAGGTATACTGTAATTATATGTATCCAGTATTATAGCATCATACAAAAAATTTCACTACTCTAAAAATCCTCTCTACTCTGCCTATTCATCCCACTCTCTGCCCGTAACTCTCAGCAACCACTGATCTTTTTACTGTCTCCATAGTTTTGCCTTTTCCAGAATGACATGTAGTTGGAATTATACAGTATGCACACTCCATGATTCTACATATATGAAACCTAGTAAAGACAAATTTATAATGATAGCAGATCAATGTTTACCAGGGGCTGGAAACAGGGGTTTTAGGAGAAGGCGGTTGACTGGGAAGTGACACAAGGGACTCTTTTGGGATGATGAAAATATTTTATATCTTTGTTGTGGTGATGATTGTACAATTGTATATGTTTGTTGAAACTTTTAAAGTGTACACTTAAAGTGACTGCATTTTATTTATGTAAATTATAAGAATAAAGTTGATGTTAAAAAATAATAGAGATTTCCGCTCACTTTGCATTGTTTCCTCCAGTTGTAACATTTGAAAACTATAGTATAATATAGTATACATTAATATATACTATACTATAGTATATATATAATATACTATAATACAGTATAGCAGATACTATGTTGTGGCATAGTGTTATGCTGCCAAGGATACAGAGAAACTGGATCACTCCAACATTGCTGCTGGAAGTGTAAAATGGTACAACTACACTGAAAAGTAGTTTGTCACTTTCTTAACAAATAAAACCTGTAACTACCATGTGACCCACAACTGTTCTCCTGGGCATTTATCCCTGAGAAATGAAAATTATGCTCATTATACACTATAATATAGTATAATATAGTATCTATTATACCAGGATATTGACATTGATATAATCTACTGACCTTAATCCAATTTCCCTAATTTTGCTGTGCTCATTGTGTGTGTGGATTAAGTATTATATTATTTTAGAATCTGTATAAGTTCATGTCTTCAACACCACAGTTCAGATACTGGTCAGTTCCAGTATCACGAGGATCCCTTATGTTGTAATTTCATAAACACACCCTCCTTCTTTTTCTTCTTATCTACTCCCACCTCTTCCTCCCACTCTGGCTACCACTAATTACTCTTCTATTTCTAAAATTTTGTCATTTCAAAAATGTTATATAAATGGAATTATACAGTATGTAACCTTTTAGAAATGGCTTTTTTGCTCAGCAAAATTCACTGGAGAGTCGCCCAGTTTCTTATGTATAGCAATAGTTTGCTCTTCTTAATTGCTGAATATGGTGTGATGGTCAGTTTTAAGTGTCAATATGATTAAGCCATAGTACCCAGTTATTTAATTAAACACTAATATAGGTGTTGCTGTGAAGGTATTTTGTAGACATGGTTAACATCTATAATGAGTTGATTTTAAGTAAAAGATATTACTCTCAATAATGTCATGGGCCTCATATAAATAGTTGAAGGCCTTAATAGAAAAGACTAGTTTTCCAAAGAAAAAGAAATTTTGCCTCAAGACTTCAGCATCCACTCCTACCTGAGTTTTCAGTCTGCCTGTTTGGTCTACAAAGTTTAAAAATGCCAGCTCCTACAATTGTGTGAGCCAATTTCTAAAAATTTCCCCCTTCTCTCTCTCTCTCTCCCCCCACCCCCTCTATATATAATCTTTTTTTAAAATTTTATTATTATTATACTTTAAGTTTTAGGGTACATGTGCACAATGTGCAGGTTAGTTACATATGTATACATGTGCCATGCTGTTGTGCTGCACCCATTAACTCGTCATTTAGCATTAGGTATATCTCCTAAAGCTATCCCTCCCACCTCCCCCCACCCCACAACAGTCCCCAGAGTGTGATGTTCCCCTTCCTGTGTCCATGTGTTCTCATTGTTCAATTCCCACCTATGAGTGAGAATATGTGGTGTTCAGTTTTTGTTCTTGCGATAGTTTACTGAGAGTGATGATTTCCAATTTCATCTATGTCCCTACGAAGGACATGAACTCATCATGTTTTATGGCTGCATAGTATTCCATGGTGTATATGTGCCACATTTTCTTAATCCAGTCTATCATTGTTGGACATTTGGGTTGGTTCCAAGTCTTTGCTATTGTGAATAGTGCCGCAATAAACATACGTGTGCATGTGTCTTTATAGCAGCATGATTTATAGTCCTTTGGGTATATACCCAGTAAAGGGATGGCTGGGTCAAATGGTGTTTCTAGTTCTAGATCCCTGAGGAATCGCCACACTGACTTCCACAATGGTTGAACTAGTTTACAGTCCCACCAACATAATCTTATATTAATTCTCTTTCTCTGGAGAAGTCTAATTTATACACATGGCTTGAAGGCATCACAATTTGTCTGACAGTTCACCTATTGAAGGACGTCTGGGTTGTTTCCAGTTTAGGGCTATTATGACTAATGTTGCTATAAACATTAGTGTACAGGTGATTGTATAAACACAATTTTCATTTCTCAGGGATAAATGCCCAGGAATACAGTTATGTGTCTTATGGTACTTACATGTTTCATTTTTTTTAGAAAGCACCAAACTATTTTCCAGAGTGTTTGTACCATTTTACATTTCACCAGCAATGTTTGAGTAATCCAGTTTCTCTGTATCGCAGCATTATGCTACTTCTGCTAATTTTTATTCTAATCATTCTGATATGTGTGTAGTAATACCTCATTATGGTTTTAGTTATTTATTTGTTTGAGATAGAATCTCGCTGTGTCATCAAGGCTGGAGTGCAGTGGTGCGATCTCCGCTCACTGCAACCTCCGCCTCCCGGGTTCAAGTGATTCTCCTGCCTGAGCCTCCTGAGTAGCTGGGATTACAGGCGTGCACCACAATGCGCGGCTAATTTTTTCGTATTTTTATTAGAGATGGGGTTTCCCCCTTGTTGGCCAGGCTGGTCTTGTACTCCTGACCTCAGGTGATTCAGCAGCCTCAGCCTCCCAAAGTGCTGGGATTACAGGCGTGAGCCATCAGGTTTCATTTGTCATTTCCCTTATGTTAATGAAGTTGAACATTTTTCATGTACTTATTTGGCATCCTTATATCCTCTTCAGTGAAATGTCTATTTATGTTTTTTGCCTATTTGTCTTTCATTGTTTGTTGTTTTCAGAGTTCTGTGAGTGCTTTATATACTTTAGATAGTTGTCTTTGAGGGGTCACCGCTCTGGCTTGTCTGAACTCCATGTCTCCCATCCCTGTGTGAGTTGTGGTCATCGTTTAACTCTTGGCTCAGCCCATGCAGTTTCACCCTAGTAACATGTGGCTCAGTATTCAGAATCAGACTAGAGTGGCAACCTTCTAAACATTTCTCAAGCTCTTTTTGAAATCAGCTCTTTCTCTTGGTTCTTCTTTTTAAAAATTCCAGCCACTACTGTCTCTCCAAACTGATCTCTCTTTCCCTAACTCGGTGAGATGCTGTGCTCTGTTGAAACTCCCCCTTCCAGTTCTGCAGTCCAGAGGCGCCTGCAGGCAGAAAGCCAGGGGGATTACAGTACTCACAACTTTTGTTTGTCTTCTCTTAGGGATCACAGCCCTGCCGTGATCATTGTTTAAAAACTGTTGTTTCATATATTTTGTCTGGTTTTCTAGTTCCTTATAGTGGGAAGGTAAATTTAACTTCAGTTCCTCATCATAGCTAGAAGCAGACACACTGACCTGTGTTCTCTCCATAGGCCTGATAAAAACATAAACACTGGGTCGTGCAGGGCAGGACTTGGACTGAGAGGGCAGATCACTGGGCATTGGCACTTCTCTTCTTAACTTTCTTCAGAATTTTTCAGTTGTATCCTAGACTAGTTTCCTAGGATACATACATTCAGACATATGGAATTGAACACTTGACCTGCTTGTACAGGCTTGCAAAGACTAGAATATGAACATTAGTTTTACATGATGTGTACATACAAATTTTATATATAGTACTTTACAAAGTGTGCAAGATTTATTTTATTTTGAAAGTTTAAGCTGCCCTCTAGTGGAAAATACATGCCAAGATTTGGGCCTGGCTTTTCTTTGGTTTCGTTTTCATTATGGGAAGCCCTAGATACTCAAATCAGTAGCAGTGAGCTAGTATCTCTTCTCTCCCTGAAGCCGATGGGAGTTGTGGGCTACCTTTCTTTCTTATGGAAGGTGCTCAGGCCCACCCTGGGCCCATGTGGAGCTCTATACAGCTGCAGATAGAGAGACAAGCCTTACCCCAATGGGACCCCTCCTACAATCAGGGGCCCTCTTTCCCTTTCTCTGCTGTTCAGAATATGTGCTGTCTGTCTGGTCCATATTTGCTCTCTGAAATTGATTCACATGAATGTCCAATAATGACTTACAGTAGTACTTGTCTCCTAGGGAATCAAAGCCCTTAGCCACGCTGTTAGTTACCACCCGAAAGGCTGTTCCTGTTCTTAGGGAAGCTGTTGAGATATTTGCAGGCGGAAGAGGGTCACCAATACAATCAGCCTTCACTGACCCTGACTCGGGTAATGATGTCAATGTTGAATCTGCTTCCTGGAAGCATCTGGGCAGAAGCAGCCAGCATGGCCCCAGCCCTGGCTGCTAGACTCTAAACCCAAGTTATTCGGCTAATGACATTGTATTGTTATATATAAAAAGAACCATAGGCAAACCACTATCTGAAAGGTCCACTAGGGGTTAGAGACCATGTTGGTGATGAAAAGAGAATGCAAAGGAAGGAAGGAAGGAAGGGAAAACAAGCAGTAAATTAGAGAATCCGGTAATGATGAAGATGGCAGATGAGAGGCTTTCCGCATGCCACAGCCACAGGGAAATAGAAAAATAGTGCTTAAAGATCAACTCTGTGAATTTTCACTCAAGAAGGAAGACAGGAATTCACCAGACTAGTGAAGGACACACCAGACTCTGGGGAGGGAAAGACGCACAAGCAGCTTCCATGACAGCATTTGGCTGACCAGTGAGTAAAGCCCTTGTCTGCAAGGGTGGCAGCCTGTCTCCCTCTGTGTCTCATCCTTCTGCTAGGGGTCTGTGCAACCCAGGCCAAGACAGAGCACCCCTTTTTTCTCAAGCCCCGGAGCTAGCTTGGGGGAGGCTGAGAGATGGAGGGAGGGAAGACACTGGGAAAAGCTGCTGGCATTTTCCCAGACTTGGGACCGAGAGGATGATACTATTTTTAATCTGGGCTCATACCAAGGCAGTCATTGTGTGGCAACCTGGCAATAATGTCTTCTGCAGACATTTTAGTCTCAGGCCAGAGAGTAGACCATTTGCCCTGGAGCAGGGGAAGGGCCCCCACAGCCAGAATTGAGTGGTGAGTGTGGATACCACTCCAGGAGCAGGCAGTTAAATTAGACTCTCTTGTTACAGGGGGCTGCCGCAGGAGAAGTGCTGAAGAAGAGGTTTCTCCTTAGCAGGAGGACTTGCAGCCAAGGACAGCTTTATGATCTGGAACCAGTCAGTGTGTATCCTTGCTGGGTGCCCCAGTTTGCTCCCTTGATCAGCTGGCAAAGTGTGACCCACCAACTTTGAGGAGTGGAAGGGAGGCACCCTCCCCCTTACCTGCCCCGCACACCTGCGCTGGAGACCTAACCCTTGGTGAGGACAGCCTTTAAGGGAAGTAAGAACACAGCCTGTCAAAGCTTCCCTTGGGTCAAAGGAAATGGAAGCGCAGTGCCAACCACTGGAGGGGGTAACACCAAAGCCTACAAACAAACTTGGAGAGGAGGTCGTCTAATTGCCCCTGTTTCTCCTCAGTGCCTTGCTGTGGATGCAGCCATAGATCTTCCTGTTGGGTCCCGGGAAGCGTGGGCTGAAAGAGGCACTTCTCGAGCTTCTCAAGGGCCTCTACTTCTGCTGAAGAACAGCAGTGCTGGGGGAGGGTGCTCTCGTATGTCTCTATTGCCTCCACCCCTGCTGAGGGTGAGCACAGGCAAAGTGAGACCCTCCTGCTGGCTCTTGCCCTGAAGTGCCATCGACTTGACTGCAGTCTGAATTATAGCACCAAATGAAAACACATTGCTACACCAAGCAGTTTCCTAGAAAGCCACCATATGAATCTGTCTGCAACCAAGGAACCCAGGCCCTCTGATAGCTCTCAGACATAAAGCCAATTGATCATACACAACATAAACCACAGTCAAATTCTCAAAGGAAAAAACAATAAGAAATCAAAATGCCCCATCCAAATGGTAGCACATTTGAAAAATAAAGTGTCAACTTTCTCAGATGAGAAGAAATCAGCACAATAACTCCAGTAATACAAAAAGCCAGAGTGTTTTGTCACCTCCAAAGTATCTTACTAGCTCCCAAGAAGTGGATTCTAACCAAAAAGAAATGTCTGAAATGACAGAAATATAATTCAGAGTGTGAGTGGCAAAGAAACTCAACAAGATCTAAGAGAAAGTTGAAATCCAACACAAAGGAAACAGAAAAGTGATTCAGGATTTGAAAGACAACATAATTATGTTATGAAATAAACAGAACTTTTGGAATTGAAAATTTTAAAAATTCACTACAGGAACTTCAAAATACACTGAAAACCTTAGCAACAGGATAGACCAAGCAGATGAAAGAATCTCAGAGTTCAAAGATTGGTTCTTTGAATCAACCCCAACAAAAATAAAGACAAAAAATGTTTAATGAACAAAGCTTTTGAGAAACATGAGATTATGTAAAGCAATAAAAATCTAAGACATATTGGCACTCTTGAGAGAGAAGAAGAGAAAGTAAGCAGCTTGGAGAATATATTTGAGAATATAATTCAGGGAAGTTTCCCCAACTTTTCTGTAGAGGTCAACCTGCAGATATAAGAAATCCAGAGAACTCCTGCAAGATAACTATAAAAGACACCTATCCCCAAGGCGCGTAGTCAGACTATCCAAGGTCAGTGTGAAAGAAAAAAATCTTAAAGTCAGCTAAAGAAAAGGGTCATGTTAACTATGAGGGGAAACCCAGCAGATGAACAGCAGACTTCTCAGCAAAAACCTTGCAAGCCAGAATAGATTGAGGCCCATATTTAGCATCCTTAAAGAAAAGAAATGCCAGCCAAGAATTTTATATGCTGACAAACTAAGCTTCATAAAGCAGAAGTAAAGTCTTTCCCAGAAAAACAATAGCTGAGGGAATCTATCACCACCAGACCAGGCCTACAAGAGATGCTTAATGAAGTTCTAAACATGGAAATAAACTCACTACCAAACAAACAAGAACAACAAACAAACAAAAACAACTACTCACCAAAAAAAGCCCTGGACTACAGCTGAATTCTACCAGACACATAAAAAACAGCTAGTACCAATCCCACTGAAACTATTCAAACAAAATTGAAGAGGAGGGATTCTTTCCTAAAACATTCCATGAAACCAGTATCATCCTGATATCAAAATCTGGCAAAGACACAACCGAAAAATAAAATTACAGGCCAATATCCCTGATGAACATACATTCAAAAGTCCCCAACAGAATACTAGCAAACTAAATTTAGCAGCACATCAGAAACTTAGTTCACACATGATCAGATGGGCTTTACTTCTGGAATGCAAAGTTAGTTTAATGTATGCAAATTAATAAATGTGATTCAACTTATAAACAGAATTAAAAACAAAAACTATAGAATTATCTAATAGATGCAGAAAAAGCATTCGATAAAATCCAGCATTTGTTCATGATAAAAACCCTCAAATAACTAGTCATAAAAGGAACGTGCATCAAAATAATAAGAGCCATCTATGATAAAGCAACAGCCAACATCATATTGAATGGCCAAAAGCTGGGCCATTTCCCCTAGGAACTGGAACACAACAAGGATATTCAGTTTCACCACTTTTATTCAACACAGTACTGGATGTCCTAGCCAGAGCAATAAGGAAAGAGCAAGAAGTAAAAGGCATTAAAATAGGAAAAGAAGTAGTCATGTTTTCTCTCTTTACTGATTATATAATCCTGCACCTAAAAAAGCCCAAAGACTCCACCAAAAGCCCAAAGACTCTAGACCCAATAAATGACTTCAGTAAAGTTTCAGGACACAAAATCAACATACAAACATCAGTAACATATCTCTACACTAATAATGTTCAAGCCGATTACCAAGTAAAGACTGAAATCTTATTTACAATAGCCACACACAAAAAAATACCTAGTAATATATCTAACCAAGAAGGTGAAAGAGCTCTGCAAGGAGAATTACAAAACATTGCTGAAAGAAAGCATAAATGACACAAACAAATGGAAAACATTCCATACTCATGGATTGGAAAAGTGGATATCATTAAAATAGCCATACTTCCCAAAGCAGCCTACATGGTTGCAAAAAAAAAAAAAGAGAGAGAACATTTATCCACTGTTGGTAGGAATGTTTGGCCACTTTGGGAAACAGTTTAGAGATTTCTCAAAGGACTAAATATAAAACAATCATTCAACCCAGCAGTCCTATTATTGGGTATATACCTAAAGGAAAAGAAATCATTCTACCTAAAAGACAACTGCACTCGTATGTTCATTGCAGCACTGTTCACAATAGGAAAGACATGGAATCAACCTAGGTGCCTATCAGTAGTGGACTGGATAAAGAAAATGTACTGCATATATACCATGGAATATTACACAGCAATAAAAAAGAATGAAATCATCCCCTTTGCAGCAGTATAAATGCAGCTGGAGGCCATTATCCTAAGCAAACTAATGCAGAAATAGAAATGCATATATTGCATGTTCTCACTTATAAGTGGGAGCAAAACATTGGGTTTACATGGACATAAAGATGAGAACAATAGACACTGGTTACTCCAGAAAGTGGAAGAAAAGGAGGAGGGCAAGGGTTGAAAAACTACCTATTGGGTACTGATATGGTTTGGCTCTGTGTCCCCATCCAAATCTCATGTGGAATTGTAATCTCCATGTGTCAAGAGAGGGAACTGGTGGGAGGTGGTTGGATCATAGGGGCAGATTTCCCTTTTCCTGTTCTCATGATAGTGTGTCCTCACAAGATCTGGTTGTTTAAAAGTATGTGCTGCTGCTGCCTCCTCCTCCTCCTCCTTCTCCACCTCCTCCTCCTCCTCCTCCTTCTTTCTCCTTCTCCTTCTTTCTCTCTCCCTCTCCTGCCACCATGTAAGATGTGACTTGCTTCCCCTTCGCCTTCCTCCATGATTGTAAGTTTCCTGAGGCCTCCCCAGTCATGCAGAACTGTGAGTCAATTAAACCTCTTTTCCTTATAAATTACATAGTCTCAAGTGGTTATTTATAGCAGTGCGAAAACTGAAAAATACAGGTACTGTGTTCACTATTTGGGTGTCAGGATCAATAGAAACCCAAACCTTAGCATCATGCAATATGTCCTTGCAAGAATCCCACATCTGTGCCCTTGAATCTAAAATTTAAAAGAAAAAGGACAGACACACACACAGATACAAACAGTATTAATTTAGTTTTTCCCTTTACTAAATCCGTCCTAGTGGTAGGTGCCAGCAACGCAATAAGGAACATGACACGTTTCTTGCCTTCAAAGAGTGCACAGCCTCTGTGACAATGCACCATGCAGACTAGGTCTTAGATGTCTCAAACTGGTGGTCTGCAGATAGGTTTTATTTGGTGGGCATACTGTTTGAATTTTTAAAAACTAGATGTTAACATTTTAATATGGAAATTGTCTCACTACATTTAGCTTTATGGCTTCTCTTGGAAGGCCCACGTGGCAACATTGGCTCATCTCCTGCCCACTGGAGAAAGAGCAGCACTCACTTCTCTGCTTTGTGTCTTTGGTCTAGACTTTCGATATTTAAGTTTGAGACCCCTAGACCAGGAGCAGCAAGAGGAGAGCAGTCAATTCTGAAGGGCTGGGGCAGGTGGAGGCTTGAGTGTGACTTCCTAGATGCTGCCCCAGCAGCCCTAGGGGAGATGGTGGCGGCCCACACAGGCCGTGGTTGGGGAGTGGGACATGGTGAGAGACATCTAAACTGGAGGATGGGCTGTGCTTAGGTGTGGCTTTGCAGCATTGTGGAGGTGGAGGTGAACCACAGGTAAGAACCCCAGGTCAAGTTTTCCAGCAGGAATATGAAAATTAAACAGCCTCAGGAAAGACATGAGTTCTGAAGGCCTTTGCATCAAATGTGAATGATGTCACTTGGGGACTGTGGAACTTGTTGAACACAGATTCTGATCCAGCAGCTCTGGGGGATGGGTTGGGGAGGGAGGGAGGGGCTCTGTATTTCTAACAATCTCCTGGTCCCTGGACTACATTTTCAGTAGTTGGAGCTTGGAACAGAAATTGCAATCTGGTGGGCCATGGGCCAATTTGGCCCAGGAAGTGAAGTTTTTCTGGCTTACATGGTATTTAATTTTTTTAAAAATTAGTTGCTAACAGTTTAAAATCAAGTGTTTTGCATAAAATCTGAATTTGTTCCCCCTTCATTTTCTGTCACATCATTGAATTTCTTTTATTTTTTGCATTTTTTATAATTGAAATTTGCTTGTGAATTGATTTTTTTTTTTTTTACTTTTTCATCATGTGCAGGCTGGGATGTTGGCTGTCTTATTTGCCCTGTTACCCTAGAATGTAGAACAATGTCTGGCCCACAGTCTATTCTATATATATATTTATTATTTGACAAATAAATGAGCAAATCTACTTTCTTGCATGAATCACCATAACCTGTACTAGGACTTCTGTAGTATATGCCCCTGGGAATCACCTAGGTTTAGAGAATCTGAGAGACAGGAAGAAAAACAAGGGCAAGAAAGAGTACAGTAGTGCCCCCTTATCCTTGGGAACACTACTGTACTCCCACTGTGCTGTTCCAAGACCCCCAGTGAATGCCTGAAATTACAAATAGTACCAAACCCACCAAACCCTGTATATACTATACTATGCTTTTTTGATCTGATAATTGAGATGGCCACTGAGTGATATTGGGGCCCAGAAACTGATACCCCAAACCACAGTGCTTTGTCATGGTGAGCTGAAGAAGCAGCCTCAAGGTCTCTCTGACCTTCACTATCCTGTCTTCCAATCCTCTGTCTCTCACAAAGCACAGATGAAGTTCTCTGAAGTTCCTTTTTCTGCCTAAAGTCTGACCCACCAAAGAAGGAAACAATTACCTTGGGTTTCTTCCCTGAATTTTAATTAACTGAATGTATATTGCAGGAAGAAAGACGGGAGTTTTTCAATACCCCTGGACGGACTTTTGTCATAAACCATTGTCTGCTCTGTGGGCTCAACAGACTTTGTCCCAGGTCATTGTATGTTCTTTAAGCCCATGGAATTCTCCCCTCATACCCCTCAATCATCCACACTTCCTCACCTCCCTTTGCCCTAAGAAGAAGGGTGTACAACCACCTCTACCCCACTGCCTGGTGCGGTCATCCTGTGTGATATCCCCAACCCCGTGCATGTGAATACATTTGTATGCCTTTTCTCTTATTAATCTGCCTTTTGTTGGTTGATTTTCAACAAACCTTCAAGGGTAAAGGAGAAGTTTTCCTTCGGCCTTGACAGTGACTACCAGATGGGTAGCGTATACAGTGTGGGCACTTGTGGACAAAGGAATGAGTCTTGCTACTCAGAACAGCTCACAATTTGAAACTTATCATTTATTTCTGGAATTTTTCATTCAATCCTTTCAGACCACAGTTCACCCAGGTACTGTAGTCAGAGAACTAGACTGGAGATCAAGGGAGAGGACGCAGAGGGCAAGGGAGGAAAGAGCACAGGTGGGTGGTCAGCCAGGTCAGTGCTGTGGGGTGGAAGTTGGGGGCCTCAGGAGGGGCTGCTGGCCTTCAAGAAAGCAGGAGAGGGAGGCACTGTACTGAAAAGTCTGGGGCTACCAAGAAGGGAAGCAAAAGGGCAGTTTCTCAGGGTTGAAGTTGGGCTTTGGGAAGGTTTTAGGGGGAGCGCAGGTATTTGTGAGCCCATGTTTAAACACAGTAAGGACCCAGTAGTGATAAAAAGAGCAAAGATATAAAAAAGATGGAATAGCAGTAGGTGATGTCCACCTTAGGGCGAGTAGAAGGTTATGATAGGCTACAAGGGAAGAGATTGAAAAGGAGGAAGAAGAAAAATCCTTTCTTTAGGATATGGAGGGGCAGGGAAAGAAAACTCACAAGACATATGTGCTTCTAACAGGTCTCCACTTAGGGAGAGACTCTAAAAACCTCTGATAGAATCTGAACAAGTAGGGAATATGTGGTGACACCGGTGTGGAAATGAGAAGGGCTGTGTCTAGCAAATGTATCCCATGTAATCAATAGTTTCTCCTTTATGGAGTTTGCAATAGCATTGGTATTCTGTCTGACCCTGTTGCCTCCTGTTTCTTTCAAATAATTTTCTAGAAGCACTGGTTTGAGTAATATCTTGATGTTTGAAGAAATATTTGGTAATTGAATAAGAAGAGAGCTGTGTTGTCTAAAGTGATGATGAAAATGGGTAAGGAGAAATGCTGCCACTTGTGAGGTTTATGGGCGGGAGGGTTAAACGGGAAAATTATGAAAAAGCTACCTTAGTCCTCAAGGCCCGTTGTTAGTCCTAATTTTATTGTTTTGTGTTTTCACCTTATGGTGCTCAATAAATATTTGTTCAGTGAACAAATAAATGTAAGGTCAGACTCTGCACACAAGTCAAAGAAATCTTGTTTCCTGGCAAAGCTAGCTGAATTAAGTGCAGGTTTCCACAATCACCTCTCCTGGCTCCGTTTTATTTCAGCTGTAGGGGATCTGAGAGACTGTAGCCCAGGTTTTCCGTCAAAGCATTAAGTGGAAATATTTCCCTACGAGAAGGCTGCCCTGGGTGTCATGTCCAGGCTCCTGGCCTCCTGTGGACTCACCCCGCCTGGTGTCCTGGTGACCTGGGCCATCTCAGGTTGCTCTCATCAGCCTGGCAAGTGAGGGCCTGACAGAGGCACTAAAGGGTTTCTTCTGGAGTCTGGCTGATTTCACCTCCTGGCTTTGCCTAGTTAGATCGGAGAAGTCACTTCACTTCTCGTTGTCTCTATTAGTTCTCTGTAAAATGGGTATAATAATAGTTCCTCTCTCACGGGATGGTTTTTGAAGATTAAATAAGGTAATTCAGGTAAAGCATGCAGAAGGGTGTCTCGCACACAGTACTCGGTAGATGTTAGCCATTATTATTGGAAGCTACAGCTGCCTTTGATCAATAATAAAAACAAATACTACATTTGACATTCTTTGAAAATACACTGTGTGTGTGCCAGCATCCTGGCACAGGTGAGGTGCGCCTGAAAGGGGAAATGATTTGCCCAAGGCAGTGCCCCTAGGAATGGCCGAAGTCCGTCTAAACACCATGTCTTCTGACTCTCAATCCAGTGTCTTTCCCACTCTCCCTCATTTCCAGGCATGGCTTGCTCGTTTTTCAAAAATCATCTCCAAGGATGTCCCAGTTCAACTTCGCCCCAGTTGCTCCAGCGCAGCCCCACGCCAGAACTTGAGCGAGAGCAGCGGTCCGCCTGCCGGGAGGGGGCGCTTGGCGGGGCGGCGGGGCGGGGCTCTCACCGGTACGAGCTCGGCCGCCCGTCCAATCAGAGGCGCCGCGCCGTCCGCGGGAATTTGAAGTGCCTGACTGGGTGGCCGGGAGACGGAGTCTCGGGGTCGCGTGCACCTGGGCGGCCAGGGAGGCTCCAGTGCCCGGGAGAAAGGTGAGCGCCCGCCGGGCCGGGCCAGGAGCCGCTCCCTAGTGAGGCCTGGGCGTCCGGCCCCTCGGGGGGCGCCCGGGCCGGGGCCTTGGGACTCGGCGGGCCAGGACGTCGGGGTCGGGAAGGACCCGGGGCGGGGCTTCCCTCTCTGCCTCAGCTTCCCCGAGACTGCAGAGAGTTGGGCTGCGCCAGGGGCTCCCCACCTGGGTGGGCTTCAAGGAACTGCCGCGAGCCGTGGAGCGAGGGCTCCGCTTTTCCAGCTCCATCTCCGCGGAGATCTGAGCCATTCGCTCTCCCGAAGATAAAGGCAGCTGGAACCCTGGGCCCACGCAGCTGTCCTGATCGTCCGGGGCAGAGCGACCCCAAGTCGGGCGAGCAGCCTGCGGACGGGGTCCAGAAATGGAACCGGGTCCCCTTGTTCTCGGTCCTTTCTGCCTCCTCACTCCTCAGGTAGATTCCTTCCCCCCGCTTCCGTTCCCCCGCCCCCGACATTTTAAACTGGGTCACGTTTTTACTTTAACACGTTCAGTTGTATCGTGTAGTGGAAAGAGCCGCTGCGAAGTGAAAAGGCCTAAGTGTGACTTAATTCCACCACTGACCCACCTTTCCAACTAGCAAAAGTCGCCGGGCCGCAGTTTTCCCATCTAAAGACGGAGCCAGTGGCTGTCCTTGTGGTGAAGACGCAGTGAAACACTGTGCGAAGGGGAATATTTTTAAAGTGGCTGTAAATAAAGAAAAATTCTAAATAATATCACCTATGTGGAAAATAAAGCAGAACTGAGAGAAAAAGAGCAGCGTAGTGGTTGCTAGGGGCTGCAAGTGGGAGAAATGGGGAAGATGTGGGTCAAAGAGTACAAAGTTGAGTAAGTTCTGGGGATCTAGTGTGCAGCTTGGTAACTGTAGTTAATGACACTACTGTGTACTTGAAATTTGCCGAGAGTGAGACGTGTTCTCAGCGCACAAATGCGAGGTGATGGAAATGTTAATTTGCTTTATGGTGGCAATCATTTCATAATGTATATCAAAACATCACATTGTACCCCTTAGATTATACAATATTTTTATTTACTTCAGTAAAGCTGGAAAAACAAAATAGCTGTAAAGAGTGGTGCCGAAGTAAGGTATATTTAACAAATATACATATATACTGTGTAATTGGCACTGTAGTAAATGGTTAACAAGTAATTTCTTTAATTCTCTTAATTTAATTGAAGTAAGCATACTATTTTTATCTTCTCTTTATAGGCAAGAAAACTGAGGCACAGAGAGATTGTCACACAGCCAGTAAGGTGTTGATGCCCTCTAAGGCTCATGCGTGTCAGTGTTTGTGAACAGTAGTAGACCCTTGCCTGCTTTGATCGTCTCATGTGTGGGATCAAGTAATTCTGGGGGCCTGAGCTGGGACAAAGGAATGGAAGGAAGGAGAAAGGGAAAGGAGAAAATCAAAGGTGGTGGAGGAAGAAAGACTGCTGCTAATTACCGTCTCAGACACCTTCCTTGAAACCACCTTCGGAAACTACTCTGCCAGTCTAAGTGCTACCCTCAGCATTGCTTATTTAGTGGTCATTTCGGTTTTTGTTTTTTTTTTTTTGAGACAGAGTCTCGCTCTGTCGCCCAGGCTGGAGTGCAGTGGCATGATCTTGGCTCATTGCAAGCTCCGTCTCCCAGGTTCACGCCATTCTCCTGCCTCAGCCTCTCAAGTAGCTGGGACTACAGGCGCCCGCCACCACGCCCAGCTAATTTTTTGTATTTTTAGTAGAGGCGGGGTTTCACCGTGTTAGCCAGGATGGTCTCGATCTCCTGACCTCATGATCCGCCCGCCTCGGCCTCCCAAAGTGCTGGGATTACAGGCGTGAGCCACCGTTCCCAGCCGTCATTTCGTTTTTTAAAAACATCTTATTACACAGAATTAGATACGCCACTGGCTGAATCATGCCTTATGAAACATAATTACATACAGCCCAAACCTAATGTGATTTGCATTTTCTGATCTTTTCCTTAGACACAGTCATTGAAATTAATGAGGAGGAACCTAGTAGTCTTAGTGAAGTAAACCTTATGCATTATTAAGAATCTCTCATCCCTGTTTATTGAGGAGCCATTGGCAGACTGATATTGTAGAAAATAAAGAGAGGCTTCAGCCCGTTGGAGAGGGAGTATAGGAAATCAGCTCTCTCTTTTAATGCTGCTTTGTGGAAGTGTTTGGGAGAAAAAAAAATAACAGATACTTGACTGTTATAACTTACTAACTATAGTAAAGATAGTTACTTCTAGGGAGAAGAACTTAGGTGGTTTCCACTGGATTAAAAAACAACCTTATTTCTCTGCTTTCCTCCAAATCCCCACATAACAACAAAAACCTAACTTGTGAAAGATCTTAAGCTCTTACTGTTTTTAAGTAGAACTTGGATTTTCAGATATTTTTTAAGTTCGTAAAGCTGTTTCTTCTGACAATAATAGAGATAAATAGAGCATTCATACTCAAATCCTTGTTGGTTTGGAATTTCAAGCAAGGATGTGAAGACAGAAGCACTCTACGAGCACTGGAAGTATCTGGGATACTTGTGCCTGCTTATCGTTTTTGTTTTTTTAGGTTTCTTTCAAAATGAAGATTCACGCAGTGATTGTAACTGTCTTGATGAGCCAGGTTGTAGTTTACAAAGTTTTATTCCAGAAGGAAAAAAGCCACTTCACCTAGAAATTTTGCAAACAAATCAACTTTTACTCTGTGAGTAATCCAGGGCCTATCAAGACTACATTTTAGGTGAGTAGGTTCTCTTTTTTGTTTCTTTTCTGCTTTTTTTTTTTTTTTTTTTTTTTTTTGGTGATAGAGTCTTGCTTTGTCACCGAGGCTGGAGGGCAGTGGCACGATCTTGGCTCACTGCGACCTCTGCTTCTTGGCTCAAGCCATCCTCCCACCTCAGCCTCTTGAGCAGCTGGGACTACAGGCATGCACCACTACACCTGGCTAATTTTTGTATTTTTTCTAAAGAGAGGGTTTTGCCGTGTTGCCCAGGCTGGTCTTGAACTCCTGAGCTCTAGTGATCTGCCCACCTCGGCCTCCCAAAGTGCTGGGATTACACACGTGAGCCACCGTGCCTGTCCTTTTTTGCTCCTTTTATCTTTTTAGTTTATAAGCAGACTGCCTATCTCAGTCCCTCAGATTGCCAGTTGTTGGTTCTGAGAAAATGGATTTAAGTGGATTTATTAACTTCCCTCTGCTTTATGCATTCTCACTTCTTCCTGTGTTTAATTTGTTTGTAGTTGACTGCAAGGCCTCTGAGGCACGGGAATTCACAGCTGAGTTCTTGGAGAAGGTCCTTGAGCCATCTGGATGGCGGACAGTCTGGCACATGATGTGCTCAAGGTGCTGCTTGAGGTAAAGTTAATTTTGTTGTTAAGACATTTGTCTCAAGCTATAAGCACTTTACTTCAGACTCTTAGAGCCAAAGTGCTTATTTTTAATTAAAGTTTATGAGCTGATTGAAATAGCATGTTTTTCACATCTAATTGCTATGGTGTAGGAAGTGTTCCGCAAATTTTAAAGGCAGCTGAGGAGGAGCTACCAGGGAATTAAAGTGGCTTAAGTTTCAGCGTCCTTTGACAAGGGGAACTGGATTATAAACCTATGAAGTGGAGGAAGTATTTGAGATCATTTAAAAAATGAGGAGGCCTAATTATGAAGTCAACAGTTTCCATTAATTTTTTACCTTCTTAGTTGTAGCCCATTAAGTAACTCAAACCAAAGAGGCATTTTAAAACTATCCCATTTTTGCCTAGTAAATTTGTAGATATGTGGTTAATCTTTTGATAATGTGTCTCATTGCAGAAAGTAAAAACAATCTTATTTTTCAACTGACTGGGCCTTTTACATTAAATTTGCACTCCAATTACAGCTGTGAATTTTTCTCAGTGTTTGTTAACTGAACCACAAAAAGTCCTGTTAAGCTAAAATGTTAAACCAGGGGGTGTGTATACAAGTTGTTGCTGCAGCTCCTTTAGAAAATGGCATTGCATACTGCAGTGATTATGAACGAGGCAGTGGGTTGCAGCTGTTCCTTGTGAGTTTTTAAGTTTTGGATTATGCTGATATCTTCAGTTGAAGTTCTGGCCTTTTCATTGGGTTATGATAGTGCCCACCCCTCCTGCCCCCATCACTTCTCTAAAAGCAGTCAAAGTCATTGTTTTAAAAGAGAAGTGTACAATTTCTCTGCTTAAAACTACTAATGCATTGCATTTACCGAGGGTCCCGTGTTGGCTTTATGGCTTCTCATGGTGCTGGAGAACATGTAAAATCCAAGCGCCAGATGCTCTATATGTCCTGGTCTTTTTGCCTTTCTCTCCTACCTCATCACTTACTGTTTCTCCCCTGCTCCCAGTTTCCTCCCTTTGGCTCTAGCAAGAAGGACTGCCTTTCTGCTCTTTCAGTGGCCAAGCCCCTCTCGACCACAGGCCTTTTGCGTCTTCCCTGCTCTTTGGATGGCTGCTTCCTTTTCATTCTCAGCGCAGAGGTGACTTCGCCTGGCCATCCCAGCAAAACCAGATCACCACCCCTGCTAGTTACTCTCTGTCACCTACTCATCACTATCTTGTTTATTTACCCCCTTGATTACAATGTAAGTTCCATGAGCTAAAAGCCAGGCCTCTCATGTTTATCCTTTATGGAAGGATAGGCTTCCATAATGGAAGAAGCATCCCTGCCCCTATTGCATGCTTTAAAAAAATCAGGCTGTCAGTAGTGTTTTATACGTGGAGCTTAATTTTGATTTCCACGTGTTAAGTCACATTATTTTACATTTTAGGCCACAGATGTGGACATTTCAGCCTTGAAGGCAGTGGTGCAGCTTGCTGAGCCATACCTCTGTGAATCTTGAGCGAGTACTTTCACCTTGGAGTGTGTGAAAGAGCTCCTCGAGCTGAAGGAACATCAGTTGCCCCTGAAGGAGCTGGGTGGTGTTTGATGATTCTGGAGACAGCACTTGTAACTTGTAACTGAGCATGTCAGCTAGGAAGGTAAGTTGATAAAAATAACTTTGTGGCCAGAAATTTTGGATGAATTGAAGTAATTCTGGTCTGTGTTAGACCCAGCTTTAAAATTCAAACTGTAAACTTGGTCATGGCAATATTTTAAAATATTCAATGATAGGATAATCTTTTTAAATTAAAAAAAAGTTTTAAATCATTTGGGATAATTTCAAACTCACAGAAAAGTTAACAAAAATAGTACAGTACAAAGCATTCCTGTTTGTCTTTTACCTGGTATCCCCAAATGTTAACAAAAGGTAGGGGATTCTTAATTTGGTTTGTGTATATTTAGAAACTGACTTAAAAGTTATGGATGCTAAGGCTTATGGTTGGTATATTTGAGTCTAAAAGGACAGAAAGAGGAAAGGAAGGAAAGCAAAGAAGTTTGTGTACCATGATGATGATGTATGCACTGATTAAACTAATACACATTTTCTTCAAGGAGGTATCTGGTCAGAGAAGGTGTTTTCTGAGGCTGCTTCCTGGATCCCTAGGGTTTGTGTTCCTGCCATTCAGCCTATTTGGCAGTTATTTCCACCTGTACAAACAGACCCTTTGTCCCTTACATGAGAAAGAAAGCCCACACCTGGATTCATATTAATAGGTATGATTTAAAATTTTTTTCAGATAAATCTTCTATCAGATAGTGTCTGATACAGATAGTTCTTTTGGATTTTCTATATGTAAGTACATTCACTAAAGAAGTCTACTTTTAGCCATGTAAAAATGGACTTATATTCCTCTAGTAAGTGGAAGACTGGCTAATGCAACGATCATAATGTTAATAATGTTGCTTGGTGTTTTGTAGTTTTGAAAGTACTTTCCTGTTTCTATACCATTTGTCAGTTAACCTGGTTTTGCCAAGCTTAGTTTAAATACTCGATAAAGAAGCAGAGTGCCTCAGATGCCGCTTCCGACATCTTATGGACAATCTCTAATTGCATGCAAGAACATTTAACCCTGGGTATTCAGTATTAAGCCAAGCAATATAAATCTAAAGAACTGGTTTCTGTCCAGGACCAAAATGACTCTGTTATGTTTCTCTTGCTTTAAAATAGTCTGTCAGTTGAAGCATTTGAAGGTGAAGGGATAACTGATGAGTTTAGGAAATTAGAGAGGATGCCAATCTCTATGGGTATAGAAGTTGGTAGAAAGACAAGTACCTGGAACTGGTAAGAGTTCCTGTTAAGGAAGAGGAGCCTGGTTACATTTACTCTCCATGTTGAGGACTCAGATTCTGGTCGGTGCCTAGAGAAGGTCAAATTATGAGGGTTTTCATTTGCCCATTGATTCAATAAGTGTGGAGTGCTGGGTTCTCAGCTGAGGGTGGGGTATGACTGGTGCACAAAACCAACACCCTTGTCGGGGAGCTGCCAGTCTAAAGGTGGGAGGTGAAGCTTTATAGAATAGTCACATAAGGATGCAGATGCAATTGGAAGCGGCCGTGAGCACCGTGAAGAATTGCAGAGTGTCCTAAGACTGGGTCAGGTTGCTGTTCTGTGCTTATTTCCTGAGGAAATGACATTCAAATTTGGGTGTAAAAGGTGAAAGGAATGGCAGGTGAAAGGGGTGGCAGAGATGGGGGAACCGGTTCAGGAACTCAGTGGCTTTGAGGAGCTGCAAGGTCAATGTGGCCAGAACACAGTGCTGGGAGAGTCCTGTGGACTCTCAGCCAGGGTAGAGAGGTTGGCAGGGCTCAGACGGTGCAGGGCTTTGTCTCCCAGTGAATCATTTTGTAAGAGCATGAAAAGCCATGGAGGGATTTTTATTCTGGGGTCAATATGACTTGCTTTGTGTTTTAAAAGGTTCGTTCTGGCTGCTGTGTGGAAAACAAGTGGAGGGAGATGGAATAGGGAGGTGGGGATATGGAGGGGTCTAGAGTGGGGATATGGAGAGATCTAGAGTGGCGGATATGGAGGGGTCTAGAGTCAGGATACGGAGAGCACTAGAGTGGGGGATATGGAGGGATCTAGAGTGGGGATATGTAGGGGTATAGAGTGGGGATATGGAGGGGTCTAGAGTGGGGATATGGAGGGGTCTAGATTCAGGATACGGAGAGCACTAGAGTGGGGGATATGGAGGGATCTAGAGTGGGGATATGTAGGGGTATAGAGTGGGGATATGGAGGGGTCTAGAGTGGGGATATGGAGGGGTCTAGAGTGGGGGATATGGAGGGGTCTAGAGTGGCGATATGGAGGGGTCTAGAGTGGGGATATGGAGGGGTCTAGAGTGGGGATGGAGGCTTATTGAGAAAGTAGAATAGCTGGGCCTTGGTTGTCGAACAGTTATGGGGGATGAGACATGAGTGGATGTGGAAGTCAAGGCTGATACTCATGTTTCTGGCTTAAAGGAATAAAGACTGGGGAGGTGTAGATGTGAATGATGTGTAAGTGCCTGGCATGGTACTGGTGAGGAGGATGTCTGAGCTGAGTCATGGGTTGTAAATACAGGCTTACCAGGTGGAGAAGGAAGACACTTCCAGCAGGCTGACCAACATGTTACATGGAGGTTAGAAAGAGCTTGTGAAATTGACAGTTTACCCACAAGGGCTCTCAGGCAAGGGAGGTAATTGGAGTTAAATTATGAATCCATGTTATATTATCACGTTTAGGACTTCATTTTGAGGGCCGCAAAGAGCTGGCAGAGGTTTTTTTTGAATTGAGTAAAGGCATGCTTAGATTCATTAAAAAAAAAAAAAATAGACTCTAGAGGGTGAAGAGACTGACAGCCCAATCCATAAGAATTAAAAGATGGCTGGCTTCATTTTTAGTGCTCCTTTCTTTTCACACAGAACTTTTTGAAAGAGTTATATATAGTCACAGACAGACAGTCTGTACTTCTTGGCATCCCAGTAACACTTCTACTCTGACTTCACCATGAAAATTGTGCTCAAGATTATCAAGGACTTCCATGTTCTCAAATCCAGTTGACACTTCTCTGATCTCATCCTGCTTGACCTCTTGACTGTATTCTAGGTGTTTGATCATTTCTATTTTTTTATTTTTTTATTTTTAATTTTTGTGGGTACATAGTAGGTTTATATATTTATGGGTTACATGAGATGTTTTGATACAGGCATGCAATGTGAAATAATCACATCATGGAGAATGGTGTATCCTTCCTTCAAATGCTTATCCTTTGTGTTATAAACAATCCAATTAGACTCTTTTCGTTCTTTTAAAATGTACAATTATGTTATTATTGACTATAGTCACTCTGTTATACTGTCAACTAATAGGTTCTATTCATTCTTTCTAATTAACCATCCCTACCTTCCCCTCATCCCCCAACTACCCTTTTAGCCTGTAGTAACCATCCTTCTATCCTCTCTCTCCATAAGCTCAATTGTTTTGATTATTAGATCCTACAAATAAGTGAAAACATGCAATGTTTGTGTTTCTGTGCCTGGCTTATTTCACTTAACATAATGATCTCCAGTTTCATCCATGTTGTTGCAAATGATTCATTCTTTTTTATGGCTGAATAGTATTCCATTGTGTAGAAGTCCTACATTTTCTTTATCCGTTCGTCTGTTGATGGACACTTAGATTGCTGCCAGATCCCAGCTATTGTAAACAGTGCTGCAAATAAACGTAGGAGTGCAGGTATCTTTTCAGTATACTTATTTTCCTTATTTTGGATATATACCCAGGAGTGGTATTGCTGGATGATATGGTAGCTCCATTTTTAGTTTTTTGAGGAACTTCCAAACTGTTCTCCATAATTATTTTACTAATTTACATTCTCACCAACAGTGTAGGATGGTTCCCTTTTCTTTTTCTTTTTTCTTTTTTTTTTGAGATGGAATTTCCTTCCTGTTGCCCAGGCTGTAGTGCAATGGCGCGATCTCTGCTCACCACAACCTCCGCCTTCCAGGTTCAAGCGATTCTCCTGCCTCAGCCTCCCGAGTAGCTGGGATTACAGGCATGTGCCACCATGCCCAGCTAATTTTGTATTTTTAGTAGAGACGGGGTTTCTCCATGTTGGTCAGGCTGGTCTCGAACTTCCAACCTCCAGGGATCCACCCGCCTTGGCCTCCCAAAGTGCTGGGATTACAGGCATGAGGCACTGTGCCTGGCCTGGTTCCCTTTTCTTAACATCTTCGCCAGCATTTGTTATCGCCTGTGTTTTGGATATAAGACATTTTAACTGGGGTGAGATGATATCTCATTGTAGTTTTGATTTGCATTGCTCTGGTGAACAATGACGTTGAGCACCTTTTCATATGCCTGTTTGCCATTTGTATGTCTTCTTTTGAGAAATGGCTATTCAAATCTTTTGCCCATTTTTTTATTATTAGATTTTTTCCTATAGAGTTGTTTGCAGCCCCGTGTATATTCTGGTTATTAATTTCTTGTCAGATGGGTAGTTTGCAAATATTTTCTCCCATTCCATGGGTTGTCTCTTCACTTTGTTGATTGTGTCCTTTGCTATGCAGAAGCTTTTTAACTTGATGTGATCCCATCTGTCCATTTCTGCCTTGGTTGCCTGTGCTTGTAGGGTATAACACAAGAAGTTTTTGCCCAGACCAATGTTCTAGGGAAAACCCTAATGTTTTCTTGTAGTAGTTTTGTAGTTTAAGGGTTTTTTTTTTATATATAATTTAAGGTTTTAGATTTAAGTCTTCATTTGGATTTGATTTGTGTGTATAGTGAGAGATAGGAGTCTAGTTTCCTTCTTCTGCATATAGATAACCAGTTTTCCCAGCACCAGTTATTGAAGAAGCTGTCTTTTTCCCAGTGTATGTTCTTGGCACCTTTGTGGAAAATGAGTTCGCTTATGTGTGGGGATTTGTTTTTTGGTTCTCTATTTTTTATCATTGGTTTATGTGTCTGTTTTTATGCCAGTCCCTGAAGTTTGGTTACTATAGCTCTGTAATATAATCACGAGGTCAGGAGATCGAGACCATCCTGACTAACACGGTGAAACCCCATCTCTACTAAAAATACAAAAAATTAGCCGGGCGCGGTGGCGGGTGCCTGTAGTCCCAGCTACTCGGGAGGCTGAGGCAGGAGTATGGTGCGAACCCGGGAGGCGGAGCTTGCAGTGAGCCGAGATCGGGCCACTGCACTCCAGCCTGGGCAACAGAGCAAGACTCCGTCTCAAAAAAATAAATAAATAAAAAAAATTAAAGTCAGATAATGTGATTCTTCCAGTTTTGTTCTTTTTCCTTATGATAATACTGAATCTGTAGATTGCTTTGGATAGTATGGACATTTTAACAAAATTGCTTCTTCCATTCCATGAACATGGAATATTTTTCCTTTTTTTGGTGTTCTCTTTCTTTCATCACTGTTTTATAGTTTTCATTATAATCTTTCACTTCTTTGGGTAGTTCCTAGGTATTTAATTTTATGTGTAACTATTTTAAATGGGGTTACTTAAATTTTTTTCAGATTGTTCACTGTTGGCATATAAAAATGCTACTGATTTTTATATATTGATTTTGTATTCTGCGACTTGACTGAATTTATCACTTCTAGTAGTTTTTGGGTGGAGTCTTTAGGTTTTTTTCAAATATAAGATCATATCACTTGCAAACAAGGTAATTTGACATCTTCCATTCCAACTTGGATGCCCTTTATATCCTTCTCTTGTCTGATTGCTGTAGCTAGGACTTATAGTACTGTGGTGAATAACACTGGTGAAAGTGGGCATCCTTGTGTTCCGAATCTTAGAGGAAAGACTTTCAGTTCTCCACATTCAGTATGATAAGAGCTATGGGTCTGCTGTATATGGCTTTTATTATGTTGAGGTATGTTCCTTCTATACCCAGCTTTTTGAGAGTTTTTATCATGAAGGGATGTTGAATTTTATGAAATGCCTTTTCAGCATCAATTGAAATGATCATATGGTTTTTATCCTTCATTCTGTTGATATGATATGTCACATTGATTTGTGTATGTTGAACCATCCTTGCATCATGGGGATACATTACATTTTGTTATGATGAATGATCTAATATATTAGCGAATTTGGTTTGGTAATGTTGAGAATTTTTCAATAAGTATTCATCAGAGATATTGGCCTGTAGTTTTCTTTCTTTTTTTTCTTTTCTTTTCTTTTTTTTGATGCGTCTTTGTCTGATTTTGATATCAGGGTAATACTGGTCTTGTAGAATGAGTTTGGAAGTATTCCCTCCTCTGCTATTTTTTGGAATAGTTTGAGGAGGATTGGTAAAACTCAGCAGTGACGCCATCAGTCCCGAGCTTTTCTTTACTTGGAGATTTTTTATTATAGCTTTGATATTGTTACTTGTTATTGGTCCATTCAGGTTTTAGATTTCTTCCTGATTAAATCTTGATTGGTTGTATATATCTAGAAATTTGTCCATTTCTTCTGTATTTTCTGATTTATTGGTATATAGTTGCCTATACTATCCAACAATGATACTAGGAATCAAATTCTTTGAATTTCTGCAATATCAGTTGTAATGTCTCGTTTTTCATTTTTGATTTTATTTATTCGTATCTTTTTTTTTCTTTTTTTTAGTTTGGCAATGTCAATTTTGTGTAACTTTTTAAAAAACAACCTTTTGTTTCATTGATGTTTTGTATTTTCATTTCAGTTTTATTTATGTCTGCACTGATCTTTATTATTTATTTTCTTCTAATTTTGGGTTTGGTTTGCTCTTGCTTTTCTAGTTCTTTAAGATGCATTGTTAGATTATTTATGTGGAGTTCTTCCTCTTTTTGATGTAGGCACTTATAGCTATAAACTTTCCTTTGAGTACTGCTTTTACTGTATCCCATAGGTTTTGCTATATTGTATTTCCATTATGATTTGTTTCAAGAAATTGTTCAATTTTCTTCTTAATTTCTTCATTAACTCTCTGGTCATTTAGGCGCATATTGTTTGATTTCCATGTATTTGCATAGTTTCCAAAATTCCTCTTGTTATTGATTTCTAGTTTTATTCTATTGCGGTCAGAGAAGATGCTTGATATTATCTCAGTTTTTTTGAATGTTTGAAGACTCGAAGGTACTGCCTTCATGGTCTTGAGCAAGATCCGGGAGAATTCTCTGGATTACCAGGCAGAGACTCCTGTTCTCTTCCCTTACTTTCTCCCAAGCAGAGTTTCTCTTCTGAGTCACCTAAAGTTGAGGGTGGAGTGACACAACCACCCCTGTGGCCACCACCACTGTGACCGCACTGGGTCAGACCTGAAGCCAGCACAGCACTGAGTCTCACCCAAGGCCTACTGTAACCACATCCTGGCTACTGCCTATGTTTGCTCAAGAACCTGGGGCTTAACAGTCAGCAAGTGACAAAGCCAGCCAGGCCTGTGTCCTTCCCTTCAGGGTGATGAGGTCCCCCAGGCTCCAGGTGGATCCAGAGGTGTCATCTTGAAGTCAGGGACTAGAGTCAAAGCCTTAGACGTCTACCTGGTGTTCTGTTGTACTGTGGCTGAGCTGACACTCAAACCACAAGATGCAGTCCTTCCCACTCTTCTGTCCGCTTTCCAAAAGCAGAGGAGCCTCACCCTGTAGCTACCACCATCCCAGGCCACAAGGACTACTGCCAGACTATTGCTGATGTTCCTGTAAGGCCCCAGGTCTCTCGACTCAGTTGGTGGTGAATGCTGCCTGGCCTGGGACTCACCCTTCAGGGCAGTGGGCTTCCCTCCCTCTGACCCAGGACAGGTCCAGAAATGCCATTCAAGAATCAAGTCCCAGAATTAGGGACACTAATAGCCCGCTGGGTACTCTACCCTGCTGTGGCTGTGCTAGTACCTAAGGTGAGAGACGAAGTCCCCTTTACTTTTCCCTCTGCTTTTCTCAAGCTGAAGGAGACTTGGCCTGTGGCCCACCACAGCTGGGAATGTGCTGAGTCTCCCCTGAAGCCAGCAAGTCTCAGTGGCTCATCAAGGCCCTTGACGTAGTACCTGGGTATAGCTGCTGGTTATTCAGGGTCCAAGGGGTCTTCAGTTGGCAGGCGATGAATGCTGGCAGGACTGGGTCCTTTCCTTCAAAGCAGTGGGTTCCTTGTAACCCAGGATGTGTCTAGAAATGTCATTGGGGGTTGGGAGTTAGGGCCTGGAATGCGGCATGGGGAAGCCTCACAACTCTGGCTGGTGACCTATCCTGCTGTGGCTGAGCTGGTATCCAAGATGGAAGATGAAGACCTCCCCACTCTTCCCCCTCCTCTTCTCAAGTGGAGGGATGGGGTCTCCTTTAGAGCTGTGAGCTGTGCAGTCTGGGTTTAGGGGAGGGGTGATGCCAGCACTCCGGTAGACACCCCAGCTGATGTCTCAGTAGGTTGTGTGCCCCCACCAAGTCCACTGTGTCTCTGTGTTTCTGGGCCCAGTTCAGCCCTAGGACTCACCTAAGAGTCGCAGTCCTTATGGCCTAGTGTGCCTGTCAAGTTTACTTAGAGACACAAAGTGCTTTAGCCCTCAGTGGCAAGGTTTGCAGGATCTCAAGTTTGGACTGCTGGGATGAGTGATTCCGCTCTGGCTGGGGCTGGTTTAAATGCCGCCTCCATAGGTGAGTGTCAGCTGAGTTTGGTCTAGTTTTCCTTTCTGCTGTGGCAGGACAGCTCAGTTTAATGCCTTACAATTGCAGTGCTCTCCCTCCTGCAGCACCCAGATATGCTCTCTGTACCACACAGGATGGTGGGTGAGGGGTGGCATCGGCGATTCAAGACTGTTTTTTCTATCTCTTCCATGCCTCTTTTCAGTGATATGAAGTTAAAACCAGGTGCTATAGGTGCTCACGTGATTTTTAGTTCTTACCAAAGAACTGGATAGTTGTTAAATTGGTGTCCTTGCACAGAGAATGATCAGAGGAGCCTTCTTTTCCACTACCTTGCTCTGCCTCCTCCATTCCCATCTTAACACACTCTCCTCTCAGCCTCTACGACAGCACTATTCATTTGGTGTCTCACCGGCTTGGTTTTCTAGTCATCTTGCCTAGCTCTTCTCTCATGCTCTAACTTTTTAGAGTGTTCGAGTTACCAAGGGATCAATCCTATTACTCTTCTTTTTCTCATCTACTCTACCTTGGAACCACATTATAATAACTTGGGGATTTTCCTTATAGACACATCCAACCACTACATGAAGAAGGAATGATAGAATATCCATATTTTGTAACCACTAATGAAATAAAGGTTGTAGGCAGTGATCCTCAATGACTGCTGTAATCTTTAGGTGAAAAACTAATAGAGAACTTCATAGTGGGTGAATCAGGCTGACAACACCTGAATCCATTGATCAGTCTTAACCTCACAAAAAGAGATGGCTAGGCGTTATAGAAGTCTTCACTTACTGTTGTCGACAGGTTCTTGGAAACTTCAACTTTAAGCGAAATTACAAAACCAATGTTACCATAGGCTAATAGATACAAACAAAAGTTAAAGTTCCTATGGCCTATTTCTGGTCACAAAAACATCACCAAACTTCTAAATAAAGACCAAAAACAATTTTAATCTTGAACATTGAAATAAATGTGAATCCTGTATACATATAAGAAAGATTATAAAAACAAAATAATTATTTACCCAATTTTTGGTGAATCAGTGAGTCACGGCAGTCATGGTGGTGGTTGGTCAAATTGAGGAATAAATGTCGGCAAAGTAAAAATTGTAAGGAGTACCCTTTACCACCACGTGGTTCAAACCGTCACCAACTTGATGGACTCGCTGAGTGATTTTATACTGCATTGTTTATTGTTGTGCATTTGTATGATTATTGTCTAATTTAAGATTTTTTATTTGACAATAATTCATATTCATTCTTTCATTTTCCAACCTGCTTATTCCAGTTCAGGGATGCAGGTGGCCAAAACCTATCATGGCAGCTTAGGGTGCAAGATAGGAACCAGCATGAGACACAATGCCACTTCATCCCAGGGTGCACTCACACCCACACTCAGACTGGGACGATGTCGACACACCAGTTCAGCTAGCATGCTCATCTTTCGTATGCACATCTTTATGATGTGGGAAGCCAGAGTACCTGTAGAAAACCCATGCAGACATAGGAAAAACATGAAAACTCCACACAGACTGCGACTATGGCCAGGAATTGATGTTTATTCCCTTATATAGTGAAAGGCATTCAATGAAAGGCTGATATTAGAGGACTTGCTATATGTGCTTCCCGATGCAAGTACATCATACCTCACTTGAAGTATTCCTGCCAAAAAGTCTTTCCTGAAGCCCATCAAGCTCTAGATCTTACTATCAGTTTACTAGAAAGGAAAGAAACAGAAAAACATGTTAAATGACCCCATGGATAAGTAATCAACAAAATTCAGTGTGTGTGAAACTATTAAATAAATTACAAGGGTAAAAAGAGCAAGGGGTAATGTATAGAATAAAAGTGATTTAAGAGACGCATCCATTAAGGGCCACAGCTGGCCTTGTTTGGATCCTAATTTGAACAAGTCAACTGTAAAACAACAACAGCAAAAGAGAAAATTAGGAAAATTTGAGTACTGACTGGATATTTGGTAATATTAAGAAATTAAAACTTTTTTGGCATAAGGATTTATTTTAGAGCTACATACTAAAAATTTGTGAATGATTTGATACATCTGAGATTTGCTTCAAAATAAGCCAGGGTCAGGATGATGAGAGGAGAGGAGCAGAGGGTAGGTTGGTGAGGTAGAGATGAAATAAGATTTCTCCCAAGTGGGTAATTCTTGAAGTTGGCTGATGGATACATGATATTCATGATACTATTTTATCTGTTGTATGTTTAGAATTTTTTGTAATAAAAATTTGTTAAAGTGCTTAGAGAGCTTTAAAAAACATGTGAATGCTAACCCCCTTCCCTCCGCAGATATCTGATTTATTGGTCTGGGATAGGGAATCAATTTTTTAAAGTATCCCGGGGGACCCTAATGTGCAACCAGGGTTGAGAACTGCTGCTTTATATTATGTCCCTAGATGATCTCATTTACTGCTTTAAAACTATTAATATGCTGACACCTCCCAGATTTATGTCTCTAGCCCTGACCTTTCCCTGGATCTCTGGGCTTGTATATTTCTCTGTACATTTGACGTCATTACTGGGAGGTCAGATAGGCATCTCAGCCTGAACATGGCAAAGACACAACTCTTCATTTTGAACCCCAAACCTGTTTCTCTCCCAGTGTTTTCTATCTCAACAAATGGAACTACTACCTGCCCAGTTAGAGATGGTCAATAAATACTACTTCTGATAAAAAGAAAGTTTTAAAAAAATGAGTGTTATAGAAAAACCCCTCTAGCTGATTCAAAGAAGGTCTTTATCTTGTGTGACTCAACTGATAACCATAGCAAATATGCAGCATTCTCTGAGATATGAGAATTGCTTTGATTTATTCTTTAGCTCTCATCCCTCCAGAATCCTAACATTTGGAGCCAGTGATTAAATTTGAATGATATTAAGTTATTTTTCAGGTTTTTCTACCAGAACATTTGGAAGAGTTGGGATGAAGAAAAGGATGATGCATATGATTGTTTTGTCAGACGTGTTAAACCTCAATTGAGATTGTGTTTATTACTGACCTTGTACATATTGAAAAAATAGTTACCATGGCTTAATTTTACCTTTGTGAGACACACACATGCGCAATGCACGCACACACACACATACACACACACATACACACGCACATACTCTTACTCCAAGGGCCTATAGACAGAAATAGACCAATATACAAATAGTGCAGCCCCTTTTCAAGTTATTAAATGAAACGAACAAGTGCAGAGAAACCTGCTTTAACTGTTTATAAACTAAGCCTAAAATCAGGAGGTTTGTGAACATCTATTTAATGACAATTGTTTGAAAAACAAAGAACTTATTTGCATTATAGAGACTTTTTTGCTTGAAACTTAAATAATACTTTTTTTTTAAAGTATATGGCTTTACTCTAAGTTCCTATAGTAAAACATACTAGGTTAAACTAACAGATGAATCAAAAATACCTAAACGCATTCTTCTAATTTATCATATTTTGACAAGGAAAAGCTTTTCCGTTCAAAAATACCAAAATTAATCATGCAACCTAAATTAAGTAGTTGTTCTATGCTGATCTTGTTACATGCGACACTTATCTTTCCACTAGATGGTGCTGTAAGACCAGTAATTTTCTCCTGTATTCCTGAGCAGTAAATTAACAGGCAATGCTGCAATAAAATTAGAACTCACACTAAAAAGAATTGTAGAAGGTAATTTGTTTTTCCTATGTGAAAGATGATTTGACATTATATAAGACAAGGCCTTTACATTTTCATGCAGTTTGATTTGATTTAGTAAGTTTCTCTTGGTTTAAATAGTAAATAATAACAAAATTTTTTAAAAAATGAAAATCTGGTTAATGGTTCTACCTGGTTTACAATTATGTATGTCTGATTTCAGCTTTCATAAGTTGACTGTGATTTCTACCTTTCTAATTTTTCTATTGTGCATTTCCTATTTTTCTATAGTGTGTTCAGTACAATCCCAGAACATCAAAAAGCTTGAATATTTTCTAGGTTTGATACACTTGCTCTTAAAGAGCAGTGATTGGTTTTGATTGAAGTAGAATGTAATGGTAGGTAAATATAATGCATATCTGGCAAATTTGATCTGTATGTGGACAAAAAAAATTGTATTCTGATTTGAGAGCCTTGCATGTGTGGACAAGTAATGATCTCCATACATGCCTTGTACATCACTGGCAGATGGGACAGCATAAGGGAGGAATTGTCTTTAGTTACGGAGAAGAAACTGTGGCACTTGATGGAGAAACTGGAATGTTATCACATGTATGCAGACTCTAAAAAGGTTCCTGGGCTAAGATAGGAGTAGAGCTATCAGCAGGCAAGATCAAATCACTGTCTTGATTTTGCACCATGTGGCAAATATTTTTCCTTTCTAATTCAAAACACACTACTTCAGAACTTAGGGGTCTGAAGATGATGTTGGTTCACTGGTTCTAGACTGTAAAGTATCAATCTAATGAGAAGAAATAAGCTAACTTGCATGGATATTGGAAATGCTAAGAAACTTATTTTAAAATTTTAGTCTTAATCTTCGCAACTTAATAGACCAGTGGTTTGGTTCGTAATTTCTTATTTGCAAAGTAGATTTCTAGAGTATCTTTAAATGAGTGTGGATAACCAAAGTAGACAAAATCCTTACTTTTTCAAGCTTTACCCAATCCATTTACTTGGAAAAGCAAGAAAATAAAATCTTCTGTTCATTTTAAATATTGAGTGTTCACCATAATTTGATATGAATTAGGATTTTGTTCAGCTTTCTCCCCTCCCCCCATCTTCTTAAGAGCATGACGAAGTTAAAAAAATAATAATCTAAGACAATAGTTCTCAACCTTGGCTACACATTACATGCTTGGGGAACTTTAAAAAATACCTCTCCACTTTCAGAGGCCCGTTTTTATTGCTCTGGATGTTGGCCTGAGCATCTGTATTTTTGAAAGATCCTAGGTGATTCTAATATTCATCAGAATTGAGAAGCTCTAACCTAAGGCACAGCTAGTTGATATACATTTAACTGAAAAATAAAGCAATTATTTTAAAACTACAGGTAATGGCAATATTTTATTTTATTGTTAAACCCATTAATTTAATATCTATTGACTGTACATTTATAAATTATTTTATTACATTGAGACATACTTTTTGTTCTGTCATTATATTTGAGAATTTATGTAAATGAATAAATTTCAAGTGCCAGTAAGGTGGTCCAGTACAAGGTTATTTTGTGTTAATCATTCTCTAATAATGACAGCATTTTTTTCCCCTCAAAATCTCAAAGGTTTATTTTTTTGAAATCCCCTGGTCTTTCTCTGGGAATATTCAACATAATTTTGTGCCTATATAGTGCTTTAAATGTAAGGAAGGACTAGACAGTTTGAGTCATTTCTAATTTTTGATCCTATAAATATGGTAATCTTTTAAAACATTTTAAAATCACATTCAGATCTCTGAAAAACATGGCAGTCTTAACCATTGTGAAACAATTTACTTCCCTCTATACCCCTACTCCCCAGTTGGCCCTTGCCACCCACTCCTTATTAAGATTTTGAATCTAATATATGAGAAGAAAATAATTTCTTATTAAATAATGATTACAAATTGTACAATATGAACTTTAGGTAATTCTAAAGCACAAATGTTTGGATCTAAGAAAAAACAATTCCTCAAAAGAAGAAAAATTAATGACTTCAATGAAGTGGTGTTTGAAACTTTCAACAGTTACCACTTAGAGTACTATTCAGAGAGACTTAACATGTACCTGAGTTATAAAGCACTTTTCTTAGTGGGTCTTTGAGGACTCCATGGGCTTTCTTAATGAGAAAAAATGTGTCTGAAAGGCAATGGATTTCAGTTTGCTTTTAAACTCTCAGGGATTATGACATTCTTGAAAACTGAGTTCCTTCAGGACGTGACTACCACAATCTGTTGTCTCAATGTGAGGAGAGTTACAGCAAATTTTTTAATCTGAGAAGCAGTTTGGCAAATTGTAGCTCTGAGCAGGAAAATATCTCCATGGTTGAAGGGTTAAAATTGTATTCAGAGATTGAACAGGTGAAGCAAAAGCTAAAACTCATGGAGAGTCCTTTGTTGAGGTATGTGTGCCTTTGTAATTCTTAGCTAGTTAGCATCTTTTCTTCCTTGCTATCTTACTGAGAACTGTTAGGTCTGTTTGGTTTCTTCATGGTATGTGTTTGGTTATCAGAATTCTAACATCTAAGCAAAGGGTGTCCATCCAGTTGTCAGAAGTTCCACCCATGAGATCTCCTCCACCATGATGACTGGTCTGCTGTGGACCCTACTCATGGACAGGCTTTGCCAGGTGCCTTGGGGGAAGATATAGAAATTCAGGTAAAAGAAGAGTGTCTTGCTGCAAGTGGCTTTTTTCCTTCTGATTCACCATAGGTTTTCATGAATTCTACACAGAGCTTCCCAGAGGTGGTTTTCTGTTAAATAGGAAGTAGTGAGAACCCTGCCTTTCATCAGCAGTAGCCACTTACCAGGCATGCATTAGGTTCAGTCCACTACCAAAGGAGATGCTTCAGCGTGCAGTGTTGGCTCCATTTTCAGAGTGAGACATGAAGGCACTTGGAATAATACTCGAGTTGCTTTGTGGGGTTGTATATTTGTCACTTTGCACACTGCCTATAAATACCTGATAAAGAAAAGAGGTTTAATTGGCTCACAGTTCTGCAGGTTATAAGGACACATGGCAGGGGAGGCCTCAGGAAACTTACAATCATGGCAGAAGGTGAAGGGGAAGCAGGCATGGCTTAAATGGCTGGAGGAGGAGGAAGAAAGAGAATGAGGGTAGGTGCTACATACTTTTAAACAACCAGATCTCATGAGAACTCTGTCATGAGACAGCACTAGGGGGATGGTACTAAACCATTAGAAACTGTCCCCATTACCCAGTCACCTCCCACTAGGCTCCACATCCAACACTGGGGATTACAATTGAACATGAGACATGAGACTTGGTTGGGGACAGAGATCCACACCATATGTGGGTGTATATTTGCAAATATGTTGTTGTTTTCTAGTTCTTCGGTGATCCATTATCTGTTATAAATGCCTGCTATGAAGGTGACACTGTTATCGTTTGTCCTGACCATTTTGTGGTATGTGGCATAATGGAGTGCAGTGTTGACTCCATTGAGTTGGAAGGTGGGTATGGAAGACACAACCAAACTCTCATGCATGACATGATTAAGTAAACAATAAATGACTGTTCTTGTCAAAGCTCCAAGAATGTGATTTCAACCTATTTCACTTCAAATGAATTATTGAATTGCCTTGAAACATTAAAGGCATTGGAAGCTTAAAAGGAGTTGACCCAGTTTTTGAGTAAGTGGACTTGTGGTTCTTTGTAGCAGTGTATATGTTGGGAAGATACTTACAGGGCTGTATAGAAAAAAGACCATGAGGAAGAAGCAAACTATACAGATCGTAGGTGATTTATGGAAAGGATGTCAAATTTCTAGAATTAAAAAAAAAAGATTCCCAACAATATTATTTTTAATTTCAGTATTTTTTAGTTTGTTACTTGCTCTTATCTCATAGATATTGTGATATCTTAGTGCATGGCTGTTTGTTTTTTGTTTTAAATTTAGCTTATTTTTGTGAGAGATATGGTGAAGGGCGTTTTACTTGAAATTGGTATCAAAAATTATCTTAATTCTCTAAAAGTTTGCTGAGTGTCACAAATGCTACACTTTGTGTCTTGACACAGTATACTTTTGAAAACGTTAATGTTGAAAGATTAATATTAAATATATAATAGTTAATAGATAACTATTATCTGCTTTAATAGATATCTTCAATATCTATTAAAAATAACTTTTCCAGTTATAATCTTTTTGTTCATTTGGAGTAATTCCTAAGTTCAGATTACTTTACAATTGTTCATCTTGGTCTTGTATATTTCCGTAATGTGTCAAATTTAGTTGTACCTATTCAACTATTTACCAAAACTGCTACAAGTTAGCAATGAAGCTTGTAATGCAAAAAAATCATATATCATTTTGGGACTTGTGCAGCTGTTCACTAACTGCTTAAGCTGTGTTCTTGATCTTTATCTTGTCAAAACTTCTTAATGGAAGCAAGGCTGGGAGTTTAATTTCCTGCTGTTCACTAGTACATCATCTCACTCCCTTTTTTGTTTTATGTTTGTTAATTTTGTTCTTTCTCCTCTCCAATACTTGATTTATAATAGATGTGTATGTATAAGTAACACATGTGCAGGATAAATCACTGCAATAAAAACACTTTATTTTTTGGCAGAGTAAAAATAACATTCATATTATAAATTGTATAGTAGATAAGAGTTCTTAGATTGGTGAGGAAATTACAATGTAATTGCCAGAGTGTCATAAATAACCTATCAAATTCTGATAGTTGAGTGTAAAAATGACTGTAAATTTACTAACAGAGGACATTTCTGAGAATTGAGGAATCAAATGGTATCTCTGGTGTGAATATATGGAGCACTAGCTTATGAGTAAATTAAAGCTTATCTGATAGTAATCTATACCTAACACTTAAGAGATATATTGAGTACCTACTATGTGCAGGGTATTAATAGTACTTATGGTTGGGCTTCTCTTTCTTTAGAAAATCTGTTCACTTTAGGTAATGGCTTTATGTTTTAAATTGATAAGAATACGTAATTTGTGTAAAAATCTGTTTTTTCTTCAATATGCAATTCTTTTTCTATTTATAATTTTTCTGATGCTAAAAAAACAATGGTTATTGTAGAAAATATTCAAAGTACAGGCAGACACATACAGAATCAGAAACAAAATTACTCACTGTTCAGTCATTTCTAGTCCACCCTGGTAGCATTCCAGTGTATGGAGTCATCTTGCCTTCTCTAGTGCCCCCAGAGGCTTGTCTGTACCCTTCAAGTATGGATAAGTTCAGTGGCTTTGCCTGTTTACTGCAGTTACTGCTTTCATGTACTCAAGGACTTATCATTAGACAATGAGGTCTTTCTTTCTTACAGCTTCGTCTATGTGTTTGTCTTCTGTTTTATAATGAAAGTCAAGCGAGTTCTTTAGTTTTCCGATATTCCAGGTTTTTGTAAGCCCACTCAGAGGCTTGGCCTGTATTACTGATTTGATTAAGATTTATGGAGAGCTAATGCTTTTTGTTGATTAATGAAATAGACTGTTTTTTCCTGTAGCTAAACTGTCATAAGTCAGTTTGTCAGATTTTAAGTCATTCTTTCTACGAGAATATTAAAATTAGGTAATCTTGAGAACTGCTTAGGTTTATTCAAATGTAATTTGTATTAGAATCATAGAATCTCAGATACTTAAGGTTCCTTCCACAGCACCCATGCAGTTAGACAAAAGCTTAAGAGAGCTGAATGCTTTAAAGCCCTTTGACCCAGTTGTAGATCCTTAGGATTATTTTTTAACTTTCATGGCAGCTTTGTATGTGCATTTTGTGCTGGGCTGTTCTGAGATGGCTGATAGAGTAGTCTTGCTAGTATGGGGACACATTGGGAAGTTGTTATTGTTAAAAATTTGATGCCCTGGTTTAAATAAGATATGTGGGGAGATCGACTTTATTTAAATGCATCTGGGTTGACTGGTCTCATTATCATTTCAAGCCCCTTGCACTAGAGAAATGTGTTCTACATTTTTGTGTTTGGACATTTCCCCTCACCCACCTTAAATGTTTCTGTTCTCTTCCTTAGGATATGGTCTACCAATTAATATTGTGATAGAAAAGAGGGAAAAAGGTGACACTTCTGTGGACTGCATGAATGAGGATATTAACATCTCAGGCATAAGATTTGTTCAGCATGGTGTTATAAAAGAAATCTTAAATGTCTGACTGTTTGGTGTATTTACTCATTCTAGGCTTTGAAGGAAAACTTTACTTTCTATGGAAGATAGAATTTAATGAAATGCCACTGTTGAGTACAGGAATACCTAGTTGTATTGTGCTTTGCAGATATTGAATGTTTTATACATTGAAGGTTTGTGGTAACCCTGCTTCGAGTAAGTCTACTTGGCCTCATTTTTCCAATAACTGGTGCTCACTTTATGCCTTTGTGTGACATTTTGGTAATTCTCACAATATTTCAAATGTTTTTATTATTATTATATTTGTTATGCTGATCTGTGACCAGTGGTCTTTGATATTACCACTGTAATTGTTTTGGGGTGATGTGAACTGCATCACCATAGAAAAATGGTGAACTTAGTAAGTGTTGTGTGTGTTCTGACTATTCCAACAATCAGCCATGCCCCCTTCTCTCTCCCTCTTCTTGGGCTTCTCTATTCTGAGACAAAGCAATATAGAAAGGAGACCAATTAATAACCCTACAATGACATCTATGTGTTCAAGTGAAAGGAAGAGTTGCATGTCCCTCACATTAAACAAAGTCTAGAAATGATTAAGCCTAGTGAGAAAGGCACATCAAAAGCCAAACACATGAATAAGAGAGCAAAACAGCCTTATTACTAATATGGAGAAAGTTTTAGTTGTCAGCATAGAAGATTAAATCAACTACAACATTCCCTTAAGCATAAGCCTACACAGCAAGGTCCTAACTCTTTTTAATTCTGTGAAGGCTGAGAGAGTCAAGGGAGCTACAGAAGAAAAAGTTGGCTAGCAGAGGTTGGTTCATGAGGTTTAAGGAAAGAAGTCATCTCTGTAACATAAAAGTGCAAGGTGAAGCAGTAGTTTCTATTGTAGAAGCTGCGGAAAGCTATCCAGAAGAGCTAGCTGAAGTCACTGATGAAGGTGGCTACACTAAACAGCAGATTTTCAGTGTAGATGAAATGGCCTTCTATTGGAAGAAGATGCATCTAGGACTTTTCATAACTAGAGAAAAGTCATTAGTTGGCTTCAAAGCTTCAAAAGACAGGCCAATTCTCTTACTGGTGACTTTAACTTGAATCAGTGGTCAATTACAATTCTGAAAATCTTAGGGCCCTTAAGAATTATGCTATGTCTATTCTGCCTGTGCTCTAGAAATGGAACAACAAAGCCTGAGTGGTAGCAAATCCGTTTATTGCATTGTTTGCTGAATATTTCAAGCCCACTGTTGAGACGCACTGCTCAGAAAAAAAAAAAAAAATCCTTCCAAAATATTGCTTACCGAACAATGCACCTGGTCACCTGAGAGCTCTGACGGAAATGTGCGAGGAGATTAATATTCTTTTCATGCTAACACAACATCCATTCTGCAGCCCATGGATCAAGGAGTAATTTCAACTTTCAAGTCTTAATATTTAAGAAATAGACTTCATAAAGTATAGCTTCAATTGATAGTGATTTCTCTGATGGATCTGGGCAAAGTCAATTGAAAACCTTCTGGGAAGGATTCACCACTTAGATGTCATTAAGAACATTCAAGACTCATGAGAGGAGGTCAGAATGTCAACATTAACATTGGGTTTGGGAGAAATTGATTCCAACACTCCCAAACTCTTTGAGGGTCAAGAAGTCAGTGGAGGAAGTAACTGCAGATGAGTGGAAATACTAAGAGAACCAGAATTAGAAGTGGAGCCTGGTGATGGGACTGAGTTGCTACAATCTTATGACAAAACTTGAACAGGTGAGGAGTTGCTTCTTACGGATGAGCAAAGAAGATGATTTCTTGAGATGGAATCTACTCCTGGTAAAGAGAATGAATATTGTTGAAATGACAACAAAGGATTTAGCATAGTACGTCAGTGTAGTTGATAAAGCAGAGGAGGGCTTTGAGATGATCAACTCCTATTTTGAAAAACATTCTTCTGTGAGTAAAATGCTATCATAACATCGCATTACATGCTACTGAGAAATCTTTTTCGAAAGGAGGGGTCAATGCGGCAAACTGTTCGTCTTATTTTAAGAAATTGCCACAGCCAGCCCAACCTTCAGCAACCACTATCCTGATCAGTCAGCAGCCGTCAACATTGAGGCAAGACCCTCCACCAGCAAAAAAGATTATGATTTTCTGAAGGTCAGATGATCCTTGTATGTTTTAGCAAAATAAAGTATTTTTAAATTAAGGTTTATACTTTTTTTTAAAACATAGTGCTTTTGTACACTTAGACTACAATATTATATAAACATACCTTTTTTTTTTTTAATTTATTTTTTATTTTTTTTTTTTGGAGAGACAGGGTCTCGCTCTGTCAACCAGGCTGGAGAGCAGTGGTGCAGTCCTAGCTCACTACAGCCTCAATCTCCTGGGGTCAAGTGATTCTTCCACCTCAGCCTTTTGAGCAGCTGAGACTACAGGCACGTACCACCACACCAGGCTAATATTTTTATGTCTTTCTAGAGATAGAGTCTCACTATGTAGCCAGGCTGCTCTCAAACTCCTGGGCTTAAGTGATCCTCCTGCCTTGTTCTCTCATAAAAATAACTTTTATATGCATTAAGAAACCAAAAAATTGATGTGACTCATTCTATTGCAATATTTGCTTTATTGCAGTGGTCTGGAAACTACACTACAATATCTCCAAGGTATGCCTGTACTTGGAAGGCTGATTATTTATGTACACAGCATGACAACTTAGGAATCTTACCCTGAAGTAAAAAATAGTTCAGCCTATTCTTGAAAATGTGTTAGTTTAATATTAATTTCTTCTCGGTGCAGTCATCTTTTTCTTTTAATACTTTCCAACGTAGTGGTCTGTATTCATTGTTTTCAATTTAGCACTAGACTGAAACTAGCTATCTTCACATTGCAGTAGTATTTGTTTCCTAAGATCTGTGTCTTCTTTCTTGAATAAGATCTTTTTTCCCCAAGATACTGAGCAAAGTTGATCTCTGATATTCTTTTGTGGTAATGAAAAGTGCTTTTGCATTTCTGAGGTCAAGTCATTCTTTTTTAAGAATGTTACTTTTAGATGTGAGAAAATAGCTCAAAACGGTCATTGTTTTGTATTTTATGAATTTCGAATTCAAGTTTAAATGGAAGTTATTAAATATTTAGACTATATCTAATGTCAGCTCCAGGCTGTCCCTGATACTGGAAAAGGTACATTACTTCTTAAAGCAGTCAGCTGTGTGTTTTCATCACAGGCACTCACCATAAGGAGACTCCATCAGAAAATTGTGCTGCCATGTGAAGTAGCATGAGGCACAGCACGCACATTTTTAATGAAGAACTTGGATTTACATGGTGACAAGATATGATGAGCTCTTTTTGGGAAATAGTTTGAGTTTAAGTTGTAAATAAATATATAAAATATGAGACCAAGATGTAAGTGCAGACTCCTATTCTCTTTCTTCAAAGAATTTCAGACATTTATATCTACTAAGTCATGCAAGCTCAATTGTACAAGGTTCTTACGTAGCATTTTCAAAACATAGATTAGTAAGAAAAATAATAAATCTCACAATTTACTGTAACTTTCAGAGAATTTTAGGCTCTTAAAATTATGACTTTATAAACAATTTTATAACAGTCAAAGCTCAGTTGCTTTTATTTAATTACTTTTTATTTTGAGGTAATTGTAGATTCACTACTGTTGTAAGAGATAACACAGAGAGATCCTGTATGTACACTCTTTACCAGTTTGGCCCAGTGGTGACATCTTATGAAACCACAGTATCGTAGCACAGCCAGAATGCTGACATTCAGTTAGGCTGAGGAGCACGTCCATCACCACAGCGATTCCTCTGGTTGCCCTTTTATAGCCACACTCACTTACTTTCCTCTCCCATCAGTCTCTTCCTTAACTGTTGGCAAACCTTAATCTGTTTTCCATTTCTGTTATTTCATCATTTCAAAAAAGTTTTAAAAATGAAATCACATTCCTTTTGGGATATGACCTTGTGGGACTGACATTTTTCACTTAACACAATTCTCTGGAGCCTCATCCCAGTAGCTGTATGTACCAGTAATTTGTTCCTTTTTATTGTTGGGTAGTAGTCCAACGTGTGGTGGTTCTGTAGTTTGTTTATTCACCCATTGGAGGACATCTAGATTATTTTCAGTTTTTGCCTATTATCAGTAAAGCTGCTGTAAGCATTTGTGTACAGATTTTGCTGAGAAGATACTTTTTATTTCTTAGGGGTAAATGCCCAGGAATACAATTGTAGGTCCTATGGCAGTTGCATGTTTAGTTTTTTAAGGAAACTTCCAGACTGTTCTCCAGAGTGGTTATACAATTTTCGATTCCCACTAGCAATGTTTAAGTGATCCAGTTTCTTCGTATCCTGAAAGCATTTGGTGTTTTCACTATTTTTTGTTTTAGCCATTCTGATAGGTGTGTAGTACTAACTGTGGTTTTAATTATTTCTGTAGTGGTTAACGGTGTTGAACATTTTTTCATAGGCTTATTTGCCATTCTTCTATCCTCTTTAGTGAGATGTCTATTTGTGACTTTTGCCTATTTTCTAATTGGATTGTTTGTCCTTTTTTACTGTAGTTTTGGGAGTTCTATATATATTCTAGGTACTAGTCTTTTGTCAGGTATGTGGTTTGCGGATACTTTCTGCTGCGCTGTAGCTAGTCTTTTTATCTTCTTTATATGGGCTTTTACAGAGCAAAGTTTTTATTTTTGATGAAGTCCAATTCATCAATTTTTCCTTTTATGGACTGAGCATTTCAGTGTTAAGTTTAAGAACTCTTTGCCTAGCTGTAGATTTCCAAATATTTTCTCCTATTTTTTTCTAAAATTTTTATAGTTTTACATTTTATATAAAGTTGTAATCCAGTTCTTAGTTAATTTTGCTGTAAGATGTGAGGTTTAGGTCAAGGTTCGTTTTTTTGCCTTTGGATGTCCAGTTGCTCCTTTACCATTTCTTGAAAAGACTGTCCTTCCTCCAATAAACTGGTTTTACATTTTTTTCAAATATTGTTTGGGAATATTTGTATAGGTCTATTTCTGTGTTCTCTATTCTGTTTCACTGATCAGTGTCCTGTTTCTTCACTAATACCTGTAGCTGTATTTACGTCTTGAAATCAAATAGAGTGATTTCTCCCACTTGGTCTCTTTGAAAATTGTTTCAGCTACCCAAGTTCTTTGCCTTTCAATATAAATTTTAGAATAATTTTATATCCACAAGAAATGATGCTGAAATTTTGAAAGGAATTTTAATAAACTCGTATATAAACTTGGGAAGAATTGACATCTTTGTTATGTTGAGTCTTCCAATCTGTGAACATATTTCTCTGTTTATTTAGATCTTTGATTTCTTTCATCAACATTATGTAGTCTTCAGCATACAATTGTTGTTTGTGTTTTGTACTTTTTTTTTCAACTTTTATTTTAGATTCATGAGGTACATGCGCAGGTTCATTACATGGGTAAATTGTATGTCACTGGGGTTTGATGTGCAAATGATTTAGCCACTCAAGTAGTGAGCATAGTACCCAATAGGTAGTTTTTTGACCTTTATCCACCTCCCTCTCTGCCCGCTAAAGTAGCTTCTGTTGTCTGTTGTTCTCATCTTTGTGTCCATGTGTACTGAGTACTTAGCTCCCATCTATAAGTGAGAACATGCAGTATTTGGTTTTCTGTTCCAGTGTTAATTTGCTTAGGATAATGACCTCCATTTGCATCCATGTTGCTTCAAGGGACATGATTTTTTTATGTCTGCCTCAGTATTCCATGGTATATATTTACCACATTTTCTTTATCCAGTCCACCCTTGATGGGCATCTAGGTTGTTTCCATATCTTTGCTATTGTGACTAGTGCTGCGATGAACATACGAGTTTGTGTGTCTTTTTGGTAGAATGATTTATATTCCTTTGGGTATATATCCAGTAATAAGATTGTTAGGTCAAATGGTAGTTGTGTTTTAAGTTCACTGAAAAATCTTGAAACTGCTTTCCATAATGACTGAATTAATTTACAGTACCACCAAGAGTGTTTAAGCATGACCTTTTCTGTAACTTCACCAACATCTGCTATTTTTTGACTTTAATTATGGCCATTCTGACTGGTGTAAGATGGTATCTCATTGTGGCTTTTATTTGCATTTCTCTAATGATTACTGATATTGAGCATTTTTTCATATGCTTGTTGGCCATGCATATATCTTCTTTTCAGAAGTGTCTGTTTATATCCGTTGCCCATTTTTAAATGGGTTTGTTTTTTGCCTGTTTTTTTTTCTTATAGATTCTAGCCATTAAGACTTTTGTCAGATGCATAGCTTACAAATATTTACTCTCATTCTGTAGGTTGTTTACACTGCTGATACTCTGCAGTAGCTCTTTAGTTTTTCTTCTAGGGTTTTTATACTTTTGGATCTTACTTTTAAGTCCTTAATCCATTTTCAGTTGATTTTTTAATATGGTGAAAGGAAGGAGTTCAGTTTCAATCTTCTGCATATGGCTAGCCAGTTATCCCAGCACCACTTATTGAATAGGGAGTTTTTTCTCCATTGCTTGTTATTATTAGATTGTCATACTATATTTTTAAGTTCAATGTTCATATGTTTATTGCTAGTATATAGAAATATAATTGATTTCTGTATGTTCATTTTGTATTTTTTGACCTTGCTGAATGTTACCTATTAGTTATAAAAGTGTTTTTGTAGATTCCTTGGGATTTTCTATGTAGACAATCATGTTATCTATAAGTATCAAAAGTTGCGTTTTTTTTTTGTTTTTTTTTTTCTGATTAGTAAGCTTTTTTTTTTTTTTTTTTTTTTTTTAAATTTCTTGCCTTATTGCACTGGCTAGAACTTCCAGCACTATTTTGAATAAGAGTAGATATCTTAACTTTATTTTTCATGTTATGGGGAGTGTATTCAATATTTCATCATTAAGAATGAGGTTAACTAGGTTTTTTATGAATATTCTTTATCAAGTTTTTTTATGGATATTCTTTATCAAATTCTTTATCAAGTATTTTTCTGCATTTCTTGAGATGATCACCTGATTTTTATTATTAGAAAAAAAAATAATGATAGGTTATACTGGTTGACTTTCAAATTTTGAACCAGCCTTGCCTCAATGGCATAAATACCACTTTGCCATAGTGTATAATCTTTTTATATTTTGCTGAATTATACTTGCTAATGTTTTGTGAGGAAATTTTGCATCTATATTCATAAAGAATATTTGTCTGCAGTTTTGTTTTTTTTGTACTCCCGTCTTTGTCTGGTTTGGGTATCACTAATATTAGCTTCATAAAATGAACTCTGAAGTATTTTTTCTCTTTTATTTTCTAAAAGAGATTTTGTAGAATTACTGTTAATTCTTTAAATGTTTAATAGATTTCTCCAATGAAACCGTCTGGGCCAGGAGATTTATCTTTTGGAATTTTTAAAATTATGAATTCAATTTTCTTAATAGGTAAAGAGCTATTCAAATGACCTATTTTATATAGAGTAAATTTTGGTAGTTTTTGCTTTTAGCAGTATTGGACCATTTCTTCTAAGTTGTCAAATTTACATATATCGAATTTTTTGTAGTATTTCCTTATTCTTTTGATGTCGGCAGGGTCTGTAGTGATAATCTCTGTTTGGTAATCTATACTGGTAGTTCGTTTGTTCTCTCTCTTTTAAGAACCAACCCTGTTTCATTGATGTTTAAAAATTGTTCTGTTTTCAATTTCCTTGGTTTTTGTTGTTTTTATGATTTCATTCCTTCTGCTTGTTTTGGGTTTGTTTTGCTTTTTCTATGTTTTCCACATGAAAGCATAGGTTATTGATCTGAGACTTTTCCTCTTTTCTAGTGTGCACACTTAATGTTAACAAACTTCCCTCTTGGCATTACTTTAGCTGTGTTCCACATATTTTTATATTTTGTATTTTCATTCTTTGACCCATGCAGATTTTAGAAGTGTTAGTTTCTAAGTATTGGGAGTTTTACTGTTATCTTTTTGTTGATTCCTAGTTTGATTCCATGGTTGTAAGAAAACACTGTGTATGATTTCAACTCTTTGAAATTTGTTGAGGTTTGTTTCATGGCCCAAGATGTGGTCTGTCTTGTTATGTGTAAAGTGGCCCTATGAAAAGAATATGTATTCTGCTGTTTTTGGGTATTTCATTCTATAAATGTCAACTAGATCAAATTGGTAGGTGGTATTATTGAGTTTTTCTGTATTCTTTCTGATTTTCTGTTTAGTAATTGTGTCAATTTTTGAGATAGGGTTGCTAAAATCTCTAAGCACAAGTATGGATATGTTTGTCTTTTCAGTTCTGTTAGTTTTTGCTTCACGTATCTTGCAGTTCTGTTATTTGTTGTATGCCCATTTAGGATTGCTATGTTGTCATTTTGGTGAAACATATTTCTCATTATGTAATGTCATTATCTGTCTCTGGTAATTTTGTTTGCTCCAAAGTCTACCTTATCTGACATTAATATAACCACACTTGCCTTCCCTTGATTAATGTTTGCATGATATATCTTTTTCCACTATTTTACTTTCAACTTGCCTATATTATTCTGTTTAAATTTGGTTGTAGATAGCATATAGTTGAGTCATGTTGTTAATCCACTCTCCCAATCTGTGTCTTTTAATGTCTTTAGACCATTTACATTTAATTATTGATGTTTAGTCGTTAGTCTATTTTATTTGTTGTTTTCTGTTTGTTCTGCTTTTTATTTCTTGATTTGCATTTTTCTGCCATCCTGTGGATTACCTGAGCAGTTTTCATAGTTTCATTTGTTTTTGAATATATCTTTTTGTGTAGCTATTTTTTTAGTGATCGCTTCAGGTAATATATGTACATAGCCTCACAGTTTACTGGTGTCTTCATTCACCAGTTCAAGTGAAGTAGAGAAACTCTGCTTTTTTTACATCTCTTGTGGAGCACCCGATTCTGTCGCTGACTGGGGCACCACTATGTAACCCGCACAGACCTAGGGGGACCAAACAAAGCCGGGTGAATGTGGGAATAAAAGACAAGAGACAAAAGAGTATATTTGGAAGAAGGGGTCAGGGGGCACCTTGCCTCTAGTGGACAAGGGCCCTGAGCTTTACACAGTCTTCCATATTTATTAGGCAAAAGAGATAGTGAGAAGGGGGATGAAAGAAGGGGTCAGCTGCCTGGTCCAGAGTAGGCTTGCAAGAATGCAGTCCTCGAACAACAGGCTGTAGATGTCACGGCAGATAACCTCAGCACCAGGGAGTGATTGCCTCCAGCAAACCTTCTGCCAGCAGGAGCAGTCATGAGTTTGCCCACATCCTGCATTCATGAAAAACAGTTTGTTGTTTGATCATATAGCCTCCAGTGGAATGCTGAGTTGGTCACGTCCCACAAGCCTTTGGCTCCCTGCAATTTCTTTTTCTTCTTTTTATAATCGTCTTAAATATCTCCTTTATGTACATCTAGAACCACATTAGACGATACTAATATTTTCATTTCAAATTTCAAACATAATTTAAACTCAAGAGGAGAAGGAAAGCCTATTTACTGGTATTTTTGCTTGCTTTTGCCCCTTTTTCCTTTCTGATGTTCCAAGATTCCCTCTTTTATTATTTCTCTTTTGTTCAGAGAACTTTCTTTACCCATTCCATTAGAGTAGATCTGCTGGTTGCTAATTATCTTAGTTTCTCTTCTTCTTAGAATGTTTTGATTTCTTCATTCCTGAAGAATATCTTTATCAGGTATAGGATTCTGGATTGACAGTTCTTTTCTTTCCACCCTTAAATAATACTGGGCCTCTTTTGTCTGGCATCCATGGTTTCTGATGCTGTCAATCACAATTTCTCTCCAATGGCTAAGGTGTAAAATTTTCACTGATGCTTTCAATATTTTTTTTTGTTTTTGCCATTAGCTTTCAGTAATTTAATTATGATATATCATTTCATGGATTCATTTGAGTTTATCCTGTGTGGAGTTTGCTCAGCTTCTTGACTCTGTGGGCTTATTGTGTCTTACCAAATGTGGGAGCTTTTAGTCATTATTTCCTTTTTAGCCTCACCTTTTTTCTCCTCTCCTTCCAGGTCTGTAATGACACAAATATTGGATCTTTTCTTATAGTCCAATAGGTCCCTGAAGCTCAGTTTACGTTTATTTTTCAGTTTAATTTCTCTCTATTGTTCAGATAGGGTAATTTTTAAATTTTTATTGTTCTGTCTTTCCATGCACTGTTTCTTTCCTCTGTTCTTTTCATTCTGCTGTTGAACTTATCATTGAGGTATTTAATTATTCTTCAGTTCTAAAATTTTTATTTTTGTGTTTTATATATATATATATACACACACATATACACACATCATGAAATACTACTCAGAAAATAATGAACTATGAAAAATAAATAATGTCTTTTGCAGCAACTTAGATCAAACTGGAGGCCATTATTCTACAGGAAGTAACTCAGGAGTGGAAAATCAAATACTACATGTTGTCACTTACAAGTGGGAGCTAAGCTTTAGGTATACAGAGGCTTGCAGACTGGTATCACCAACATTGGAGGCTCAGAATAGGCGAGGTTGGAAGGAGGGTGAAGGATGAAAAAGTACCTGTTGGGTACAATGTGTACTATTTTGGTGATGGATATTCTAAAATCCCAGACTCTCCACCACTCTATAATTCATCCTGTAACCAAAAAGCATGTGTACTCTGTATTAGGATGTTCTTACACTGCTATAAAGAAATATGTGAGGCTGGGTAGTTCATAGGAATAGGGGTTTAATTGGCTAATGGTTCTGCAGGCTATATAGGAAGCATAGTGGCTTCTGCTTCTAGTGGCATCTGCTTCTATCTAGGGAGGTCTCAGGAAGCTTACTATTATGACAGAAGGCAGAGGGGGAGCTGGCACATTGCAGCTCCTAGCTGGACCAGGAGCAAGAGAGATAGAGGGACTGCAGGTGTCATATACTTTTAAATGACCAGATCTCACAAGATCTCACTCACTATCATGAAGACAGCATCAGGCCATGAGGGAACTGCCCCCATGGTCCAAGAGCTTCCCACCAGGCCCCACCTTCAGCATTGGGGATTACAATTCAACATGAGATTTGGGCAGGGAAAAATGTATATCCAAACTATATCATTCTGCCCCGGACCCTCCCAAATCTCGCGTCTCTCTCACATTGCAAAAAACAATCATGCCTTCCTGATAGTCCCCTAAAGTCTTAACTTATTCCAGCATTAGTTCAAAAGTTTAAGGTTCAAAATCTCATCTGAGTCTCATCTGAACAAGGCAAGTCAAAAGGAAGTTATGTACTTCCAAGATAGAATGGAGCTATAGGCATTGGGTAAACATTCCCATTCCACAAGGGAGAAACCAGGCAGAAGAAAGGGGTTACAGGCCTCATACAGGTTTAAAACCCAGCAGGGAAGTCATGAAATCTTAAATCTCCAAAATAATCTCCGTTGACTCTGTGTCCCACACCCAGGTTACACTGATGGAAGGGGTGAGCTCCTAAGGTCTTGGGCAGCTCTTCCCCTGTGCCTTTCCAGAGTTCAGCTCCTGCAGCTGCTCTCACTGGCTGTTGAGTGCCTGTGGCTTTTCCAGGCTCAGGGTGCAAGCTGATGGTGGATCTACCATTCTCAGATCTGGAGTTTGGTCACCTGCTTCTCACAGCTCCACTAGGCAATGCTCCAGTGGGGACTCTAGGAGTTCCATCCCCACATTTCCTGTAGGCACTGCCTTAGTAGAGGTTCTCCATGAGGGCTCTTCCCCTACAGCAGGCTTCTGTCTGGACATCCAGGCTTTTCTGTATGTCCTCTGAAATCTATGTAGAGAGTAGCAAGCCTCATTCACTCTTACGCTCTGTGCACTCACAGGCTTAACACCATGTGGAAGCTGCCAAAGCCTATGGTGGCTTACCCACTCTGGATTGGAGGCACAAGCAGTATCTGCAACTCTTTGAGCCACAGCTGGAGCCAGAGCAGCCAGAATGTGGGGAGCACTGTCCTGAGGTTGTGCAGGCTTTGGGAACCTTGTCCTGGCCACCCAAACAATTCTTCCCTCCTAGGCCTTTGGGCTTGTGATAGGAGGGGCTGCTGAGAAGAGCTCTGAAATGGCTTCAAGACCTTTTTCCCAGTGTCTTGGATATTAGCACTTGGATCCCTTTTAGTCACGCAAGTATCTAACAAGTAGTTGTTCCGCAGCCTGCTTGAATTCTCCCCCAGAAAGCTTTTTCTTTCTCTGCCACATGGCCAGGCTGCAAATTTTCTAAACTTTTATGCTCTGCCCCCCCTTTAAAGCTCCAACTTAAAGTCATTCCTTTGCTCTTGCATCTGGGTGTAGATTGTTGGAAGCAGCAGCCAGGCCACTTTTTGAGTGCTTTGTGGCTTAGAAATTTCTTCTGCCAGATACCCTAAGTCATCACTCTGTAGTGCAAACTTCCACAGATCCCTAGGGCATGAATAGAATGCAGCCAAGCTCTTTGCCAAGGCATAACACACATGACCTTTTCTCCAGTTTTGAGTAAGTTTCTCATGTCCATCTGAGGCTGGGCTTCATTGTCCCTATCACTATCAGCGTTTTGGTCACAATCATTTAACCAGTCTTTAAGACATTCCAAACTTTTTCTCATCTTCTTGTCTTTTTTGGAGCCCTCCACACTTTTTCTAACCTCTGCTATTACCCAGTTCCAAAGCTGCCTCCACATTTTCAGGTGTTTTTAAAGCAATGCCCCACTCCTTGGTACCAGTTTTCTGTATTAGGCTGTTCTTGCATTGCTGTAATGAAATGCCTGATACTGGGTAATTTAAAAAGAAAAGAGGTTTAATTGGCTCATGGTTCTGCAGACTTTAGAGGAAGCATGATGCTGGCATTTGCTTAGCTTCTAGGGAGGCTCAGGGAGCTTACTATCATGGTGGAAGGCAAAAAGGGAGCAGGTACCTCACATGGCAAAAGCAGGAGCAAGTGAAAGGGGGTAGGAGGGGGCACACACTAAATGACCACATCTCACAAGAACTCACTTATTATTGAAAAGACAGAACCAAGCCAAGAGAGATTTGCCTCCGTGACTCAAACACCACCCACCAAACCCTACCCTCAGCATTGGCGATTACAATTCAATATGAGATTTGGGTGGGGACAAATATCCAAACTATATTACACTCCTAAAGCTATTGAAATAAAAAATAAAAATAAAATTTTAATTGGGTTATTTCTGTGTTCTATTTCTTTGCTGAGACTCATTTTTCATTTGTTTGAAGTATGTTTATAATTCCTCATTGAAGCATTTTTATCCTGGCTGCTTTCAAATTATTGTCAGCTAATTCTGTCATCTCTGACATCTTGGTTTTGGCATCAGTTGATTGTCTTATTCAATTTGACACCTTCTTGGTTCTTGGTATGACAAGTAATTTTCATTTGAATCCTGGACATTTTTTGTATTACATTATGAAAGTCTGGATCTTCTCTAACTTCTCTGACATTTCTGCAGAAAGATAAAAGATGGGGGTAGGTGGCCATTACCTTGTTGAGGTAGAAGTCATGGATTCCCCTTAGCCTCTGTTGATACTCAAGCTGGGTGGAGGAGCTCCTTGTTGCTGCTGGGTAAGAGTGGGAATTCTAGCTTCCCATTTGGTCTCCACTGACACTGTGGTATATGGGGCTGGTCTTCTTACCACTGGCCAATTGTGAAAGTTGTAATCTCCACTAGGCTTGCTCTGACACCACCCCAATGGGGAGGGGGCAGGCATCTTGTTGCTGCTAGGTGGGGGTACAAGCCCAGGCTCCTCAGTCTTCACTAATACTGCTGCAGAGAGGGCCTTGTCACCAGTTAGTGGGGATGAAAGTCCTGGCTCCCTGTTTTGCTTTTACTGATTCCACCCCAGTGGGAGTGTTGGGATACCTGGTTACAGCCTTCAGAGGGCAAAAGTCCAGGTTCCTCTCAACCTTGGCTGGCATGATGGGAATGGGGTCGCTCTTTTATTTTGTGCTGTTTGGCTGGAATGGAGGTATTATTGTCTGTTTTCTGTCTTTTGTGGGGAAAAGCAAGAGAGATCAGATTGTTACTGTGTCTGTGTAGAAAGAAGTAGACATAGGAGACTCCATTTTGTTCTGTACTAAGAAAAATTCTTCTGCCTTGAGATTCTATTAACCTATGACCTTACCCCCAACCCCGTGCTCTCTGAAACATGTGCTGTGTCAAACTCAGGGTTAAATGGATTAAGGGTTGTGCAAGATGTGCTTTGTTAAACAGATGCTTGAAGGCAGCATGCTCCTTAAGAGTCATCACCACTCCCTAATCTCAAGTACCCAGGGACACAAACACTGCGGAAGGCCGCAGGGACCTCTGCCTAGGAAAGCCAGGTATTGTCCAAGGTTTCTCCCCATGTGATAGTCTGAAATATGGCCTCTTGGGAAGGGAAAGACCTGACCGTCCCCCAGCCCGACACCCGTAAAGGGTCTGTGCTGAGGAGGATTAGTATAAGAGGAAGGCATGCCTCTTGCAGTTGAGACAAGAGGAAGGCATCTGTCTCCTGCCCATCCCTGGGCAATGGAATGTCTCCGTATAAAACCCGATTGTACGTTCCATCTACTGAGATAGGGGAAAACCGCCTTAGGCCTGGAGGTGAGACATGCGGGCAGCAATACTGCTTTGTAAAGCATTGAGATGTTTATGTGTATGCATATCTAAAAGCACAGCACTTGATTCTTTATCTTGTCTATGATGCAGAGACCTTTGTTCACGTGTTTGTCTGCTGACCCTCTCCCCACTATTGTCTTGTGACCCTGACACATCCCCCTCTCAGAGAAACACCCACAAATGATCAATAAATACTAAGGGAACTCAGAGGCTGGCGAGATCCTCCATATGCTGAACGCTGGTTCCCTGGCTCCCCTTATTTCTTTCTCTATACTTTGTCTCTGTGTCTTTTTCTTTTCCAAGTCTCTCGTTCCACCTAACGAGAAACACCCACAGGTGTGGAGGGGCAACCCACCCCTTCATCTTTCTAGGTTGCCTAGTCCTTTGACTAGACAAAGCAGTATTTTGGGGGCATTTTTGGTCTTTGTCTGTTTGTATACTGGATTGCCAGCTACATAAGCTCCAAGTCTGGGGATTATGAAGTGAAAAGAAAACCCTGGGAACTTCCCACTGTGTTGGTGTTCTTTCTTGGGTCTTGAGGTCTGCTGCTGGTCTGCCACCTTCTTTCCATTTTTCAGTTATCTTATGTTTATTTTATATACAATGCCCATGGTTTTTGGTTATACCTAGCAGAAAAAATAGAGACATCTCTATTGTTTCACAAGTGGCAGTTACTTTTTAATTGCCAAATTATTTGTTCATCTTTATAACTAAGTTTGAATATGATCATATCATTTGCCAGATAGCTGCTGTTCCCATTCTTTTTAAATTTTATGTGATTCCTGAAGTTCGATATTTAACTATTTGTATATGTATTTTTAATATAATCACTCCTGTGTCTTTTTTGCACATAACCCCGAGCTGAAAATTTTTTTTCTGAAGTCCCAGTTAGCAGATTTTTAAAAACATCTCTACAGAAGAGATAAGTTAGTGTGTACATATATGGTTCAGGCATATGCAAAGGGAAAAATAATAATAAATGTTTTCTCATGGTATATGACTGCTCTTAGAAAAGTATCATACATGCAGTAGATGTGTCATGAGTAGTTATACCAGCTCTTCTTCACCTATGATTTTGTGTATTAAATTATTCCTAAGTGGTTTCCTAAATAACTATAGAGGTTTGAGTGACTCATTTTGCTTTTTAAAGTGCCTTGCATAACATTAGGAAATAAATTATTCCTATTACTGTTTCTTTTTTGTTGGTGCCATGTGGTGTGAGGAGACAGTGTGAGAGAATTGGACCAGGTTTGAATCTTTCTGGTTACTCTATATAAATTACACTTGAACTAGTTGTTAATTTTAACCTGTGTAGCAGTGAAGGCCATTGCTTAATTCGTAGAAGTGATTTTTAAGTTGGATTGGGGTATCTTATAACTGGAATTTTTTAAATATAGGGCCTTATTTCTAGTCTCAAATTATAATATTTTACTAAACTCAAATACTGTTCTTCACTAATTGAGTAGATGAGAGAATGGTCATTTTGATTAAGTGCATCTTTCAACAAAATTGTTAAAGGATTTCTACTTTTGGCAGAATCTGAAAACCGATTTATCTAGAATGAAAGACAGTGGAACAGGAATTGAATGTTGACACTCAGCCTGTATGTTGGGGTGGGGTGGGGGTGGTTTGAAAATGATACATGCTAATGACTTGCTAATCTGGAACAAATGAAGTGTTGGTTTAAAATACCTAATAAAGCTTATCTGTAAAATGCTTTATCTTTGTGCTTTACATTTGCACTGTGTAAAAGCCTAAAAAGTGATTGTAATAAAATTCTTCCTGCCTTTTTGAAACTGATTGTTATTATCTCAAATTGTAACTTGCAGGGTGCTGGCATAGAAATATATCCTGGGAGTAAGTTTGGGTTCCCTGCGTGAGAATGGACCCGCTGTTGCAAGGAAGGGCTCCTCATTAAGCTGAGCATTGGCCGAGACACTTGCTTTCTAAAGGTTGGAATGATTTCACCTAAGAAATTATGCTTTATTACATTCCCATGTTGGGTCCTATTGTTTTCCGACTTTGAAAGGCCTAAATAGTATATAAATTCTAATAATATCAGTAGCTAATGATTGAAAGTCTTTTGCAAGAATACTTTGTTGCCTCTAGATCTGCAGAAATGACAGAGGAATGCTGCATCACACTGTGCTACAGCATGTGAATCAGCATAGCAGCATAGCTTTTCTGCTTTATTTTTAGAATAGTGTGAAAAAAGGCAAGATTTTTTAAGCAGGCAGTGTTGAAAAGACAGTTCCTTGAAACATTTGTTTTCAGTGTCACAGGTCTTCTTAGATGAACATTATGACATTCCCAAAATATCCTTGGTGAGTAATATCATAAAATGAAGGTTATGGTGTTTTCTTGGTGAAAGCTACAGTTTTCTCTAACCTCCAAGAAAGTGCCCAAGATGAAACTGAAGGTATGCGATATTTAGGAATTTTAGATAGAAAAATCAGACCTAATTTACTTTTTTTTTCAGCATTAAAATCCGATTAAGGATCTGAGTCTTCCTGCTTTTTTTTTTTTTTTTTTTAAGATTGCCAGAATATGTTTGGGCATGGAGAAAGAGAAGTTTTGGTAAAGCTATAACATTATAGAATCTGAGGGAGAAAGGAACTTTCAAAGTCAGCTAGTTCAACTGTTCATTCAAAACCTTGACATTGTGGTTTCTGTGGTCCTTCAGTTCCCTTCTTACTGTGGTTGGCTTTCTATAAACGTATAGAATGAGGATGGGTGTGTGATAGCAGTGGTGGCTCCGGCTGATATCTGTTGAGGTTGGAGGTGGGGTAATCCATGTGCCAGGTTGAGGGCTGTGTTTACTGGAGCCAATAGTGGAGTTTGCCTCCATTTTTTATTGGTAGAAGGAAGTGCCTCCCTGTCATCTGCCTTTCTTGGCAGCAAAGGTGAGCTAACTCACTGGATATTTGTGAACTTCAAAGCGATGACATAGATCTCAGTCTACTAAATCTCAGTCATAGAGAAGAATTAAGCATTGACCGAGTTAAGGAAAGTTTAAAGCAGTTTCAAGAGTACTCCTTGTCATCCTTCAGGGTCCACTCCTGAAGAGCAAGTTCTTTATTTCTTCACAGGTCTGAAGGGTGAAGTCATGGTGTCAGCTGGACAGTGCTCTGGTTTGAAAGCTCAGTTGGGGCTGGACACAGTGGCTCACGCCTGTAATCCCAGCACTTTGGGAGGCCGAGGCAGGCAGATCACCTGAGGTCAGGAGTTTGAGACCAGACTGACCAACATGGAGAAACCCCATCTCTACTAAAAATACAAAATTAGCCGGGTGTGGTGGCGCATGCCTGTAATCCCAGCTACTCGTGAGGCTGAGGCAAGAGAATCACTTGAACCTGGGAGGCAGAGGTTGCAGTGAGCCGAGATCGTGCCATTGCACTCCAGCCTGGGCAACAAGAATGAAACTCCATCTCAAAAAAAAAAAAAAAAAAAAAAGAAAAGCTCAGTTGGAAGAACCTACTTCCAAATACATTCATGTTATTCATCAACAGAATTCATTTCTGTAGGTTGTAGGACTGAGGTCTCTGTTTTCTTGTTGGCTATTTGCTGGGGCTCGCACTTAGCTTCTAGAGGCTGCTCTCAGATTCTTGCCTCATGGTCCCCTCTATCTCAGCAGAAGAGAGCCTCCCTCAAGGCAAACCTTTCATGCTTTGAATCTCTCTGACTTCCTCTTTTCCTCTTTTGCAACCAGCTGGAGAAAACTGATTAGGAACCTTAATTACATTGCAAATTGCAGTGCAAACTCCTTTTGCCATTTAATCGTCATGAAAATAATACCGGGGGCTGGGATCATGGGGCTCATCTAGAGTTTGCTGCTAGATTGGGAGTTAAAGGAAAGTAGCACTGTCTTACCAATCTGCATCCTAGTTCCTAACACAATGTTTAACAGATAGTAAATATCCAATAAATATCTGTTGAGTGGGGAAGATTGTAGGATGAAAAGGGTAGACAAATAGTTCAAAATTTGTGATCCTGTATGAAGATCAGGAAACCTTGGCATAAAGAGCAAGACAGTCACTCATCGAGATTCTTTTTTTTTTCTTTTTATTATTATTATTATTATACTTTAAGTTCTAGGGTACATGTGCCAACGTGCAGGTTTGTTACATATGTATACATGTGCCATGTTGGTATGCTGCACCCATTAACTCCACGTTTACATTAGGTATATCTCCTAATGCTATCCCTCCCCCTCCCCCACCCCACAACAGGCCCCAGTGTGTGACGTTCCCCTTCTTGTGTCCAAGTGTTCTCATGGTTCATTTCCCACCTATGAGTGAGAACATGGGGTGTCTGGTTTTTTGTCCTTGCGATAGTTTGCTGAGAATGATGGTTTCTAGCTTCATCCACGTCCCTACAAAGGACATGAGCTCATCCTTTTTTATGGCTGCGTAGTATTCCATGGTGTATATGTGCCACATTTTCTTAATCCAGTCTATCATTGATGGACATTTGGGTTGGTTCCAAGTCTTTGCTATTGTGAATAGTGCCACAGTAAACATATGTGTGCATGTGTCTTTATAGCAGCATGATTTATAATACTTTGGGTATATACCCTGTAATGGGATGGCTGGGTCAAATGGTATTTCCAGTTCTAGATCCTTGAGGAATCGCCACACTGACTTCCACAATGGTTGAACTAGTTTACAGTCCCACCAACAGTGTAAAAGTGTTCCTATTTCTCCACAACCTCTCCAGCACCTGTTGTTTCCTGACTTTTTAATGATCACCATTCTAACTGGTGTGAGATGGTATCTCATTGTGGTTTTGATTTGCATTTCTCTGATGTCCAGTGATGATGAGCATTTTTTCATGTGTCTGTTGGCTGCGTAAATGTCTTCTTTTGAGAAGTGTCTGTTCATATCCTTCACCCACTTTTTGATGGGGTTGTTTTTTTCTTGTAAATTTGTTTGAGTTCTTTGTAGATTCTGGATATTAGCCCTTTGTCAGATGAGTAGATTGCAAAAATTTTCTCCCATTCTGTAGGTTGCCTGTTCACTCTGATGGTAGTTTCTTTTGCTGTGCAGAAGCTCTTTAGTTTAATTAGATCCCATTTGTCAATTTTGGCTTTTGTTGCCATTGCTTGTGGTGTTTTAGACATGAAGTCCTTGCCCATGCCTATTTCCTGAATGGTATTGCCTAGGTTTTCTTCTGGGTTTTTTATGGTTTTAGGTCTAACATTTAAGTCTTTAATCCATCTCAAATTAATTTTTGTATAAGGTGTAAGGAAGGGATCCAGTTTCAGCTTTCTACATATGGCTAGCCAGTTTTCCCAGCACCATTTATTAAATAGGGAGTCCTTTCCCTATTTCTTATTTTTGTCAGGTTTGTCAAAGATCAGATGGTTGTAGATGTGTAGTATTATTTCTGAGGGCTCTATTCTGTTCTATTGGTCTATATCTCTGTTTTGGTACCAGTACCATGCTGTTTTGTTACCAGTACCATGCTGTTTTGGTTACTGTAGCCTTTTAGTATAGTCAGGTAGTGTGATGCCTCCAGCTTTGTTCTTTTGGCTTAGGATTGTCTTAGCAATGCAGACTCTTTTTGGGTTCCATATGAACTTTCACCACTCCTGTTCAACATAGTGTTGGAAGCTCTGGCCAGGGCAGTCAGGCAGGAGAAAGAAATAAGGGGTATTCAATTAGGAAAAGAGGAAGTCAAATTATCCCTGTTTGCAGATGTGACATGATTGTATATTTAGAAAACCTCATCGTCTCAGCCCAAAATCTCCTTAAGCTGATAAGCAACTTTAGCAAAGTCTCAGGATACAAAATCAATGTGCAAAAATCACAAGCATTCCTATACTCCAATAACAGACAAACAGAGAGCCAAATCATGAGTGAACTCCCATTCACAATTGCTTCAAAGAGAATAAAATACCTAGGAATCTAACTTACAAGGGATGTGAAGGACCTCTTCAAGGAGAACTACAAACCACTGCTCAATGAAATAAAAGAGGACACAAACAAATGGAAGAACATTCCATGCTTATGGATAGGAAGAATCAATATCGTGAGAATGGTCATACTGCCCAAGGTAATTTATAGATTCAGTGCCATCCCCATCAAGCTACCAATGACTTTCTTCACAGAATTGGAAAAAACTACTCATTGAGATTCTTATGGCAAGGAATTTGTAAACTCCAGTTAGATGACAGCAGGAATACTTGGCAGAAAACACTTGAAAGCTCTAACAGACTGTGTAGAAATGTTATGTTTTAGTTGGGCTAGCTTGCATACTGAACTTTGTCATAGTTTGTTTATCCAGAAAATAAAGCACTTAAAATTCAGACAAGTAGAAAGGCAGATGTAGCTGAAAGAGTAGATCCAGAGGAGCTGATGCAATGTGCACCTGCTAAAATGGAGTTTTATGCAAGATCTGACCTTTCTGAGCAAGTTGAGGGAAATTGTAAATGAACTGGTTTCTGCCTTTACACAAAAAGGCCAGATGAAGAAGAAAAGGTTAAGTGAACTGGGGATCATGCAAGCTGATGACAACCTAATGTCACAAGTGATGTTTGTTGGAATTATGGGGATCCAGTTCAAGTGGAATGAGAAACAGTGTTTTGGCACATTTCTTTTCTGATCACAATGATATTAGATAGCAAAATACTGTATTTTGCACATGCTGCCCCAAGAATCACTGTTGCCGTTGTAGTTTGCTTTATGTCTGTATTTTATATTTGATTATTCTACTGGGCTTGAGTGTAGAATTATTTCTGTTAGCAGGTGTTGCGCATCAAACACTCCTTCTTTATAAGAAAGACTGTAAAAACATATAACAGAAAATATTTGGAGATTTCTTATCTGAAAGCCTTGCTGTCTTAAACATATAGTTCTCTTCTAATAAGCCCATTTGTAACTCTCTAGTGTAATTATACTTTAATCTGGGGCTTCAAAGAGGAGGAAGAAAGGAAGAGAATGCAAGACGAGTGCACCAAATGCAGTGTCACATGTACAGCCTTCTTCTCAGAGTGTCTTCTTATCCCAATTACAGTGAGTCCGATTTCCACCCTAGATTTGCATAATGGTTGTCCTAAAATAAAAGCTTTTATGATTGGAAAGTTATCTGCCTAATCAGACTTACTATTGAGAATCTGAATGGGACGCATTTTCATATTGAACTGTGTAATCACCAAAACAGCAATAGATAGCACAGCAGGTCTGAAAAAGAGATGAAATGTGTCCTTCAGAGCCACCGTGTACATAGAGCATTTTTACTGTTGCTGAATGAGAATGATTAAAAAGAAGGTATTTTTCCTTTATTGTAACAGTATTCTGATCATATTTTTTCACAGTCAAAATGATTACCTATACAACCTGTATCAGCTGTGTGTTTTTGGTGTCATATTGTTGAGACATAGCTTTTAAAAATAAATATTAAAAAAGTATACGTGACATTAATATGCCTAATGATTAAGATTATAGTGATGAAATAATAAAATCAAATCTTGTTATTTTTTCAAACCCATTATGGACCATAGTGCCAGTGTGGCATATGTAATTATCTTAAGAACCCACAGTATTTTATCTTTTTGGTGTTTCAGAAAGAGTATTATTTTTTTTTCCCTAAGTGTGGTTATATTTGTTTCTTAAATTTGAAAAAAAAAAACTCTTATTTTTAAGATGCTACTAAATGTAGAAGGATATATGTTAGATTTATTGTTTGATCATTGAAAGGTTTCTTTTTTACTTCTTTTTAAAAATCCTGTTGCAAAGAGTTTTAAAATGTAATACTGATTAATTCTGCATCAGCTTCAGTCAAATATTGACTTAAAAACCATTTATTCTTTTTTCTTTTTCCCTCTAGATATGATGCCTCAAGATAAAGCCATTTATTCATCTTAAAGAATCATGTTGGTTTTTCAATTGAATTTTCACTTTATCTTGGAGTTTAGATTTTATATATTCTTTTGTACCTTTCTAGAATGTCAAGACAATACACAGATAGGTCAGTGAAGTTAATACCATCCTTGTTCCTGTTTATAGCATGATAGTTTTTCAGAGTTTATTTTGATTTTAGTTTAAATCTAAGCTAATATTAATTTTTATTCACATAATTAGTTATTAGTGAATAGGCCTTATGCGTTCTTGTTTAAGTTACAGAGAGTAGATTTTTTTCTCAGTCATGGGGAGTCACACATCTCAGCACAGTGTAGGGAGTACTGAGAGCACCCTGGAGTGGTATGGATTTGGCATTTTAGATGAAAACACTGATGTGGAAAAAGGATAGTCTTCTGTGTTGATTGAGTTACCCTGTGTCCTGTCCTTCTGGTCTTCCCTTAGTGTAACCTGAATATGGCAGGTAGCAAAATTCTGTATGTTAATTGACTACATTTGAGCTTCACAAGTATCACCTTTCCTAGGTTTCTTGGTCTGTCATTGCAACATAGATGTAAACATGAATATATTTTTAAAAACTGCCCAGAGATCATTTGACCTCAAGTATATCTCCCTTTCCTGGAGTTGTAGAAGGATGTTGAAATATTTATTTTCTGGATTTGGCTTTCCAGAGGGAGATGAAGAAAGTTATATATCAAACACTGATGACCTCATGGGAGCAATACCACTTTTGTTTCTTTATAATTCAGTTTGCTGCTGCTATTTCTTCTCCTTTCTAGGAAAAATATTCCATGGGCTTCTTTGGAAATTAAGGTAAATTTGATGACTGGGCTTTGATGCAAATTTTATGCATGATGTTTTATTTTATTGTGTGATTTTAAAAAATGTGTATAAATAATATTTTTCAAGGTCTTTTATGTGTTAGTGTTAAAATGAATATTCTCCTCTTTTGCCAGCGCTCACTATTAACAGAAAAATGTATATCTTTTAAAAACAACAAACCAGGCATAATATAATAATGCTCTGAAAATTGCTATTGCTGTTTTCCCTTAACACCTTGTGGAAAATTATGTCTGTACATACAGATCCACCTCATCCCTGTGTATTTGTGTTCTACTCCATTGCCAGAATTCTTTCAGTTATAAGTTACAGAAACTCAGCTCAAGCAGGCCTTATGAGGTTTGGTCCTGGAACTAGGAAGTCTGAGGACAAGAGCTGATTTTAGGCATGGTTGGTGGATCCATCTTTTTAGTTCTGCCTTTTCTGGTGTGGCTGTCACTCTCAGGTTGGCTTTGTTCGACGTGGTGCCAAAGATGGCCCCAGTTTTTATGGACTCGGAGAGAGAGACTCCTTTCTTCTAGCATCTGCTTGGGTCATATTTTCCGCTTGTTTTTTGACCACTCACTATACAACCAGAGAAATGAAGTCATCTGTTCCCATTAAATCACATTTCTGTCCTGATAGAGAGTGGGTAGAGCCTCATGAATGATACCTCCCAGGTGATGGAAGGGCAGTTTCTAGGGGAAAGGGGGCGGTTCTGTTGCTAGAAGAAGATGGAAGAACTGCTTTGCAGGCAAAAACATCTATGTCTGCTGTGGATGGATGAGTCATTACTTAACCTATTCCCCAGTATTGATGGGTATTCAAATTTCCAGTTTTTCATTATTACAAATAGATACATAAAAAGGATTCAAAATGCAACACTTTGTGTCTTCTCTAAGATAGTCTATGTTTAGATTATTGGATGAAGACTTTTGGATTGAGGGTTGTGGATTTAAAATTTTGATAGCTTTTGCCAGAGTGTCTTGAACAACAGAGCACTGGTTTATACTCCTACCCACAGTATATGGGAGTGACAGTTTGACATGCTTTCATAACACTGAATATTAATAATTTTAAAAAATGCTTCTCTGATGAATGAAAAAAACATTGTAATTTGTATTTATTTGATTACTGTTATTTGATTTGATTATCTCATCATTTACTATATTTTCACAGGTTTATTTTTCTGAAAATTGCCAGTTCATCTTTTGCCTGTTCTATTGGATTTGAGGTTTTTTTTTTTTTTTAATTATACTTTAAGTTTTAGGGTACATGTGCACAATGTGCAGGTTAGTTACATATGTATACATGTGCCATGCTGGTGTGCTGCACCCACTAACTCATCATCTAGCATTAAGTATATCTCCCAATGCTATCCCTCCCCCCTCCCCCCACCCCACAACAGTCCCCAGAGTGTGATGTTCCCCTTCCTGTGTCCATGTGTTCTCATTGTTCAATTCCCACCTATGAGTGAGAATATGTGGTGTTTGGTTTTTTGTTCTTGCGATAGTTTACTGAGAATGATGATTTCCAATTTCATCCATGTGCCTACAAAGGACATGAACTCATCATTTTTTATGGCTGCATAGTATTCCATGGTGTATATGTGCCACATTTTCTTAATCCAGTCTATCATTGTTGGACATTTGGGTTGGTTGCAAGTCTTTGCTATTGTGAATAATGCCACAATAAACATACGTGTGCATGTGTCTTTATAGCAGCATGATTTATAATCCTTTGGGTATATACCCAGTAATGGGATGGCTGGGTCAAATGGTATTTCTAGTTCTAGATCCCTGAGGAATCGCCACACTGACTTCCACAAAGGTTGAACTAGTTTACAGTCCCACCAACAGTGTAAAAGTGTTCCTATTTCTCCACATCCTCTCCAGCACCTGTTGTTTCCTGACTTTTTAATGATTGCCATTCTAACTGGTGTGAGATGGTATCTCATTGTGGTTTTGATTTGCATTTCTCTGATGGCCAGTGATGGTGAGTATTTTTTCATGTGTTTTTTGGCTGCATAAATGTCTTCTTTTGAGAAGTGTCTGTTCATGTCCTTCGCCCACTTTTTGATGGGGTTGTTTTTTTTCTTATAAATTTGTTGGAGTTCATTGTAGATTCTGGATATTAGCCCTTTGTCAGATGAGTAGGTTGCGAAAATTTTCTCCCATTTTGTAGGTTGCCTGTTCGCTCTGATGGTAGATTCTTTTGCTGTGCAGAAGCTCTTTAGTTTAATTAGATCCCATTTGTCAATTTTGGCTTTTGTTGGCATTGCTTTTGGTGTTTTAGACATGAAGTCCTTGCCCATGCCTATGTCCTGAATGGTAATGCCTAGGTTTTCTTCTGAGGTTTTTATGGTTTTAGGTCTAACATTTAAGTCTTTAATCCATCTTGAATTGATTTTTGTATAAGATGTAAGGAAGGGATCCAGTTTCAGCTTTCTACATATGGCTAGCCAGTTTTCCCAGCACCATTTATTAAATAGGGAATCCTTTCCCCATTGCTTGTTTTTCTCAGGTTTGTCAAAGATCAGATAGTTGTAGATATGCGTCATTATTTCTGAGGGCTCTGTTCTGTTCCATTGATCTATATCTCTGTTTTGGTACCAGTACCATGCTGTTTTGGTTACTGTAGCCTTGTAGTATAGTTTGAAGTCAGGTAGTGTGATGCCTCCAGCTTTGTTCTTTTGGCTTAGGATTGACTTGGCGATGTGGGCTCTTTTTTGGTTCCATATGAACTTTAAAGTAGTTTTTTCCAATTCTGTGAAGAAAGTCATTGGTAGCTTGATGGGGATGGCATTGAATCTATAAATTACCTTGGGCAGTATGGCCATTTTCACAATATTGATTCTTCCTACCCATGAGCATGGAATGTTCTTCCATTTGTTTGTATCCTCTTTTGTTTCCTTGAGCATTGGTTTGTAGTTCTCCTTGAAGAGGTCCTTCACATCCCTTGTAAGTTGGATTCCTAGGTATTTTATTATCTTTGAAGCAATTGTGAATGGGAGCTCACTCATTATTTGGCTCTCTGTTTGTCTGTTGTTGGTGTATAAGAATGCTTGTGATTTTTGTACGTTGATTTTGTATCCTGAGACTTTGCTGAAGTTGCTTATCAGCTTAAGGAGATTTTGGGCTGAGACAATGGGGTTTTCTAGATATAAAATCATGTCATCTGCAAACAGGGACAATTTGACTTCCTCTTTTCCTAATTGAATACCCTTTATTTCCTTGTCCTGCCTAATTGCCCTGGCCAGAACTTCCAACACTATGTTGAATAGGAGTGGTGAGAGAGGGCATCCCTGTCTTGTGCCAGTTTTCAAAAGGAATGCTTCCAGTTTTTGCCCATTCATTATGATATTGGCTGTGGGTTTGTCATAGATAGCTCTTATTATTTTGAAATACGTCCCTTCAATACCTAATTTATTGAGAGTTTTTAGCATGAAGCGTTGTTGAATTTTGTCAAAGGCCTTTTCTGCATCTATTGAGATAATCATGTGGTTTTTGTCTTTGGTTCTGTTTATATGCTGGGTTGCATTTATTGATTTGGGTATATTGAACCAGCCTTGCATCCCAGGGATGAAGCCCACTTGATCATGGTGGATAAGCTTTTCAATGTGCTGCTGGATTCAGTTTGCCAGTATTTTATTGAGGATTTTTGCATCAATGTTCATCAAGGATATTGGTCTAAAATTCTCTTTTTTGGTTGTGTCTGTGCCCGGCTTTGGTATCAGGATGATGCTGGCCTCATAAAATGAGTTAGGCAGGATTCCCTCTTATTCTATTGATTGGAATAGTTTCAGAAGGAATGGTACCAGTTCCTCCTTGTACCTCTGGTAGAATTCGGCTGTGAATCCATCTGGTCCTGGACTCTTTTTGGTTGGTAAGCTATTGATTATTGCCACAATTTCAGCTCCTGTTATTGGTCTATTCAGAGATTCAACTTCTTCCTGGTTTAGTCTTGGGAGAGTGTATGTGTCGAGGAATTTATCCATTTCTTCTCCTGATTTATAGGTATTGTATACAGTGTGGCTTTTAATCGTTTAGTATTTAAACAAATGCATCATATATATATAAGTATATTTATAAGTAACCTATACTCATATTTATAGAAATGTTTATACTTTCATGTATGAAGTATCTTTTGGGCTGTCTGAGCTTGTGAACTTGGTTTACGGTATTTTATTTAAGTTTTAATTGTAGTCAGATCTACTCTTCTGGGTCTTGTGACTTGTTTACATAGGCCTTATCTATCACAAGATTTTAAAAATTTAATATTATCTTCTAGTGACTTTATAATCTTGTTTAAATTTACATTTGTATTCCATCTGTAATTTGATTTTGTGTACTGTATGATATGGAACTGTTTTTCTCTAAATGCCTCAGGAGTTCTCTTGATACTGTCTATTGAAGAGTTGATTCTTTCCCCGTTTACTGGGAATAATACTAAATTCCCATGTGTGCCTACTGTTAACCCTGTGGCCTAAATACTCTCAACCAGTATTTTAGTTAAATGTATATTCTTGTACAAGGACCCAAAGCACTAGCACCCTACCAAATTTGACCAGAAGGACTATTTCCCGGACATCCTGAATTGTAGCAAGTTGTTTTTCCTACTAATGACTAGGGGAAAATGTAGTCTCACTCTTACTCCATTCTTATTTCTAAAGGCTTCCTGGCTATTTTTGTTTTAAATCAGCTTATATCATCTTTTTTGATACAATAAAAATATCACCAATTTTAAATGATTCTCTGGGTCTTGACAAATATATGCAGTTGTGTAACTATGACAATCATAATATTGAATGTTTGTATCACCTCCAAAAGTCCCCTCATTTTCTTTTGCAGGCAAGTTCCTCTGCCCATAGTTCGACCTGGCAACCACTGATGTGCTTTCTGTCACTATAGTTTTGCCTATTCTTGAATTACATAGAAAAGAAATGAGTCAGTATATAGTCTTTGCTGTTGCTCTTACACTTTGCATAATGCCCTTAAGATGAATTCATCTGTTGTTTCTTGTATCAGTAGTTTGTTTCTTTCTATTTATTCATTTACCAGTTGATGGACCACTTGGGTTGTTCATGCTCTTTGATTATCATGGATAAAGTTGCTAAGAATATTTGGGCAACAATTTTTGCCTTAACATATATTTCATTTCTCTTGGGGCAAATACCTATGAGATTGCTGGGCTATATAGTGAGTGCACATTTATTTCATTGTAAAGTTTCAAATTGTTTTCCAAAGTGATTGTCCCATTTTGTAGTCTTACCAGCCATGCCTGAGAGTTCTAGTTGCTCCTCATCTTTGTCAGCACTTGTTATTGTCCGTCTCTTAAATCTTCAGTGTTCTGTGGATGTGTCGTGGTAGTTCATTTTGGTTTTAATTTGGATTTCTCTTATTAATGATGTTTAATATATTTTCATGTGCATATTTGCCTTCTTTTTATATTGTCTCCAAATCAGGTTGTCTTGAGTCATATACATACATACATACATACATACATATATATATATATATATTTTTTTTTTTTTTTTTGGGCGGTGGGAGAAAGCTAGTACTTTATCAAATGTGTGTTTTGCAGATATTTTCCTTCTGTCCGTGGCTTGGTTTTTAATTTTTTTAGCAGTGTCTTTTGAGGAGCAGAAGTTTAAATTTTGATCAAGTCTAATTTATCAATATTTTTTCTGTGGTTTATACTTATGCCTTATCTGAAAAATCTTTTTTCTTTTTCTGACTTCTTTTGGAATGAGAGTTTAAAAATTTTTTTTGAAGAATTCATTTTATTTCTACTATTGGCTTATCAGCTCTACCTTTATTTATTTATTTGTTTATTTTTTTGAGATGGAGTGTCACTGTGTCACCCAGGCTGAAGTACAGTGGCGCAATCTCTGCTCACCGCAACCTCTACCTCCTGGTTTCAAGTGATTCTCCTGCCTCATCATCCCAAGTAGCTGGAACTACAGGCAAGTGCCACCATGCCCAGCTAATTTTTGTATTTTTAGTAGAGACGGAGTTTTACCATGTTGACCAGGCTTGTCTTGAACTCCTGACCTCAGGTGATCCACCCTGCTTGGCCTCCAGAAGTGCTAGGATTACAGGCGTGAGCCACCATGGCTGGCCCAGCTCTACCTCTTTTTTATTTAAAAAAAAAAAAAAATAGATGTACTCTAGTGCAGTAGTTCTCAACTGCAGTCAGATTTCTCTCTCACCCCCAGGACGTTTGTCAGTGTCTGGATACATATTTGAATTTGTCACTACTGGGGGTGGGTGTTCATGGCATCTATTGGGTAGAGGCCAGGAGTCCCACTAAACACCTTACAGTGCACAGGACAACCCCCACAACAAGGGATTATCTGGCTCAAAATGTCAGTAGCACCAAGGTAGAGAAATTTTATTCTAGGACAGGGCTTAGCAACTTTTTTGTAAAGAACCAGGTAGCAAATATTTTAGATTTTGTGTGACGTAGATGCTTTCACGTTTCCTTTCCCTCTCACCTCTTCCAAAATGCAAAAACCATTCTTAGCTTCTGAACTATACAAAAATAACAGGCTGGATTTAGCCTGTGCCAGAGTTTGCTGACCCCGCTTCAGGGTTTACAACATGCACGTACTACCTGCAAATAATATTTTATCCCCTTCTGTGTAAGGTCCATTTCCCACCTATCGTTTGTGCTGTTGTCATACATTGTACTCTTTACATATGTTTATAAACTTCTCAAGATGTTGTTGTTATTTTTGTTTGAAACTATTATCCTTTAAAAAGATTTAAAATTTTTTAATAGTGTTAATATAATGACCACTTCCAGTGCTCTTTTCTCTTTGGTAAAGGCTCAAATTTCTGTTTAGTATCTTATTCATTTCTTTTGCTTAAGTTTTGCTGACAACTGAATTCTCCCAGCTTTAATTTGAAAAATGTCTTTAATTTTGAAAGATGACTTTCGCTGGGTAGGGAATCCTGAATCGACAGTTTATTTCAGTACTTTAAGGATGTTCCTCCACTGTCATTTGGCTCGCATAATTTCTGACAATGCTGCTGTCATGTATCTTTTTCTCTTGGATGTTTTTTCAGATTTTCATTTTATTACTGGTTAACATTTCATTATCGTGTCTTTGTGTGGTTTTCTTCATTTTTATTCTGCAAGGAGTTTATTGTACTTCATCATATGAGTTTATTTCTTCATATTTTTATTCTATTCCACCTTCTCTTTTTTCTACTTCCTTGACTGTAATTGCATGCATGTTACTTCTTTCATTTTATCCCACATGTCACTGGTGCTTTATTCATTCTGTCGTTTTTTTCTTTCTGGATAATGTCTAGTACCATGTTTTCAAGTTTGCTCATCTTTTCCTCTGCACTGTTTACACCACTGTTAATCCCATTCCGTGAATTTTTTATTTCAGACATTGTATTTTTCATTTCTAAATGGTTTTTACTCTCTCTCTTCATCATGATGATGTTTTTCTCTCCTGACCATATTGAATATATTTATAATAGCCATTTTAGTATATTTATTTGCCCTTTTTATTACCTCTCTTGCCTCTGGCTCTGTTTCTATTGATTACTTTTTCTCTTGGATATGGGTCATATTTTTCCATTTCTTTGCTGTCTTTTTTCTGACTGGATGATGAATACGAAGAATTTCATATTATTGCTGTGATTGGTTTTATTTCTTTAAGTAATGTGGCTTCTTTGTGGAGTAGTTATTTGGGATTAGTTGGATCCTTTCAGTGCTTGCTTGTAAGCTTCGTTTGGGCACATGCAGAGCAGTCTTGGGCTAATTTAGGCCCTCCTTTCCTTTTTATTCATTTTTATTGTTATTTATGTTTAAATTTTATTTTTAATTGTGGTTATAAACTCATAAAGTTAAATTTGCCACCTTAACTATTTTTATGTGTACAGTTCAGTAATGTTAGTATATTTACATTGTTGTGCAACAGGTTTCCAGAGCTTCAGCTTGCAGAACTGAAACTCTATGCCCCTTAGACACTAATTCTGTCTCCTCTCAACAATCCCGGCAACCATCTTCCAACCTCTGTTTCTATGATTTTGACTTATTTAGATACCTCATGTGATTCCCCTTTATTTTAAAGAAATCTGTCTGGTCCCTCATGTATTATGTGGTCTTTTCACTCTGGCTGGTAGGAGTGAGATTTTTCCTGCTTATTCCTTTCTGGTGGCTCTTTCCCAGCCTCGAGTATTATCTTCTCACACCATACAGATTGGAACTCAAGTAATCCTTGAGGGGACCGTCTGCAGGTTTCTGGTGCTCTCTGGCTCTGCATTTCCCTCATCTCCTGTGCTCTGCCTTACAAATTCTGGCTGCCTTGTCCTCTGAACTCTGACTCTGTCTCCCTGAATTGGTGAATCAGCTGAGCTTCATTTCCCCTCCCTGTACTAAGGCCTGGAAACTGCCTTCAGGTAGGAAGCTGGTATAATTGTAGAGTTCACCTTTTCTATTTCCCTTCTTACGTATCACAGTCCTGTGTTGCCTGATACCTAATGTCCAGAAAACCATTGCTTCATATATTTTGTCCACTTTTGTAGTTATTTAAGGCAGGAGGGTAAATCTGATAACTGTTACTCAATCTTGACTGAAAGCTGAAGTTGTCTTGAATCTTCAGGATTGGAACCATTTCCAAAGGAAGTGGATGACTCTGTTAGTAGCCAGTGGGTAACCAGGTCAAATTTATAAGAGTTTCTCTGGCTCATTTCTGTATAAATCTTAACTAAAATGGTTGGTGTTTGACCATAGAAACATTTGAGAATATTTAGATAAAGGGGAGTCTGGGTAGAGTGACCTCCCAGGACATTATCTTTTCCAGGTGAACGCATTCACATCCCAGAATCTCAGGCAACCCAGATTCCATTTGTTTACATCAAGTTGTTTTCTGCACTCAGACCTGTTTGTTTTGGTGAGGTCACAGGTGGTTGAAATAAAATCCTCCCTTACTAAAAATCATGTGAGCCCCCCATGCCTGTGCACTTGTGGAGTTCAATTTCTGCTGCCTTCAGGCTAGGAGGGCTGACAACTTTCTCACAGAAATATTGGAAGTATTTTTGGTGCATAGCTCTTTAAAGGCCATTTTGAATAAAACTGAACAATTTAGCAAGCAATTAAAAACTAATTAGAATCTTTGCATTATTTTCAGGGGAAGCATAATGCATTGTAGTTTTTTGTGAGTGTTACTGCAAAATTAAATATCTCTAATTTATAGCTGGCCTTTAGCTAGAGGCAGCTTTGTAGGTGATAGCTGACAATATTTTCCGTTAAGGCTTTTAGGAACTCACATGCCGTTTTACTTTAGATTTCTCAAAACTTTTTGGAAGGTGTTAGGCATACTACCATTGATGTGGCTTCCAATACATTAATAAAGTGCCCCTGCACTTAGCTTTTCTTCAGTGCTCACAAGGTACCAAATGAGCTGAGGGAAGATCAGACACTTTAACACTTTGTGAAGTAATATTAAGCTTTACAGCTTTACAGCACTAGAAATCTATTTAATTCCCTGTCATTGCTTCTAAAATGCATTTTAAATCTGTTGTCATTGGCAGAATGCTCAGAGTCACTGAAGAATTATTTTTGACTTGGTGTTTATATCTAAAATTTTCTAGTGAGACAAATCCTCTCCAGTGCTGGAGGAAATTAACATTTTGGCTTTTCAAGGTAGTATTAGTATTAGGTTAGAACTTACAGTTCCCTGAGGTCTTTCAGTCTTTGGGGCTTAGAAAGGCTAACAACATTTCTTATTCCTTGTTTTTGGATAATGTGTTGGTTACAGTTTTTCTCCAAATCCCATTTTTTTTCTTTTAAATCACTATTTTATTGAGTCAAGTCACTGTAATTCTATATTACATAGATGTTATCTCTTAATTTGAAAAGCAAAATCAACGGCTGTAATTCTTTTTTTAATCAGTGTAAAATGCATATGTCCAGAATGTAATTGACTACTCAGTAATTGGCAGGAGAGGTTTCCACTAGGCTCTGTGAAATGTAATAACTAATTTGCTGATGGCATTATGCTGTGATGAGGGAAGAACAGTATCACCTAAAAGCTTTTCTGGAGGAGGGGCTGATATGAGCTGGTAATGTTAGATGAGTGCAGCGCTTATACTATAAAATTAACTGCATAATGTCATAGGGCAAAAATCTCAGAATATTAAAGCAAATATTGACAATATAAGGCTAAATCATTTTCTCAAAATGTAAATGTTGGTCTACAGGTATTTCTCTGTAGTATTTACTACACCTTGGAGGCTTTACAAAAGAGATCAGGTATGCACATTGGCATATTAATCCTGCAGTAAAAAGGTACATTTAACCCTTTTACTCCCAGAGTTCCCCAAACATAGTTGAACACAAGCCTTTTTTTTTTTTCTTTTCTTTTTTTTTTTTTTCAGATAACACCTGCAGAACTGCTATTCCTTGAAACACTTTTTGAGAAACACTTGGTCATGAGAAATTTTCTTTTTCCTTTTCTGGGCCTAATCTATAAAATGGCCAATGTCTACACCTCACAGGATTGTGAGGATAAAAATGTTTAACACTGTGCAGAGCACATAGGCTTAATAAATGGCAGCTTAAAATTTTTTTTTGAGGAATAATACATGCAATAAAATGCACAAATTTTAAGTAAACAGCTTGATTAACTTATATATATATACACACACCCATGTAACCACCACCCAGATCATGGCATAGAACCTCTCTAGCACACCAAATCTCCCTTGTGTCCCCTTGTAATCAATAGCTCCTAATTATTCTCTCTTCTGTCATATGGAAGAAGTCATACAGATTCTGATTTTCATAAGTCTGGCTTCTTTCACTCAACACTATACCTGAGAAATTCACCTGTGTTGTATTTAATAGTCCAGTCTATAAATGCACAATTATATATCCCTTCTCCTATTGGTGGACATCTGCTTGGTTGCAGTGGGGCTATTATAAATAATGCTGCCATGAACTTATCTCTCACAGTTATATCGCTAGAATTGCTGAGTCATAGGGTGGGTGTATGTTTGTTTAGTAGAGAGGCAATTTGTGTGTTTCCTACCACCTAAAATGCCCCTCTGAGACACACTCCAATCACTGCCAAGCCTTCCTTAACCATTGTAGGGTGATCGGCCCTCCTGGTTTGCCCACAACTGAAGGGTTTCCTAGGACATGGAACTTTCAGTGCTAACACAAGGGAAGTCCCAGACAGACCAGGATGAGCTGATCCCCCTACCACCCAGTCTACAGTGCCTTCTCTTTTCTCTGTACATCATAGTTTATCATTTGACTATTAATGTGCAGTAGTACAGACTTTTTTGGTAGGAGTCTCCTCACCTACAAAGGTTCATTGGAACAGGAGCTAGATCTTACGTATCTTTCACTCTCCCACACACCCAGTAGAATGCCTTCTACAGAGCACTGTCCAGATATGCCACTGGGGAATGCTCAGACATTCTCATAAGAATTTTAAGAGACTTAGACATTAAGGAACGCTTCTGAAGTAGACTCTAAGCATATAGGCAAAGCTGTATTACTCCCATTTTTTACATGAGAAAATATTCACAGATGAGTTTTCACATGTTCAAGATCATATGACTAGTAGGTGGGAGAGGTCAGGAAAAAAAAATTCACCCAACTCTAAATATTCAGAGTTCTGGGCTTTCTGCAAATATGGCCACCAGGCAATAATGTAACAACTGTGAGGAAACTAGATCAAGGATTACCAAGCAACATTTCTTAACTTGACCACAGATTTTTAGGAAGGGGATTGGGAGGACAGAGAGAATTTTAGAGGACTTTAGGAAACACTTCACTCTGCCATTTAAGCAGAGGTCTTCCCTTGGAGAGTTGTCTGGCCACAGTATGGTATGTGTAGTGAAGCAGTAAGAGAGAGAGCGGAGAGTTAGTTTGAGATTGGGCTACAGAGAGTGTTGAATACGATGCAAAATACATTGAACACAAGGCAATGACGTTGAAAGTATTCTAAAGAGACTTTATTGGGTGCACAGTGACTTGGCAGGGCGAGAAGAAGAGGTAAAGTCTTAATTAGGAGGCGTCACTGTGGTCTACGGGTGAGTCAGAAAGGACCCAAGCTCGAGAACACAGCCGCAGTGAGGCCACAGGCCAGCAATTGTGCTGGAGAGTCTAAGGCATCAAGTCAATCATCATTTTCTAAGAAATGTTTCACTTTTAATCTCAAAAGTCACTCAGGCCTTGTCATATCTATGTTACTACACTGGTGTTTTTGTTTTTGTGTGTGTGTGTTTTTTTCTTCGGGTGTGGCTTTTTAAAAATTACCATTTAATTTCTTAAGAAGTAGTCCCATGAACTTGTTCCAGAGTTCCCATCCCCTGCACAGAGCTGGTGGTTTTAAATATAGTAGGGTGGATGGAAAAGGTGTCAGGAAATTTGGGGGCATATCTTGTTTCAACGTAAAATAATGAAGAACAGCAGAGTTCTGGTGGCCAGGACACGGAGGCAAGATAAGGGTCACCCATGCAAAGGTTTCCTTGGCATTTCCCGAGGGCTCTTCATTAGCGAACATGCTTTCAGAACTGGTTGCTTAAAAAGCTAGCCCTCTTAGAAGGTTATAAAAAAGGAGTTCAGTTTTCCGTGGGAAACAACTTAGCTTAGTGGATTTAGGGACAGAATATCTGGATTCAAGTCCTGGATTCTCTACCTCCTGGTCATATGGCCTCTGGCAAACCCACCCACATTTTTAGAACTTTTTTTTTTTTTTGAGGCAGAGTTTCACTCTTATTACCCAGGCTGGAGTACAATGGTGTGATCTCGGCTCACTGCAACCTCTGCCTCCTGGGTTCAAGTGATTCTCCTGCCTCAGCCTCCCAAGTAGCTGGGATTGCAGGTGCCCACCACCACGCCCAGATAATTTTTTGTATTTTTAGTAGAGATGGGGTTTCACCATGTTGGCCAGGCTGGTCTCGATCTCCTGACCTCAGGTGATCCACCTGCCTCAGCCTCCCAAAGTGCTAGGATTACAGGCATGAGCCACCATGCCCAGTCTAGGACACTTTTTCTAGTCTGTGTGTCAGATACAAAAGAAGTTCCTCTTCAAAGGTTTAGCTTGTTCAGTGCCCTTGTTCTTTGTTCCCTACTTCAAGCCCAAACCAACTTCCTTATCCCTTATGCCTCCCTGTCTTAGTTTCAGTAAACAACTTTCCCGCCAGTCCTTATCTGCAAAGACCACATATGCTAACCCATTCTGCGAATTACCCCTCCTGTCGCAACAGCTCTTCCTGCCAAAACTGCCCTTCCCATTGGTATAACCACGTTCCTGCACCTCTCAAGTTAGCCAGTGGGGTTCAGCTTAAATTGTGCAGTCCAACTCCAGCTAATGGATACAGGACACAGTAGCAGGGACAAACTGCATTAGGGATAAAAGCCCCTTCCCCACTTTGTTCGGTGTGCTCTTGTGGTGACCAGACATGCAAGCAGCACCCTTCTGCAGAAGTAAATTTTGCCTTGCTGAGAAATCCTTTGTTTAAGTACTCGTTTTCTTTGCAACTCTGAGCTTTACTTCCAACATGTGGAGTGGGAATAATGGTACCTGCCTCTTTTACATGTTCACCATAATAAAATGAGGCAATGTGTGTGCCAGTGCTTCCTAAACCCGAAAGCAACAAAGTTCATTTAACTATTTCCCTGTTGATTGATTCTGTGCTTTTTATTTCCCTCCTTTTTGTGAGCATTCGTTCCCCATTAATTAGTTACTAATTATCATGATAAGTTCTTAATGTTGGCTGGCATTAATTATGTTCCAGAAGCTGAGAGCTTCATTTATGTTCTCTCTCTCTCTCTCTCTCCAAACTATGGCTTGTGAGACGACTATTAGCTTCTTCATCTGTTAAACTGGGCCAATGAGTCTCAGAGATGTTAGGCCACCTTCTTTGGATCATGCAACTGGAAGTCAAACCCAGAGCAGGCTGACTCTACAGCCTGAACTCCTAACATTTTTACTGCCTTGCACTTGAGTGAGATCTGGCTGTAGGAGGGCATCTTGGAGTCTGGGAAGGAACTAAAGCACTGTGTCCCTACCTCCTTATGGGGACAAAATGGAAGGGCTAATTGCGACTGCCTCTTTACCATACCTCTATCTGTTACAAGTCCAGCTTATCCTCAGGGAGGTCACATGTGGGCAGAAGTCTGAGTTTCTGCTATGGGTGAAAGCTCAGATGGTCAAGACATAGGGATTGAAAGTGCAACTGTGACATTCTTTTTATAGGATATGGACCTAAGCTTCTAAGGGTTTTTCTTTGTGTGTGTGTGTGTGTGGTTTTTGTTGTTGTTGTTGTTGTTTTGTTTTGACCATAAGAAAACCCTACAATCCCTGGTAAGGTAAGGTAGAGTAGGACTTTGGTCCCAGCATAGAGGTTTAGAAGGACAGGTATGGAATAATGAATTGAAAGTTGCAGAGTCTTGCTGGCCATCTCTGGGGACTTTTTGCGCACGAGAAACAGTGCAAGAAATATTTCATAGGGGTCCTGGGGCCCACCTATGCTGCTTAGGGCTTTGTATTAGGGTGACTGTGCCCTGTTCCCGTATATTAAAATCTTCCTGGGGAGAAGCATTTTCTCAATTTAGATTTTTGTAATTAAAAAGGAAGGCTTTAAATTGGGGCTACAGATACTAGGACAGTGAATGGACTGATCCAATTTATTTTTTTTTTAAGGCTGCAAAGTTTTTTGATAGAGTTAACAACCCAATTGTCTCAGCTCAATTTTCTTTTTATTTTTTAAAGAGATGAAATATGTAGCTAGATATAGATAAAACAAAAACAAAACTAAACCCTGAAATGTACTCAGTTCAAAAGCAAATAGAAGATAAATTAACAATGTTCTCTAGCCTGGAATGATCCAGTCTAGAGGAAGGAAAAAGTGAAATACAGTGGAGGTTAATATCCAAATACTGAGCTGGGCAGACACCTCAGCCTGCTACCTGCCCGTTCCTGCTCACATGTTGCACAAGGTCTTGTATGTCTGTCAGGTATGTATGTTATTATTTGGGAGAAGAAGAGACTGAGTGGAGAATATGCTGATTTTGCAGTTCTCAGTTTGATCTTCATAACATTCATATATCTTGATGTTTACAGGTATTCTTTTAAAATTGACACATAATATCTGTATATATTTATGGCTTATATTGTGATATTTTAATACCTGTATGTAAGTTATAATGATCAAATCAGGGTAATTAGCATATCTGTCACATCAAACCATTATAATTTCATTATGGGGACATTCAGAGTCCTCCCTTCTAGCTATTGGAAAATATAGAGTAAATTATTGTTAATTATGGTCAGCCTACAATGCTGTAGAACCCTAGAACTTACTCCTATCAAGCTATAATTTTTGTGTCCTTTAACTACCTTCTCTCTATCTCTCCTCCCTTCCTAGCTGCTAGTTGCCACTATTCTATTCTCTACTTCTGGGAGATCAATTTGTTTAGCTTCTACATATGACTGAGACCAGTAGTGGGATTGCTGGATCATATGGTAGTTCTATTTTTAGTTCTTTGAGCAACTTCCATACTGTTTTTATGATGGCTAATTCACATTCCCACCAAAAGTGTGTAAAAGTTCTTTTCTCCACATCCTCACCAGCAACTGCTTTTTTTTTTGTCTTTCTGATAATCACTATTCTAACTGGAGTGAGATGATATCTCATTGTGGTTTTGATTTGCATTTCTCTTATTATGATGTTGTACATTTTTTCATATAGTTGTCCATTTGTATTGCTACTTTGATTATTTTTATTATTTTTTTTTTTGCTGTTGAGTAGTTTGAGTTCCTTGTGTATATTCTACATATTAATCCCTTGTTGGATAAATAGTTTGCAAACATTTTCTATTATACTATAGGTTGTTTCTTCACTCCGTTGATTGTTTCCTTTGCCGTGCAGAGCTTTTTACTTTTATGTAATCCCATTTATCTTTGCTTTTGTTGCCTCTGCTTTTGAGGTTTTATTTCTACAGATATTAGCCTGAAGTATTTCTCTTATGTTTTCTTGTAGTAGTTTTTTAGTTTCAGTTCTTACATTTAGGTCATTAATTCATTTTGAGTTAATTTTGTATATGGTGAGAGATAGTAGTCTAGTTTCATTTTTCTGGGTATGGATAATCCCAGTGCCATTTATTGAAGATACTGTTCCTTCCCCACTAAATGTTCTTGGTGCCTTTGTTGAAAATCAGATAGCTGTAAATAAATGGATTTATTTCTGGGTTCTCTATTCTGTTCCGTTTGTGTATGTGTCTGTTTTTATGCAAGTACTATGCTGTTTTGGTTAGTACAGTATGTACTAACATTTTGTAGTACATTTTGTAGTCCAGTAGTATGATGCCTCCAACTTTGTTTTTTGTTTGTTTTTGTTTTTGTTTGATTAAGATTGCTTTAGTTGTTTGGGATCTTTTGCAACCCTATGTGGATGTTAGGATTGCTTTTTCTATTTCTGTGAAGAATGTTGTTGGTATTTCAATTGGAATTACATTGAATCTTTGTATCTTTTGGGGTAGTGTAGTTATTTTAACAGCATTCTTACAATCCATGAACATGGGATATTTTTTCTATTTTTTGTATGTGTTTGTGAACTCTTCAGTTTCTTTGATCAAAGTTTCAAAATTTTTAAGAAACTAGAAAAACAAGAACAATTCAAACTCAAATCTAGCAAAAGAAAAGAAAGCAAAGAGATCAAGCAGAACTAAATGAGATTAAGATGAAAAAATAACTATTATGCAATGAAGCAATGAAACAAAAAGTTGGTTTTTGAAAGGGTAAGCAAAATTGACAGACCACTAGGCAGGTTAATCAACAAAAAATGAGAAAAGATTCCAACTACAATCAGAAATGATAAAGGGGCCATCACAACTGATAATACAGAAATACAAAAGAACATCAGAAACTAATATGAATACCTCTATACACACAAACTAGAAAACCCAGAGGAAATAGATAAATTCTAGGACACATGCAGCCCCCCAAGATTGAACCAGGAAGAAATAGAAATCCTGATCAGACCATTAACAAGTCATGGAATTGCATCTGTAGTTAAAAAAAATCTTTTATCAGAATAAAATGAAAGGAAGAAAGGAACAAAAAATACACAAAACAACCAGAAAATAATTAACAAAATGAAAGAGGTCAGTCCTCACCTATAAATAATAACCTTGACTTCAAACAGATTAAATTTTCCAATTAAAAGGTACAGACTGGCTGAAAGGATTTAAAAAAGGAAATAACAGGACCCAACTACATGTTGCCTACAGGAAAGTCACTTCACCTTTAATGACACACATAGATTGAATTGAAGGGATAGAAATAAATATGCAAACAGAAACCAAAACAAAGCAGAAGTAGCTATACTTACATCAGATAAAATGGACTTTAAGTCAGAAACTGTAAAGAGACAAAGAAGATGATTATATAATGATAAAGGAGTCATTTCACCAAGAAGATATATGCAGTCAACACCAGGGCACCCAGATATATAAAACAAATATTAACAGGTTTAAAAAAGAAGTTAGGCTCTAATACAATAATAGCTAGAGACTGCAACACCCTACTGTCACCGTTGGACAGACCTCTAGACAGGCCATCAATAGACATTGAATTTTAATTCTACTTTAGGCCAAATGGACCTAACAGACATTTACAGAATATTTTATCCAACAGCTACAGAATACACATTTTTCTCATCAGCACATGGAAAATTCTCCAAGATAGGCCACATGTTAGGCCACAATACAAGTTTCAACAAATTTTAAAACATCAAAATCATATCAAGTCTATTCTCAGGCCACAATGGAATACAAAAGACATTAATAACAAAAGGTATTTTGGAAAGTGTACAAATGCATGGAAATTAAACAACATGCTCTTGGACAATCACTGGGTCAATGAAGAAATTAAGGAAATCAAAAAAAATTTGGAAACAAATGAAAATAGAAACTCAACATACCAAAACCTATAGGATGCAGTAAAAGTAGCAGTAGGAAGGAATTTTATAGCAATTAACACATACATCAAAACAGTAGAAAGTTTTCAAATAATCCAGTGATGCACCTCAGGGTACAAAAAAAGTTTCCCAGCAAAGAAAAGCCCAGGACCTGATAGCTTCACTTCTCAAATCTGCCAAACTAATAGAGGAGTTTTTATGTTTTTTTAGGTATATGATCATATCATTAAGGGACTGAGATAATTTGACTTCCTCTTTTCTAATTTGTATTTTATTCATTTTTTTTACGCCTTGACTGCTCTGGCTATGACTTCCAGTACCGCCTTGAATAGGAGTGGTGAGAGTGGACATCCTGTCTTCCTTCAGTTCTAGTAGGGAATGTTTTCAGCCTCTCTCCATTCAGTATAAAGTTGGCTGTGGATTTTTCACAGAAGGTTCTCATTATTTTGAGATATGTTCCTTTGATGTGTAATTTGTTGAGGATTTATTATTTAGAAGGGATTTTGAATTTTATTGAATGCCTTTTCTCCATCTATCGAGATTTTCATATGGTGTTTGTTTTTAGTCCTGTTTATGTAAAGAATCACACTTACTGATTTGCAGTTGTTGAACCATCCTTGTATCTCTGGAATAAAATTCACGTGATCATTATGAATTATCTTTTTGATGTGCTGTTGGATTTGTTTGCTAGTATTTTTGTTGAGGATTTTTGCATTTATGTTCATCAGGGATATTAACCTGTCGTGTTTATTGTTGTTGTTGTGTTCTTGCCTAATTTTGGTATCAGAGTGTTACTGGATTCATAGAAGTAGTTAGGGAGGGATCTTTCCTTTTCAATACTTTGGAATAGTTCCAATAAGATTAGTAACAGATCTCCTTTATATATCTGGTAAAATTTGCTTTGAATATGTCTGGTTTGGGCCTTTTTGTTATTGTTGTTGGAAGTAATGATTCAGCTTTATTACTCATTAATTGTCAGATCAGGATTTTATTTCTTTTTGGTTGTATCTTGGGAGGTTGTATATTTCCCAGAATCTATCCATTTCCTGTAGGTTTTCTATTTTATGTGTGTAGAGGTGTTCATACTAGTCTCTGATGCTCTTTTGTGTATTATCAGTTGGAATGTTCATTGTATAAATTATTTTATTGATCTCAATCTCATTTAGTTCTGCTTGATCTTTCTTTTCTCTTGATAGATTTTGGTTTGGATTGTTCTTGTTTTTCTAGTTCCTTGAGGGTCCACGTTAGGTTATTAATTTTCATCTTTCTATTTTTTTTTTTTGATGTAGGTGTTTAACATTATAAACTTTCCAGTTAGCACTGCTTTTGCTGTGCCCTAGGTTTTGGTGCATTGTATCTATTTTCATTTGTTTTGAAAAAGATTTCAATTTCTGCCATAAGTTTGTTGTTTACCCAAAGGTTATTCAGGAGCAAGTTGTTTAGCTTATGTGTACTTGTGTAGTATTGAGCATTTCTCTTGGTATTGATTCCTAATTTTATTTGTCTGTGGTCTGAGAAGATGCTTGATATGATTTTTAGGTTTTTAAAATTTATTGAGACTTGCTTTGTGGTCAGGCACATGGTCAGTTTTGGAACATTCATGCAGAATTGAGAAGAATGGATATTCTGCGATCATTGGATATAATGTTCTGTAAGTGACAATTAGGTTCATTTAGTCTATATAGTCCAATTTAAGTCCAGAGCTTCTTTGTTGATTTTCTGCCTCAGTGATCTGTCTTGTCATGTCAGTGGGGTGTTGAAGTCCCCCACTATTATTATATTTCTATCAATCTGTTTTCTTAGGTGTAGTAGTATTTGTTTTATGAATCCAGGTGCTCCAATGTTGGATGCATGTGTGTGTTAGTCCATTTTCACACAGCTGATAAAGACATACCCGAGACTGGGTGATTTATGAAGAAAAAGAGTTTTAATGGACTCACAGTTTCACATTGCTGGGGAGGCCTCACAATCATGGTGGAAGGCAAAAGGCCTGTTTTATACGGCAGCAGGCAAGAGAGAAAATGAGAACCAAACGAAAGGGGTTTTCCATTATAAAACCATCAGATCTTGTGAGACTTATCCACTACCACAAGAACAGTATGGGGGAACCACCCCCATGATTCAGTTTTCTCCCAATGGGTCCCTCCCACAACATGTGGGAGTTATGGGAGCTACACAATTCAAGATGAGATTTGGGTGAGCACACAGCCAAGTCATATCAACGTGTATTTTGGATAGTTGTATCTTTTTGTTGCATTAAGCTCTTTATTATTATATAATGCTCTTATTTGTCTTTTTTATAACTGTTGTTTGTTTAAGGTCCTTTTATTTGATATGAGGATGGCTAATCTTGCTTTCTTTTGTTTTCCTTTTGCATGATATATCTTTGTTCACCCATTTACTTTGAGTCTGTAGCTGTCTTTAGCCCAGAGGTGTTGTCTCTTATAGGCTGCAGGTGGTTGGATCTTGTTTTTTTAATCCAGTTTCCCACTCCGTATCTTTTAAGTTGAGCACTTGGGCCGTTTACAATCAAGGTTAATATTAATATATGAAGTTTTGTTTCTGTCATAGTGTTGTTGCCTAGTTGCCCCTGGGGTTTAAATTGTATAATTGCTTTAGAGAATCTGTGAGATTTTTACTTATATGGCCTTTTATGATAGCAAGTATCCTTTTATTTTCATGTCTAGAACTTTTTGAGTATTTCTTGCAAGGCCATTTTAATTTTTACAAATTTCCTCCGTGTTTGTTTGGGAAATACTTTATTTCTTCATCTGTGAAGGTTAGCTTGGCAGGATATAAGATTCTTGGCTGGCATTTTTTTTTTTTTTTGAGTTGGAGTCTCATTCTGTTGCCCAGGCTGGAGTGCAGTGGCACGATCTCAGCTCACTCCAAGCTCCACCTCCCAGGTTCATGCCATTCTCCTGCCTCAGCTTCCCAAGTAGCTGGGACTACAGGTGCCCGCCACCATGTCTGGCTAATTTTTTGTATTTTTAGTAGGGATGGGTTTTCACCGTGTTAGCCAGGATGGTCTCGATCTCCTGACCTCGTGATCCACCCGCCTCGGCTTCCAAAAGTGCTGGGATTACAGGTGTGAGCCACTGCACCTGGCCCATTTTTTTTTAAGGAGGCTAAAAGGCCACCAATTTTTTTGGCTTGTAAAGTTTCTGCTGAATAGTCTGCTTTTAATCTGATGGCATTTCCTTTATAGCTGATTAGACCTTTCTCTTTTACTACTCTTAGAATTTTTTCCTTCACATTGCCTTTGGATAGTCTTATGACTTTATGTCTTAGTGTATTTCTTCTTGCAATGTGTTTTCCAGGAGTTTTCTGATCTTCTTTTACCTGGATGGCTTAATCTCTCACAAAACCAGAGAAGTTTTCTTGAATTATTTCTTCAAATATATTTTTTATACTTTTAACTTTTTTTCCTTCTTCCTCTGTAATACCTACAACTCGTAGGTTTGGCTGGTTTACATAACATATTTCTTGAAGGCTTTGTTGATTTGTTTAAATTATTTTCTTTCCTTTCTTTCTTTCATCTGTGTGGGTCAATTTGAAAGACCTATCATACAGCTCTGAAATTATTTCTTCTACTTGTTCTAGCCTATTGTTAAAGCTTTCAACTGTATATTATAACTGCTACAGTGAATTTTTTATTTCCAGGAGTTCTGTTTCCTTAATGAAGCCTATCTCTTCTTTTATGTCTTGACTTGCTAATCTGATTTCTTTTCTGTTGGTTTTCAGCTTTCTCTTGGATTTCACTGAGCTTCTTTAAAATCAATAATCTGAGGCCAGGCACAGTGGCTAATGCCTGTAACCCCAGCACTTTGGGAGGCTGAGGCAGGTGGATCACTTGAGGTCAGGAGTTCAAGACCAGCCTGGTCAACATGGTGAAACCTCGTCTCTACTAAAAATACAATAATTAGCCAGGCGTGGTGGTGTGCGCATGTAGTCTCAGCTATTTAGGAGGCTGAGGCAAGAGAATCTCTTTAACCCGGGAGGTGGAGATTGCAGTGAGTTAAGATTGTGCCACTGCACTCCAGCCTGGGCAACAGAGCGAGACTCCATCTCAAAAAAGTACAAAATAAAATAAATTATTTGAATTGTTTACCTGGTATTTAGATTTTATCTTGGTTAGGATCTGTTGCTGGAGAGTTAGTGTTTCACTCTGTGGGTGTTGTAATACTTTTTTATTTCATACTTTTAGAATTGTTTCTCTGGTTTTTTCTCATGTGGATAAACTATCTTTCCTTTCTTGAGTTTGCTTTTGTTTGGATGGCATCTTTTTTCTACCCCTGAGGAAGGTATCCATAATATATGTTGTTATGTAGGGTCCTATGGCTTTGGTTCCAGGTGTCTTCAGTACCAAATAGTCTATTTTAAGTTCCTTGGTTTTAGATAGCTTTTATTTGGCAACTTTGCTAAATGCTGGTTGCAGTAACTATATTTTGGGCATATGAGCAGGCTCATTGCCTCCTTCTCTGGCCAGGGTAGTAGAGGTCTTAGGAAGCTTATCTTGTTCCCCAGTACTGTGCACCTGTTTCAGATTTCTTGTTATGTTTTATCTTTCAACCTCCGGGCCAGTAGGTGGTGCTTATGGGTAACAGCTGGCTGCATCCAAACTTGACAGGAATATACTTGATCCTTGTTTAGTGGAGGAAGCTCTCTCTTGCCTCAAGCAAGGGGCTGATCTTTGGAATGCACAATGATCTGAGTTCCCTGCTCAGTCCTAGGTAGGGGCACCAAGATGGGCAGGGCCAAACTAGGCAGACCTAATGGCAGTTACAAGCACCAGCTTTTGCAGTGGAAGCTGCCAAGGACTCAGAGATGTGTCTAGATGTGGAATTGGAAAACCTTCCCCGCCCCAAGTTTCTGGAAGGGAGAGGGGAATGCCCTAAACTCCTAATCTAGAAGAATGGGTGCTCCAAATGCCTGGAAGTATGTCTGAACATCAAGCTGAGAGAGTGCCATTGTACTAAGGTCTCTTCACCTGAAGGGAAGGGCAGCTCAGGCTTCTCATTAAGGCAGGCAGATGTGCCACATGCTCTGGGAGGGAGTGGAGAAACTGCTGTTCAAACAAGGTCTTTGCAGGGGATGGGAGGAGTGGGTCAAGCTCCTACTCTGGAAGAGCAGGTATGCCCCGTGTGAGATGATATGCCTGGGGAAGGAGCAGAGAGACTGCTGCCACTACAAAGTCTTTACATGAGACAAAGGGTGGCTGAAACTCCTTATCCATGGGAGCAGGTGTGACAAATGCCTGGAGTTATATCTGAATGTGAAGTGAAGGGAGTGATGCTGTACTAAGTTCTTTGTGTGGTAAGAGTATAACAGTTCATACTTCTATTCCGGGGGGCAGGTGCACTGAAGGCCTGGTGATATGTCCCGTCATGGGGAAGAGAATGTGCTGCTGCGCCAAGATCTCAGCATGGGAAGAGAGGGGTGGCTCAGGCTCTTATCCAGGGGAGCAAGCATGCTGCATACTTGGGAGTTCGCCCTGGAAAAACTGTCGCTGCAACAAGGTCTTTGCAGTGGGAGGGAGAGACAGCTCAGGCTACTAATCTAGGTGAGTGGGTATTTGATTGCCTGGAAATATATCTACTGGTGAGGAGTGGAGTAATTGGTTGTGCAATAAGGTCTTTGTAGGAAACTGGGGTAGGCAGCTCAAGAAGCAAATCAGGTGAGTGGGTTCTCTGAGTGCCTGGAGATCTCTGACTGTGGAGCAGAGACAGCCTTGCTGCACCATGGTCTCTGCAGAAGAAGGTTGAGGTGGCTCAGGCTGCTGATCCAGCCAAGTGGATGCTCCATATGCCTGGAGATCTACCTGGGCAAGGAGTGGAGTTGACCCTGCTCCACCATGGTCTCTGCATAGAAAGGATGAAGTAGCTCAGACTGCTAATCCAGGCAGATGGGTACTCCTTAAGCCTGGAAATCTGCCTGGGTGTGAAGCAGAGCCCCACTGTACCAAATTCTCTGCTTAGCAAGCGTGAGGCAGCTTAGGCTGCTAATGTAGGGAAGTGGGTGCTTCAAATGCCTGGATATCTGCCTGGGCATAGAGCATAGAGGGCCCTGCTACACCATGGTCTCGGGGGAGAATGCTGGGACTCCAAGCAATGACACACAGACCAGTTCCAGGTCACAAAGCTGCTCTTGGCTGCAAGTCTCACCTCTCAGAGGAAACCACAGTTTCAGCAACCCTCTTCCCACTCTAGTCCTGTGGTGGGAGATTGCCCAATTCCAGTGCCTACTGCTGGGGCATTTTCCACACTAGCTGCTCCATTGCAGCTGGGAGGCTTCTACTCCACTCCAAAGCAAGTGCTCCAGTCTCTAGTCTGAGACTAAAATGCCTGCGTGGCTGCATTGTTAGGTCACCAAACAATGACTGACTTTGTATTAGTGTGGATTAAAAATGACATCTTCCCCGTGGTCCAAGGTTGGGAAAATGCATGCAGCATTTTCCAATATCTTTCCCTCTCAGTGTCTCCCAGCCTCTCCTCCTGGTAGTTCCAGGGTTTGGGAGAATCAGGGTCCCCTTTCTTGGCATGGGTTGCACAGATCCCAAGTGGAAAGGTGAGTCATAGAGGAAAACTCTTTGCCCTTTTTATGTACAGGGGCTTCACTCATGTTTATCAGCCAAACACTATCACAAGGGCTGCTTGCCTACCTTTTTCTCAATGGGATTTGGGGTATCCTTCACTATTCTGGTGAATTCACATTTTCCTTCTTGAATTAAAACTCTTCAGAGTTGATCTTTACTCACTATTTTGCTATTTCCAAGTGGCTGAGGCGTGTTAAAAGCCTCCAATCTACCATCTTGCGGGAACAAAAAAAAAGTTTAGCTATTATTTTATTGAATAGCTTTTTAAAATCTCTTTTACTTCTGGAACTCCTAAATTTTGAATATTTATTCAGTTGATGGTGTCCCATATGTCATGTAGGCTTTCTTCACTGTCTTCATTCTTTTAATTCCCTTCCCACCCTTTTTATTCTTTGGTCTGACTAGGTTATTTCAGAATACTCGTCTTCAAGTTCAGAAATTTTTTTTCTTTTGCTCAGTCTATTTTTGAAGCTCTTGATTATCTCATTCATTTAGTTATTTAGCTCCAGGATTTCTGCTTGGTTCTGTTTTATATCTTTTTGTTGAATGTTTTATTTGGATTGTAAATTGTTTTTCTGATTTTGTGTTCTCTTATATCTCACTGAGTTTCCTTGATATTATTTTAATCCCTTTTCAGGCATTTTATAGGTTTCTTTTTCTATGGGGTCTGTTACTGGAGAGTTGTGCTCTTTGGATGTGTTATGTTTACTTGTTTTTTCATGTTTCTTTCATTCCTACGTTGATATCTGCACATCTGGTGGAGTATAGTCTTGCCTTCCAAATATATGGAGTTACTTTTGTGGAGAAATACCTTTTCCTATAGATGTTTCCTATGGTGTCTGTTGGGTAGGGTGCTTTGGCTTTTGTTCTAGATGGGCATCATAGTGTAGTCCCTGTCTGATTTCTTTGACTGTAATTAATGCCAGCAGTGTCTGAGATTTCCTCAGAATCTTAAATTGCGGGTGTTTGTAAAGGCAGTGGTGCAGCATTGTTTGTGATTGAGGGGGGTTGCAGGACAAGGTGGTTCTCAGGCCCTGGGGGGATGTGCCTGGCACAGTGGCTCCACTGGTTTTGGGGGTGGGGCTGCTGGCACTGCTGAACAGGTCACTCCTTAGTTTCTGGGGGATGTGCATGGCATTTGGTGGCTCTGGCCCTGGAGTGGGTGGGGTTACTCGCATTGGTGGGCACCAGGTGGGCCGCTCCTTGTGGACACATGGCATGCACAGCTCCACCTCTGGAGGAGGTATGGCTTTCTGTGATGGCAATCACTGGACTGGCTGCACTTTAGTTCCCGGAGGATGTGCACACATGTGCAGCACCTCCGCCCCTGGAGGGGTTGTTGGTGGCGGCAGATGTGAGGTGGTCAGCTCTAGGTCTCTGCTCAGCATGTACACTGGCTCCCCTAGTTCTGGGGCATCCTCCCCTCTGTGCTATGCCTGCTCCCTGGATTGTAGAGCACTGCATGGGCTCGGGGGCAGGGATGATGACTGCACCGTCAAGTCTAGCTGGGATCACAGCACTCAGCCTTTTTTGTGGGCACAGTGGAATGACGGCAGGGACCCAGCGACATGGAGATGTATATATAGGGGCTAATGGCCTCCAGGGCAGAATACGCTCCCCCAGTGGCTCCGTCCCACTGTGGAGAACATGTGTCCCTTCTCTGGAGCAATGTGACCTTGTGGACTCCAGGTAGTTTCCTCCACTGGGCTCAGGGCCTATGGGGACTGCGGGGCTAGCCTGTAGCTGGGATTGCAGGCAGCCTCAGTAACTATGGAGACCATGGGGGATCCCCTGCTTACCTTTCCCTTGGCCCTGAGCAGATCCTGGTCAGGTGTTTCGCTTCCCTCCCTATGCTGGCTTTCCAGATTTTCGTGCTTCAGAGGGTTTTTGTCACTTCCAGTGTTTTCCTTTAGGTACTCTACTCAAAATGCAGTTATTTATGTTGTTTTTGTCATTTTTGTGAAGGAGATGAGTGGTAGATTCCTCTAGTTGGCCATCTTGATCTATCTGCAGATATTCTTTGTAGCAAAAATATATAAATTTATTTAAGTCAGTGTTTCTCAAACTTGTCTTCAACACAATAAAAGTCCTGAGAAAGTACCACAGAAATGTGCCTTATGAAACTCAAAGAGGAGGATGTAGGCAGCTTTTCCTGAAAATTCTGGCCGCTAGCTCTTTTTCAGAGTTCCTCTCAACATTTTCCAACACATCGGTATTACTAACAGCAGCAGAAGGCATATCATTAGCCAGCATTTATCAAACACTTACTGTACACCTGGCACTGTGCTAAATAGTTTTCTTTCTTCCTAAGGCTTTGAGATATTGAGAGGATTTTTGTCCTTTTTTTTTTTTTGAAGACAGTCTTCTCGCTGTCACCTGGGCTGGAGTGCAGTGTTATGATCTCGGCTCACTGTAATTTCTGCCTCCTGAGTTCATGCAATCCTCCCACCTCAGCCTCCCGAGTACCTAGGATTACAGGTGTGCAGCAATACACCCAGCTGATTTTTTTGTATTCTTAGTAGAGATGGAGTTTCACTCTGTTGGCCAGGTCTTATACTCCTGACCTCAAGTGATCCGCCCACCTCGGCCTTTGTTTCCTTTATAAACCAGAGATGACAATAGCACCTAGCTGCAGGATTGTTAAGTAACCTTTGCAAGATTCCACAGCTGATAGGTAGTTAGTGCCAAGATCTGAACCCAGAAAACAGTGCCTGGCATTTGGGCCATGTTTCCTGTTCTGCCTCACTTCCCCAGCTCTTATACTCTTAACACCTCATTACCAGAGGTCTCTTGGGAAGGAGTCTTTTCCTTGCAGATTGAAGAAGCAGCTGACTTTCTGCAGGTGGTTGTGATGATCTGTGCACTGCTATACCCAGGGCCTTTCAGACCAGTGGCCAAGGCACAGGTCTTCACTAAGTTGCCCTCAGTGTCCTGAGGGAGGTGCTGGGGTGTGCAGGAGGAGAAATGTGGCTCTGAACTGAAATAAGGAGTTTTCCCCCTCTTCTGGCTTGTAGAAGACATCCAGTATGGTGGGAAGTTTGCTGGTCCAGTTACAGAGTTGTCTGGAGCAGCTCTTGTTGCCAGCCAGCTCCCAAGGTCGAGCCCCTCAAAAGGGCTGTGTGGGATAAGCCAGCGAGAAAGTAGCAACACCTTTGAAGTGTGCTGAACTTGCTCTAATTGAGCTCTTCCTATTGATTAGAATCTGTTTGCATTCACTTTCCAGCAGAAGGGTTTCTCCTGTTGTTCAGATGGCACAGAGCATTGCAGCAGGGCCGCATGTGCCACTGATGATACCATTAGGGAAAAATTAGCCAGGGTGCATTAGGCAAAGGAAGACAGGATCAGAGCCTACATTCTGCGTGAGCTGTTCCCTTTCCTTTTGTCTTGGAGAGGGTGGCTTTGCTGAGGTTGGTTAGGCTTAGCTGGATAGAGGGGGTAGAAAGAGAGAGACTATTTCTGTCCTGGAGATGAAAGGCTGCTTTGTAGTGGCACAGCTGCTCCCATCAAAGAGCTCAGAAAACATTTGAAAACATTAACTCATTAAGCCTACCTACTTTTGTCAAAGGTGGAAAGTTCCTCTCCCAGGTGCTTTTAGGCAGTGCAGATGCACGGTAGGGACCATCTTTTATTACAGTGGGCCATGGCTGTAGCGCATTGGGGGTGCCAGCAGGATTCCTGCCTCCCAAGAGTTTTTGGAATCCCTCATCCCCAAGGGGGGTATATTTTTAAGCTTTCCAAGAGTATTTTGAGTTCATGGTTGGTTGTTGCTTGTTCACTTGGCAATCACTAATGAGTTCTTTGTGCGTTGCACTGAACTTTGAGCATGGCCCCACCCAACACATCCCCTAAGCGTTTGCTCTACACTTGACCTTCCCTTGTCTCTATGTGGATTTGAGAAGATGGGAAGGAGAAGGCAGTCTGGGTTCTGCTGAGAATGCTTTCTTGAATAAGTAGTCACAGGTAAGCTCACACATAATACCCTGGCCCCAAAATCAGTGTAGCTGTCTCTGTATGAGTGGTTAAGGTCACGTGGTAAAGCACCCTGACTTTACTAAGAGGAAATATCTTTCCTCTCTCATTGGATACGGTGTTGGGAGGATGGTCACTGAAGGTTTTCTTTTCTCTTCTGGCCAAGAGGTAGATAGGTGATGCAAACTTAGGCTATCAAACATACCCTGGCATCTTTTTTCTTGGGGTTTTTCCAAACATTTTTATCTCTTATTATTATTATCTTAAAGATATTCTAAATCATATCAAGGTTGTTAAATTGGATAAAATTTTGGGTGATGGGCATAATTCACAGTGTCTGACTTCTTGGACCAAATGAAGTATTAGATTAATGTATAGAAGGATATCAGTAACAATAAAATTAAATTGCAACAATGTGAAATGAAGATGTAAAATAAATGAATGTTTTCACAGCATGCGAAGTTATGTAATGTTGTTTTTTTAGAAAAAAATCATAGCACTTCCAGCCCTGTAACACAAAACCATTCTGCAGCCTATGGCAGTGTCCCAAGGGCCCAGGCCAGGAAGCACGCACTGCCCTTGACCTGCTTCTCAGCAGTGGAACCTGGGACCCAGATTTGTTAGCCCTGGTCTTGCCAAGTCATCTGGGTCTGACCATTTAATTTTCTTGTGTAAAATGGGACAATCATTGGCCACTTCCCTGTGATCCAAGGAAGCACTTCGAGTGACATGTCTGTGGATCACTGCAGCCACCCAGCCAAACTCCCTGAAAGCTTGTTCCTGAGCAGAATGACTGAAGAATAAAAATGGTGAGGGTTTGGCTCTCCTAAAGGCAGTGGTTATTAGCGATTTCTGCTTTGAGGTCTCCACCGCTACTCTGGTCCTCTCCTTTCAAACCGCTTTGCCTTCGTTAACAAGCAGAAAGGAGTTTATTGGAAAGGTACTCAGTAGGAGATTCCCAGACTCAGTCTCTGTTTCTGCTGCTGGCATCATTCATTGCTTTTATCCCCCTCTCCTCTATACCCTCTTTCTTGCTGATTACATCTATATATACAATTTCAAATATAATTCTTATGCAGAAAATTCTCAGAGCAATGTTTCCAGCGCTGACATTTCATCTAGCTCCAAACATGGAGATGCTTGTGGGTCAGATAGCCACACAAAGGGCAAACTAGATGTCTAAACATGACACAGGAAGAACAGCTCTGTAGGGATGTGCTGTTATTAAACAAAAGTCAATTCTCCCTCTGACAGCCTTCCCTCAATCTCTACCTGCAGCTTTCTGGGTTGCTGAATCCCATGCATTCTTCTCTGAGCAATTTCCTGCAGGCATCTCTCCCAGGCCCCCTGCTGCACTTCATTCAAGTCTCCCTTATTTCTTGCCTGCTGCAAGAAATATGTGTGAGTGTGTATGTGTATGTGTGTGTGCGTGCGTGTACGCACGTGTGCATGCATCTGCATGTGCATGTGTGTGTGAAGTAACCTGGACAGGAGCAGTAGGGCTAATGGACTCTTTTTAGGCAGGGCCTGTGTTCTTTAAGCACCTGTGGGCTGTTTTGGTTTTCAGGCTGTCATCTCCAACCGTCTGCTATGGGGCTGACCGTGTTCTCCCATCATGCCTTTCATCCGGCTCTGAAGTCTTTGGTTGTGGTGTAAGGAGCCTATCCTCTGTGCCGAAACTCCCTAGAGCCTCCCATGGTAGCCCATGTGGCTAGAGTGTTGAGGACTTCGTGGGCTCTAGTAGGGGTGCTTTGGGAAAGCTAAGTTTGGGGAAACTCACTGTTCTCCCAGTGTGCCCCTCAAGTTCTTGCCGGGACTTCTGATGCTAGTTGGAAGTTCACCTTCTCTAAGAAGGCTTCTCTCTCTCTTATTAAAGTAACCTCTCTAAGCCTCCATCTCCTTTTCTGTAAAAAGGACATGAAACCTCTCTCAGAGCTTTTATGAGGACTACTACAAGGAAGATGGCACATGTGCATGGACTTCATTTCTACCGAATCCAGTACGGATGGGCAGGGTGGACCCATCCTGCCCCGTCCTTCTAGCTTAGAGGGAGATTTGTGTTTGCTCCTTAGTGCCCTGGAAGCCTGGGGGGCTGGCCAGAGAGGGAGTCTGGATTGCCTCCGTGCCCTCTGCACGGGAACCTTTGGAGTAGAGAGAAATGCAGGAGAGGCAGGGCAGCAGACTGAGGGGTAGGCATGTAGGGGAGGGACACGAAGGTTTCCAGTGGGGTAAGAGCCAGCCTCTGCAGTGGCTGTTGGGGCCAAGGCATCATTCCTCTTTGCCAGGTTTTTGGGCCACTGAAGGGAAGTGATTCACTTCCCGCTCCAGCAGGCCTGGTTTCAGAGCTACTCTGGCTCCCCTGTCTTTGTTGGAATCCAGGATAATGTGGGGTAGGGGAATGCAGGTTGTGAACATCTGCTAATGGTTTTCTAAGCACCCTTTCTAGGAATAGGACCTATAATCCTATTTTGCAGTTGACTAGAGGGGAAAATTGATTGTGGGTTGTAATCGATGTGATTTCCAAACAACAGCAGAGTCTTAAGAGGGGCGTCTCCCCCAGAGTTTTATGAGGAAACTCATGAAATAAAGATGAAAAGGGAATTCAAGTCCAAAAGTCCTCAGATAATGACCTGTCCTCTGTTTAGGTGACTTGCCAGGAGTAGAAAGGCCTGGAGTCAGTATCAAACTCAAGGTCAAATGCTCAGGTGTCGCATACTGGTGGCCCATAGATGTTCTTGGTTTGGACTGCATAGTGTTTAAAAAATCTAATTAGTGGCTAAGAGAACAAAAACAGGCGTTTACATAAAAATCAGAATTTCCATTGTCTGCTTAAAGCCTGGAGGATGTGGCTCCTGGACCCTGAGTCAGGCATGTCAGGAGCTGACAGGCAGTGGGACCCTTAGGTCTGGCGCAGGCTACCCACCCGCACCCCTCGCCTCATATCCCTTCGATGAGTGAGGTCCCCAAGTTTGAGCCACACTGGCCTCTGAAGGAGATGGGATTGAGACTCCCTACTTCACAGACTCCCTGCCCACCTGAGGCTTGTCCTGCCGGGAAGATTTTATGTATGACCAGTTCAGGATCCTGGAGGAAATGACTTATTTACTCCCAAAGTAAGAGTCACAGAAAACAGAAGTGACACTGAGAAATGAAAACAGTATACAAGAAACTCTATTGTGTCATTGTACTTGGGTTTAGTCTTTTGTTCTCAAGGTGAGAGTCAAGGAAAACAATTTTTGTCATTGTCGTTTTTGTTAAGAGTTCTGAAGAGCATAGCAGCTTTCTGGTCTTCGGGGATAGCAAGCTGGTGGAGTGTTCTTTCATTAACCTGTGATTATTGACTGACTGGATGGTTTCTCCCCTCTCATGACACTCTGGGGGCTTTGGCCAGTTAGTCAGTAGCAGGTACTATTGGTGCCTCATAGGTACTGAGTGAGCCTATTGCTTATTGCACCCAAAACAGACAGATTCTTAATAATTGGACCAACAGTGGCCCACCAGTGCTTGTGGTGTGGCTGGACATTACTAATGTTGGTATTTTCTGAGCAGGTTTGGATTTCTTTGAGTAAGTTGTTTATTTTAGAGAACTAAATGGATTTAGAACTCAGAACAACCAAAGCAGATCAGTGAAAGCATCTAGCATGCCCAATTAATAGTCTTCAGAATTGAATTATAGATAATAAAAGGAATTTATTTTCTACATGGAAATAGCTTTATTGCTTTTTCAATTTTTTCCTGATTAGAAAAGTAGTCTATGCTTATTGTTAAAAGAAAAATTCAGACAACATGCAAAGGAAAATTTTTAAATCATTTATAATATCACCATGTAAAGATAATCACTGTTAACTTTTTAATGTGTATGTCTCCGGACTTATTTCTTGGCACATATTACATATGTATATGTCTATATTTCTCAGAATGGCAGCTTTCCAGATACATTGTTTGTAATCTTCTTTCTACTTATTGACAAAGTGCAATGTCTGTGATATATGAACTACAGAACTTCCTCTTAAAACTTAAAATTTAATGGTTCTTCCTAGATATTCATCCATCTAAGACTTATTGAGCACCTACTGTGTGCCAGGCACTGCTCTGGGAACTGCAGCCACGTGAACAAAGCCATGTAAATAAAGCTGGGACAGAACACAGTTCAGCTTTGCCTTCTACTGACAGGTGGCAAGTCCTCAGGTGTGTAATATCATTTTCACTGGCCAACAGTTACATTTTTAATAGCACTTAGGAATTTAATATGCTTCTAAGTGAAGGGACTTTTTTGTGTGGATCTACCTAATTGTTTTTATCGGTTGTTTAGTATTCCAATATATAGATGAACTCTGATTTATTTATCTACTCTTTGATGAACATTAGGCAAATTTTCACTATTATAAAACATTTTAACAATACACATGCTAAAACAAACACTTTTACCCATGCATGACTGTACACTTAGCTGATTATTTTCTTAGAACCTGTGTGGGAAGAGGTATCCTGCTATACTGGTAGGAGTATGATTTTTTAGATGAGGTGAAATTCATATAACATACAATTACCATTTCAAAGTGTACAATTCAGTGTCGTTTAGGATATTCACTAAATGTTGTGCAAGCATCAATTGTCTCTAGTTTCAAAACTTTTTTATTAATTCCAGAAAAACACCCTGTACCCATTAAGTAACCACTCGTTATTTCTGCCTTCTCCACCTCCTGGTAACCACTAATCTGCTTTCTGTCTCTGGATTTGCCTGTTCTTGATAGAGCATCTAAACGGAATAATGCAGTATGTACCCTTTTGTCACTGGCTTCTTTCACTTAGCATAATGTTTTTGAGGTTCTTCCAGGTTGTAGCAACCCACGTTGATACCCCAGGAAAGTATCTATTAGTGCTTTATTTCTTTTTGTGGCTGAGTAATATTCTACTGTGTGTGTGTGTGTGTGTGTGTGTATGTATGTGTGTGTGTGTATATATACACACGTATATGTAATTCATATATAATAAAATTCTTTTAAAGTATGCATGTATATATACACACACACACACAAAAGTATTTTAATTTTCTAAAAAGAATTTTAGGCCAGGTATAGTGGCTCATGTCTGTAATACCAGCACTTTGTGAGGAGAAGGCAGGAGGATCACTTGAAGTCACAAGTTTAAGACCAGCCTGGGCAACATAGCAAGACCGTGTCTCCACAGAAAAAAAGTAAAAATAATTAGAAGGGCATGGTGGTATGCACCTGTAGTCCCAGCTACTGGGGAGGCTGAGACAGGAGGGTCACTTGAACCCAGGAGTTCAAGGCTGCAGTGGGCCGTGATTGCACCACTGCACTCCAGGCAGGGTGACAGAGTGAAACCCTGTCTCTAAAAAAAAACAAAAAATATGTTTTACTTTGGCGGTGGACCCTTATAGTTAAATGCTTAATGATGGCTTTTAGAAAATGGAATAGCTCTTGTAATGGTTAGTTCACTCTATTAGTTCACTATCATATGCTTCAGCATATAATAAATATAGAGTTAAATCTGAATTTAACACATGAACGCCTTCTGTATTAGTTTCCTAGAGTTGTCATGACAAAGTACCATAGACTGGGTGGCTTAAACCACAGAGGTTTATTTTCTCACAGTCGTGGAGGCTGGCAGTCTGAGATCAAGGTGTTGACAGGGTGGTTTCTCCCAAGGCCTCTCTTACTGGCTTGTAGATGTCGTCTTTTCCCTGTCCTTTACGTAGTCTTTCCCCTGTTCCTGTTTGCATCCTAATCTCTTCTTAGAAGGGCACCACTCGTATCAGATTAGGGCCCAACCACAGGACCTCATTTTACGTAGTTACCTCTTTATTAAAGGCCCTATCTCCAAACACAGTCACATTCTAAGGTACTGGGAGTTATAACTTCAACATAAGAATTTTGTGGGGGAGACAGTTCAGCCCATAATACCTGCCTAATGTACATAGCTATTGGAAGCCAGATAGAATTTATTAAAAGTTTGATACTACAAAATGTTTCAAAAGTAATATTTTTACCATTTTCAGGGCCATAATACTTAACCTCAAACCATCTACTTCAAGGTGTTGCTAAATTGGGCATGATTTATTAAATATATATCTTATTAATGATTACTGTATTGTTTATGATGATGAGATAAATTTGTCAAGTAGGTTAACCACCTCCTACCATATATGTTCTGCCCTTATTTTCTTTTTATTAAAATGTAGTTCATATATCATAAAATTCTTTTAAAGTGTTCAATCCAGTGGTTTTTAGTATATTCACAAAGGAGTGCAGTCATCAGCACTGTTTAATCCCAGAACATGTCGATCACCCCAAAAGAAACCTGTACTTCTAGCAGTCATTCTCATTCCACTCTCCTTCCTGCAGCCCTGACAGTTACTAAGCCAACTCCTGTATCCATGGATTTGCCTCTTCTAGACATTTCATATAAATGGAATCATACAATATGTTGTCTTTTATGTCCAGCTACTGTCTCAGCATTTTTTAAGGTTCCTTCATATTGTAGCATGTATCAGTGCATTATTCCTCTTTATATGTGAATATTCCATTGTGTGCATGTACCACATTTGGTTTATCCATTCACCTGTTGATGGATATTTGGTTTATTTCCACTTTTTGGCTATTATGAATAATGCTGCTATGAATATATATGTACAAGTTTTTCTCTGGCCATATGTTCTCAGTTCTCTTGGGTTTATACCCAGGCGTGGAATTGCTGGGATCATATGGGAATTCTCTGTTTAGCTTTTGGAAGAACTGCCAGAATGTTTCCCAAAGAGATTGCACCAGTTTACATTCCCACTGATTTCTTCCCATCTTTGCCAACACCTGGCAATTGTCCATATTTCTTACTGTAGCCATCCTAGTGTGCCTGCCTTTATTTTTAATTTGAATGGCAAAACCTTAAGCAGTTTGGTGTGGTGGCTCATGAATGTCATCCCAGCGCTTGACAGACTGAGGTGGGAGCATACCTTGAGGCCAGGAGTTTAAGTTGAGTCTGGGCAACATAGCAATACACTGTACAAAAATTAAAGAGCCAGGTGTGGTAGCTCATGCCAGTAATATCAATGCTTTGGGAGGCCGAGTTGGGGTAATCACTTTAGGCCGTGAGTTTGAGACCACCCTGAGCAACATAGAGAGAGCCCGCCCTCTACAAAAAATTAAAACATTAGCCTAGTATGGTGGTATGTGCCTATAGTCCCAGCTACTCAGGAGGCTGAAGCAGGAGGATTGCTTGAGCCCAGGAGTTCCAGGCTGCAGTGAGCTATGATTACACCACTGCACTCCAGCCTGGGTGACAGAGCAAGACCCTGTCTCAAAATTAAATAAATAAAAACTTAAAAAAAAAAAGTTGTTTACAGGCACTGTGGAGGTGAGCATGTGACTTCCGATTTGGAAGGCTGGCTGCTCTGTCTTCTGTCTTTCTCTGGAGGACCTATGCTATCCTTGTTTCCTCTTTTCCCACTATTCCTTTGTGAATTTTTGGTTTTCAGCAAACAGTTCAGCTCCTGCCCTTAGAGGCTGGTGAGAGTCATTTCAAGTTAACACTTCCTTCTTCTACATCTTCCTGGCACTGTCGCTCTGCCTTGTGCAGCCTTAAGTTAGGCATTAAATCAGGGTGTTTTGACTCTTTGTTGCGTTTTTCTCTGAGTCAGTAGGGAATATACCCTTTTCTACTTCACCCCTCTCCCAATTACATGGTTTACTATTGATTTTTTTCCCTCCTCCTTCTAGGCATAGATAGTACTTGCAACTCTCCTTTTAACAACAAATCAATTCCAGCATCTTAATGTTATAGAGTTGGGAGCACAGTTGAGTTTAAAACTTTTTTCACTCCCTCCACTGCCCCAGTTTCTCTGTTTAAAAAGCTCGAGTCATCCATGATTGATGGAGGACATTAGGGAGAGAAGTTAGCACCATTTTGATTTATTTTGTTTACTTTGAAAATAGTTTTCTCACTTGTCAAATGGATTAATTATGAGGAACAAATTGTGCAACTGGGTGCAGAGGAAGGTGAAGGAAAGCCAGAGTTCAGAGTCTTCTGGGTGAAGAGCCCCTGCCCTCGCCGACCCTTCATCGTGCCTGGTGCCCTGTGCTGTGGTGTGAGCTGCTGGTCATGGGGCCCTGCCTTGTGGAGAGTGCTTCCTGTCAGGAGGTGGTGGGACTGGGAAGGAAAACTGTGTAAGTTTACAGTAGTGCTTCAGTTGTAGTGGCCTCACCTCAGGTCCAGCATGTGCTGTTTTCTCATAGCTCAGTGTGCTGTTTCTATCTAGCATTTAATATGCTATCTAGCATTTAATTTCTATCTAGCATTTAATATGCTATCTAGCATCATATGCTATCATACGATGTTTGTTTTGTCTTGTTAATGATGTCTTCCCCTTTAGATGGCAAGCTCCAAGAAGACATGGACTGTTTGTTTCTTTCTTGGTCATGGCAGAATCCCCATTGTCTAGCTCTGTGCCTATGACTAGTAGATGCACAATAAATATTTGCTGAGTGAATAAAGGAATAAATGTCCCAAAGGTAAAATAAAATGCTCAACTGGGCCTCTAATGTAACGGGAGAGGAGGGGTGGTATGCAAGGTGGTCTCTGCAGAAGAGCAGGAGTAGCAGGAGTTACCTGGGTGAAGGTTGTTGGGAAGGGAATTATAGAAAGAATGGAAACACAGAGAATAATGAAGTCACAAGATGATGTTTTGATATTTAGGACATAAGAAGCTGGAGCTCCAGGGAGTTCTGGGTGCTTGGTGGGCCTTTCTGTTTTTTGTTGTTGTTGTTGTTGTTTAATTTAAGTCATTAGGATTTTGTGCAGGATAATAAACCAGGCTGTACCTTAACCTATGAGCTCATGAGACAAGAGAGGATTCTGGAATTTGGGTGCTAGAGTCTGCAACCCAAAAGCAGGGGACTGCTGGACAGCTGCGGAGGCTGGGCTCTAGATAGCCATTTGAGTGGCCAACTCTGCAGGTGAGTCTGGTGAGCCAGCCTGCAGAGGGCAGCTCCCCCTTAGCTCCCAGCTAAGCCCAGGTGTCAGAGCCCCTGCTCCTGTCTAACGTAGGTCCTGTCTAATGTAATCCCTTCACTGTGATTCCAGGGCTTGCTCTTACTCAGGCAGAAATGAGGCAAGGCTGCTTTAGGGCTGATGCAGCTCCGGGGTTGAATTCTTTGTCACTGTCCTGCAGCCCTCCTTGTCTCATCTGCCCTTTCTGGTGGGCTATGAATGTAGACAGCTGGCTTTGCTCTCCAGAGGAGGAGGCCCCCAAGGCCGACACTGGCTCCTTCTGGTGTTTGAGGGCTGCTGGCTGTCACCTCCTGTTGCCGTCTTCAACACTTGGCTTCACATTTGCCTGTCCTCTGTGCCTTTCTCAATTTGTCATTATTATTTTAGTGATAATGGATAGGCCACTGGGAGTGGAGCAGCAGGCACCAGCTTTTCTAGCTGATTAAATGCCTAAAGAACTAAAGGAGATGTGGGTGGCTTGCCTTCTGCTTCCTTGTAACTCATGACACGTCATCTTGCCTTTGGTTCCGTCTCTGCTCTTGTGGCTCTTGGTAGCCAAAATCCATCTTCTTGTATTACATGGACACTTGTTCTAATTCGGACACCTGCTTTAACATTTCCCTCGGCATAAACGTTTTCAAAACAGACAATCAAAAGTATATGATATCTTGAACTTGTGTTGGCTCATGGTGCTTGTTAACCCTTTCTGTCTCTAACAGAATAGGGTTTATAAGCACCCATGACTAGAATGAAGGTGAGATGTGGGCAAGAAAGAGGGAGGACACTCTACTTGAGATATGGCAAGTTTTTGGTGAGTGAAAGTTTATCTTCAATTTTGTTATCTCACATACTAGACAATAACACACATTTAAATTTGCCTAGTGGAAAATCACTGCTCTGGCCAGGATGGGGTTTATAGCCAACATCTCACATGGGCACAGGAGAGAGGCCTCCCTCCAGTAGTGTATTTCCACCTTACCCTATCAGGGGAGCTGATTTGTGGTGTGCTCTCTGATTTACTCCGAGGTGGGTTCCTTGTGTCCTCTGCTGCAGCGCGAGGCTGATTGTCCTGTAGCAGAAATGAGAAGCTCTGAAATCTCGCTTCTTTCCTTACGCACCTTCTGCTTTTTTGTAAAGCTGCTTCACTCATTCAAAATTTGGTCATGTTCCCCTAGTGCATCTGAATAATTGAAGTTTTATTGTAGTTGACATAACTCATAATTTTACAGCAATTTAGAAGGAAAAACATTCTGAGGTTGTGCCTTTCTTTTTATATGGCACGGTCCAGATGACAAAGCTAAGATTGCAGTAAATTTTAATTATGGCGTAGGACAGGTGCATGGTATCTGGGAAGGTTGAGGCATGGCCAGGCAGATTGCAACAGTCAGTATGGGCAAGGGGGACAGGTGCATGGTATCTGGGAAGGTCGAGGCATGGCCAGGCAGATTGTAACAGTCAGTATGGGCAAGGGGGACATTAAGGCATTTATTTCACAACAACAGGAATAAAAATGAGACTGTTTAGAAACATTGACATGCAGGCAAAACTGAGAACTTTCTAACGGGCATTTGATGCCTGAGGATGAAAGAAAAGTCCTCATGGAAAAGAGTGAAACTTCTTCTAAAAGAATCTGAGCTAAAATATTTCAGCAAAGGGCCCCCCACATACTTCAGGCAGGGGAACTCTTGTTTTACACAGACACAGCTGTGTACGGTGCCACCATTGATGGAGGGAATGCTGAAAGCAATGGAATGATGTAGTTCTTGGTGCTCATGTTGGCAGTGGGACGAGATGGCCTGAATAACAGGGGCGGCCTAGGAAGAACAGAGGCAGCAGGAAAAATCTGGATCTGGATACAGGAATGATATGGCAATCTGGCTCCCCCTGAGGTCTGGGCCTGGAAGTTAGGCTGGTGTGACTTCAGAGCCGTCTGCACTGCAGAGGCAGACAGAGATGCAGAGGATGGGACCACATAAGCTGGCCTGCTGCATTCAGGGGCCCAGGACCCCACGATGACATGGCAGATGCAAGCACAGCAGATGCGCTGGGCTGCTGAAGCTGGTGCCAGCTGGCGCATCAGCGATGCTGAAGGCCCAGACGTGCAATGTAGACAGTTGAAGGTTCATCTTTTGGGAGTAGGCCCTGGAGATAGAAATGGAAAAACTGTAGGCTGTCCTCTCAGAGAGCTCAGAGCTGGGGAGAAGGATATACACACAATACAAGATCAGAGCTTAAATAAAGATCCATTTGCTGATAGTAATGGGCTACATAGAGATTTAAGATTTAACCCACCAGGACAGAGCCTGGTCCCTATCTGAGTTCTCGGACTAGCTAGATGTCTGTGCTGATGCTGAGCTCAACAAGCTCAGAAGCATCCTTCTTGGATCCCACAATGCACCCATTTGGGTAACCTTGTCTTTAAGAACTGAGTCATCTCCTCCGTGGTTGCCCTTGTTTTCTAAAATGGGCAGAAGCTTAATTTGGTGAGGTTTTTCATTTTCAGGTTTTATTTATTATTTTAAGGCTGAAGAGTTCAAATCTTTCGTTCATCCTTGAAGACATGTCACAAACAGGCTAGTGACTCCAAACCTTCGGGTGTGATGGAACCTCTTTAAGATACTGCCTGACTCACAGAATTGTGTGTATATTTGCACTTTGCAGGGAACCTGAAAAACTCTACTGGAAGCTATGGAGTAAATGTGGGCTGGGGAGGGAGAGCCTCAAGGGATCAGTGAGACAAGGCAGGGGAGAGGGAAGCATACAGAAAACATGAAGGTGAGTCATGAGGTTTGTGAAGCTTGTTTTTCTGCTCAGAAATACACTCAAGACAAACATGAGAAAGGCTAGTCTTGGAAGCCGAAGCAATTTTCCTTCTTTCTCAGGCCCAATCCCAGCGTTCACATGGGCAGGGGAACAAGGGGTGGATCAGGGAGGGAGGAACCTCCATGCCACGGACAGGCAATGTGAAAGCAGGCCCAGCAGCCTCGGTGATGCCCCTCCCTCCCTCACGGCCTGTGGACAGTCCTTGTCTGATGGTCAGGGGACTCTCAGTAAATGCACTGAGGGTGGGTGCTTGGAAACATTGAGCGGGGAAGGGACTGACTAACCGGGAGCTGAGCAGAATGGCTGGTTCTCCCATGAGTCCTGGCAGGGTGGGCACTGCATGGTCAAGTGTGCCTGCACTCTGGGAGGGCCTGTGTTCCTTCTCAATGACTTCACAGCAATCCACAGACTCAAGTTAATACCCAGGTAGCCCCCGACCCTAAGAACAGGGCAGCAAGCTTAGACAAGATCACCCATGGGTGCCAGACAAGCCAGTTACTGCCCACTTTGGGGTAGGAGGTATACTTAAAAGACAGGGTTACTCTGGGCAACTATTTTGTTCTCTTTTAAACATTAACTTTAAAAAATTACTCAAGTCATATATGTGATGTTTGTAAAATAAGAAAATGTTGCTGAGAAAATAAAAATCTTCCACAATGTCACTCCTCTGAATATTTTGAGATTTAACTGTCTGGATTTCTTCGAGCTTATGAATGTACAGGTAAAAATCAATGACAATGCGATCATACTGGTCCATACCATTTCACTCAACAGCACATTCTAGATTTCTTGTAAATCATGTCACCTTCTCATGGGCTCGTGCCCCATGCCCCAGTAGATGAATGCGTCATTATCCCCTGTGGCTGGACAGTTAGGTTGTTGCCAGCCTTTCAGCTTTGCAAATGGCACTATAATGAACCTCACTGCAGATAAATTCCATTTCCAGAGATTAAGGAAATAATTAAAGACAAGTGCAAAAAAAAAAAAAGATACACTTTTAAGTCTTTGAATACATCTCACCAGATTACCTGAAAAAGTTTTTGACAGTCCCTCCACCCCAGCAGATGTCTGTGAGTGAGAGTGCGACTGAGGACTTCAGAGGAAGATGCCTAGGGATCTTGCCATCTAGGACATATGTTCGTATGTTTTGTAAGAGATTACAGTCTTCCTGTCCTCTGTCTGGCACAAATGGAAACAAAAACACAACAATAGCAATAAAACCAACTTAAAATTGGATGTTTAATTAAAACAAGTTCTTTTTTTGTTGGGGATGAAGATCTGCTTTATCCAGTGTTAACATCTTTACTAGAAGAAGAGAGGTTTTAATTAGATTTTGACAGTGGTGTCAGTTTAGCCTCTTTGATCTTGAAAACGCTGTTTTTAGAGGAGGATGGGGTAGAGGTGGCCAGGCCCAGCAAGGGAGAGCAGGCTCTCCCATGTATGCCTTCAAGGGCTTCCTTAAAGAGCCTGCCCTGATTAAACAAAGTGAACCAGCACCGCCCCAGTCACTCTAGATTAGACTTCTGTTTAATTGTCTCATTAGTGCTTCCCAGTCAGCAGAATTTGGCTCATGTATTGAAAAGATAAATTCAGATTAAATAGAGGCTCTAGTGCCTTCATCTAGAACCTTGCCTGATGCAGAGTAATCAACCAATAAATTGTTGAAAGAATGAATGAAAACCCATTCATTCAGATATATTTTTGGTCTTTGTTGACTTTCTTTGCTATGGTTGATGCAGGGATGGAGTAGGCCCCTTTTCCAAAATAGGTGTGAAAGCAGTCTGACCTAGAAATTTCCAAGATCATGGAAAATCGTCTTTCTTTTAAAACATTTATGTCTGGGCTCTGCCCTCTGGGTACAAAATTCTTGAGGTGTTCTTGTATCCGGTCTTTCCTCAACCTCAGCACCTCAGAAGTCCTGTGCATCTTGGGCCGCAACGTGAAGAAGTGACTCTGCAAGTTGGGCTTTGGACCTATCTGCAGGGCAGCAGCACTCAGGAGAATGACCACACAGTGCTGTTGTGATAAGACCATCTCTGAAGAGGAAAACCTTCAAGTGCTGACAATTTTGAGCTGCAAGGGTATACTTAGAATGTTGATGAAGTGTTTTGTGCTGTGAATGCTGTCATGCCCCATAGTCATGAACAGAGACCTTCACAGGTGTGAGGAGAGACCTGACAAAAGGCCCTGCTTGTTTTCACCAGGTCCTCAGACACTCCGAGGAACCGGATTAATCTTGTCGGGGTCAAACTTCAAGGGCAGAGGGCTAATTGCTTTCTCTTACCTGGTGGGATCAGATGATAAAACCAAATTGGAGTGGAGATGGATGGAAGAGGTGGGAATGGCTCAACATCATGATGGAGAGTAGCATGTTGGTCACATGGAGGCAAATAGATTTTTAATAAGGAAAAATAATTACCAGTGAGTGAAGTGTCTGACTTTCCTGAAGATTTAAGCCACCTTGAGACCAGAATGAGAAACAGCTGGCAAACATTTTAATCAAGGCAAGGAAGCTGTTCTGCCCTCCAAAGAAGAAACTCTTTCATCAAAACCCTGTTGCCTTGTTTATTAAGGGAAGTAAGAAATGATTTGGCCACTGGGAGTAACTGCAGCAGCTTCAGAGAAGCCCACCCATGTGTGAAAAGACTGGTGCACCTGAGAAGCAAGGCAGAAGCCTGGGAACATTTTAGAACCAGATGCCACCCAAACTGCACGATGCGGTGATGATAAAGACTGCAGGGGCCTGGGGCAGGTCAGTAGGCTGGGGGCAGTAGGGGTCTGTGCCCCAAGAGGCAGGGACCGGAGGCTCTTTGGTGGAGGGCCAACCCCAGGCAGAGCCTGTCATGGCTGCAGACTTCCCATGAACCTGGATGCAGGACTAGCAAGTGGGCATCATAGGTGACTGATTAAGGGCTTTGTCCAGATGGCCACCAAGGATCCATTTCTGGGTCTTTCTCTGGCTCAAGAAACCTTTTCACTACAGAACTGCACTGGTAACTGCCCTTCTTAGGCACACAGTACGTGAATGCAAGTGTCTTGTTAAGGCAGGGGAAATTATCGTGATTTATTTTCTCATTTGTTTTCTCTTTTTCAATTCTGGCATTGTAACAGGGAACACAGCTCAATCAAGGTTCGGCAGCTGAGAAAATCAGAGAAGGTGGGGTGTGGCCTGGAGGAATTTCCTGCAGAGGGGTAAATGGCAGGCCAACCCCATCTGGGTCTTTCCCATGCCCAAGAAACTCTTTCAGCAAAGCCTGCTCATTTCCTTCGGGATCTTCCCTGCCCTGATAATCTCTCCATCCGTCCCTCCTTTCTAAAACCAGTATTTTCGTTCATTCTTTCATTCAAGATATATTTTCCTGTTTGGGAATTTTCATCCATGCGTTGTCCATCTTCCCACCCATCCCACAAACATTAGAGCAGAGCCGTTTTTGTGGGGGTCTCTGTACCCAGAATTGGAATCACACCTTGAATAAAACATGGAATTTGTTTCTTCCCTTAAGGAGCTCAACGTTATTTGGTTGAATACGTTCTCATTTAAAACCTCTACCATTCCCAGAAAACTTATTAAAGATATGATTAAAGAGATAATCACATAACCTTACTTAGTTATTGAATAAGCTTTTTTCCTGGTCCTGAACACATGAGTGACGAAGGCTTCTTGAAGACGGTTCACTTGGCTGTGAACAGTGCTGCAATGCTCAGGAACAAGGCTCAGTGCTCAAGGGTGGGAGCTGTCACCACATAGGTAACACCTACTCTTTTTGTTCCTTGATAGCTTGGCTCAGGAAGGATGATGGTCTGCGAAATTGACATTAGAATGTCTGCAGAAAATCCCCGGATGAGGGAAAAATCAACATGATCCAATGCTGAACTAGTTTAGGCCTGTGCTATTGCTGGCGAATGGATGCCACTACTGAGCACAACCCTGTCTCCAGAAACATCTAGTTATGACCCCTCTCAATCTCTATCTACAAGATGAAGGCTTTTGACCTGGTCTATGTCCACTCCATGCTGATGACTTATACAAGTGGCTGTGGCTCAAGACAAGCCAACCACAGGGGACAGACAGCAGGTGCACAAGCTTGTAAGAGTAGAAATGAAAAAGAACCCCTTAACTCAATTTGGAGAAGTGAATACTTGAACCCTGAGCGTCTTTGCAGTGACGCCAGCTCAAATCAGGGCAGGCACTTTCTGTGGGAGGCTAACCCTTGTTTGCCATCTTGCTTTCCACTTGCATATGGAAGTAACATGCACTGGGGTAGAGGGCGTGGAGACAAGGGACTTGCTACATTTGTTCTGACGGCAATGTGATATAATCACCCATCTCATCTGAGACTGAGTCATATTTTATATGAAAGACAAGTTCTTTCTCTTTATAAAATGCAATTATACATAAATAGTTCATGTCATCTGCTCTTGAAATTTTAGCAGCAGGACTTAATGCTGCTGGTTACCATGGTAACAGGCAAAGTTGGTGATATTGAATATTACTGTATTAAGTTCCTCTGCGTGTGTGTGTGTGTGTATGTGTGTCTGTGTGTGTGTTTTAATGGCTGTGTTGCATATAGGGGATAGTTTTTTCCAGACTACAGTGTCAGAAAAGTCAGAACATGAGACTGTCACCGATGTGTCAAGTGAATACATTGGAAAAGTCGAGCCCAGCACAGATGCCTTTCATTTCTTGCTCATATCCTTTATTTCTTGCACCCATCCCTCCCTGCCAATTTTATTAAGGTATAATTGACAAATAAAATTATATATCTTTACAGTGTACAATGTGATGTTTTGATACAGTATACATTGTGAAAATATTAAATCAAGCTAGCACATTTTTTGCAGTGAGAACATTTAAGATCTATTCTCTTAGCAGTTTCCAAGTATACATTATTATTGTACATTCGGTGCAATAGATCTGCAGAACTTACTCATGCTGTCTACCAAACTTTGTTTACTTTGAGCAACATCTCATTTTGCTCCCCCATCCCCAGTACCTGGCAAACACCATTCTTTGCTTTTGTGAGTTTGAAATTTTATTTCATTTAAAAAAATTTTAATTTTTGACACTGGTGGTATATGTGCTTGTTTGTTACAAGGGTATTGCCTGCATAATGATAGAAATTGGGCTTCTAGTGTTTCCATCACCCAAATATTGAACACCGTATCCAACAGGTAATATTTTAGTCCTCACTCCCCTTCCACCCTCCTTCCTTTTAAGAGTTTCTAGTGTCTGTTTGCATGATATTTGCATGATCTCATTTTCTACCCTTTTACTTTGAGTCTGAATGTGTCTTTAGCCAGTAGGTGGGTCTTTTTTAGACAGCAGATGGTTGCATCTTATTTTTTTTATAACCCAATTTGCCACTCTGTATCTTTTAAGTGTACAATTTAGGTCATTTACATTGAAAGTTAATGTTGATATGTGAGGTTTTGCTCCTGTCATTGTGTTATTAACTAGTTGTTTTGGAGTTTCAATTGTGTAATTGCTTTATAGGATCTGTGAGCTTTGTACTTTGGTATCTTTTTCTGATGGTGAGTATAGTACTTTCATTTCCATATTTAGAACGCCTTTGAGCATGTATTGTAGGATCTGTCTAGTGGTGACAAATTCTCTTAGTGTTTGCTTGTCTGGGGAAGACTTTATTTCTTCTTCATTTATGAAGCTTAGTATGGCAGAATGTAAAATTCTTGGTTTGCATTTATTTAAAGAGGCTAAAAATAGGCCTCCAATCTATTCTTGCTTCTAGGGTTTCTGCTGAGAAGTCCAGTGTTTGATCAATTTTCCTTTCTAGGTGATTTGAGTTTTTGCTGTAGCTGCCTTTAATATTTTTTATTTCTTCAGCATTCACTTAGCATAGTCTGAAGACCATATGCCTTGGTGATGTTCATCTTGTATAGAATCCCACAGATGTTCTCTGAATTTTTTGTATCTGGATGTTCAACTCTCCAGCAAAATTAAGAAAATTTTCTTGAGTTATTTTCAAATATGTTTTCCAGTGGCTTACTTTTTCTCTTTCAGGAATGCTAATAAGTCATAGGTTTTATTGCTTTAGATAATTCATATTTCTCACCAGAGAAATATGGTTTCTCTGGCTTTGGTTTTCAAAATTATTTTTACTTTTGACAAATTAGTTTCAATGATCAGTCTTCAAGCTCTGAAATTCTTTCTTCTGCTGGTGTAATCCATTGTTAAAGCTTTCAACTATATTTTCAAATGTCTTAAGTAGGCTTTTTATTTCAAGAAGTCCTTTTGCATTTTTTAAAATATATTTATCTTTCCCATCATTTCCTGGATTGTTTTTATAGTTTCTTGTGTTGGTTTTCAACCTTGTCTTCAATCTCATTTAATTTCCTTGCAATTTATACTTTGAACTCTTTGTCAGTTCTCAGTTTCCATTTTGGTTAGGGTATATTTCTAGAGAGCTAATATGATCCTTTAGTCATGTCACAACATTCAGATTTTTTCATGATGCCAGAATTCTTATGCTGATTCTTTCTCATCTGGAGCAGCTGCTCACAGAAAACCACTCTTATTTTTGAATTTATTTTTGTTCAGATGGGATTTTTTTTTTCTTATTTGTTTTTTCTTTCTCCATCCCTCCCTTTCCCTAGGGAGTGACTGTGGAGTACGTTGTGTTGCTAAAGCTTTGCTTCTATAGCCCACGCACTTCCATTGGCCAGGCTTTATATTTGGCTGTGCAGTTCAACCTGCAGGCCAGTAGATGGCGCTGACGGGTAAGAGCCAGCTTGTGGCACAGCAGATGGGTAGGTACTTGGTCTTTGTTTACTGGGAGGTGCTCTCTGTTGCTTCTGGTGATGGGCTGGACAGTGAAGTGCCTGGTGCCCTGAGTTTTCTGTTCAGCAGGGAGTGGGTAGAGCTGGGCAGAGCTGGACCCCCTGGCTTGCCCACAAATACTCCAATGCCAAGTATAGGCACCAAGCCTTGTGGAGATGGCTTTGGGAGCTCCCAGTGACATGTGCTGAGGTCTCTACATCGGGTGAAGGGGCTGCACTAGCTCCATGCGCTAGATAGGCAGGAAAGTGATCTATTCCCAATCACACCAGTCCTGGAACTCGTGACTCTCAGTTCAGATCCTCACTGTTGTCTACATCCAAGCCACAGTGGGTTGAGAGCTGTGGAACACACCTGTCTTGAGACTCTCCACAGGAGTGGTTTTGGGGCAGAACCTTTTCAGCGTATGGCTCTCTTTCCTTTGATGTGGTAATGATGTTGCATTGTCAGGGCCAGGGGATACACTCTGCCTTTCAGCCCCTGTGGATGGGTATCAGTTGTGGTGGTGTCAACTGGTTGGGCTGGCCTGACCTCAGGCCCTGGGAAAAGTGGTTAGGTGCCAGCACTGTTGGATTGGTCTACATAGCGCCCCAGTTCTCAGGCCCTTAGACGGCCTACCGGACAGAGAGTATGGGTCCTTAAAACCCATTTATGCCTAGTGTTCCATTACTGGAATACTAAGCATGTGGGACTTATTTATATCCCACTGCTCAAGATCATCGCCAAGGTCTGATTGGAAAAATTTAAAAAATTGCAACCTCAGGCATAAATGGGTTAAGGGGCTGGACTGGGGTTGGGGCACCCTAGACTTCAGGAGCTGGCTGTGATGGGGAAGGGGCTGGCTGGTCCCTGAGAGGCTGATAGAACCCTCAGGCAGGGGACAGACAGAAGGCCCAGGTGGTGGGAGCCTGAGGGCAGCACAGGCCTGTGGGGACTGGGCTCTCAGAAGAGCTGTGGTTGCAGCGGAAATGCTCAGGCAGGAGCCAGGTGGCCTTTCACTGGGGGAAGGGAGGGCCCCTCAGGGCACTGGAGATTGGCACCTGGGGGGCACATGACCTACTCACACTTTGCTCCTGCAGAAGCAGTTCTGGATTTTGTTCTTGGGGTCATGCAGAGGTCCCAGGCCTCCTCACTCTCTCCCTGGCCTGGGAGTCGGGGTCTCAGAGAAACACCTAGCCAAGGCCAGTGTTTCTGCAGGGGTGGGTCAACTGTACAGGGGGCCTGCAACAGGTAAGCCCCATTTCGCAGGAAGCAGCCGAGGCCGGGAGTAGTGTGGTGTGTGGTCTGGCAGCTCCTCTGCACAGCAGCTGTGCTGTCTCTCCTGGGGGTGTGCAAAGAGCCTCGCCTCCCTCCTTGGCATGGCAGCTGGCACCAGGCTGACTGTGGGATTCCAGGTGGGCTTGAGCGGTGCCTCTGCAAAGTTTCTGGGTGGCTCTGTGTTCAGCTGGAGGCCTAAGGAGGATTATGGGGGCTCTCCTGTGGCTAGGATTGTAAAAGTCTGTGATGGAGAGGTGGGTCCCGGAGCCTCTCACCTCATTCACCCCTTCCTTGGAGTAAGAGCCTCTCTTCACTCCACACCGTCCCAGCTCCGCAGGCTGCCTGGCTCCACTGTTCCCTGCTTTCCTTGGGTCCCATTGGTTCTCTGGTGAATCCGAGCATGCTCTCTTAAGATGATCTATGTGAAGTGTGAGGATTTACTTGCCATTGTGGTTCCTGTCTGTGAGAGAGGCATGGGCTTGCTGCTTCTAGTCAGCCATTTTGAACTAAAACCTCAACAACTTTTTTGATTCCTCATTTGAGTGAAATCGCATGGTAGTTGTCTTTCTGTGCCTGGCTTATCTCACTTAACGTAACTTCCTCTAGGTTCATCCATGTTCTCACAAGTGACAGAATTATCCTTTTTTAAAAGCTGAATAGTATTCCATTATACATAAATGTATGTGTGTGTGTGTATATATATGTGTGTGTATATATATATGTGTGTGTGTGTGTGTGTGTGTATATATATATATATATCTCAATCTCACATGTGCTCTATCCACTCATCCACTGATGGACACTTAGATTGATGCCATATCATGATTATTGTGAATACTGCTGCAAAGAACATGAGAGTGCACATGTTTTATTGACATACCAATTTCATTTCCTTTTGATATATACTGTTGAAGTCAAATAAACTATAGAGATGAATCTCTGACATGAACATGTTTTGTTTAGGAAAAATTGCAATTGGGAAGATATACACAGACTGGGTGGTCTTTGGTGTATCCAAAGAACAAAGAGAAGGTCGGAAGTTTTATAACAAGGAGAAATGTTATGTATTTGTTTTTCAAGAAAGTTCGTGGCACTTGTAAAGTTCTGGGGAGCAAGAAAGCTCTGATTGGTGAGTGGTGGTGATGGTAAAACTAGTCCTAGATTTGCAGCAGGTTGTGTCAGTAGCTATTAGATAAAACTGGCTTCAGGTTACTACAGGCAATTTCACAGCCAGGCTTGCAAATAATTATATTCTTGGAGCGGTGTTATGTACCCTGAGTGTTTTCCCCCTCTGGCTTCTCAACTCTGTTTTCATTCAGTAGAATGACCCAATTTTTATAATCAACTTTCACAATACTTGGAAGTGAGACAACTGGATCCTATGGTAGTTCTATTCTTATTTTTTTTAGGAATGTCACTACTGTTTTACAAAGTGGCTGTATTAATTTACATTTCTGCCAACAAAGTACAGGGATTCCTTTTTCTCGGCATTCTCGCCAATACTAATTTTTTGTCTTTTTGATAATAGCGATTCTAACAAGTGTGAGGTAGTGTCTCACTGTGGTTTTAATTTTCATTTTCCCGATGACTAGTGATGTTGAACATTTTTTCATATACCTGTTGGCCATTTTTATGTCTATTGGGTCCTTTGCCGATTTTTGTTTGTTTTATGTTGAGACATATATCCATGTGTTTACATATGTGAGACAGGGTCTTGTTCTGTCAACCAGGCTGCACTGCAGTGGCACAATCCTGGCTCACTGCAGTCTTGACCTCCCAGGCTCAAGTGATCCTTCCACCTCAGCTTCCTGAGAAGCTGGGACCACAGTCGTGCTCCACCACACCCAGCTAATATTTTTTTCTTTCTTTTTTTGAAAAGACAGTTTCTCATCATTTTGCTCAGTCTGGTGTCAGACTCCTGGGCTCAACAGATCCTGCTGTTTTGCCCTCCTAAAGTGCTGGGATTACAGATGTGAGCCACTGCAGCTGGTCCCTTTGCCTGTTTTTTAATAAAGTTATTTGGTTGTTTTTTGTTTGTTTTTTGCTATTGAGTTGAGTTCTTCATATATTTTGGAAATTAACCCTTTATCAAATATTCGGCTTGCAAATATTTTCTCCTATTCTGTAGGTTGTCTCTTCTGTTAACTGTTTCCTTTGCTGTGAAGAAGCTTTTTAGCTTGATATAATCCTATTTGTCTATTTTTGTTTCTGCTGCCTGTGCTTTTGGTGTCATATCCAAAATATCATTACCCACACCAATGTCAAGAAGCTTTTCTCCTATGTTCTAGTCATTTTGCATTTCCAGGTCTTATATTTGAGTAATTTATTTTGAGTTTATTATTGTATATGGTATAATCCAATTTTATTCTTTTCCATATTGATATACAGTTTTACCAATACCATTTATTGAAGAAGAGACTATGTTTTCCCCATTGTGTATTCTTAATACCTTTGTTGAAGATTGGCTGTAAACATATGGATATATTTCTGGACTGTCTATTCTGTTCCATTGTTCTATGTTTCTGTTTTTCTGCCAGTACCATGTTGTTTTAATTACCGTAGCTTTCTAATATATTTTTGAGATCAGGTAGTGTGATGCCTTCAACTTTGTTTTTTGTTTTGTTTCATTTCTAACTTCTAAACAATATGGAAGCTTCCAGCTTTTTTCTTCTCACTCATGATTGCTTTGGCTATTTGGTGTTATTTTGTGGCTTCATACCAATTGTAAGATTATTTTTACTTTTTCTGTGAAGAATGACATTGGAATTTTGATAGGAATTGCATTCAAACTGTAGATTACTTTTGATTATGTGGCCATTTTAACAATATTGATTCTTCCAATTCATAAATATATTTTTTCATTTACTTATATCATCTTCAATTTTTTGTCAGTGTTTTCACCTCCTTGGTTAAATTTATTATTTTATTTTTGATGCTATTGTAAATTGAATTGTTTATTTCTGTTTTTAGGTACTTTCTTGTTAGTATATATAGTTGCTACTGATTTTTGTATGTAGATTTTGTATCTTGCAACTTCACTGAATTTGTTAGTTTTAACAGTTTTTTGGTGGCATGTTTAGGGTTTTCTATATACAAGATCATATCATCAGCAAACATAAACAATTTCTTTCTTCTCTCCTCTTTGGATGCCATTTATTTCTTTTTCTTACCTAATTGCTCTTAGTAGTATTTCCAGTATTAGATTGAATGGAAGTGATACAAATGGGCACCCTGTCTTGTTCCTGATCTTAGATGAAAAGCTTTCCACTTTTCACAGTTGAGTGTCATGTTAGCTGTGGGTTTGTCGTATATGGTTGTTACTTGTTGAGAGTTTTTATCATGAAATGATGTTGAATTTTGTCAGTTTTTTTTCTAGCATCTGTTGTGATAATCATATGTTTTTTTTTTTTTTTTTTTTTTTTTTTTTTTTTCAGACGGAGTCTCGCTCTGTCGCCCAGGCTGGAGTGCAGTGGCGGGATCTCGGCTCACTGCAAGCTCCGCCTCCCGGGTTCACGCCATTCTCCTGCCTCAGCCTCCCAAGTAGCTGGGACTACAGGCGCCCGCCACTACGCCCGGCTAATTTTTTGTATTTTTAGTAGAGACGGGGTTTCACCATTTTAGCCGGGATGGTCTCGATCTCCTGACCTCGTGATCCGCCCGCCTCGGCCTCCCAAAGTGCTGGGATTACAGGCGTGAGCCACCGCGCCCGGCCGATAATCATATGTTTTATATCCTCTATTCTGCTAATGTGGGTTCCCATTTATTGATTTGTGTATGTTGAATGTTGAATCATCCTTTCATTCAAAGAATAAATCCTGCTCAATCATAATGTATGATCCTTTTAATGTACTGGTAAATTCAGTTTGCTGGTATTTTGTGGAAGATTTTTACACCTATGTTCATTAGGGATATTGATTAGTAGTCTTCTTATAATGTCTGGCTTTAATATCAGGGTAATGCTGGCCTAATAAAGTGAATTTGGAAGTGCTTCCTCCTATTCAGTTTTTCAGATAAAAATTTGATAAGGACTGGTGTTAATTCTTCCTTAAATGTTTGGTAGAGTGCACCAGTAAAACCGTCAGTTACTGGGCTTGTCTTTATTGGGAGATTTTTGATTACTGATTAATTTCCTTACTCATTATTGGTCTGTTTGGATTTTCTGTTTTTTCATGATTCAGTCTTGGTAGGTTGTATGTTTTTAGGAATTTATCTGTTTCTCTAGGCTATCCAATTTGTTGACATATAATTGTTCATAGTATCTCTAGAAATCTTTTATATTTCTGTCATATCAGTTGTAATGTTTCCTCTTTCATTTATAATTTTATTAATTTTAAGGATTTTTTTATCTGAAAGTTTTCTTTTTTTACTTAGTCTATCTAATGGTTTCTCAATTCTGCTTATCTCTTAAAAACACACACACACACGTCTTAATTTCCTTAATGTTTTCTATTATTTTCCTAGTCTTTATTTTCATTTATTTGTTTCTGTTTTGATTTTTAATTCCTTCTTTCTGCTGACCTGGGCCTTAGTTTGCTCTTTTTTTTCTAATTCCTTAAAGTGTAAAGTTAGGTTGCTTATTTGAGATGTTTTCTCTTTATGTAGGTGTTGGTCACTATAAATTGTCCTCTTAGAACTGTTTTAGCTGCATGCCATATAGTTTTGATATGCTATTTTTTCATTTTCATTCATCTCAAGATTTTTTTTGTTTTCCCTTTTGACATCTTCTTTGACCTGTTGATTGTTTAGATGTGTGTTGTTTAATTCCTACATATTTGTGAATTTTCCAACTGTCCCCCTGTTCTTGAGTTCCAGTTTTATACCATTTTGTTGGAAAAGAAAATCGATATGATTTCAGTCTTTTCTAATATGTTAAAACTTGTTTTGTAGCCTAACATATGATTTGTCCTGGATGTTTTTTCATGTGCACTTAAAAAGAATTTCTATTTTTCTGCTGTTGGGTGGAGTGTTCTGTATATGTCTGTTAGGCCCATTAGCCCCCCAAGTCCACTGTTCCCTTATTTATTTTCTGTCTGGATTATCTATAAATTGTTGAAAGTGGGAGTACTGGCTTGGTGCAGTGGCTCACGCCTGTAATCCCAGCACTTTGGGAGGCCGAGGCAGATGGATTACTTGAGGCCAGGAGTTCGAGACCAGCCTGGCCAACATAGAGAAACCCTGTCTCTACTAAAAATACAAAAATTAGCTGGGCCTTGTGGTGCATGCCTGTAATCCCAGCTCCTTGGGAGGCTGAAGCATGAGAATCCTTTGAACCTGGAACACAGAGGTTGCAGTAAGCTGAAATGATACCACTGCACTCCCACCTTGAGAGAGCAAGACTCTCTCAAAAAAAAAAAAAAAAAGGAAGAAAGAAAGAAAATGGGAATCCTCTACTATTACTGTATTGTTGTCTATTTCTCCCTCTATAACCATTAATATTTGGTTTATTTAATAGGTGCTCCAATGTGCACCCAATATGCATATATATTTGCAATTCATATATCCTCTTGATGAATTAACCACTTTATCATTATATAATGACCTTCTCTGTCTCTTGTGACATTTTCTTTTACTTAAAGTCTATTTTGTCTGATATAAAAATAGCCACCCTGGCTCTTTTTTGTTTATCATTTTCTTTTTTTTTTTAATTATACTTTAAGTTCTAGGGTACATGTGCACAATGTGCAGGTTTGTTACATAGGTATACATGTGCCATGTTGGTTTGCTGCACACATTAAATCATTATTTACATTAGGTATTTCTCCTAATGCTATTCCTCCCCTACTCTTCTACCCTAGGACAGGCCCTAGTGTGTGATGTTCCCCGCTCTGTGTCCAAGTGTTCTCATTGTTCAGTTCCCACCTATGAGTGAGAACATGCAGTGTTTGGTTTTCTGTCCTTGTGATAGTTTGCTCAGAATGATGGTTTCCAGATTCATCTATGTCCCTGCAAAGGACATGAACTCATCCTTTTTTATGGCTACATAGTATTCCATGGTGTATATGTGCCATATTTTCTTAATCCAGTCTATCATTGGTGGACATTTGGGTTGGTTTCCAGTCTTTGCTATTGTGCATAGTGCCACAATAAACATATGTGTGCATGTGTCTTTATATTAGCATGATTTATAATCCTTTGGGTATATACCCGGTAATGGGATGGCTGGGTCAAATGGTATTTCTAGTTCTAGATCCTTGAGGAATCGTCACACTGTCTTCCACAATGGTTGAACTAGTTTATACTCCCACCAACAGTGTAAAAGCGTTCCTATTTCTCCAATTCCTCTCCAGCATCTGTTGTTTCCTGACTTTTTAATGATCACCATTCTAACTGGTGTGAGATGGTATCTCATTGTGGGTTTGATCTGCATTTCTCTGATGACTAGTGATGATGAGCATTTTTTCATGTGTCTGTTGGCTGCATAAATGTCTTCTTTTGAGAAGTGTCTGTTCATATCCTTTGCCCACTTTTTGATGCAGTTTTTTTTTCTTGTAAATTTGTTTAACTTCTTTGTAGATTCTGGATATTAGCCCTTTGTCAGATGGATAGATTGCAAAAATTTTCTCCCATTCTGTATGTTCCTGTTCACTCTGATGGTAGTTTCTTTTGCTGTACAGAAGCTCTTTAGTTTAATTAGGTCCCATTTGTCTATTTTGGCTTTTGTTGCCATTGCTTTTGGTGTTTTAGTCATGAAGTCCTTGCACCAAGCGGATCTAATAGACATCTACAGATCTCTCCACCCAAAATCAACACAGTATACGTTCTTCTGAGCACCACATCACACTTATTCCAAAATTGACCACATAGTTGGAAGTAAAGCACTCCTCAGCAAATGTAAAAGAACAGAAATCACAACAAACTGTCTCTCATACCACAGTGCAATCAAATTAGAACTCAGGATTAAGAAACTCACTCAAAACCGCACAACTACATGGAAACTGAACAACCTGCTCCTGAATGATTACTGGCTAAATAACTAAATGAAGGCAGAAATAAAGATGTTCTTTGAAACTAATGAGAACAAAGACACAACGTAGCAGAATCTCAGGGACACATTTAAAGCAGTGCGTAGAGGGAAATTTATAGCACTAAATGCCCACAAGAGAAAGCAGGAAAGATTTAAAGTCGACACTTTAAATCTTTGAATGAATCAATGAATCCAGGAGCTGGTTTTTTGAAAAGATCAGCAAAGTTGATAGACCGCTAGTGAGACTAATAAAGAAGAAAAGAGAGAAGAATCAAATAGATGCAATAAAAAATGGTAAAGAGGATATCACCACCGATCCCACAGAAATACAAACTACCATCAGAGGATACTATAAACACCTCTATGCAAATAAATTAGAAAATCCAGAAGAAATGAATAAATTCCTGGACACCTACACCTTCCCAAGACTAAACCAGGAAGAAGTTGAATCTCTGAATAGACCAATAACAGGCTCTGAAATTGAGGCAATACTCAATAGCCTACCAACCAAGAAAAGTCCAGGACCAGATAGATTCACAGCCAAATTTTACCAGAGGTACAGAGAGGAGCTGGTACCATTCCTTCTGAAACTATTCCAATCAATAGAAAAAGAGGGAATCCTCCCTAACTCATTTTATGAGGCCAGCATCATCCTGATACGAAAGCCTGGCAGAGACACAACAAAAAAAGAGAATTTTAGACCAATATCCCTGATGAACATCCATGTGAAAATCCTCAATAAAATATTGACAAACCGAATCTAGAAGCACATCAAAAAGCTTATCCACACGATTAAGTCAGCTTTATCATTGGGATGCAAGGCTGGTTCAACATATGCAAATCAATAAATGTAATCCATCACAGAAGCAGAACCAATGACAAAAACCACATGATTATCTCAGTAGACACAGAAAAGGCCTTTGACAAAATTCAACAGCCTTCATGCTAAAAACTCAATAAACTAGGTATTGATGGAACGTATCTCAAAATAGTAAGAGCTATTTATGACAGACCCATAGCCAATATCATACTGAATGGGCAAAAACTGGAAGCATTCCCTTTGAAAACCGGCACAAGACAAGGATGCCCTCTCGCACCACTCCTGTTCAACATAGTGTTGGAAGTTCTGGCCAGGGCAATCAGGCAAGAGAAAGAAATAAAGGGTATTCAGTTAGGAAGTGAGGAAGGCAAATTGTCTCTGTTTGCAGATGACATGATTGTATATTTAGAAAACCCCATTGTCTCAGCCCCAAATCTCCTTAAGCTGATAAGCAACTTCAGCAAAGTCTCAGGATACAAAATCAATGTGCAGGAATCACAAGCATTCCTATACACCAATAACAGACAAACAGAGAGCCAGATCATGAGTGAACTCCCATTCACAGTTGCTACAAAGAGAATAAAATACCTAGGAATCCAACTTACAAGGGATGTGAAGGACCTCTTCAAGGAGAACTGCAAACCACTGCTCAACGAAATAAAGGAGGACACAAACAAATGGAAGAACATTTTATGCTCATGGGTAGGAAGAATCAGTGTCGTGAAAATGGCCATACTGCCCAAGGTAATTTATAGATTCAATGCCATCCCCATCAGGCTACCAATGACTTTCTTCACAGAATTGGAAAAAACTACTTTAAAGTTCAGATGGAACCAAAAAAGAGCCCTCATTGCCAAGACAGTCCTAAGCAAAAAGAACAAAGCTGGAGGCACCACGCTACCTGACTTCAAACTATACTATAGTAACCAAAGCAGCATGGTACTGGTACCAAAACAGAGATATAAACCAATGGAACAGAACAGAGCCCTCAGAAATAACACCACACATCTACAACCATCTGATCTTTGACAAACCTCACAAAAACAAGAATGGGGAAAGGATTCCCTATTTAATAAATGATGCTGGGAAAACTGGCTAGCCATATGTAGAAAGCTGAAACTGGATCCCTTCCTTACACCTTATACAAAAATTAATTCAAGATGGATTAAAGACTTAAATGTCAGACCTAAAAACCATAAAAACCCTAGAAGAAAACCTAGGCAATACCATTGAGGCCATAGGCATGGGCAAGGACTTCATGACTATCATTTTCATCAAATATATTTTTCTATCCCTTTCAGGCATGGACTGAAAGCCTAAGTCAGGTCTTTGAGTCCTTAAAGCTAAACTGTCTCTTTTAAGCAGAATTTATCTGAATCTTGTTTTTCAATTCATTCAGCCACTCTGTATTTTTATATCAGAGAACTTAATCCATTTACATATAAACTAATTTTTGATGGGTAAGATTTTAATATTGCCATTTTTTTTTTTTTTTTTTTTTTTTTTTTTTACTATTTTGTACTTCCTTTGTTCCATTCTTTCTCTCTCGCTGTCTTCCTATGTGATATGACTTTTTGTAGGGGCAATCCCTTCTCTTTATCTTTTGTGTATCTATGTCAGATTTTTGTGTGTGTGTGTGTGTGTGTGTGTGTGTGTGTGTTTACCACAAGGCTTACCTAAATCATATTATAGTTAAGACATTATGTTTTAAGCTGATAACAATTTAACTTTCATTTCATACAAAAGCTTTGTACTTTTAACTTCTCTTCCCCCAATATTTTATATTAATGTCACAATTTACACCTTTATATGTCACATACCCATTGACAAATTATTGTAGCTATAGTTATTTTAATACTTTTGTGTTTAAATTTTTACACTAGAGTTAAAAATTATGTATCCACCACCATTGCAGTGTTAGAGTATTCTGAATTTGACTACATTTTTACCTTTACAGTGAGTTTTATACTTTCATCTATTTTCATGTTGTTAGTTTTGTGCTTCTTCCCCTGTTTCCCATTCTAAAAAATCTGTTTCCAGTCTCCATGTCCATGCTACAAAATTCTTTTCATCTTATTCCAGATCCCCTTCTCTTTCTGTTTTTGCTCTTTGCATGCCATCAGCATTCTCTTTGCCTCTCTTTTGGACGCACTTTCTCTCTCACACATCTCTGCTTGGCTTTATTTTTTCCTCATTATAGATAGACGTTTTCTATGTGTTGAAAAGATAGCCCCTGGCAGCCCCAAATTAACAACTTTTCATCTTAGAAACTCTTTTTATATTGCAGTTGCTCTTCCCAACATCTGTATATTTGTCCCAGGAAAGGATGTTGATTGGTCTTGGTTGAATCATATGTCCACTCCTGAGCCAATCACTGCCCTGGGTAATGAGATGCTATGATTGATTATTTGTGGATTATATGCCCAACCACAGAAAGGGAATGGAGCTGGGCAGTCCCAAACAATAGCTATTATCATCTACTACGGCCCAGAGTGAGATATTGTGGGAACTTTTCTCTCTTTTATGGTTCCATAGGAAGGGTATTTGGTTGGTCTTAGGAAACTAAAAGGGAAGTATGGATTTCTTTGGTGGTTGAAAGCCAGCTTAGGTTCTAGGTATAGATGGCTGATTGAATGTGTACATCAACTAGCATATTAGTGCAGTTCTGAGCGTAAACATTGAATGTATACATCAACTAGCATATTAGTGCAGTTCTGAGCGTAAACAGAAAGTAAGAAGATTTAAAATATAGATATGTGTAAACTCATAAAAAGGGAGAGGAAACAAAAACGTGGAAATTTGGGGAGTTGAAAAGCACATGGACAAGTGGGAACTGATTGCTTCTCCCCACTCTGGCTTAGGAGTCAGCTTTCTCTGGTCTGCTGAGAAGCAACCTGATTTACACTGAAGAACCACTAAAGGCTCGGAAATTGGCACTTCCAGGTACTTCTGGAAGTGGAGGTAAAGATGAGGCTTGAAAAAGCAGAAAGTATATTTTCTCAGAGAGGATGAAACACTAGGCATGAAAGACAGCAGGGATGCTGTACTGAAAATGGGGTTATATAAACATTTCTATATTGAATGACCCCTGGTTTTCTTCTCACACTCAGCTTCCAGGATGCTGACTGCCAGGCCTGTACTCTATAGGCAGGGGTTTAGAGAAATTTTTAGGTCTCTCTTTTTGGTGGGTTTCCCCAGAGATACTGATATTGGAGGTTCTTTAAGGGAATGCCCCATGACTCCTCTCTGGTAAAGCCCATAGTTGATAGATCTCATCAAGCGATTGAGCCTCCAATCAGTGTGTTAGTGTCCTGACCTTAAATTACACAGACAGCTCAGGATCTCCAGACAGCTGAGGAAAGCCTGTTACATGAAAGAAGTCAGCACAACCAGAAGTGTCCTCAGATTGCCTTTCCTCTCTGTTTTATTGTTTTGTTATTGTTGTTGTTGTTGTTTTTGAGATGGAGTCTTGCTCTGTTGCCCAGCCTGGAGTGCGATGGTGCGATCTTGGCTCACTCCAACTTCTGCCTCCCTAGTTCAAGCTATTCTCAGCCTCCCGAGTAGCTGGGATCACAGGCACCTACTACCATGCCCAACTAATTTTTGTATTTTTAGTAGAGACGGGGTTTCACCTTGTTGGTCAGGTTGGTCTTGAACTCCTGATCTCAGGCGATCCACCTGCCTCAGTCTCCCAAAGTGCTGGGATTTACAGGTGTGAGCCACTGTGCCTGACCTTTATTGTAGATTTTTAAATATTTGTCATCCAACACTTCGGTAGGAATTTTTATTCATGTTCTACAATTTTTAATGTTCAATACTTTCTTGTTCTCTGAATGTTTCTTTTTATAGCTTTTTTGTTGTATGATAAAATTTTATTATACGAAGGACAAAGGGAAGATACTAGAAGCTTCCAGGAAGGAAAAAAAGATGTGTCATATACAAAGGATCAGGAAACAGAATGGCTTGAAACATTTCAGCAGCAATACTGGAAGCTAGAAGACAGTGTTGGTTTAATGCCTTGGAAGATTGGAAGGACGATACTTTTCAGCCTAGAAATCTTCATCCAGCCAAGCTATCAAGCAAATGTAAGGACTGAATAATGGCTTTCTTAGACATTAAAGTCTCATGTACTCTTTGATATCAAATTATTAGGAGATGTGCTCCACCAAAAGTAGGGTTTAAATCAGGGGAGTGTGAAAAACAGAGAATGGAAATGCAGGATATCTAACTGAAGAGAGTTGTGAAGGAAATTCTCAGGTAGAGAATGAAGGGAGACCCCAGGGCAACAGCTGTGCACCAGATATGAGGGTGATTGGTCCAGACTGGAGCAAGTCGAATGGTCTGGAGAGATTCTTTCAAGAAGACTCACGTTGGAAAGCTGGCAGGAAGGAAAGTAAGGTATGGTGGGGGCAGGGGAGCTGTGAAAGAAGAATGTTCCAATTATGGAAGATCAGAGATGATACCTAAAACTAAAAGCACACTATATTGGTCCTTTTTTATATTTCAGAGATATCAAGGTAATATCAGATGAATCAGCTAAACGTTGCAAGTGGTTGTCTCTGGGAGTTGAGGGTGGGAGGAATAGAGAGAGGCAGAAGGCTGCTATTTTTGTAGCAAGTCTTGTAAGTGTACTTGATTCTTAAACTATGAGTATGTATATCTTTTTGATCAAAGCCAGTTTAGATATCATGCCTAGCTCCCTCTGCAGCTGCCCATTCAGTAGCTGGCTGTGTGTTCCTTCCCAGAGAGTCAGTAGCCCCGTGGCTGGTGTATGGTATATACTGCACACAGAGCACCTGTTTGTGGTAACTGCAGCTGGCAGCTACCCCCGTCTTCTTGCCCACCGCATCTCATCTCCAAAGCCAGTTGCTTCCTTGTTGAATTAAACATAATTTCTTCTGTCTCATTTTGATACTGAACATGGCTTTGAGCATTTCCCTGAGTCTGGAGCGCATGGCTCTTGACAGGAGCTGTTATGAATGCTGATGGGAGTATGGGAGGATAAGGGATTTGGTGAGTGCAGGGGTGAGAGAAGCAGGGAGATGGAGGGCGTAGCCCCTGGCTGGGTGTTTTAGATTGTAGCTTGATGTCCAGCAGTCTGGCCCCGAAGTAGAGATGTTGTGCTGCTTGTCCTGACCAGCTTGTTGCCTACACAAGTCTTGATTCTGGTGGCTGGGAGAAAGCCCGACTCACCTATTTGTCTGAGGCTCTTGGGTGGGTTTTTGGCGCTTAGGTTTCCCTGCAGACACTCCTGGCAGAAACTTGACTCTACTTTTCTCAAGGCTTGATCCCAACTTCACCCTCTCCAGGAACCTCACTGATTCCCTTGTGGAGGAGAATTCCTTCCTTTTTTTGTGCTCCCATATATTCGTATCTTGGTCATTTTAAGTTTATCTCTCTTTCAAACTTATGTGGCCTTTATAGGTTCCTGTCATGTCTCCCAAATCACTCCAAACTCAGTGGCTTAAAACAACAGCCATGAGTCTAGCTCACGAGTCTGGAGAGCAGTTGGGCAGTTCTGCTTATCTGGGCAAAGCTTAGCTGATCTCAGATGGGCTCACTTACATGTTGTAGTCAGTTGAGGGTCATCTGGGGACTGACTGGTCTAGAAGGCTTTCACTCCCAGGTCTGGAAGTTAGCTATTTGTCACTGGTTGTCCAGAGTTCTCATCCATAAAACCTTTCATCCTCTAGGAGCTAGCTTGAATTTTTTCACATGGCAACATCAGGGTCCAAGAGACAGAAAAACCCTCAGTGTCCCTTGAGGCTTAGGTTTGGAATTGGCACAACATCACATCTCCCACATTCTGTTGGCTAAAGTCAGATCTGATTCAAGAATTAAGGAGATAGATGCCATCTCTTGATGGGAATTGCTGCAGTGACATTACAAAATCACAAAGTCAGGGAGAGAGTGGGGGATTGGGACGAATTTTGTAACCTACAGCAAGTAACAAAAAAATCTAATGTTTTTGGACACTTAAAACAGCGCCTGTTATACAGGGAGTGTTTTATGTGTTCCAATCCCATTGTGCCTGAGGTTTCTCGTCTTTGAAACTGGATGGTCGTAGTACTTACTTCATGGGGTTGCTATGACAATGACATGAGATAGGGAGCATGCCCAGGGTCATGTGGCTGCTAGGTGTAGAGGCTCTGGGACTCAGTGCAGTGCAGTGATTGTCTTACTCTTTCCTGTCATCCACATGGGGACATGCCCAGGACCTGGCACAGAGCAGGCCCTTCTAAACAGGAATCTAACTGGATGAATACATACATATGTGCCACAACCAAAAAGGGAATATCTGAGAACTTGCAGAATATCTTCCCACCCCACCTGTTTTGTTATTTAATTAACAACAAACAATTTGTCAGTGATAATCTCTGCCAGACAAATTGTCTCAGAGAAATAGGAGGTGAGGACTTCTTCATCCTGAGGAGGAAAAGATGGGGCCCTCAGCTCCCTTCAGCCCCATGTTTTCTTCACTTTGGTGAATATGCCACCCTCCCTATAAAATCTTCCTGTGTCACTGCAGTCCAAATGAACATCTGCTTTCAAGGTTTTACAGAGCTAATTACCTCAGATGTTTTCTGAGGCAGTCAGACCCCAAAGAGTTGAAAGCAGGATTAGGCCAAGCTATAACATAACACTTTGTGTTCCACATTCTAGTATATCACATTAAATACAGTATCTTCTCATATATGCTCATATGCCCACCTGTTTATTGAATCTTCATTCACCAATTCATCATCCATTGATCTATCCACTCATCCAGTTATTCATGCAATCCACTCATAAATTCATGTACCCACAAATCTACCATTCCCTGTACCTGACCAAATGAAACTCCGTCTATTTCTACCGTGTTACTTTGGCCACCCATTATTTGTGTGTTCATTTATCCATTCAGTCATCAGTGTATCTATCTTGCATCACCCTCCTATTCATCTATATATCTGCCCTTCCAAATATCAGCTCGACTTTCCCTACATCTATCCCTTCTTACCGCATTACTTGATTCTTCCATCTGCCCATTTAGTAGCCCATCACTATGTTCATTTATCTAATTGTCCATCTATTCATCCATTTACTCATTTCACCCTTATGTTCATGCTTACTGAATTCTCTATAATTTTTTAAATAATATATATATTCACACATCCCTTCATTCCCTTTTTCCCCAAATCAGTTCTTGCTTTCTCCTTCCATCTACCCATTTTTTTACTTATTTATTTATTTATTTTTGAGATGGAGTCTGGCTCTGTCGCCCAGGCTGGAGTGCAGTGGTGCAGTCTCGGCTCACTGCAAGCTCTGCCTCCCAGGTTCACGCCATTCTCCTGCCTCAGCCTCCCAAGTAGCTGGGGCTACAGGCGCCCGCCACTACGCCTGGCTAATTTTTTGCATTTTTAGTAGAGATGGGGTTTCACCATGTTAGCCAGGATGGTCTCGATCTCCTGACCTCGTGATCTGCCCGTCTCGGCCTCCCAAAGTGCTGGGATTCTACCCATTTATTTATCCCTACTGTCAAAGTTCTATATGTATATTAATTTATCCATCTTTCTAGTTATTCATTTTTTTCTTTCATTTTCTATCTTCTTTTTATTCTTTTATGTATGTATTTATCTAGGCATCCACTCCTCGATCTCTCTGTTCATCTTCTTTCATCCTTGTTATTTCTTCCCTCCACCCGTCCACCTCTTATTCCTCTATTCAGTCTATTATTCATCCATCCATCCATCCATCCATTTGTCTCAGTTTGTTTGGGCGGCTGTAACAAAAGTACCTTATAGATTGGGTGGCTTAAACAAACATTTCACAGTTCTGGAGTCTGAGAAGTCCAAGATTAGTGTGCCAGCAGGGTCCAGGTTTTCTTACATTGTGGAGAGGAAGCTGTTGCATGTCTCTTCTTATAGGGCACTACCTCATCATGAAAGTTTCACCCTCATGACCTAATTAATTCCTAAAGACCCACTGTCTTAATACCATCCATCTGGGGGGTAGGGTCTTAACATATTAATTTAACACCATCCATTCATCTATTCTTTCCTCTGTTCTTGGGGGTCCCAATGAGAATTCTGTCTTCTGGACTTGTTTGAATAAGGGTTTTTATCAGGGGACTTCATGGGGGTAGTTAGGATAGGCATTTGGGGGAAAAGTTACAGAAGAAGAGACAACATATTTGTCTGAACTCTGTGTGTTTGTGTGTGTGTGTGCAAATGTCAAGTTCAGGGGGTAGGTTATATATGCTATGATCAGTGTAAATGTAGAAAATCTTAGACATAGATATATATTCCTCTACTTACTAAGTAATTACAGCCCAGTAAGATAAGCACATTGATTACATGTTTCTACAATTTGACTTTAATCTCCATAAGCACAAAAACTAAGCCTGTCTTGGCCAATTTTGTCCCAGTATTTTGCAGAGCGTCTGCATGTGTAATACTAAATACTAAATTAATATTTATTGAATAAAGAGTGCAGGATTTGTAGTCTGTCACAGAAGTAGAGTTTTTAGAAAAGAAAAGAATGCAGAATTTGTGAACAACTTTAGATCCCACTTCAGAGAAAAGCACTGGGGATGATTCAGCAAGGTCCCATGTGAGCTGGAGGAAGATCATTGGTCAGGAATGGGAGTAAAGTTAGCCCTTGCTCTCCTGTACAGAGCATACAAATTCCACGGTGGGTGGGGGGTGACTTGGGGCTACATTATGACTTTTGTGGTTAAATTTTGCAACTGCTTTGGTATAAAGACAAATATATACCATTATGCATTTTCTTCAATTTAAACATTCATTTTTTTTCTTCTAATTTAAAAAATCTTGTGTGCCCCTAAGTGTGTGCCCATCTTGCCTAATGGATACATGGTCCTTTGTGTGGCGGGGCAGTGACCCACAGGCTGCAGCAGGAATCCAGGGCTCTCTAGAAGCGGATACCAACAATAACCAGTTTCATCGCTTTTGTATTTTCTTTCTTTCTTTTCTTTTCTTTTTTTTTTTAGACTGAGTCTAAATGTGTTGCCCAGGGTGGAGTGGAGTGGCACAATCTTGGCTTACTGCAACCTCTTGATCCCCTCCTGGGCTCAAGCATTCCTCCCACTTCAGCCCCATGAGTAGCTGGGACTATGGGCACAAGCCACCACACCAAGCTAATTTGTGTATTTTTTTGTAAAGATGGGGTTTCGCCATGTTGTCCAGGCTGATCTTGAACCCCTGAGCTCAAGGGGTCCACCCTCTTTGGCTTCCCAAAGTACTGGGATTACAGGCATGAGCCACCACTCTCAGCCACCCTTTTTTATTTCTTCTATTGAGAAAAAAGCCATTTCAAGACAGCCTTCACTTTCCCACAGTAAACACCCCACCTTTATTAATACTCGGCCAGATTTTCTAAGTAATAACATTAGCTGATGATGGTGAAGATGATAAGATTTTGCGTGTTGTATCAGACACTGTACAAAGTGCATTTTCCAAACATTTTGTTGTTGGGAAACTTCAGAACTTCAGTGTTCATAAAAGTGTGGATCTGACTTGAGAAGAATTGGTTCTGTAGCAGGACGAGCCACAGACAAAACCCTTCAGACACCGGGTTAAAGAAGGAAGAGGCTTTATTCGGCTGGGAGCATTGGCAGATTTGTATCTCAAGAACCGAGCTCCCTGAAGAAAGGGTTCCTGGCCCTTTTAAGGGCTTACAACTCTAAGGGGTCCACGTGAAAAAGTTGTGATAGATTGAGCAAGCATGGGGTACGCGACTAGATGGGGTGGTGACCAAGGCAAGTATTTCTCCATACCATTGTCTGCATGACTAGGTAGGGGTGGTGAGGAAGGCAAGTATTTCTTCATACCATTGTCTGTGATCTATGGATAGCACAAGCGGTTGGGGTGGGGGTTAATCTTTAACCTACAGGCCTGGCCAGTGGCGCCAATCAGTCTGTTATTTTTCAGTTTTTACTTTCTCCTTTTCTTTGGAGACAGGACAGTAGGAGAAATAGCCTCTCTCCTCATTTCCCCCTTTGAGAACCTCACTCACTAGTGGGAGTTCTCATTCTCATCCTCACTATCTAGATCTTCCTGTGAGACAGATTAATAGTGATTCATGTATACTTGTGCTGAGGTGTTTTGATGAACTAAGATGGTAACGAAGCCTCTTAGTAACTGGAGAAATATGTGTAACATACAGGGGAGTAACATGCAGGTCCTAACACTATTATTATGCCTATTACAAGAGTTTTAAATCCTCCTAGAGCTGGAAACCATTTTCCAAACAAAGATCCAGGATCAAACCTATGCCAAATCTGCATGGGCACATGTGCTGGCTTTGTCATGTCTCTATATTTTCAACTACTTGTCCTTGATCATCTATTTGTAGACAGCAATTGGTCAAGTTGAATTTTCCACAGACTCCTCCTTCAGTTGCCAGCAAATAGTCTAAGGCCAATCTATTCTGATAGATGGCATTTCTCATTTGGGTTTCCTGCTGGACTAAAAGAGTCAAAGCTCTGCCAGTTTCATTAGCGATTATTTCTAATATGGCCTGTAACCGTATGATCTGGTTGAGCATGTAGATGGGGGTTCGGTATCCCCACGAGCCGTCTTGTGCTCGTGTGGCAGGCCTATAGTACTGTATGATCCTTTTGGGGGGCCACTCATCATCTTTCCAATTTCCTATAGATATGCTCCTCTTTTCTCAGGCATAGACAGGGAAACCTAGGAGCTCACCTGTTTTTACGGGCAATAGGAAAAGGGATGGCTTAATGGTGCCAATGACACAACTACTTCCCCATTGATCAGGTGACGGAGTGTAGGCTCTGTGTCTACATATCCAGTATAGTCCAGAGGGAGCCGTCCGGTCTCGATGAGATTCTGGATGGACCTAAGCAGTCTGTAATTTAGGAATTTTACTGAAGGGATTCTTTTCAGTATGGTTTAGACCCCACCAGGTGACTGTCCCTGTTGTGCTGTTATACAGCTTCTGTCCTAGACAATTGAGCCTTCCTACAAGGATGGTGAAGTCTTTTCCTTCTCTAGCTATGCAGTATTATCCAATAATCAAGGTTTTCAGGACCCAGAAGTTGCTAATTTGGGCCTTCTGGACTGGAATTATGTCAGGAACTGGATCAGTAGGCACCAATTCCCGGGCTTCCCAAGGCCATTGGTCTCCCATAGTGGTTCCCCCACATACATAACAGGAAGTAACATTGAGGGAATGAGCTACATTTCCTAATAACTGGAGAAACAAGTTCTTTGTCTTTGTGTGTGTGTGTGTGTGTGTGTGTGTGTGTGTGTGTGTGTGTGTGGAAGCTCTGGTGCTGGCAGATTCAATTCATCGTAAAAGGTCTGAAACACTGGTTTGGGAAAGCACCTGTGGACCTCCCCTTGGATTAAAATATTTACTCGGAGATCCAGTCCAGTTCCCTCAATTCCTAGAGTTACGTACTCTCCTGTTTTCCAACAGGGATCAAGGAGATTGGTAATTAGTAGTTCTAATGGGTTACAATGACCACTAGTGCAGGAAGAGTTACTCTTTCCTTTTTGAAGGTGGACAGGGTCCCTCTTATCTTTTTTTCCAGGTGGCCTAAATGACACAGGACCAGTAACTACATTCATCACTACACATTCCTAAGTCATGACAAACATACTTATTTTCTACTATATAGCCCCTTTCCCAATCTAGAGAGCCACATCTTATCCTATTTCCATACAGGTCACTGTTGATTGCTGCACAGGCATCAAATTTTAAGATAATTTTTTTGGGGCTCCTTTCTCTTCTGTTCCAGTTATTTACTCATATCAGCTTTTCCCCAGCTGCCAGTCCTCAATCTTATTTCAAAAACGGTAGTCATAGGGGGCTCAGATGGGTTATAACACACATCAGGCTGGTAACTTCCTGGGCTACATACCTTGTATAGAGTAGCATTATACAAACAAGTTCCTTTTAGAGTCCCGGTACACTCATAACAACTATAAAATAATAGGACTGCAACAACCTTTTGTCCTACCTCAGTGACTTGATGTATACACTGGGTACAGTCCTCAGTCTGAGGAAGGTCAGTTGAAGTCCTTACTGTACAAGTTCAAAATTTAAGGAAAATGAGTCTCATGGTGAGTTTCCTTATGCTTTGGCCATGCGTGGACCAGTCAGCTTCCGGGTGTGACTGGAGAAGGGTTTGTCGTCTTCTTCAGAGTCACTTTGCAAGGGTTGTCTGGGCTTGGTCTTGCTTCCCAGGTCTCAGGTGCTGCAGGTTTTACATGGCTGTGGTGGATCCAGGCTGGGATTCCCTCTACCTTTACAACTGTAGGAGTGGTCAAGATGATGGTCTGGGGTCTTTTCCACCATGGCCGCAAGGGGGCTACGTTCCAATCCTTGATCCACACCCGATCACCTGGAGAGAAAGGGTAAACTGGGAAGAATAAGCTAACAGGGCACTTCTCATTTACCCAGGCTGAAATTGTTTGTGTAATTTTTCCTAAAGCCTGTAGCTATCTCTGTAACTCAATTTCACCTAGCCCTCGAGGAGTGCCTCGGAGTCCCTGTAGTATGGGAGGGGGCCTATGGTATAATATTTCATAAGGGGAATATCCTGTTCTTTTAGAAGGGGTACATCTAATCTTAATACCATAGGGAGACCTTGTACCCACTTTAATCCTGTTTCTTGACACACTTTACCTAAACTATTTTTGATAGTCTGATTCATCCACTCCACGTTTCCAGAACTTTGTGGTCAGTAGGTAGTATGTAGTTTCCATGTGATCCCAATACCTTTGCTCTCTTCTGTACCAAGTCAGCCACAAACGCCAGCCGGTTGTCTGAGCCGATTTGTAAGGGCAGTCCAAACCTAGGGATGAGATCTCGGAGAAGCACACGGGTTACTTCACGAGCTTTCTTGGTCCATGTTGGATAGGCCTCCACCTACCCAGAGTATGTACACATTAGAACTAGCAAATACTTGTTACCTCCACATTTGGGCATCTTGGTGAAGTTTACTTGGAGATCTTCAAAGGGGGGCTGCTCCATAAACTTGTATGCCGGGTGGGACAGTTGGACCTTGCCTAGCATTGTGCTGCCGGCAGGTGACACTGCTACACCACTGTTTTGGCCAGGGCTGACAGATGCAAGATGTAGAAGTACTGGCCTAACAACTTTTCAAGTGACTCTTGGCCTAGGTGGGTGGTCTCATGCACAGCCAGTACAACTGCGGCTCCTAGCAGTTGTGGCACAGCTATTCTTCCGTCTGATAACCGGATCCATCCCTCTTCTATCACCTGCCCTCCCTCTGCCTGGAGAAAGTCCTTCTCTTCTTTAGAGTAAGTAGGTACAAGGTCAGGTGCCTGAGGGAGCAGGGGGGCTGTGACTGATGCCCGGGAGGGGGTGGATGCTGCTTTTTGAGCCCCTGAGTCAGCTCAGGAGTTCCCCAAGGTGATCAAGGTGGAAGCTCACTGGCGTCCTCTGCAGTGCATGACTGCCACCTTTTGGGGCTTCCAAACTGCCTCTAATAATTGCAGGATCCCTTGCTAATATTTTACGTCTTTTCCCCCAGAGTTCAATAGGCCTTTTTCCTTGTATAATGCCCCATGCACTTGGAGAGTTAAAAAGGCATACTGAGAGTCAGTGTAAATGTTTACAGTCTTACCTTCACTTAGCTCTGAGGCCCGAATTAAAGCAATGAGTTCGGCCTTCTGGGCTGAAGTGCCCTGGGGCAACGATTTGGCTTCAATGACAGCATCCAGGGTTACCACTGCATATCCCACACACCTCTCTCCTTGTGAGTTGACAAAGTTGCTCCCGTCCACGTACAGCTCCCAGTCTAGTGACATCCAAGGATGGTCTCGGAAGTCGGGCCTGCTAGAATAAACTGAGTCCAACACCTCTACACAGTTATGTTCAACTGGGCTCTCTGACACTGGGAGCAAGGTGGCGGGGTTCAGGGTGTTGCAAACTTCAATGGTTATGCAGAGATTCTCACAGAGCAAGCTTTGGTACCTAGTCAGTCTGGCATTTGTTAGCCAATGATGACCTTTGGTGTTCATTAGTGTTACCACAGCATGGGGGGGCCTTTATGTTTAGGTTTTGCCCAAGAGTTAGCTTATCTGCCTCTTGTCCTAGCAGGACAGTTGCTGCCAAGGCTCTTAAGCATGGGGGCCAACCCTTAGAAACTCCATCTAGCTGTTTGGAGAGGTAGGCTACCGGTCTTGGCCAGGGCCCCACCATCTGGGTTAAAACTCCAACTGTCATTTTTTCTTTCTGACACATACAGTGTGAAAGTTTTTGTTAGGTCAGGTAGCCCCAGGGCTGGGGCTGACATGAGTTTCTCTTTTAACTCATGAAAAGCTCGTTGCTGTTGGGACCCCCATTTGAAAGTTTCCTTATCTCCTCTCTTTGTGAGTCCGTACAGGGGATTAGCCAATACTGCAAAATTTGAGATCCACAAACTTTGGGATCCACAGCTCTTAGGAGCTGCAGAACCCTACAGCTCCTAAGAATTCTCTCACCTGCCTTCTGGTCTTAGGCTCCAGCAGGTTGCAGATGACTTGCTTTCTTTGTGATCCCAGGCTGCGCTCTCCCTGTTGGGTAGTAAATCCCAGGTAACGTACCTGCTGTCTGCAGATCTGAGCTTTCTTCTTGGACACCTTATACCCACAGTCCTCCAGGTGCCGAAACAGGGTATCCATTCCCTTGGTGCACCTGACTGCCTAGGTCTCTGGCAGGAAACTTCTGGAAGTCTCAAGCCAGTGCCTCCCCGAAGATGGTGGGGGAGTTCTTGAACCCTTGGGGGAGCTGGGTCCCAGTGTACAGAGTGGTGACGCCTGACCCTGGATCCTCCCACTGAAAGGCAAACAGTTTTTGGCTCTGAGGGGCTAGTGTGATGCTAAAGAAAGCATCTTTTAGGTCCAAGCAGGTGAACCAGCTGTCCTCAGCTGGCAGCAACCCCAACAATGTGTACGGGTTAGGTACCATTGGATGCAAAGTCACTGTAACTTGGTTGACCATGCGCAAATCCTGTACTGGCCTGTAGTCCTTGGTCCCTGGCTTGGGAACAGGTAGGAGGGGAGTGTTCCATGGAGACTGACAAAGGACTATAATTCCAAAGGCCCTCAGGCACTTGAGATGGACCTGTATGCCCTTAAGGGCTTCTCTGGGGACCTGGTACTGCTTTTGCCTGACCAGCTGGGCCCCAGACTTAATTCTATGAGTATGGGGGCCTGGTTGATTGCCAACCCTGGAGGGTTATCTTCCACCCACACTGTTCGTCACCGCTTAGCCAGAGCTTGTCCTATCTCTTGGCCTGGCTCAGATAAGAAGAGTCTCCATTCCTCCTCCCAAGGAACTATAAGGGCCATGATGACTCCCATTCTAGGTAACTTTAGCTGTAAAGAGCTGTGCTTTATAAAAGAGATAGTGACTCTCAGCTTGCTAAGTAGGTCCCTTCCCAGTAAAGGCAAGGGGCAGTCAGGCATGTACAGGAACTGGTGAATTACCTTATGCCCCTCCACAGTGCAGGTCCGAGGGAAACAGAAAGGTTTCTTTGCTGAAATCCCTGTGGCTCCAATTATATCAATAGTCTTTTTGGATAAGGGGGTGACGGGGGTGGTTACTACTGAGTGTTCAGCACCAGTATCGACAAGAAACCCAATGTCCTTGCCCCCGACTGTCATCCTGACCATGGGCTCTTTGGGGGCACATGAGCCCGGTCCCCCTCAGTCCGGTAACCCTCCTGCCAGATTGAACAAGGTCCCTTCATCCTTGTCTGAGGCCTCCTGCTCAGAGCCACCTTGTTTCCCTTTCAACTGGGGGCACTTGTCCTTCCAATATTCTATTTCCTTATAGTAAGCACACTGGTTACACTGCAAACGTGGATGGCCAGACTGGGTATTTTTCCCGGGGCCCCCTTCTCTCGCCCCTTTGGGGGGACCCCTCTAATAGCTGCGGCTAGCAGGTTGGTATTTCACCAGGCTTGGCGTTCGCTCTCTCTGCGGTTCTCTCTGCAGCTTACCACATCTCTATTCACGAACACCTGGTTGGCTATCTCCAATAACTGAAGTGTTCATGCCTGCAAACCCAGCCTGTTTCTGTAGTTTTCTTCTAATGTCTTCTGCACTTCGACTAACTAAAGTCATGCTAATCATGCGCTGATTTTCAGGGCTGTCGGGATCAAAGGGAGTACACCTACAATAGGCCTCACATAGTCTCTCGTAAAATTGTGCAGGACTCTCATCTTTTCCTTGAATGACCTCAGAGACTTTGTTAACATTTGTGGCCTTCTGAGCTCCCTTTTTTTGAGCTCCCTTTTTTTAACCCTTCCAGAAGGGCTTCCCTGTACCAGTTTAGCCTTTGCATACCCTGTCTTTCATTTGAGTCCCACTGGGGATCTGTTCCTGGTAATTGGATCCTCACATACTCTTGGGGTTTTGGTAATCAGCCGGAACATGTTCCTCTAGCCACTTAGTTGCTGCTTGGAGCACCCTTCGCCTTTCATCCATGTTAAAGAGGTACATGAGCAACTGGTGGCAATCAGCCCAAGTAGTGTTGTGGGTCTGGATAATAGTTTGGAGCAAATCAATTATAGCTTGAGGTTTTTCAGTATAGGATGGGGTATTGTTTTTCCAATTGAGGAGATCGGCAGCGTTGAAGGGTTGGTACACAAAGGCATGCCTTTCCACCATATGCCCATCCTTGTCTACCCCAGTATACCATTGCTCTCTCAGGGACGTTTGTATCCCAGTTCTAGACCTCAAACGGGCTGCCAACCGAGGGGTTTCTCCCAAGGTCTCGCATCCTTTCTTTTCTACTCTGGGTGGCCTAGGGGTACGTAGGTCTTGTGGAAGCTCAGGCTCAGTGGACTCAGGAGGGGGAGGCCTTCCTTCTTGGTGAAAGAGGGGGGCTACTGGCACCATTTCTTGCCATGAATTCTCTGATGTTGGGTCGGACAGGACTTTAGGAGCCAACTTCCCTTGGCGGGTGGAGCAGGATTCTTCCTTGGCTGTCTGTCCCTTTGCCATTAGTACTGCTGCTGCCTGTCCTCTTAACCACCATGGGGGGCCTAAAACCAGCTGTAACCAAGTGTCTATGTATGGAAACTGGGCTGGGTATCCTGGCTTACCAGTTACCTTGTGCCATACCTTTGAAACAAGGGACCTGTCTAGGCTTCCTTCTGATGGCCAACCCACTTCTAATGCTGGCCAATCTATCTCACACAAGGTCCTAAGTTTTCCTGGGGTCATATTAACCCCATAATCTCCATTAAAACCTTTTTTGAAATTCTTTAACATAGTTCCTAATGGAGTGGGCTTACTTTGCGTCTCACCCATCTCCACCACCCTCACCCCCGCCAGACAAAAACAATGCTCACAACACAAGAAGGGAAAGGGTAAAGGGGTCACTCACTTGCCTCGCCTGACACTGGCCACTTCCCTTGCGGGAATCTCAGATCCTCTTAGGCAGGCTGGTACCAGGCACCAGCACGAACCGCCACTTAGCTGTACGAGGTATCCTACGGAACTGCAGCTCAGGGCTCAACACTCACTTCGGACGGCAACCACTGTCTATCTGTTGCCCATCCCAAACAAGCATTCACTCACTTTCACTTTCCTTTTTTTCAAACAAGCCGAGCCAAATCAAAATCAAAACTGAGACCAAAGTGCCAATAAGGGCACACCATGGGTGATCAGGCCATGCTTCCACTCAAATGGGGTGGGTAAGTTCCTGGGACCGGTCCTACCATATTCCAGATGTCCGGACTCCACGTGCCAGTTCCTTCCCAGTGTTCAGCCCCTGTGTTGATCCTCCGTGGGGGCCTGCCATGCACCACTCTGATGAGGCATTCCACTGGGGCAAATGCCTACCCAGGAGCACTCTCAGGATCCACATTGCTCAAGCTGGCCGGAGTACCCCACAGGGATGCTCCGCAGGGCAAGGCTAAGCCGCCTAAGGGGCTGCCTCCACTGTCCCTTAATCACCTCACTTCCCGGTCAGGAAACCAAGAAATGTAGCAGGACAAGCCACAGACAAAACCCTTCAGACACCAGGTTAAAGAAGGAAGAGGCTTTATTCTGCTGGGAGCGTCGACAGACTTGCATCTCAAGAACCAAGCTCCCCGAAGAAAGAGTTCCTGGCCCTTTTAAGGGCTTACGACTCTAAGGGGTCCACGTGAAAGGGTCATGATAGATCCAGCAAGCATGGGGTACGTGACTAGGTGGGGGTGGTGAGCAATGCAAGTATTTCTTCATACCGTTGTCTGTGATCTATAGATAGCACAAGCGGTTTGGGTGGGGTTTAATCTTTAACCTACAGGCCTGGCCACTGGCGCCAATCAGTCTGTTATTTTTCGGTTTTTACTTCCTCCTTTTCTTTGGAGATGGGACAGTAGGAGAAATAGCCTCTCTTCTTAGTTCCTCTGTGGTCCTTGCCCACCCAGCACCCAGCTCTTTCTTTTCTTGGAACAGCACTGCCATGTCTCTTTGGCAAACTTTCCTCACTCACTAAGGAACATCTTGGTGAGATTGTCACCCTAGCATGGGCATATGACTCAAGCATGGACAATTGGACTCATTTTCTTGGGACTTTCAGTCTTGAGGGGAGAATGCTAGATAGCAAAACATCATACTAAAAAAAAAATGAAAAAATTGTAGAGAATGCAGAAAAGAATGGTTGCAGCGGGTTCTATTGTTGGAATGAATAAACTCTGAGAGAGTTGTCAACTATTTTCTACCACCCAATGCGCTGCACGGTTCCCATTCTAATTTTAACCTGCTCAGCTGATTCTTTAGTTAATATTAAGTAGAAAAAGAACTTGTTGGAAGGATAGCAAGTTGCTTAGAGCCAGTTTTCTTTGTTTGTAATCAAACAACCTTAATGGATACCGCCCTTAAAGAAGCACAGTTGTAGTGGCTGGAAGTAGAGTGTGCTTTACTATTTAACAACAAAAGCTGAAACCTTGCAGCCTCTGAGCCTAAGATCCCATTTAGTCAGAGAAAAATTCTGCAGCAAACCTCCTGAGATAACTCCCCGGAACAGGAAGATAACTTCGGAAGCTTAGTTTATTTCCATACAAATGGAATTTTAAGTCCTTATCAGGGTAACAGAAACAAAAAAGCATGTCATACAGACACATTTAGGGTAGCCTGGTTAATTCCTTCTTCTTTTGGAACAACTACATTATCAAGATGATGCTTCACTGCCTGTTAGACTCGCTTCTGCTTGGAAGCAGATGAATTGATTTTGAACTTCTTTTGTGATATGCTTAGTGCTTTGTCAGTAAAATTACTGTAATATCTTATGCTATCTGTCATATTCCCTTCTCGCAGCAGGAGCCATCTCCAGCCAGAAGGTTCTCTGGCCTACATTTTCAGAGTGTTCACAATGCAAGCTCACATTCTACAATGCTCTGCTGGCTGGCTGGGGATAAGGCTGAGAAGTGGGTGGTGGCCCGGTTTTTAATTTTCACAACCAGAGAAGAACCATGAACCTGGATGGTGCCTGGGTTGGAGCATTGATTAACTGAGGTGGTTTTTTTGCAAATATCCCTATCGTAGAGGCCTAGAGGGTCAGGTGGGTGGGGCATTTGCCTCAGGAGCAAAATTTAAGGGGGTATCAAAAAACTGAGCAATCAAAGACAAATAATATTGAAAAATCAAAATTAATGCAAAATCCATAATGAATCAAATCTCACATATTTAAATAAAGCCGGCATCAGCAACAGCACTGTGCTGAGCCATATTGGAGCCTGGGCCGAAGGAACAGTCTGTGAGCTGCTCCCCTGCCGCCCCTGCCTGATCTTTCTCCTCCATTTCCCCACTGCAGCACTTGAGCTTCCAGCTCTGTTTCACCCATGGACCCGGACTGACACAGGTGGTTCAGAGGTGGTCTTTTATGGCAAACCCTCTGAGGCCTTGTACCACTGTGGATATTCCACCCTCATTTTTAAATGATAGTTTAACTGGATAAGAAATGCTGAGTTAATTTTTTTTTCTCTTCACTACTTTAAATATATGAAAAGACCAAAATGACATTTGGGTGTGGCTGTTGAGACATCTGTCATTTAGTTCTTTTTCCTGTCTTGGTATCTACCTCTTCACTCTGAAGTTTTAAAGGTTTCTCTTTGTCCTTAATATTCCCAAATATCAATGTAATATTTCTTAAACTCTTGGCTTCAAGCGATCCTCCCACCTTGGCCTCCCAGAGTGCTGGGATTATAGACGTGAGCCACCACACTCAGCCTATATTTTTCTGTGTGAATTTTTAAAAATCTTTCCTTATTGGCACTCTATGAGTTCTTTCAATATATCATCATACGGTCTTGAACATTTCCTTTATTCTTGGAAATTTTCAGTCATTTTTTTTTTTTGCAGAAAGTATTCCCTCTTCTCCTTTTTCTTTTGTCTCTCCAGGTAGGACTTCTGTCCTATATATGTTGATTCTTCTAATTCTGTGCCCCACATCCTGTAATTTTTACATTTTGCATCCCTATCCCTTTTCTAAGAGTCTAAGTCAGTGGTTCTCAAACTTGGCTGCACGTTAAAATGACCAGGGGAACGTTTACAGTTTCATACCCCAAGCTACTTACTCAGAAGCTCTCTGACAGTAAGGACCAAAGTGTAAGTACTTTTTAAAGCTCCCAGATCCCTCCAGTATGCAGTCAAGGCTGAGAACCATATCACTGCTTCTCAGACTTTACTGTGCATACACTTCACCCGGGAGTAGTGTTAAAGGCACAATCTAACTCAGGCGGTCTGGGGTGAGTTCCCAGGGGATGCTGATCAATGGGTCTTATTTTGAAGAAACACATGGCCTTCTGACTCACTGCCCCTCTACTCTACCATCAGCCCGTCTATTGAGCTCTATATTTCCATCATTCTCATTTCCATTCTCCAAATTTCTAATTAGATCTTGTTTATAATGGCTTAGTCAGTAGCCTTTCATGTTTTTGTGTTTATTTATTATGCTTGTCATAAATTATTCTGAATATCAACGATAAACAAAGCTGGACACTGATTAAAGTGGTGAGGCCAGATTTTAATCAGCAATAACTATTGCAGTAGGGAAAAGAGTTCCGCAAGAACTGAATGATTCTTTGATTTGTGCAGAGGGGAACAGGTGTTTTAAGAGACAGAGAGGGCATAGGGATGGGAAAGCAGAAGCTTAGCAGAGTTAGGGAAGTGAAAAATGCAGACTGTGTAAATGCAACTAGGTCACCTGTGGCTGAGGCTGGCAGTTACTGAGGTAGGATCCTGTCCTTCCTCAGAGAGCGGGAGACAGAGACTCTATATTGTCTTCAGGTGTTGGCTGAAAAAAACAGTAAATCTTTTTGGCAGCCTTGAGTTTTCTCAGGTGGGCACTTTAAGTGGGCCCAGGGTCATCCTAGGGATATGGCCTTGAGCTGTTAGAAACCCTGTGAACAGGCTGGGCGCAGTGGCTCACACTTATAATCACAGCACTTTGGGAGGCCAAGGCTGGAGGATCACCTGAGGTCAGGAGTTCGAGACCAGCCTGGCCAATGTGGCAAAACCCCATCTCTACTAAAAATACAAAAATTAGCCATGCATGGTGGTGGGTGCCTGTAATCCCAGCTACTGGGGAGGCTAAGGCAGGAGAATCGCTTGAACTCGGGAGACAGAGGTTGCAGTGAGCCGAGATCATGCCATTGCACTCCAGCCTGGGGGACAGAGCAAGACTCCATCCCCAGAAAAAAAAAAAGAAAGAAAAGAAAAGAAAAAAGAAACCCTGTGAGCGTTTGGTTGAGGCCTGGACGAGAAGAGGGTTCAGAGGAGCCTGGCTGGAGATTGGCTGAGGAGAGAGTCTTTGTCAGTGGAGTGCAGGTTGTTGGGTGTCATACTCTTTCTTTTATGGAGGAACATCCTTCGGTGTCTCGTTATCTTTCCTCCCAGAGTTCATATTTCCCTGGGGTAATCAGCCACCTTGGCTGCTAAGTGAATACCATGGAGTATATATTGGGCTAAAGCCCAAGCCCTAGCTCATGTCTCTTCTGGTAAATTTAGCAAGGGGTTGGTAGGAGGACTAGGGGCAGGCGATTTAGGAGGAGAAGGGGTGGTGCTTTGTGGTAGAGATGGCCCAGGCTTATCAGCCCCATTCTCCCTTTGACTTCCCACCTTATCTTATTAAAGTCTCGGCACTTTTGTCCTAGTCCCTCTCCGTTTCAAGAGCTGTCATCCTTGGCTGTAATCACCCAAACCTGAGGAGTGGGAGGGAGGTGGGCTGGGGAAGCGGGGAATGCACAAGGCCTGCTGGTCTACCTGCATCTGACTCTGTCTCCCCCCACCCAGCCAGGCTCCTTGTCACGACTGCCTCACCACTACCACTGCGAGACAGAAAATATCCCAGCAAGAATAAATGGACAGGCACAGACCACCCAGAGAAAGGCTGGCAAAAAAAAAATAGCCGTCCCTGACCTGTCCCTGAAAATGACACCTGGTCCTTTGGGCTGCTGTCTCTCTCACGTCGGGACCCAAACTTCTGTGTTTCCTGGATGTCTGTCAGTGTCTCCTTCAGTGTTTCAGGTCCATCAACCCTAATCTCACAGCATCTGTAGATGCGGTTTCAGGTGGAGGAGCCAGCAGCCTGCATGAGGTCCCCAGCCCATCAAGACTTCCCAGGGATCTGTCTCCGTGTGGGCCCAGCCTGACTTGGTGCAGGCAGCCTTCAGAGGAGCTGTCGCTGCAGCCATAATCCCAACCATTGCCACCAGCTCTGGAAACAGTGGTGACAGCAACAGTAGAGGTTCAGCCTCCACTTTCATGGAGCTTACAGATGGGTCAGGGAGACAGCCAGGCAATTGTGATCGCATATAGTGAATACTAGGAGGGTGTTACGGGAGCACAGAGTAGGGGCTTGAGTCCCAGGTGTGTGCATGTGCGTGTGTGGGTAGTTATTGTGAATGTCAAGGAAGACTTGCCTGAAAAGGGTGACATCACAGCTCATGCCTGAAGGATGATTTACAGGGGAGTCTTCTAGGTAGGGAAAGTGGCACAGGAGGTGAGAAAGAGTACAGTTTGGTAAACCAGAAGGAGTAGGTGGGGCCAGGATTCGACTGTGGCAGGTGAGGCTGGAACATGTGAGTGCAGGGCAGATCATGTCTTTATTTTAACTTCTGGTATCTGTTAACCATGGATCTTTTGCACTGATTTTGATTTTTTAAAAAATATTGCATTAAAATAACATTTGTCTTGATCACTGAGTTTTTTGTTGCCCCTTTTAATTTTGCCCCTGAGGCGAGTGCTTCCCTTGCCTTACCCTAATCCTGGTAGGTGGGTGTGGTTGCAGCATAGATGTCAGAGAAGGGTGAGTGAAGAAAGATGAGGCTGCCAGGTGGAGTGGAAGCCAGGACATGAGGGCCTGCATGCCTTGCTAAAGATTTTGGACTTGACTGGGTGTGGTGGCTCATGTCTGTAGTCCCAGCACTTTGGGAGGCTAAATCAGGAGGATCACTTGAGCCAGGAGATTGAGACTGGTCTGGGCAACATGGTGAAACCCTGTCTCTACAAAAAATAAAAAAGCCAGGCATGGTGGCACACACCTATAGCTCCAGATGCTCAGGAGGCTGAGGTGGGAGGATCGCTTGCACCTCAGAGGGCTGTGATTGTGCCACTGCACTACAGCCTGGGTGACAAGTGAGACCCTGTCTCAGGAAAAAAAAGTATTGGGACTTTATATCTCAACTCTGCTGAAAGGGTAATGCATGGCTGCCCTTGAAGCTGAATTTGGCTTTGTGAAAACCAGGTTGGTTGTAAGGGGTTGGAGGGAGCAGCCTGGAGAAAAATGCTTTCCTCTTCCACCAACTGCCTCCAAAGGGGGCATTTGCTCCACACTCGGGCAGCCCAGCTGTCTGGCCTTGGATGTCACAGCCCCTGCCGGAACCTGAGAGTCGATCTTCTCACCACCCATTCTCCTGCTACGTGCAGCAGGTGGATGCAAGACTAGCTCATTGATTAACAGGTCGTTGGGGCTCATCTTTCCCATGCTGCATTTTATGTTGCAGAGGGCCTGTTAAAAGAATATCAATGACATTGTTAATGTAGCAATCAGGATCTTCTGGGGGAACCGAAGCTTTAAGAATCAATAAAACATTAAAAAAGGTTAAACACTTTACTGGATAAGTCAGAACATATTCCTTAATGATAGAGCTTTGAGGGAAAATGGAATATGAAAAGACAAGGCAATATCACTTTGTAATGGGGAAACACTGCATAAAAAAAGATTACTTCCTCAGTCTGATACTTGGATTCAGTGTGTACACTGGTGAGGACTGCAGGTAGAATAGCGGGATGAGGCCTCTGCGGGGAGCGTAGTGAGGGGGCTGGAAGAGAAGAATGCCAGGCAGAGTCCAGTGCTTTTGCTGGCTGTGTGACCCAGGGCAAACCACCCAATTTCTCTGAGCCTCAGTCTCTTCAGCTTATAGATTCTGCTCCTTATGGGGCTGTTTTGAAGATCTGATGAAATAAAGGGTTTCAAGTGTCGAATGCACATTAGAGTTTTTGTCTGTAATCACAGTGAGTAGTAATCTTAGGACGGAGCCTCTGCATTTGCAGAGGAATTAGAGAAAAACGCTGTGCGGTGACACAGCTGCAGCAGTGGGGGCTTCTCCCCCAGCACCTGCAACAGGGCTCTTGGTGAATAGGAATTGCTGCTTCCATGTATGTTCAGTAAGATTCCCGTGAATTCCTTATGCATTTCCATCTGTGGAACCTTCCTTACCCATTGAGTTCCTTCTCCCGGGAAGCACTCCTGTCTCTCCACTTCTGATTATGGTTTGCAAACCCCACCCATCCTTGGGGCCAGTTAAGGCATGGGAGTGGGCTATGCTCCTGCCCTTCTCTCCCAGCTCCCCGAAGCTGGGAGGGGCTTGAAACTGTAGATGCCTGATGGAACTGTCAGAATGACGTTTTAGTGGCATTAATTGGGAAATGTAAGTTTTCATCTCTGACTTCGACATGTGTAGCAGTTGTAAAATGTATTAGAAAATAAAACAACAACAACAAAAAACCTATGGGCGAGTTGGAAAAACCTCAACATCATCAAGACTTCAATTATGCTCTCAGAAGCACCTTCCTCTCCCAGAGAATTCATCCTTGTAAGTCTGTGAGGGCTGAGGCTGTGTGCTCTCCCACCTCCTCCGAGAAGCCCTTCCTGGCAATTCCAGCCCGCCGTGGCTTGTGAACTCTTCAGCCACCTGCTGTTTTTATTTCACAATTTAGCCTTAAAGGCAACATAATTCTGAATGCATCTTTAGTAGCTGTGCAAGCACCAGTCTTGGTTTTCTAAGGAGACCGACTTCTCCAAAGGCAGGACTACATCTTCTCTCATAAACCCCAAGGTGAGCCAGGCCAGGCCTCTCTAAGCACATGTTAACTGATGTCCTGAAAGGGTCACAAGCTTCCAATGGCTTTCCACTGAAAGAAGGTTCTGGAACTACTTTTCTAGTAGTTTCTATCACTCTGGGAATGCTGAGCGGCCTTGGGATGCCATCGCTGATGAAGAGGCTGCCTCTGATGTGGTAAGACAAATGGACATGGAGAGGCACCTGAGCTCCACTCCTAACAGGACAAGACAGAGAAGAACTGGGTCTGAAGTTGCAGAGCAGAGGGAGGAAAGGAGCACTTAGGAAGCGTCTCATTCTCAGGGAAGAAGGGCTTAGAGATGGGTCATCTGCACAGGCCAGGACGAGCCTCTGGGACACTGCTCAGCTCTGTTTGCTTCTGACTTAGGTCCCACTGGGCCCCCTGGTTTGGGTGACGTTTTCAAAGTTAAGGCATGCTACCCCCTGGGGGTGGGGTGGACTTTTGCATTTGGAGAACACAAGGTGTACAACAGTGAGAAAAAGACAAAAGCCCCTGCTGTGGTGGGGCTCACATTCCAGTGTGTGTGTGGCCAGAGGGAGCCAACAAGCAAACAAAAATGAAACAGGCAATTTCAGAGAGCTAAGAAGGAAATAGAGGAGACTAATGTTACTGTAATTGGAAGGTCAGCAGGCCATGGGCTGAATGACTAGAGGCTGAGTCCTTTCTTTTCAAGAGAGAAAGGACATGGTGGGGAGCGGCCCAGGCCGTGTGGGATAAGAACTTTTCAGTTGTGCAAGGTGCTTGGATTTCACTTCAAGTGCAAAGGGAAGGCAGGTTGCCCTGATTGCTGAGTGGAGGAGGAGACAGGTGGGTGATGATGATGGCCAGGGCCTGGGCAACTACCTTTCTTCTTCCCTCAACTGGACCTGCCCCATCCACAGCCCCTGCCTCCCATGAGCCTTGCAGGAACTCCAGCTAGCGAGGGCTACAGAAGGCCTTGACCAAATCACCAAGCCCCAATTTCCAGCTTCCTCGTGTAAAATAGAACTGGCAATGGTGTCCCTCATAGGGTGGCTGTGAAGATGAGATGAGGGCACACGTGCACCAGAGATGGGGACAAGAAGTGCCTGATGCAGGTGTGGCCACTCTCGACTCCACCCCCACATCAGGAGATTCTGGAATTAAGATGCACTTTACCCTTGTGTCATTTAAGGGAGAGTTTGCATGAGTTTTGAAAGATCATCCCCAAATTGATGTCTTAGAGTTGAGGAAATCCAGTGTTATGGACCCAGCCTGCCCATGTTTACCTCCGTTCCCTAGCCCTCCTCCTGCCTTTTGGAATCACTGTCCCTCCAGTCCCTCCTGTCCCTAGCAGCCCTCCCTCACTTCCCAGCCTTTGAAGGGCCACCTTTGTGTCCTGCCAGCTCAGAGAGCACTCACCTCCTGGGCTACCCAGTGTGAGATGAGCCACGCAGCTACCACGGAGCAATACCCTGAGGATCAGGCCTCATGCGTTTTTCTCTGTCTCACACCAACCCTGAGCCCCAGGTAGAGATGGAGAAGCCTTTGTGAGCCCTTACCCAGGTGAACATCCAGGGAACCATTCCCATCAGAAGCAGTGCCCTTGTCTAGAGCATCCTGGGAGCGATTTCTGTCAGAAGCAGTGCCCTCGTCTAGACTCTTTCTGATGCATTGCCAATCTCCCCAGCTCCCACTTGCCAGCCACACACTGTGAGGAGCAGCCTGGCTTCAGTGTCGGGCAGGGTGGGGCACCCTCCTTCCTTCGTGGGGAGCTGGCTCTGGCGATAGAGCAGTCCATGATGACCTCCTCCACCTGGCACGTGGGCTTGCTTTTACACTGGCGCTCTGGTGTCTTTTCATGGCATCTATTAGGCATCATAACAAAGTACTGGGGAAAGGCCCCCCTGGTGGGTGCTTGCCATCTCCTCCCACTATGTGTCCACAGAGACTGTGATTTGAAGATACACTGTGGTAGCTCTCACTGAGGTTGACATAGTACCGAGCTCCCATTTGGTCAGGGATGGCTTCCTGCAGGAGACAGTGGGTTTAGGAACAGAATCTTCATAGGTGGAGGATATAGAAGAAACCATGAAGAAACTGCCTAGGCCTTAGGGAGCACAGAAAAGCTCATAGCAGTTCCTACTGCTGTTGGCAAGGGGTTGGGTAGATTTAATAGCACAGATACGGCTAGTGTCACCCACTTCTCGCCCTTCCTGCCTTGAATGTGGATATGTTAGCTGTTTTGGCAGCCATCCTGTGACCAGGAGCAATGACTGTTTGCTGGAAACTCTGCCCAGGGCTATATCTAATCCTTACTGCAACCTTATAAAGCAGGAGCCATTGTCCACTCTATTTTACCAGTGAGGAAACTGAGATTCGGAAGTAGAACAGCACACAGGAATTAGATGGTAGAGATGGACTCTGAATCCAGTGTGGCCCATCTCAGTCAGTGTTGTTAACCGTGAGCCCTGCTCTTCTGAGAGCTGGGCCAGCAGAGGCCTCCCAGCACGCACTTCCCACCCTCACTGCCGTGCTGCTACGCACCTTCTTTTCCTTCTCTGGGAACAGGGGCCCGGATGTGGAAAGCTTGCAGGGAGAGTGTGGGGGACCCCCTGTGAGGCTGATGTTTAATCACTTGTCTGTTTAGCACCGACGAGTCAGGGAGCAAATGTGGCCCTAGGTGTGTTGTTTTAATAATAAATCAGAGGTGAGTGCTCACAATTCCTTAATTATGTACATTTTCCTCAGAAAAAATTTCAGGGCCCCAGCAGGTGCCTGCTCTCTGGGCCTCATTACTGTTGACAGAGCTAGGATTTATGCGCTCACAGCGGCTTGTGGCAAAATGTGCACAGGGCTGGGAGACCGCCCGTGTTTTCCCTGCTATTAAAATGTCACCTCGGGGTAAATAATATGTGTTAACACACCAGACACATCTCCCAGGTTTGTTTCTTTTACCTAGTCTGAAAATAATTAACAGCTTGTAACAACTTCCTAACTAAATGTAGTGAGTTATTTAGCCTTTCTAAAAAAAAAAAAAAAAAAAACTGACACATTTTCCCACCATTATTATTTCATCTCATTTAATTATGAAGCCCACAGATTACTGAAATAAGAACAACTTGGTTTCAGTACTCCTGGGGTGTGTTTTCCCAAATCATTGTGTTCAGCACACTCTCACTGCATTGTAAGTTGTCGATGTGGCTGGAATCGGTGTGAGAAACATTTCTCTCTGGTGGCCTTGTTAACCCTCCTTGGTCAGTACTGGATGTTTCCTGTCCTCCCTCTTTCAGTTGTCATGGCTGCTGGGGATATGCTCAGTGACAAACTAGAATTTGGTTCAACAGAACACCTGTTTCCAACCCCCTGTTTCTCACCTGCTTCTCTGCTATCGGGGCTGAAAGGGATATATAGTCAGTTTCCCAGAATTCCTTGTAGCTATGTCATGGGATCTGGTTCTAATGTGATATAATGTGGTTGGTGGAAGGTTTCAGCAAAAGCTTTTGCTTTCCTGAAAGGAATTAGATAGGTAAAGCTGTCATCACCTCTTCCTCTTCTTTCTGCTTGTGTGTAAATGTGATGTTTGAGCTGCAGCAGCCATCCTGTGACCATGAGGCAAGACACATCTGGGAGAGCCACCACACTAAAGATAATGAAGTGGAAAGGAGCTTGGGTCTCTGATGACACCATTAAACAGCTAAACTGATGCTAGCAACTGCCTAACATGACACTTATTATGTAAGAAAAATAGGCTGGGCACGGTGACCCAAGCCTGTAATCCCAGCACTTTGGGAGGCTGCGGTGGATGGATCATCTGAGGTCAGGAGTCGAGACCAGCCTGGCCAACATGGTGAAACCCATCTCTACTAAAAATACAAAATTAGCCGGATGTGGTGGCAGGCAGCTGTAATCCCAGCGACTCGGGAGGCTGAGGCAGGAGAATTGCTTGAATCTGGGAGGCAGAGGTTGCAGGGAGCTGAGATCACACCATTGCACTCCAGCCTGGGCAAAAAGAGCAAAACTCTGTCTCAAAAAGAAAAAAAAAGAAAAAGAATCTCATATATTTTAGCTATTGTAGTTGACTTTTGCAGCTTAATACATTTCTCATTGATACGTATTTTATGGGAAAACATTTCTGGCTCAAGTGGTGACCAACCCAGCCCCAAGCTGTAAGATCTGGGCAGTTCTGGAGAGGAATCAATCTTATTTCTATTCTCCCTTCCTCCCTCCCTCCCTTCCTTTCTTTTTTCCTTCCTTTCTTCCTCCCTCTTTCCTTCTATCCACTCATTTACTCACTCATCTACCCAACACACATTGATGTAGCACCTATAATGTGCTCTCTTGGTGCTGGGGGCAACAGTAGTAAATAAGAGACAAGTCCCTGCTCTTCGGGAGCATGAGCTGTGTTAGAGGCCGATAATATAAGCACACATATAAGCAGGATGAACTCACAGTAGCAAGTGCTAATTGGAAGGTAAAACAGAGTGATGTGTTAGAGTGTGGGGGCAGGAGTGACAGCCCCACTTTAGACAGGGTAGTCAAGGAAGACCTTTCTGAGGAAGTGACATTTTTGCTGAGTACTGAATGACCATAATGAGCCAGCAATTTAAAAATCTTAGGGACTATGTTCCAGGCAGAAGGAAGAGCAACTGCAAAGTCCCCCAGGAGAGCAAAGTCCTGGCCTGGTGAAAGAAATGGAAGAAAGGCAGTGAGTCTGCAGAGTTATGAGTGGGGAGGCTGGGGCAGCCTCAAGCATGGAGAGAGGCAGAGGCAGGTCATGCAGGCTCCTGGAGGACAGAAGTCATTTCTCATCGTAGCCCCAGAAGCCACAGAGACTTGCCATCAAGTGTGAGCCTCTGGTTGAATGGTGGGAGTAGGGAGGCCAGCATTGTTCTCTTGAGCCAAGGCGTATTGACTGTCATGGTGCTCAACGGGCCTACCTGGGGTTTCTGTCCCAGCAGAGCCCTGAGCGCCCAGTGACTCTGTGTTGGGCATCTTGGTCCCTGATCAATTCCTGGAGAAGATGCTGTGGAAAAGCTCACTGAGATTAGTTGGGACTCTTAAATTACAAGGGCTACAAAGCCAGTTTGAATTAGTTTAAACAAAAAAGGAATTTTTTTGGAGGTACCTGTGTTAGCCCAACTGAAGAGTGAAGGAGCTAAGGTATTTATCCACCAACTACCCATGTATCTATGATGAAGATCAGCCTTGTGGGGCAGCTTTCAGCTTGCCTCGTTTGGCCAGAAAAAAATTTCAGGCAGAGTCTAGGGTGTTTGCAGAAAGCAACTTTCAATTCTAGAGGTGGGAGTCAGGGGACGCTGTGGGGCACACAGCATCTGCCACAATGCTGATGGGCAAAACTTCTTTGCCTACTCTCCTCTGTGTGCTAACTGTGGAAGTGGGTGACAGGACAGCAGTCCTGCGTGGCTGTGTGTTTTTACAATGGCATTCTTGTGTCTGTTGATTTGGCTGACTGCTCTAAGACAAGGATTGGTACATTTTTTTCATAAAGGATCGGGTAGTAAGTGTCTTAGATGGTGTGGGCCCCAGGTCTTTGCTGTCCTAGCAGGAAGCAGCCATGGGCAGTGGGTAGAAGAATGGGTGTGGCTGTGATCCAGTAGAACTTATGCATGGAAACAGGCAGAGCCTTGGGTTTGATGCATGGGCTGTAGTTTGCCAACCCCTGTTTTGAACAGTCTCTGGGTTCCTTATGTGAGAGGTTAATAGCGGGGCTTCTACAAAAGGAGAATCCTTCTTCAAGTAAGGTGAAGAGGCTTCACTGTCAAGGGGTGGTAGGTGCATTCTGTGGATTGCAAGTTGGGGATGTGCAGGTGAACCCCTTTTACTGGTGGTGATGGTGATAGTGGTGGGGGAAAGGTTTCTTGAAAGGTGAACTCTAAAGAAACCAACCATCATTAGGGACATTATAGACCAGTCCCTAAGGAGATGACTTTGACTCATGTGCTATTCCTTTTTAAAATTCCTTTCCAAATTCTCTGAAGAGTTGGGAGGCTATGGCCATAGTTTCTCCCATGGGCCTTCCAGGTCATCCATTACAGTATCCTTTTGTGACTCTCCCTGAAAGGAAAGGACTGATTTTCTGCTGACTGATATTCTGTTGAATTAACCATCTCCTTAAAGCCCTGAAACACTGGAAAGACTTGTATTTAACATATTTTGCACCTCATGACCTGCTTGCCTTTGGTCAACCTTTATGGGTTAAATCTGTCCATTGGAACTTGATATAATAACAAGCAACTATGGCCACAAAGGTGGGCAGGTTAGGGCCATCCCACCTGTGCTGGCCACCTGGCCATCAGTATCTTACAGAGATACGAACCAACCTTTTACAGATTCCAGCAGTGAAGTCAACATGTGGGTGGGTTTTGGATATGAGTATAGGAGACCAAAGCACCCCTGTGCTAAGGGATGTTTGTTAGTTGCATGCAACACCGCCTAGTCCTGCCTGACCATGGAGCCTAACGAGAGTTTAAAAACACTTGTTCTACTCATCTTGCATTTCCTTATCGATAGTGATTTATGGCTGTGCCTCAAACAACCCCGTCTCCCCTGTATGACATATAAAATTGGGGAAATTTGGAATCTTCAAGGCATAATGTTGGGTATAAGTTATGGTGAGTACTGGAAAATCTGGAATAATTGGACATATCCAGAATTAATTAGCAGTATTATCAATCAAGAATATCAAAAAAACAGATCAGATTCTAGACAATATTCCCCAGAAGCCCCTCCTGGACAGGTGGAGACAGAATTCATATGGTATTGGAGAGGATAGCATAACTGTGGGTGAGTCTCTGAGACAGGCTGGAGGCATTGTAATGGTGTTGACCAGTGCCTTGTGAAGGTTGTATTCCGTCAAGGTATGTAAAGCAAAAGACCATCTCATCAACAAATCCTGACCGAGTGCCTACTGTTTTCCAAGTGCTGGAGATACGGGAGTGAACACAATACAGTCCCTGCCCTCATGGAGCTCACATCCTATTGCAAGAGGCATCACACATACACCAGTGAGTTCAGGATAGTCCGATGGTGAACAGTTAGGCTGGTTAAGTCAGCTGGGGGTGAGGGAGCCCAGCAAGTTGCTTTTTATGTAACGTAGCCAGGGAAGGCCTTCCTGATGAGCTGCCATTTGAGCAGACACTGGAAGGAAGAGAGCAAGCACCTGGCTATCTTTGGAAGGATGGAGCCTGGCAGGAGGAGCAGCAGGTACTGGACACTGAGGAGCAAAGTGGGAGAGCACAGGGCCAGTGTGTCAGGCAGCAGGCAGGGTGAAGATCACACAGGGCCTCCGGGCCCTGGCCAGGAGTGTGCATGTCCTTGTAGGTGTAAAGGGAAGCTGATAGAGGGTTGACAGGCGGGAGTGGCATGGTTTCCTCTGTGTTTTAGGAGTTCCCTTGCAGCTGCCGCCTGGAGACCCAGCCACTTCAAAGTCTGGGAACCTGTTAGGTGGCCGTGAAATGACATTGATGAGCCATCACTGGGCCTGACCCAGGGTGGCAACTCTGGGGGGAATAAATGAAGTTTTGCAGCCAGAGCCCATGGGTTACTTGGTGATGGGATAGTTGTGTTGAGAGTAGAAAGAGGAGTCAAGTGTGACCACAGGGCTCTTGGCCTGAGCAGTTGGGGATGAAGTTGCTGTTGACTGAGACCAGGAGAGATGGCGAGGAGAGCAGAGGAGGATTAGGAGCTCAGCAGTGGGAGCGCTGAGCTTGAGATGCAAATCAAGTGGGGATGCCAGCTTGGATGTCGGATATGTGATCTTGGAGTTCAGGGTGAGATGAAGCAGGGACCCCTTCTTTTAGGGGCCTGCAGACCCTAAGCATGGAAATAAAGGAAAATCCTGAGTTATTTCAAGAGAAATTTCAGACACCTAGCCTGGGGCTGGGTCTTCAGGAAGGGGTATGTGGATGTGAAAGAAGCCCCAGGAGTAAATAAGCAACTTGTTAAAATAAAAGTATATCGTAGCCTAAAACGGTAGCCCAGGAAGTTAAAGCTCCAGAGATGTTTGGTTTCACTATAGAAACTAAAGGCTGCTCCTTAACCTGTATCCCTGAGTTGTCCTTCAGAGGTGCCGACCCCACCTAACGAGTCCAGATGCACACAAGGGGGAAGTGAGAACTAAGCTTCATTGCTTTGTTTGTTCCTGGGGGGCTTAAAGAAAATCACTCTTAGCCAGTTAACATGTTTCCAGTAACCCAAAATTTGTCAACAAAGCTTCTCTTCCTTAGCCAATTACAAAATCAGAAAATCTTTGACTCTACCTACAACCTATAAGCCCCCTACTTCAAGGTACATTACCTTTTTAAGCTTTAACCAATGTAAAACCTCCATGGTGTATTTGATTTTTTATTTTGCCTGTAGCTTCTTTCCTGAAATTTACCCTGCCTTTAAAAACCCTCGCCTGCAAGCCGTCAGGGAGGCCAGGATTTGAGCAATAGCTGCCTGGTTGTCTTCACCTGGCACCCTGCAAGTAAGCACCTTTTTTTCTATCACGGCAAAAACCTCGCTGTGGGCACCACATCAGGCAAGTGGGCCTCAGTTTGGTTGTGACAAGGGAAGAGGCCCAGAATGGAGATATGTATACAGGAGTCACCTCTCCTCACACTCTTCTTTGTCTACGCTCACTGCCCGGTGAATCTCATCCAATTTCAAGGTTTTAAAACCCATCTGCATGAGTCTTGTTCATTCTGATGTTTAGAAATCAGGAGTTGAAAAGTCTGTAATGCAGAGGTTCTCAAGAGAGTTTTGCCCCAGGGGATATTTGGCAATAGTTGGAGACATCTTTGGTTGTCACCACTGGAGATGGGAGTGCTATTGCCATTTAGTGAGTGGAGACCACAGATGCTGGTGACCATCCTACAAGGTACAGTGCAACAGACCCCACCACAAAGAATTATCTGGCCCCAAGCCTCAATCCTGCCAAGGTTGAGAAACTGCTGTAAAAGAATCAGAGAAAGAATAGCCAAGGGGAGGGAGAGAGCCAAGATAGAATCTTCTCTGTGGCTTGGTCAGGGGCCTTACGAAGCTCCAGTTCCTACGTAGAGGAGATCTTGGATCCATAACAGCTTGCACAAGTTCTAACCACCCAGGCCCCAATAAGCCTCAGTAAAGGTTTTCTGAATTGAATTGAATTTTATTCACTAATTCTAGCGCCAGACAGGATCACATCAAGTGTTGGGCAGCCTTTCCCACCTGCAGCGTGCTCCCCTGCGGGGCTGTGGCAGTCTCCCAAAGGGGCTTTGCCACCTGCAGCGTGCTCCCCTGCGGGGCTGTGGCAGTCTCCCAAAGGGGCTTTCCCACCTGCAGCGTGCTCCCCTGCGGGGCTGTGGCAGTCTCCCAAAGGGGCTTTCCCACCTGCAGCGTGCTCCCCTGTGGGGCTGTGGCAGTCTCCCAAAGGGGCCTCCACTCTGTTTGTGCTTTCATTCATTTGCTCGTTCATTTCATGTTTTCACCTTGTGTCTCCTGTGTACCGGGCCCTGTGGTTTCCCGGTGCTAGGGCTCAAAGCCTGAGTAAGATGAGCATGGTCCCTTCTCCACACAGCCTCCATTTTAGTGTGGAATACAGAATGTGTGAAAGCAGAGAAAACAGAGATGATGGGGAGCGCTGTGGAGGTAACTCAGAATGGGGCAGAGAATGACAAAAGCTGACAGGTGGCCTGTCTGAGGAGGCAACATTTCAGCCAAATACAGAAAGACAAGAAGTCAGCCCCAAAACAGGGGAGTGTGTCCTGAAGATCTGGAGCTCCCCCTCCATGGGAGAGGGCTTGGCTGTTGAAAGGGAGAGAGATGGGCCCAGTGCAGTGCAAACCTAGAGCATAAGCGAGACAAGAGCAGCAGGAAAGGAGGATGGAGAGGCAGGCGGCGCCAGGCAGGCTGGGAGTCCAGGGGCACATGTGCTTACTCCACGATCAGGGTCCCAGCGGGTGTGTCTGAGCCTGGGGCTGGGTCTTCAGGAAGGGGTATGTGGATGTGAAAGAAAGTAGATTTTGGGGACTCCAAATTCACTATGCCAAAGGACAAGTTAAGCTTGGGAGCTGAGTCACCTATTCTGCCTTCTTTTTTATGTTCCCAGGCAGACAGCTGTAATTTCACATGCTTACTTTCTCTTCCTATTATTTTTAAATGTTTAAAATTATTTATTAATGATTTTTTTTAAATAAATAGAGTTGGAGTCTCACTATGTTGCCCCAGCTGGTCTCAAACTCCTGACATCAAGTGATCCTCTGCCCCCAGGAGACTCTCCCTCCTTGGCTTCCCAAAGCGCTGGGATTACAGGTGTGAGGCACGGCCTACATGCTTACTTTATCTTATGTAAAATGTGGATAATTGACTGTTTCTCTACCCATCTTTTCACATGTAAAATGTAGATTCACTGAGCACTAAGCAAAGCCTCATGAGCACACAACCACTGGCCTCACTGCCTACCCTCCCCCCTTTTTTCATCCCTCCCTCTCTTCTATCGCTCTTTCCCCTTTAAATATTGAAGTCCTCAAAACCATCCTGAAAAAGCACAGGTCACAAATCCTACTGGGACTTGTGTTTCTTCTTCCCAGGTGCGTCCTCAACCTTGGCAAAATAAACCTCTGAATTTACTGAGACCTGTCTTGGTAACTTTTTGGGTTGCATGGGATGTGCAGGAAGGGCCAAGATGTAATGAGACGGAAGCCATTGTTCTCCCTGGCTCCAGGGTCCTCAGGACCACTAACCCCCTACATTTTGGGGGTTAGCTTTCTTTTGCATTGGCTTCTTCCAGGAGGGGCTAGGTGGCAACGACCCCTTGGAAATACGCATCTAAGCTGGCACTGTCTATACACACACCACTCTGAGGCCTCACCGTGCTCTGATTTTCACACACATTTCATCACACATTTGTTTTATAATCTCATGATACCATTGTAAATGCTCTCTAATTAGACAATGTGGAGTCTGCATGATTCTGTTAAGAGTATTTGAGTGAAAATAAAAAGGGAATTAACTATCTTAGCAGAAACTTCTAATTGCTTGTGGGAAGACAGAAAACAAAAATGCCCACCTACAGGGGTTGTTCAGATCTTAAGATTAAAGACGATATTTCACCAAGTCAGTAATGATGACTGCCAGGACACATTTTCTTTTTCCCTTCAAAACAGAAGGAAGACAAGTCGAATGAGACTTTCACAGTTTTTTCTTCTGTTGCCATGCCAGTGTCTGCAGGCCACTGGATGAAAGGCTCGATTGGTGCGTTGACTCTAATAGCCAAGTTCTGTACCATGCAAGTGAGCTGGCAGGGGCAGGGAGAGCTGGAAGGAGGAGTTTTTCAGTGACAGCCCAGGAGGGTTCTAATGTCACAAGCACTGCCACTTCCCTTTCAGCCCCTGTCCTCCCACCCCAGCTGTGGTCCTGGCTGCACTTGGGGGCTGGCTGGGGCAGGGTCTGTCCCAGCCATGAGGGTCCCATCCCTGCAGGGCTCCACACTCAGATGATGCACATCTCTCTGCGGCAGTTTCACGGATGCTCTGATGGAGAGTAAGAAGATGTTTACCCAGCAGCTCAGATTGACGTTCCATTCTCGGCGTGCACTGCCTCAGGCACACCATGAATGCATACCCATTTTTACAAATTCTGTAACTAGCATGTAAGCATCAGCTATATAGATCATTTTTTTCCTATTTTTGGTCTTAAAAACTGTCTTTATTTGCTGAATTTTAAATATACCTCAAGGCGATGGAGGTGGGAATAACAGATGAAACAGGGCTGTCAAAATGTTGGTAATTATTGACATTGAGTAATGGGTATAAAAGGGTTCATTATACTCTGATACTTACATGTATTTGAAAATACTTATAAAAGGTGAACATAAAATAAATACACCACTGTGTTTTGCATCTATTCAGTTTTTATTCTAGAAAGTGGCCTCAGGCCCCTGAAAACCTATGAGGACAAAGTGTAAGATTTTTGCTGATAGACATGAGGGAGAACTTTCTGGAAGACTGATGGGTGTCTTGGGAAGCATTCCAGCAAGGACTTTGAGATGGGCTGTGGGTGCCAAACAAGCATGGTCTCCATTTGATCTTTCCCACCTTGCTGCCTCCCCAAGGCCCTGATGCACCTGCAGATATTTCCCCAGTGGCTGCTGGGCTGGTGGGGACCCCTGGGGACATCATATCACAGGGCTGGGGACATCGTATCATGGGGCCCTGGCTCTTGCCACGTGCTCCTCCTGGAAAACTCACTCTCCTCATCCTGTACTCTGTGCACTGAAAATCCTCCTTGAAGCCTTCCTGACTACCTCAAGTGAAAGTGGCTGTTTCCTCACCCTTTGGCCCTTTCTGATGATGCTGGTTTCTATTTGCTATTGGAATTGGCTGTAGGGCTCCTGGGTAGGTGGGTTCTGTTCTTCGCAGAGAGGGTGTTGTTACCCGAGGCCGGATTTGTGGTCTCCATGAACAGCCCCTGGATGCTGTCTCCTCTGGGCCCCGTTTCCAATATTGAGCTTTCCTAACCCCACAGGGTAAAGGGCCAGTGGCCCTGCTCCTGCATGACCTGGAGCCAGCCTGCTCCCCTAAGCCTCACTCGCCTGAAGTTAAGATCCAGAACTGCCGGTCTGTCCAGCTGGAAGAGCCCGCATCTAACGGCCATGGTGCTCCCAGGCCTGGCTTCTTGGCTTGTTTTGCTGTATCTGGCGTCCAGTCCTACTTCTCCTGATACATGCAGGGGGAAGGGCCCTTTCCTGGAGACACTCATGCCCCTGCCTGCTGTGACACTAATCGCCAGGGACACATCTGAGCACATCTAGCATGCGAGGGACTGGCAGCCCGGCCTGAATCCAGCTCCTCCCCAGGGCTGAGCTGTCAAAATCACGAACCTTTTGGTGGTGACAGGAAGCAGGTGAGGCCTCTTCCATTAGCGATCACTCTGCAGCCTCAGGCAGAGACATTTTCCACTTTTAAGAGAATTTATCTGAGGCAGCTTTGGCATGTCCCGGGGGGAGGCTCAGGGACAACCCCTGGGAACAGGTCTTCATCCACTCTTCCTTAGGCTCAAGGAATTAAATGACATTTTATTACTCCAATAAATATTTCAAGGGCTTCTTTTGTCTCCAGAAACAATAGAGGATGAGAAGAGGAGACACATCAATGTCTCCCTGCTGTCCCTTTGAGGGGCTGGTGGCTTGTGCAGGGTCCCCCTCAGAGCCATTTAGGAGAGTTGCAGCCTAAAGCTGCTTCAGGCCAGGAGACATCACTGACCCCTGCTGTGGTCATCCTTGCTTTAAACCAGAAACAAAATTTGTCCCAGAGTGAGCTTGGCATACATGGAGCTAGTCATGGTGGGCCTCCTTTTTACTGCTGCATCCCTGTTTCAGAGAGGTTGACGTGTAAAAAAATGTGAGTCTTAGAATCAAAGACATGTGATAATGACATGCTCCCGGAAGTGTTATCAAGAGGCAGGAACAAGGGAAGGGTGCAGGGGACAGGCCCTAGGGAGGGAGAAGTGGTGTAGGCTGGAGTGGTGAGGCCAGGAAGGCTTCATGGAGGTGGTGGGCCCAGGGCTGGGCTGTGACAAGTTCTGCATAGGAAGGGGCAGGGCAGAGGCACTGGCAGGGCGGTGGGAGCAGAGGGCACCTGGATTGCAGAGGACCAAGGCATGTGGAGTTCGTCTGGGCATCAGTGAGCAGCCCCTGAAGTTTCCAGCCTGGCAGTGCTAAAGGGAAAGATGTTTTAGGGAGAGTACTCTGAGTTTTAGAGAGAGACTGAGGCATAAGTTAACAGGAGGTTATGGAGGGAGCTGAGTGTTGGAAACAGAGAAGCAGTCTGGAGCTGGGGACAGGGTTGACAGCGGTGATGGAGGCTGAGAACATGAGATAGTGATGGGTCTCATCATGCCCACAGCCGTTCCCCTGAGCAGCCTCTCTGCCTAGAGGTCTGGGCTTCAGTTACCTCAGAACCTTGTTCCCCACCCACTACCCAGTCCCAGGTCCACCATGGACCACTCCCAAAGCCCCTTGGGCATTCCACACCCTCCATATATAGGAGAGCATGTTCCTGCAATGGGTCCAAGCCTTCCAGACACAAAAGGACTGATGTGGGATAAGGGGCAACCAACGTCACTGGAAACTTCTTCTTCCAATGAAACTATGATAATGCTTCTCTCCTCTAGGGTGGCGCCTGGCTGCACCTAAGGTGGTCTGCAAAGGAGCAGAGATGCTTCCTCAGGCAGTACCCTTGCAACGAGTCCCCCCAGGAATATCCTGCACCACCCTGCAATCACTTCCCCCAAAGGTGACCCAGATATCTTCCTGGCACCAGCTAGAAACACAAGCTAATTCTCCAATGGGCTACCAGTCTAGGAGCTGAGGAGAGGGGAAAGTCAAGATGGCTACTGGAGAGCTGGGCATCTAGAGAGGCTTCTAATGGAACAGAATGGAGCTCACGTGAGGGATGGCATGGTCAGGAGCCCACGTGGTGCCCCTACAAGCCCTGAGACAGTGCTGTCTCCTCCAGATCAAGGCCACCTGAGGGTTGGTGCCAGCCCCAGAGGTCCCCCCAGCCTCAGGTCCCAATGCCTTCCCAGGGAAACTTCCCTGCCTTTTTGTGTGGTGCAGGTGGCTTTCCACGAAGACCAGATGGAACTCATTAAGCTTAGGTCCGTTGTGACTGAAGACAGATTTAGTTCACCCAGAGGCAAGAGCCGAGTGCTGATTAGCTGTGCTGTCCTGCCCACGAGGAAGGGGATGGAAGGTGTGCTAACTGCTGAATTTTAGGTGGAGTGTAAAATAAACATCTCTTTAAGTTTTGAAGGTTTAATGAGTCATAAGATTATTCCAAATTACTTGCTGCTCTAATATTCAGTTTCTACCTTTCCCAGTGGGCTGGGGTTCCATTCCTCCTAGTTGTGAGGACTCAAGTTCATTGATGGTAGGAGGTAGTAGTGATTTGTCAAGAACAGTTTCTCTCAAGGTATGTACCATATGAGCTTGTGTGTGCATGTGTGTATGAGTGTGTGTATTACTGTGTGCGTGTGTGTATAAGTGTGTGTGTGTGTGTGTGTGTGTGTGTGTGTGTGTGTAAGGGTACAGCTTTGGGGGAGTGTTGTCCTCATACACACCACTGTTGGCCTGTTTAGAAAAGGTGAGGCAGTCATAGCTGTGACCCTCCAGGTGGATTAGCCAGTCATGCCTTAACTGCCCCTGAAGGTGTTTGCAGACCCCGACCTGGAATGAAATGCCAGGCCTAGTGGTATAATGCCGGTTGCTAAATCAGGCCTCGAAAAATCCCTTCAGTCACCACCAGTATAGCATACAGGCTTTGTTTGTGCAGTGCTATAGGGCAATACCTGTGCACATGGTGCTGAGCCAAGCAAAGTCAGTAAGCAGCTGGTGGCCTCTTCCCCTGTGAGGCCCGTTGAATTGCTCCAAGAGAGCAAGGAGATGGCTGTTTATCCTTGCAGAGTTTATGCCATTCCATTTTACTATAAGCATCTTGAATGTTAATTTGAATAATAGACTTGTTTCTTGATGTGAAGATCAAATAAGAGAGTGGAACCGCATCTTCCACACCGAGCTGGAGCCCGAGGTCAGAGCAGTGTGCTCCACTGTGAAGCGCTTAGCACAACATCTGGTGCACGGTCCACACAGCCAGAAGCCGCATTAGCATTACGGAAGAGGAGTGTGCATTTCCTCCACGCATGAATCATGGAACATCAGAGGTGGCAGTGGCCTTAGAAGGAGGGCAGGAGATGAAAAGGGTTTTGACAGAAGCAAGACTCAGACCTGGGCCTCCTGGCTCCTGCCAGGCCTGGAAGCTGCGTCCTTTATGCCTGTTTGCCATTACCTTCAGGCCATTTGGTTGACATTCCCCACTTTGTTATGGACAAATATCAAAATGACTGCTCAGGGCTGTCACTTAGGGGGCCATTTTGATCTTCAGAGGTGCTTTTTTACCAGGAAGACTTCCCCATACTGTTTTCTGGCATATGGCCTCAATGCTGACATCAGCTGCCATATTTTTACATCGGATCTGCTGCAAACGCTGATCACCTGTTTACCCAGTCAGGCAACCATGTGCCTAATTCTTCCTAGAAGAAGGCCTTGAATATTCATGAGGAATATGCCTTCATGTATATCGCAGTTGCCTGGTCTGTCACTGCTGTTCTCTGCATGCAGTTATTAGTATTTGCTATTGACTATATCAGCAGGTATTTGGCCTTGAAGCCTTAAAAAAATTCTATATTCCTAATGAACTGCCACAATTACAGCAGCCTGTATTTATTTCATTGGGATTGATTTCTCAAATGTCCATACGGTGGGAGAGTGGAGGGCAGACAAACAAAAGTATCTGAGGCAGTTCTCAATCAATTTAGAAGTTTATTTTGCCAAGGTTAAGGACATGCCTGGAAGAAAGGAATACAGAATCCCAAAAACAGTCTGTGCTCTGTGCCTTCTCCAAAGATAACCCTGAGGGCTTCACTATTTAAAGGGGAAGAGCAGGCTGGAGAGCCAAAAGGAAGAGCATGGTCACGTTACTGAATCTACATGTGGCAAGGGAAAAGGAGGAGTAGTGCAGGGAGTAGTCAGTCACAAGTCCTCTCTCGCTCAGTAAATCAGCAGTTTACATAAGAAAAGCTCATCTTTAACCTTTTTTCTGTAGCTCTGCTCAGGAACAAATGCAGAGGCAACTTATTGCCTGTCTCAGCTTTCACCTTAATTTTTTCCTTATGGCAGAATGCATTGGGGTCCTGAGTCTTTTTTTTTCCACAAGACATAAGGTCCTACTGTCTTAGAAACACTCCATCTCAATGAGAATTGCATTTTGTTTTTAATTTCATGGATGTTTCTTTGTGGATTCTTACTTGGTTTTTTTGTTTTATTTTGTTTTGTTTTGTTGGAGTCAGTGTCTTGCTGTGTTGCCCAGGCTGGAGTGCGGTGGCAGGATCTCAGTTCATTGCAACCTCTGCCTCCCGGGTTCAAGTGATTTTTGTATCTCAGCCACCCAAATAGCTAGGGCTACAGATGCGCACGACCATGGCCCAGCCAATCTTTTGTGTTTTAAGTAGAGAGGGTTTTTGCCATGTTGGCCAGTCTAATCTAGAACTCCTGGCCTCAAGTGATCCGCTCCCCTCAGCCTCCCAAAGTGCTGGGATCACATGTGCGAGCCACCATGCCAGCCACTTGTTTTGCATTTGACTTCCTTGAGTCTCAGTTCATGAAAAATGGGCATGTTACTTCAGATGCACATGCGTGTACACACAGTCACATGTGGAACTATGCGGACAGCCCCATCACACAGGATCAGGGAAGGTTTCCTAGGGGAGACCTTTGAATCCAAGAGAGGAGGGCAAATTGTGACAGAAGAGGGAAGGCGATTTTATGTACCTGCGATGAGATGAAAAAGCTCCAGTAGAAGACAATAGGAATGACTTAAGCTGGAATTCGGAGAAGACTAAGGGGGAGGCCTGGGGGTGGTGAGGGCGGGGGGTCATATAGTGTTTACCCAAGAGCTTACCTGCTGGACTGACACAGATCCCAACTGGAACACTCACTGGCTGTGTCATCCTAGAAAATGACCCTACCCCCACGCCTCAGTTCCATCGTTGGTAGAGAATCGCCACCTCCCAGAGTTCTTCTGAGACCAAGTGAGGTGAGGGGAGCTGGGCACTAACAACTCAGCTCTTGCTCTGTGCCTGCTCCAGGTATTATTTGGGTGTGCGGTGCATCTCAGTATTGCAAATGGGAGTTTTCCAGACTCCACTCTGAATAGCAGTTAGAAAACAAAAAAATTCAGGGCTAGAAGTAGATTCATCACCTGAGGGTGTGAACCCCCTGTGGTCTCCTTCCTTCAGTTTCTCGGCATAATTCAGTGGTTTTGCAGCCTTCAGGGTGCTGTGGACAGCTGAAATTGCAGTTGGTGAGATCTCCCATCACCTAGTTAGCTTTCTCTATCTCTTCTCCCATACACAATAGTCAACACCACCGCCGCTTTCCCTCCAATTTTCTCCCAGACTGACTGCTTACCTGTCACGCCTGCTACTTTGCCCACCACTGCTGACTCTCCACAGAGCTGGTGGAATGCATGGAACTCAAGAACAGGGCCCTTTCTTACCCCAGGGGAAAAAAAAAGTCTCTTCTATTTGCTAATTTGCCTTGTTTCAGCTTCCCTCTTATCCTGCAAATTAGCAGGTCAGGCTGCTTTGAAAAAAAGCTGGTGCATGGCCAGGTGTGGTGACTGACGCTTGTAATCCCAGCACTTTGGATCATTTGAGGTCAGGAGTTCAACACCAACCTGGCCAACATGGTGAAACCCCGTCTCTACTAAAAATACAAAAATTAGCTGGGCGTGTTGGCGCCCACCTGTAGTGCCAGCTACTCAGGAAGCTGAGGCAGGAGAATCACTTGAGCCTGGGAGGCGGAGGTTGCGGTGAGCCAAGATCGTGCCACTGCACTCCAATCTGGGCGACAGAATGAGACCCTGTCTCAAAAAAAAAAAAAAAATGGTGGTACAGATGCTAGTGCCATGAGGCTGCTTCTAACCCTCCTGTGGCTTCCCATGCCCTCAGTCACGTACCTTGTTCTAAGGGCCCTGCGTGTCCTGCCCTGTCTGCCTCTTCCCTCGCCCCCGCTTGAACTCACTCCTTTCCTGGCTCCTTCCAAAAGCTCCCTAGACATATCTAGCTCCCTCCTGCCTGAACCCCTGCTGTTCCCTCTTCCTGATGAAACACTCTCTCTCACTTTTTGCCTGAGTAGTTTCTTCTCATTCTTCTTTCTTCCAGGGAGATAGGCCAGGAAAGGCTTTCTGAGCAAAGACTACTAGGTTCTTTTCATCCACGGTATATATAAATATATGCATAAATACAAATTGCGGCATGTTTAGTCGGACATGGGGCTCTCTGGCTAATCCACAGTTTTGATGAGAGCAGGAACTGTGTCTGTTTCACTCTTACACTGTACTCCCCTGATCACAGGGCTGCCAGGAGCCCAGATGGTGCCTTTCTGCAAAGTGGACAAGGGCCCTTCCTCAGGACTCTTCATATATCTACTGGAACATTGTTTTAGTACACTTTTTTTAGAACAAGGCACATTATTACCATCTGCTAGAAAATTAGAATAATAAATACAGCATTTTATGCTGTTGTGGTGTGACCTAGATATGGTATTTTTTCACAGTGCACAAATTGTACAACTGTACTCGGCAATCCTCCATATCACCTACCACAGTGTCTACATCATAATTAATATTTGTTGAGTAAATTAATTAGTTAATGGGAAAGCCCTGAGGCCAAGGGTAAGAACAATGGATTCAGAATCTGGCTGCCAGGGCTTTGGGGACAAAAGTCATCACTTGCTAGCTGGCCTTGGTGAAGTCACTCACTGCTTGGAGCCTGTTTCTTTACCCGTAAGACAGGGTTTGCTGTGAAGGTCTAGCAAGATCACAGTGCAAAGTTAACATACTTGTCTTATGGGCCCTCAGTGTAGCAGCCCCAGTTGGTGCCCATGCTGCCTCCTGCCCTGTCTCTGCCTTCATTTGCAGGCTGCAAGCTTCTCACCTCAGGCCATCCAGGCTCTCAGTGGTTCTCAGGGATTTCTCCAAACTGTGTACTTACTCAGCCCTCAAGGGCAGGTGCAGGGTGGGAATGGCTGTGGTTGGTGGGAGGTAATTGATATACCAGGGACAGCAGCTCTCCATGGGGATAGGACCTGTGGGTAAATGCCCCAGCCTCCCATATCTTAGAGGGATGAGTCTGAGGTGTTTTCTCTACAGCTCCCCAGACAGTCCCCGGCAGGATGGAGCCTCAGTTTCCCACAGTGGCAACGAACCCAGCAGACCCACCGTAGCTTCTCTCCCTTTCCTTCCTCACCCTCTGCACTTCTTATTCCAGCTTCCTGGGATCAAATTCTAAAGAAACCAACTATACCCAAGTCCTCAGCTCAGTTCTGCTTTCAGGAGAACATTAATAACACCCATATCCTAGAGAATCAAGTTGGGTTTTTTCCATTATCTTCTGCTAGAATACCCTGAGGAAGCAGCTGCAATTCCAGCCTAGTCTCTGGAATAACAGGGACCTTGGGGATGGATCAATATCCAGAAGAGGGTGCACAGATGGTGTGGCCCACAGGGATTCTGGGGCTGGGGTTGGGGGAGAGGGGGCAGAGATGAGGAGCAGGGTTAAGGGCAGGGCCTGGGAGACACCATCCTAATGGTTCTGCCCTCAGGAGAGGGCTGCCAGCTGCTCCAGGACAGCCCATTGTTTCAGCTGAGAGAGGCGACAGTGCTCCCTGGAGTGCCGACTGGTCTGCCCATTTCTTCTTGAATTTTTGTATTAGCTATTGCCACAGAAATGCTACATAGCAAAGCAACCCAAAAGCCACTGGCTCGAAACCCCAGCCACTGGTTCCTGCAGTTCACGTGGCTGGCACTGAGTTCTGGCAGGGCAGCTCTTCTCTAAGTCTCTCCCTTCCCAGGTGATGGTAGAGGCACAGGCTGAGAAGCCGCACCATACAAGTGTAGCATGTGGGCCATGCTTGCCAGTGTCTCATTGGCCAGAACAAGTCATGTGACTGCATCCAACATCAGGGAATTTCCTTTTGCCCCTAGGCAGATTTGATGCAAAAATGTGGACACAGGAAAGGGGAAGAACTGGAACCCTTATGCATTCCACCACGTGCATGGGGAGGGTCTCCAGTAGTAAAACCTATTTTCTTCCAAGTGTCTATACTTTGTGGGCATCTAACAGTGACATGACCAGTGCCAGTGAGCAACCTCTGCCTTTAGACTTCGGGTTCCAACTTAAAGCTAACTTGGCAAAGTCTGCTTCTTCTACACTCAGCCTCGCCTCTGTTGGGTTTTTTGTTTGTTTGTTTGTTTGCTTGCTATTTGTTTTTAGAGCTGGGTTCTGTCTTTGTTGCCCAGGCAGGGGTGTAGTGGGGCACGATTACACTTCACTGCAGTCTCAGCCTTGGGTTCGAGCAGTCGTCCAACCTTAGTCTTCTGAATAGCTGGGACTACAGGTGCCTGCCCTCACACCCATCTCTTTTTAAAAAAAAAAATTTGTAGATATGGGGTCTTGCTATGTTGTCCCGGCTGCTCTTAAACTCCTGGCCTCAAGCGATCCTCCCACTTCAACCTCCCAAAGTGCTGGGATTGCAGGCGTGAGCCATCCCACCTGGTCTCTTGCATCTGTTTAGCGTAACCCATCAGCCTGAGGTGCAGGTGCAGTTCTTTCCTCTTCATTTCTGAGCATTTACCTGTCTAGCCTGGCAGGGAAGCCCAGTGCTTCCCGATGGCCTAACCCAGCATCATTTAGAGTCTAAGGCGGCAGCAGGAGTCTCCTGTCAGTCACTGCCATGCTTCCTCCTCTCAGAGAGAAAACACTGGGCCCAGGTGGCCTTCTTTTCCTGATGTCCTAGAACTGATCCTCCCACCCCACCGCTAATCTGGACTCAGCTCATTTGCGGTTCTCTTCTGGGGCCCTGAGGCTCAGTGAGGACCATCCAAACCCCCCAGAGTTTCTCGTCATGTCAGAGCTCCAGAAGGAAGAGTTGGTCTTGATGCTTTTCCTTCCTGGAGGTTCCTTGGCTCCTTTGCAAATGTGTCCTCCTCCCCCACTCCTCCCCTTCCGCTCCGGGGGCACGATGCCACCAAATGTCCTATCCCACTTTTGCTGGTGCCCCCACCTTCCACTGCATGCCAGAGGGGGCCGCTCACATGACACTTCTCAGAGAGACCTGCTCTAAGGTGACATTCTTCCACCCAGCCTGAGAAGCTGCTGGCGCTTTTTTTGAAAATAAACAAAATCACTTTTCATTCCACCCTGTTGGTACATTTGTTTATGTTTTCTACTTAAGGTTGTGTTTGAGCTCAGGGCCTTGGGTGAGAAAAAGCTGGAGAATTCTAGACCTGGATATCCCCTGGGGCCTATTCTGCTGTGACTCTCCATGACTCTGCTGTGAGAAAGAATCCTTTCCCTCATTTTCCTGCCATCCTTCACAGGCCGGGGCTGGACTCACCTTGGGGTTGTGGTTGACCCCACATGTGCACAGCTGCCCTCTGTCCCTGTGCTGAGTTTCAAACATTGCTTACCCTGCAGCTGGCTTTAAAAAGCATCATAAAGATCAGGCTGGTGGGAGGAGAAGGAGGAGTCATGGCTGGGGGAACTTCAAAGCTATAAACATTTAGGCATCTGCGGCTGATTTAAGAGCATTCTAATTTAGCAGCTGTCTTGGCACAGCTAGCTACCCTGGTGCACAGTACCATTGAGCAAAGAATATATTTAATATGATTTATGCAAGCATTGCCACAGAAAGTTTCTAACCAAAATATGGCCTTAAAGTGAGTGGACAGAGGCCAACAGTGAGTGAAGCTTGTGGCATGGCTTGGGGCTTAGTGTCCCCATCACCTTTGAAGCTGTGTGTGAGGGGTGGGGTGGGGCGGCACGTGTTTAGCAAAATTGTCTCAAAATTATAAAGACAATTAGTTTGGTGTGCCTGAAGGTCAAACTCCATTTTCAACTTCCTTCTTTCCCAGGCACCTACTGTTCATCCTATTTTCAACTATGTTCTTTTGCTTATTTGTCCATCCATCCATCCATCCATCCATCCGTCCATCCATCCAACTGTCCATCCATCCATCCATCCATCCATCCATCCAAGCATCCACCCAGGACTAAGTGACTGCATTGTGCTGGATGCTGGAGTAGTGTAGGCCCATCCTCAGGAGCTTGCATTTTATCAGATGCAGCAGATGCTGCCAGTGCACCACCCATATCCCCTTGGCACACACCAGAGGCCACCAGCAGTTTCCATGCTTACTGATGCCATCCTATCTTGAACACTTGTGTCTGTCAGAGCACTTTTTCTGCCATTAATGCTTATGGCCTGTGGCCCATGGGGCTCAGCCCAAAAAGGCTGGGAGGTTAAGAGAGTAATCCTCAGTCAATAAAGGATGGGAATGGGTGGCGATAGCCCCCAGACATATTGTGAGGGTTTGAATCCAGATTCCTTGGCCCTTGGTACCTTGTCAGGATAATTCTGAAGTGTGTTCTACGGAGTTCTTAAATGTTCAGTAGTTTGAGTATTTGTTCCCCCAGATCTCATGTTGAAATGTAACCCCCAGTATTGGAGGTGAGGCCTGGTGGGAGGTGATTGGATCATGGGGATGGATTTCTCATGAATGGTTTAGCACCATCCTCTTGGTGCCCTCCTCGCAATAATGAGTGAGTGCTCATGAGATCTCGCTGTTTAAAAGTGTGTGACACCTCCCCACCCTCATGATTCCACTCCCACCAGGTGGGACACCTGCTCCCCTTTTGCTTTCCACCATGAGTGGAAGCTTCCTGGGGCCTCACCAGAAGCAAATCCTGGCACCATGTTTCCAGCACAGACTGCAGAACCATGAGCCAAATAAACCTCTCACCTTATAAATGACCCAGCTTCAGGTATTGCTTTATAGCAATGCAGAAATGGCCTCATATAGCAGGTTCCCAGCAGGACTTAGCCAGTCACCACAGTGGTAATCTGTTCACTGTCACCCACTCATTCATCACAGTTATAACCTGTTCACTGTCAACCATTCATTCACCAGAGTGAGAACCTGTTCACTGTCACCCACTCATTCACCACAGTGGGAACATGTTCACTGTCACCCACTCACCACAGTGGGAACCTGTTCACTGTCACCCACTCACTCCCCACAGTGGAAACCTGTTCACTGTCACCCCCTCACCACAGTGAGAACCTGTTCACTGTCACCCACTCATTCATCACAGTGGGAACCTGTTCACTGTCACCCACTCAACACAGTGGGAACCTGTTCACTGTCATCCACTCATTCACCACAGTGGGAACCTGTTCACTGTCACCCACTCACTCCCCACAGTGGGAACCTGTTCACTGTCACCCACTCACCACAGTGGGAACCTGTTCACTGTCACCCACTCACTCCCCACAGTGGGAACCTGTTCACTGTCACCCACTCACCACAGTGGGAACCTGTTCATTGTCACCCACTCACCACAGTGAGAACCTGTTCACTGTCACCCACTCATTCACCACAGTGAGAACCTGTTCACTGTCACCCACTCACTCCCCACAGTGGGAACCTGTTCACTGTCACCCACTCACCACAGTGAGAACCTGTTCACTGTCACCCACTCATTCACCACAGTGGGAACCTGTTCACTGTCACCCACTCATTCACCACAGTGGGAACCTGTTCACTGTCACCCGCTCACTCCCCACAGTGGGAACCTGTTCACTGTCACCCCCTCACCACAGTGAGAACCTGTTCACTGTCACCCACTCACTCCCCACAGTAGGAACCTGTTCACTGTCACCCACTCATTCACCACAGTGGGAACCTGTTCACTGTCACCCACTCACTCCCCACAGTGGGAACCTGTGCACTGTCAGCCACTCACTGGCCGTTCTTGCTTGCTCATCTTACGTCCGCATGCCTTCATTGAGATTCTTGGGATTGCCTCTAAATTTAACTGCCTGCCCATGAGTTCTTGTCTCAGAGTCTGCTTTGGGGGACTCTAAGCTAAGACAAAAGACGGGCGTCTAAAATTTCTTTCACCTGTCTCCTTTGCTAGATTCTATGTTTCCTGAACCTTATGTCTTACCTTTTCATAGATTACCCCCTCATTCTGGGGAGCACAAGCTCTGCTAGCTTGCTCAGGAGGCGTGTCTCATTTGTGCATATTTGGAGGCATTTAATTTCTGAAAGAATCTTAAGTCTACCCTAATATTTGTTTGATAGGTTGGTTGTATATAGAATTCTAGAATTGTCTTTTGGAATTTTAAAGATATATATTAGTTTATTCTCACACTGCCATAAAGAACGACCGGGGACTGGGTAATTTATTTAAAAAAAAAGGTATTTAATTGGCTCATAGTTATGCATGCTGTATAGGAAGCATGGCTGAGGAGGCCTCAGGAGACTTACAGTCAAGGTGAAAGGCAAAGGGGAAGCCGGCCCGTCTTACATGGAAGGAGCAGGAGGAAGGGAGAGAGCGAAGGGGAAGGTTCCACATGCTTTGGACAACCAGATTTCATGAGAACTCTATCATGAGACAGCAGTAGGGGAATGGTGCTAAACCACTAGCTACCACCCCCAAGATCCAATCACCTCCCACCAGCCTCCACCTCCAACACTAGAGATTACAACTCAATATGAGGTTTGAGTGGGGATGCAGACTGAAACTGTATCAACACTGCTTTGTCTTAAGGTTCTAGTGTTGTGGTTGGAGACTTTGAGGCCATTTTGTGCCTGGCCAAGTGTGTACTAGTGTGTCCCGTGGCTGCTGCAGGTTAGGCACAGAAGCATCGCCTGAGCAATGCTAGTTGTCAGGAAGTTGGGAACAGCCTGCTTGCAAGGATCTGGGTGACTGCTGCAGTGTGAACACCAAGGCAACTCTTGCTACGTCTTTTTCTGGTCTCTTTGTTCTGTTCTTTATTGACCAATTGTGTAAAAATTCCTTTGCCACTGTTATCCTGTTTGAAGGATCATAGTTTCCAAATTTTACTTTGTTTTGTTTTATTTTATTTTATTTTATTTTATTTTATTTTATTTTATTTTATTTCGACATGGAGTCTTGCTCTGTCACCCAGGCTGGAGTGCAATGGTGCAATATTGGCATACTCCAAACTCCCCCTCCTGGGTTCAAGTGATTCTCCTGCCTCAGCCTCCCCAGTAGCTGGGATTACAGGTGCCCACCACCACGCCCGACTAATATTTGTATGTTTAGTAGAGATGGGATTTCACCATGTTGGCCAGGCTGGTCTTGAATTCCTGACCTCAGGTGATCCTCCCGCCTCGGCCTCCCAAAGTGCTGGGATTACAGGCATGAGCCACCAACCCTGGCCTTCCAAATTTAATTTTTTTTAATGTGGATTTGTGGATTTGCTTTGATTAAGTACTAATTCTCCATGACATGTAATTTAAATGGCACCTAGGGCTTATGGTGAAAAGTAGGTGATTCCTAGTGCAGTTTCTGCTTCCGGTCCTTGTGCATCCTTCAGACATGCCCTATGGGTGTGCAAGCATGTCAATGTGTGTTCCTTAAGAAGAAACATACAAAAACAACTCAGCCCCAAACTATTGCATAGGTTACCATGCCTCGCAGGTTGTCTGTCCTTCTGGAGTTTGCATTTTCATGCAGGAAGATGCCATTTAGTCTGATGCCATGGGAGTCAAGGTGCTATGGGAGTCAGGCAAAGCCTGTCTGAGAAGTTGAGACCTGAAGGGAGACAGGAACTAACATCGGGGAACTGGCTTGAGCTCCAGAGAGAACAAGAGCCAGGTTTGAGGGCTCGAGGAAGCAGAGAGGGGGCTGTATAAGGTGAAGATATGGAAGCTGGAGAGATGGTCAAGGGTTGGATTCTTGGGGGCTTGAATGTGTGGGCATGCCTGGCAGTCTTTTCTTTTTGCAGATAAAAGCAGTGAATTGCATCATTGACAGGAAAGCACTGCCATGAGCAAACTTGAAATAATAAAAATAGACGTCAGTTGAGTGCCAGACACTATTCTGTCCTTTACCTGTATGACCTCCTTTTACCTCCACGATAGCCTTATGAGCTGGGTACTGTTATCATCATCATTTCCATTTTACCAATAAAAACCTTAAGGCACAGAGAGGTTTAGTGACTTGTTCAAGGTCACACTGCAAATAAGTGGCAGGGCTGGGTTTTGAACCTGTGTTGTCTGGTCTAAAGCCCTTGCTCTTAACCTCTGCACCTCCTGCTGCTTAGCTTTCCTCTTTCTTGCCCTCAGTCTCTCTTTTCTTTTTCCTCAGCCCAATGCACCTTCTAGCATCACCTTTGAGGATTCAGGGTCTTTTGTGTTCCCAGGTCACCTACTTTGTCTGCTTCCAGGAAAGGCACCTGGGTATCAGCCACCCACACCTCAAGAACTTATGTCCTGTCAAAGAGGGTGATGGTCCCTTTGGAAATTATCTGTCCAGTCCCCCATTTTCCCCATGGTGAAACTGGTATCAGAGGGAAAATGGGAGAGGGGAAGGTAGATAAGGGAGATTTTGACAGATGAGAGGAAAAGGAAAGGAAGGGAAGGGATGGAGGGAAAGCAGAGTGTGGAAGTGCCATGTGAGCACCGTGATCTTGCTCCCATACTTGCCCCCACCTGAAGTCATAGTGCTCTGTGAAGGAGAGAGCACCTTACATCTGGAGCTTGGGGTGCACACTTGAGTTCTAAATCAACCCCAGTTACATATGCAATTATGGGCAAGCCACTTCGGCCTCTGAGCCTCCATTTTTCTTATCTATATAACCTGTTTCATTAAGTTTTGGAGGAGATTCGAATGAGATAATGGATGTGAAATGCATAAAAGACTACCTTCATTATCCAGGCACAGTGGCTCTCTCCTGTAATCCCAGCACTTTGGGAAGCTGAGGCTGGACTATTGCTTGAGCTCAGGAATTTGAGATAAACTTCAGCAACCTTGTGAGATCCAATCTCTACGAAAACTAAATTAATTAATTGAAAATTTAGCCAGGTGTGGTGATGTGTGCCTGTAGTTCCAGCTGCTCAGGAAGCTGAGGTGGGAGAATTGCTTAAGCACGGGAGGTCAAGACTGCAGTGAGCCATGGTTGCACCACTGCACTTTAGTCTGGGTCACAGAGCAAGACCCTGTCTCAAAAAAGAAAAAAAACAAAGGCCAGGCACGGTGGCTCACGCCTGTAATCCCAGCACTTTGGGAGGCCGAAGCAGGTGGATCACCTGAGGTCAGGAGTGCCAGACCAGCCTGGCCAACATAATGAAACCCTGTCTGTACTAGAAATACAAAAATTAGCCAGGCATGGTGATGCACGCCGGTAATACTAGCTACTCCTAGGCTGAGGCAGGAGAATCACTTGAACCCAGGAGGCAGAGGTTTCAGTGAGCCAAGATCATGCCGTTGCACTCCAGCCTGGGAGACAAGAGCGAAACTCTGTCTCAAAAAAAGAAAGAGAAAAGAAAGAAAGAAAGAAAGAGAGAAAGAGAGAAAGAGAGAAGGAGAGACAGAGAGAGAGAGAGAGAGAGAGAAAGAAAGGAAAGAAAGAAAGAAAGAAAGAAAGAAAGAAAGAAAGAAAGAAAGAAAGAAAGAGAAAGAAAGAAAGAAAGACGACTATTTTTATTTATTCAATAAATATTTGTTGAGACATGAGACACTACTTTATGCCAGGCTCATGAGTAACACTGAGAGGAGCCCTACCTTATTTCAGGTACTGTGCTAAGCATTTCGTATGCATTATTTAATTCTTTCAACCTCCTTTGCAGAAGTACTGCTGCTATTGTCAATGATGAAAACAAAGACCACCCAGAAACAAAGCAGCTTGATTTCTGAACTCTGGGAGTTAGGAAGGAAATACAAACCAATGAAGAAATTTACCAAGCAGTTTGCTAAGAGGGAAAAGCTGTGGTTTTGAAATGCTGGGAGAGAAGGGCATATAGTTCATGGCAGTTCTGTTGATTAGGGATTGGAAACCAGCACTCTGAATTAGATGGAATAAGTCCATATGTCTGAACATCATTGGTTTAAACAAAATCCATGGGCATTGCCCAGGAGAGCAACTGTAGACAAGTGCAGTACAGAGTCTAGAACTCCAGGATGCTCAGAGTTCATGGCCCTTCCGCAGCTCAAGCTGGGGAGGATAGAATTCAGGTTCACTATCTCCTAGGTAAGCTGTGCTAAGGTGGGTCATTTCTCGTTTCCATAGCATCCTCGACTTAAAGTTGAGGAAATAAAGGTGGAAAGGTGAAGTAATGTGTCCCAGCTCACATAGAAGCCAGGATTTAGACCCAGGTAGACTTTTTTGGAGCCTGTACTCTAAACCGTGACTTTCTGTTTATTACCATTTTTTTAAAAAAGGTATTCTTTAAGCTTGGTTTGTGGGAAAGGATTTTGGACATGAGAACACAGGTTTTGGGGGGTCTTTATTATTAGGGCAAAGAAAACTTTTCTGTTCACTGCCTTTCTAATTTCCAGCACAGAGAAAGCTGGGCCTGTGGGGTGAGAACAGAAACTGCCTAGAGGGCTGGGGGCTTGCTGGGAGACTCAAGGCTATCTCAACCCTGCCTGATGCCCCTATCTTGGGGACAGCACCCCACTTCTTGGCTCATCTCCTTAAAGGCCCCAATTTTCCTTGAGTTACCATCCAATAATGGTGTCAATGGGAAGCCGAGGCTGCATTGTCAGCCTGGCTGCAAATCAAAATAATTTGACATATTCATTTTCCGGATTTCATGTGGATCATGATGTTCCCCAGAAGGAAATGAACAAAATCTATAAAAGGGAGAAAAAGAGTGTTTTTTGCCTTGGATGATCCACATATGGTATAAATTATTGAGGAATTAGCATTTATCCACAATACCAGCAGCATGAGCAGTCAATAGAAAGTAATGAATCCCATGCAATCAATAGACAATAAATTCAGGGGTCAGAATGCTACAAGAATTTGAAAGCTTCCATGAGAGACATTGCATAGAGGAAGGGGCAGGTTGTGAGGGCCCTGCTGTGATCACGGCTGCACCTGGGAAGGCGGAGAAGCAATGACGGACAGCTGTAAATGGGAGAGCAGTGACACCAGAGCTACCCTGTGCTCCAGAGACTCCTGGAGGATGGAGCCGTAAATCCTGCAAACAGCAGCACTGGGCAGTGGGCCTCCAGGGCAGCCTGCCCAGTTTACGGACTTCAGCGGAGCATTGGTTTTGGATTTGGGGTTGGAGACTGGTTATCAATTTTGATAGTTCATTATAATAAACTGGGGAGTTTTTAATTAAAAAGTACACATTTCCTGAGCCCCTTTCCCAGAAATCTTGACTTAATTGATCTGGAATGGGTCCTGGCATTGGTTTATCTTATAAAAGCCACCCCAGGAGTTTCCAAAGTGCAATTGATTTTGGCCCCGGGCTGGAGGCTGAATTGTGAAAGCACAATTTAAGAGACCTTCGTACCTAACAGGTGAAGATTTCATGGGCCTGGAAGTTGGGCATGCAAAAAAAAAAAAAGGAATTTTCTTTATAACCAGAATTCGTTTTCCATCCTCACATTTTACCTAAAATTTAATTGTACCCAGTGAGGTAGACTCAGGGAATCTTGAAGCTTAAACTTCCTTCCTTCTGATCCCTCAACTTGTTTAGAATTCTGTGGCTCCCCCAGGGAATCACTGTGAGCAGCTCAGGTGTGGATGGTGCAGGCTGCAGGGTGGGGCAGGAGTAAGGGAGGGAGGTCAGGAACGAGCAAGTGGCACTGTCACCTGAGATGAGAGTGGGTCTGACACTTGGGCTGGCATCTCCTGTATGGGCCTCGGTTTCTGTTGGGTCCGCCCAACAGAACTTCTGTGTCCTCTCCATAACTTCAGAACTTCTCAAGTTTCCCTGGCCTGTTCCCCATCTCTCTCTTTCTCCAGGGGGCCTTAGCAAGGGGTACCTGCCTAGACAGCCCCCTCTGCCCAGCCAGCTTCATGAAGCCTCTATGGGGGGCCTGCAGGCTCTGGCATCTGCAACCCCAAAAGTGGAAGCTCAGGTCGCCTATGCTGTCAGGTTTCCTAAACTTCTGGGGGGTCCTATGGACTTCCCTTATCACCCAGGGTTTTTTTGGGGGGAGGGTGTTTGTTTGTTTGTTTGTTTTGAGACGGAGTCTCACTCTGTCACCCCGGCTGGAGTGCAGTGGCGCAATCTCAGCTCACTGCAACCTCTGCCTCCTGGGAGTAATTCAAGCAATTCTCCTGCCTCAGCCTCCCAAGTAGCTGGGATTACAGGCACCCACCACTACACCCAGCTAATATTTTTGTTTTTTAGTAGATATGAGGTTTCACCATGTTGGCCAGACTGGTCTCGAACTCTTCACCTCAGGTGATCTGCCCACCTCAGCCTCCCAGATCGGCTGTGATGACAGGCATGAGCCCCTGTGCCCGGCTTCACCCAGGGTTTTGATCTCAGAATAAGAAGGGTTCTGGCTCTTTTTACCCTCAGACACTCACCCTAAAGCTTACCTATTTTAATTCTAGATAAAATATCTGCCCTTCTTCCACTCAAGAGGTGTTTCTTTCTAATTTCCGTTTCATTTTATTATTTTCGAACCACCTGTCTCTGTGCAGGAGGATCTGGAAAGCATATGCTCCTCAGACCTGTGCTCGTTCTGCTGCCTTAGTTCTTGATTCTCAAGCAGCCGTTTCTCTGAAAGATCTCTGTTTTAGAAACAAAAAAGGTGTTCTAGAAGCTCAGAGGTCAGGAACTGACTCTTTGCACTGCCCTCAGGGTAGACATGATCCAGACAGAAAATTCAAGAAAGTTGAAGGCCTGGAAGAAGCCTCCATTAAGTCTTACAATGTCATCCCATCAAGCCTGGTTATAGAAGCTCTGGAAAGCGGGAAGGAGAAATTGGGGATGAGGGATGGAAGTTGAGTCCTATAGACCAATGCCATTGCCCATGCCATGCCTCTGGCTTGGAAGCCCTGGTCCTGTCTGCACTAGACTGTATTTGACTATCTTGCAAGGCCTTCCTCTTCCAGGAAGCCCACCCTGCATCTAGGGGCCTGCTGTCAGTCCCACCCATGTCTTGTGTCTTGGGCTCTTGCTGCTTCATTCTGCTTCTCATTGTGAACTGCCTGGTGGTGTTTTTATTTGTCTGTTTATTTGTTTGTTTGTTTTAAATCACTGGTACTGCTATTAACTCTCCTGTTAAAAATTATTTTTTTGCTAGAATGTGAGTCTCTGAGAAGCAAGGACTGTATTTTATTCAGATTGTGGTCCTAGTATCTAGCATATAGGGTGATAAGTCCTGAGAAATGGCAAGTGAGGACAGAAGATATATAAACATCTCTGCTCTGTCTCCTCCATGAGACTGGGTATTCTTGTGTCTCAGTTTCCTGACGTTATATCCATTCCTGCAAAATAAGATATACAACAAAAATAATTACATTTGTTTGGTGTCCCATGCCTACAGGGTAAAATTACACTTTGTACACTTTGTTGTACATCACATAAGGCCTCTGTGGTCCAGCCCATACCTGCCTGGCCCCATCTCCCAGCCTTGAACATCTTACTCTTTCTTGCTCTGGGCTGCTGCACATTCTGTTCCTTCTACCTTGAAAGCTTTTCCTCCAACTGTCCAGTTGACAAACTAGCAATCTCCCATCAGTCTCTGGGCCTTACCTGAGATGCAGCTGCTCACTGGAGCCTCCCACACTCCTGCAGCCAAACATGAGCATGCTTCCTGTGTGTCCTGCTATAGCCAGGGCATCCCCTCCTTGCTATTCACAAGCCCACCCTGCAGACAGCCTTTCTAGCCATTTCTATTCTGATTGCTGGAGGTTACCTCCAAAATACAACATAAAATATAATTTTCTTAGACATGTCTTGGTACCCCAGTGTATCAACAGATGGCATTTTAAGTACCTCTCTCCTCCTTTCTGTGTGCTATTCCTATTATTATGTTTAGTTTTTATATTTGACTACTTTTATATATTTAAGCCTCTACATTTCTTGTTGCATCAACTCTGACAGTGACTTATGTTGTTTTCACAGCTCATGAGGTGAGGGCCAGGGCCCTGCCCTCCATTAATAATTATTACTTGGCGGGGCAAGTGAGGATGGTTAATAGGTACAGAAATATGGTCAGATAAAATGAATAGCAGCTAGTATTTGACAGCACAACAGGGGGACTATAATCAAAAATAATTTGTTTTATATTTAAACATAACTAGAAGAGTGTAATTGGAATGTTTATAACACAAAGCAATGATAAATGCTGAGGAGATGGATACCCCATTTACCCTGATGGGATTGTGATGCACTGCATGCTTGTATCAAAATATCTCACGTATCTCATAAAAATATACACCTACTATGTAGCCACAAAAATTAAACATTACAAAAAAATACTATTAAAAAAAAAGAAGTATGGCCAAGCATGGTGGCCCATGCCTGTAATCCCAGCAGTTTAGAACACTGAGGTGGGAGGATTGCTTGAGCCCGGGAGTTCAAAACCAGCCTACACAACATAGCAAGACCCCATCTCTACAGAAAAAATTTAAGTTTGAGGCTGCAATGAGCTATGATTGCACCACTGCACTCCACCCTGGGTAACAGAGCAAGACCCTGTCATTCATATATATATATATATATATATATATATATATCTTGTTCTGCTAAAGAGTTGTACCAACGTAGATTTTCACCAGGAATGTGTAAAAATTCCAGATGGGATAATGTATATTTTTATCTGGCAACATAATTGTGATTAACTTTTGTGTGTCTGTTGCTCTCCTAGACTTTAATTATTGAAGGCAGAGGCAGAGGTGATTCGCCCAGGGCCTGGGAGGGCAGCATTCAATATTCATGTAACTATTAGAAGAATTAGCCCAAACTTAGAAATAAGGGATTGCTGGGCGTTCTTTCTGGGGGGTGCTGGATTGACACCTCTCATTGATTTTCTACTGACAGGGCTACTTTACAGTTCCACAGGGCAGAAGTGAACCTATAGATTTTGGTCTGGTTGAGATACAAATAATTTCTAAATGGTAGAAAGGATGACCCTGGCCAGGTACAGTGGCTCGCGCCTGTAATCCCAGCACTTTAGGAGGCCAAGGCAGGAGGATCACTTGAGCCCAGGAGTTAGAGACCAGCCTGGGCAAGATGGTGAGAGCTCATTTCTACAAAAATAACAATTAAAAATTAGCTGGGTGTGGTGTTGTGTGCCTGCTATTTGGGAGGCTGAGGCAGAAGGATCGCTTGAGCCCAGGAGTTTGAGGCTGCAGTAAACTATGATGACACCACTGCACTGCAGCCTGGCTAATGGAGAGAGACCCTGTCCCTAAGAAAAAAATAAAGAACAGATAACCCCAATGGTTATGGGTACTGGCCCTGAGAGCATTACCTAGTTTTGCATCTCATGTAGCACTCATCCTAATGTTCTTTTAAGTTGCCTAAAATACCCTCTTCCTCAGATTCTCATTTGATAGAGTTTTGATGTCTTGCTGGTTGCCTCTTAATGAGTTAAGTAAAATCTTTGACACATATTTATCATATATTTGCATAAAAGTCAAATTTTTATCTTTTTGAAATTATACTATAACACAACAATATAGTATTAGTAGAAATTTTAGCTTCAATAGTTTATTATGGGAAGCTCCTTCAAGGCAAGACCATCTTTTCTTTCCTTAGGCAAATGGTGCTACAGTTATTATTTTGCAGGAAACAGGGCCAAGGTCTTGTTAATAAGAGAAATGTCTACTCCTCTGGTGAGACTCGACTGACAGAGTCTTTGGAAGAAGGTTAATATTCACAGTAATGAAGAGGGTTTGCCCTTAGGTGAAAAGACAAAGACCTTTGTCTTTTCTGCTAAAGAAAATCTTAACTGGTTTCAAAACCCTTGTCATCTCTCACATGTATCTCTTTCCTGGATCTGCTTTTTATCAGTAGAACCCCCCTCCCTGGGCCATGTGGGGTAGGATGTCACCACTGCCAGAGCATTCTCTTTGATTCCCAAATGTCTGTCCTGCCAAACCTGGACATGTTCTACCCTTTATTCTACCTGGCTCACAAGGTGGTTGTAAGACAGTGGTTCTCAACTGGGGGTGACTTTACCCCCTAGGGGACATTTGGCAATGCCTGAGAACATCTTTAATGGCTGCAATTCAGGGGGTGCTGCTGGCCAGCAGTGCTGCTAAATAGCCCATGCACAGGACAGCCACGCATGATGAAGAATTATCTGGCCCCAAATGCTGAAAGTGTCACGGTTGAAAAAGCTTCTTGTAAGGGAGGTATGAAATAATAACTTTGCATTCTATTTACATTTTACAGATGAACTAACGGAGGCTCGGAAAGGTTAGTTGCCCCACCCAAGGTCATACAGCAAGGAAAGAAACAGCGACCAGATCGCAGTTCTTTTAGGCCTGCTCTTTATTCTCAAGTATGCTGCGTCTGGGGCTATCAGTGGAACTGGGTAGGTGCCACTGCAGAGTGTGGAAGGGCACTGGATTAGGAAAGAGGAGAGGCTGCTGAGAAAGTGGGAGAGGTGTGAGACCCGCTAGTCTCATTTGATAAAAAATGAAGCATGTCAATGACTATGCACATTTAGGTATCGGTGCTGGTTCTTTGGCTGCTGCAGGAACCCAGGATTCCTCAACAAAGATCTCCACAGGTGATCACAGAGTGTGGTGGTTTAGTGAGAATCCAATTCATCTTAAGGTGCAGCCCTGTCTTGGGCTCTGAAAGCAGTGGCGTGTGTGGCAGAGACTGAGAAAACTTTTCTCTGTGAAGTGGGAGAGGAGGTAGACAGGGGTAAGTTTAGTCTCCATTAATAAATGGAAGCTGGCCAGCACTCCCAGGACATGCACAATCGCCCTCTGCCAAACAGCCGGAATCAGCAATCAGTTCTGGGAGCCAAGTAGTTGAGGAATAAAAATGAGCTGTTGGCTCCAGGGAGGGACGGGCAGCTCTTTAGAAAGATTAAAGTTACCCAGTGCCTTTCTGTCCCCTAATTACATTCCTTCTGGAGGATATATCTGAATAACCTGAGAATCTGCCTTAGCTGTGCAAAGCCAATAGACCATTACCTTGTTCCACAGAAATTGCGGGAAGGGGCAGAAGGAGCTGGTGCAAAACCACCTGACCCCTAGCTGGTACCTGCCCAGGTCTGCACTTTCCTACCTCGATGCCTTTGCTGACACCCTTCCCCATGCCTGGCATTCCCTTCCTAGTGCTGACACCCTCCCCTTGCCTAGCCTCGAAACTCCTCTGTTCTTCAATGCCACTTCTGTGAAGGCTGTCTTTAACTTCCATCTGGAAATGACCACTTTGCCCCCTGAATTCTTGTAGCCTGTCTCTTTATCTGCCTGTTTCTCGTGACTCTTATGATTCTCTTTGTATTGTGTTGCGGACTGAATGTTTATGTTTCCCCCAAACTTTATACGTTGAAATCCCAACCCCCAGTGTGATGGTATTTGGAGGTGGTGCCTCTGGGAAGTAATTAGGTCACAAGGGCAAAGCCCCCATGCATGGGATGAGTGCCCTTATGAGAAGAAGCCAGAGAGCTGCTCCTTCTGCTCTCTACCATGTGGGAGCACAATGAAGACAGGAAGCTGCCAACCAGGAAGCAGCCCTCACCACACACTGGGTCGGCTGGCGCCGTGATCTTGAACTTCCCAGCCCCCAGAACTGTGAAAAATAAATTCCTGTTATTTATAAGCCACCCAGTCTGTGGCATTTTGTTAGAGCAACCCAAGTTGACTAAAACTTGCAGTTGTTTGAGTTTATATCTAATTCTATTTTGTGGTTTCCTAAAAGAAAACACTCATACAAAGATATTTTGTGGAAACTAAGAGGAGGGTTGTCACATAGGAGGGCCTACCAATGCAGCCATGTCTTGGGTCTCTGTGCTCTGAATCCCTGCTAGGCCAGCCTCCTGGAGGTGAGTGGGCTTGTTTTTCTCTCTTCTCTTTCCCAGCAGGCACTACCTTGGCTGACTCCTCTCTCTTCTATACTGGAGGTTACAGTTATCCTCACTTGAGCTTCTGCCTCCATCTTGCTCACCCTGACCCCACTGGAAGTCAGTCTTGTGATCCTTCAGAGTCACCCTCATTCCTACACCAACCTCAAGCAGCACATCAGAGCATATCCCCACAAAAAACAGGGCTCTGACTGCTCAAAGAGGAGTCCTGGCAATTAGAGATTCCTCCTTTTTATTGCCTCACTCCCTGGATCCTTGCTTTTCCTCTCTGCTAAATCGGATGGAAGGTATTTATCTTTGCCCTTCCACTTCTGTTCCAGCTCTTAACCTATGCAGGTGCTTAAGAGCCACTTAATTGGATGAATGAATTAGATATTTTTCTTGCTGGAGTCTCTGCCAAGATAGGCTGAGGACCCCAATTCCTGCCTGAAAAGAACATTTCTTGACCACTCTACCTGCCTTTCTCCCACGTCTTTGTCCTGGCTTCCTGAGGGGGCTTGTCTTATCTAGACCTGAGGGGAAAAGGACAGAGAGTGATTGGAAGGATTATTTTCTGAAGAATTCCCCTGCCCGGGAACCAAAGGACATGAGGTAGCAGGAGGGAGTTGTGATCAGTAGAGGAGGAAAATGGAGACGCAAGAAAATTCTTATATAAAACTTTCCAACTTTAGAAGAGGAGAAACTTTATATTTCTTATATTGTGAAACCTTAGACAGTAGAAGCTGTGAAAAGAAATTCTCCAACTGAGTTTTAGCAGAATCTAAAGACTGGTGAACCTTTATGAAAAAATAGGTTTGGTTCTAGCAGTGAAACTTAACAAGAATATAGGTTCTGCTCATTAAATACGCTGCCTGCCTGTGTTCGAAATTGAAGGGTGTCTTTCTAAAGTTATACCATGCTTCAGTGTCATCCAATGTATTTTCTTAGTCCTTGACATTTAATTATTCACAACTGCTTTTTACTGCCTCATTTATATTACCATCATGAATGTAATATTATCATGCAATTAAATGGCATAATATCTTGCAAAACTGACTGTCTGCCAAGTAGGTCCTAGGTACTGGTTAAAACAGTTGAGTTGGCAATCAATGGAACATTAAAGTATTTTATGGGAATTCAGAAAGACAAGATATATTGAATTTCAATGGCTGCTAGCTGAATCCTCTAACTCCTTTGTAAAGCTTGTTAGCCCAGTATCCAAATTAAGTCTCCAGCTCTAAAGTCAGACTTCAGAAGCAAAATCAAATCAGCTATACCTAAGAAAAACAAGAGCGGAAAATAAGAGGTGAAGCAAATTCAAGTAGGTCAGCTTGAAATCTTTAGTTGGTCTTTAAATTTGTTTAAAAGAAAAAAGAATTACATTACACATAAAAGAAGGGGATAAAGTATAGTATGTAAATTTAAAATGCTGCTTTTCAGACTTCTGGTTTATTGTCTGGCAGGTTGGAGCTCAGAAGTCTCCACTTTGTTCTAATAACAAGTGAAAAGCTGACTTTATCACAGGATGTTTTTCTCTCCACACACCTTGCCATTGCAGTACTAAACATCTGTGCACCTCAGTTCCTGTACCAAGTATACCATGTCCACCTTGCAACAAAAATTACAGGGCATACGACAAGGCAAAAACACGGTTTGAAGAAACTGAGCAAGCACCAGAATCAGAGTCTGGTATGGCAAGAGTGTTGGAATTATCAGCCCAGGAACTTTACAAATATGTACATAAGTAATATGCTAAGGGTATTAATGAAAAAGTACATAACATGCAAGAACAGATGGATAATATAAGCTGAGGAAAGATTCTTTGAGTTTGAGTATATAACAGTAGAAACTGCCAAAACTCAAAAGCAAACAGAAAAAAAAGACTGAGGAAAAAAAAAAAAAACAGAACAGAGTGTCTAAAAACTGTGAGACAACTACAAAATGTGTATCAAGGGGTAGAGGGAGGAATTAAGAATATTTTGTTATTATAAAGCACCTGCACTTTGTGAAGTGCTACAGAGTTATCAGAAAGTAGGCTTGGAGTAGTCGTAAATGTATATCGAAAACTCTAGGACAACCACTAAACGAGTAAAAGAAATACAGCCCACCTAGTGGTGAGAAACTCAAAATTTTTCCTGTAGGATCAGGAACAAGGCAAAGAATGTTACCACCTTTTTTTTAACATTGTACTGAAAGTGCAGCTAAACATAAGACAGGAAAAAAAAACACAAAAAGTATACAATACACATTGGTAAGAAAAAAAAATACAGCTGTCTTTGTTTGCAGAGTATAATCCTCTCCGTAGAAAAATCTAAAAGATTTGGCAAGAATACTCTTGGAATAAGCAATTATAGTAAGGTTTCAGGATTCAAGGTTAATATGCAAAAGTCAATTGCATTTCTATATACCAGCAATGAACAAGTAAAATTTGAAATTAAAAACACAGTGCCATTTACATTAGTACCCTGAAAATTGAAAATACTTAGGAAAAATCCAACAAAATATGTATAAGATCTATACAAGAAAAATTACAAGACTCATGAAAGATATCAAAGAGCTAAATAAATGGAGAGATATTCCATATTTATGAATGAAAAGAGTCAACATTGTCAAGATGTCAGTTCTTCCCAACTCATATATAGATTAAATGAAATTTGGATAAAAATCTCAACAAGTTATTCTCTGGATATCAACAAACTGATTTTAAAGTAATATGGAGGCCATCTCTCTGGATTCAAGACTTAGTGTAAAGCTACAGTAATTAAGACAGTATGGTTTGGTAAAAGAATAGACAAGTAGATCAACAGAAAAAATAGCCCAGAAATAGACCCACATAAATAGAATCAATTGATCTTTGACGAAGCAAAGACAATACAGTGGAGTCAAGATAGTCTTTTCAACAATTGGTGCTGGAACAATTATACATCCACATGCAAAAGAAATGAATCTGGACACTATCTGCTTACACCCTTCACAAAAATTAAAATGGATTATAAACCTAAATGTAAAACACAAAATTATAAAACTCATAGAAAATAACATAGGAGAATATCTAGGTAAGCTTGGGTATGGTGATGGCTTTTTAGATATGACACTGAAGGTATGATCCATGAAAGAAATAATTGATAACTTGAGCTTGATTAAAATTAAAAACTTCTGCTCTATGGAAGACAATGTAAAGAGAATGAGAAGCCAAGCCATAGATAGAAAATATTATCAAAAGACATATCTCATAAAGGACTTTTATCCAAAATATACAAAAAACTCTTAAAATTCAATAATAAAAAAAGTAACAGCCAATTTAAACCTAGGAAAATGACCTGAATAGACATCTCACCCAGTAATATTTACAGATGGCAAGTAATCATATAAAAAGATGTTCAATATTATATGTTACTAGAGAATTTCAAGCTAAAACATTGAGATACCACTGCCCACCTGTTAGGAGGGCCAAAATTGAAAACACTGACATCAACAAATTCTGGTGATTACATGGAACAACCAGAATTCTCATTCATTGCTGGTTGGAATGCAAAGTGTACAGCTACTTTGGAAGACAGATTGACAGTTTCTTATAAAACAAAACCTATAATTCAGCAATCATACTGCTTGGTATTTGCCCAAGGGAGATAGAAACTTACATTCAAACAAAAAATTGTACATGGATGTTTATAGCAGCTTTATTCATAATCGCTGAAACATGGAAGCAATCAAGAATGTCCTTCAGTAGGTGAATGGACAAATAAACTGTGTGGTACATTCAGAAAATGGAATATTATTCGGTGCCAAAATGAAATGAGCTATCAGACCATGAAAAGGCGTGGATATTACTAAGTGAATATTACTAAGAGAATGCACATTACTAAATGAAAAAGGCAAATCTGAAAAGGCAACATACTGCATCACTTAACTATATGATATTCTGAAAAAGAAAAAACTCTGGAGTCAGTAAAAAGATCAGTGATATCCAGGAGTTAGGAGGGAGGGAAGAATGAATAGACGAACCCAGGATTTTTAGGGCAGTGTAACTATTCTGTGTGATACTACAGTGGTGGATACATGTCATCATACTTTTGTCAAAACCCACAGAATGTACACCACCAAGAGAAACCCTAATGTAAACATGGACTTTAGGTGATAATGATGTGTCAGTGTAGGTCCATCAATTAACACAGATGCACCCCTATGGTGGGGAATTTTGATAGTGAGGAGGTTGTGTGTGTGGAGACAGGGGGTATATGAAGACTGTATTTTCCTCTTGATTTTCCTATAAACCTGAAACTCCTCTGAAAAATAAAGTTTATTCGCTTAAAAATGATGTTTTAGATGAATATTTACTAACATTAAAAGTTGTTTGCAATGTTTTAAGCGAAAAAAATTTACAAAGCCAATTACTGTTATACATTTATACTTATAAATATGTATGTTTATATTTATGTCACTTAGGACAGTGTGGAGCAGATAATAGCATGTTTATATCTTTACTCACTTGTTTAATTCTCTTAATAAAACTATAATGTAAACATGTTATTACCAGTATAATCCCCTTTTTGTTTAAAAGTGCATAGAAATAGTTTTGGAAGAGTATGAAACCATTTTCAGAATTTTTGGAATCATGCCTGGAAGGATATGAAAGGATTCTCTTTGGCCAATTTTTCTTTTCTTTTGTTTATCTCTATTTTATTATTTCTCTATAGTGAACATGTATTGATATTTTTCAATAAAACAGTAATTTTTATGTTTGTTTTACTTTGTTTAAATTAGGCTTTTCAACAGGTAGCTCACACTGCACATGAGGGTATAGAGTGAAAAGCAAATCTTCCTGGATCAAGTCCCCGGGTCTCTTTACTTTCTCCATCAGAAGACAAAGATTTCACAAGTAAATAGTTCCTAGTGAATCTTTTCAGAGACTGTCTCTATATTGACAAGCATAAATGTATATGAGTTACCTTCTTTTCCCCATGACAAATGATAGCATCCTATACACAGTTATTTACCCTGCTGTTTTATTTAGTTGCACATCTTAGAATTTGTTCTAAATCCATACATACAAAGCAGACTGTTTGTTTCTAATGTCTGTAAAATATATTATTGTTTAGATGCACTATGATTTATTTAACACCTCCCCCAGTAATGGGTATTTAGGATGCTTTGTCTTTTGCCTCTGCAGACATTGATGTTACAGTAAATATCCTTGTATAGACTATTTTTCTGCATACCTACAAGAATATCTGGGGTATAAATTTCTTGAAACAAAGGTACCAGGTCAAAGGGTTAATGCATTTTAAAATGCTGGCATTTGCCAAGTGGCCGTCAAAAGCATTATGCCAGTTGAAACTCCCAGCAAAATGATTGAGCACCTGTATATCTAATGTGTACTTACCAGAGGTAGCCAAATATCTATGTATGCCTTTCCTCACCCAGCAAGGTGCTGTCAAATATTATTTTAAATAATGACAAAAAATAGATTCAGCAATCATTCATGTTAGACTTGATCTGGCATTTGTGTTGAGATTACCATGAGACTTTGAGACTGAAGTGAAAATATGCCTGGATTCAATTATTTTTAAAACACACTGAGAAATCACTTGATATATTGCTGAAGGGCCGTGCAGAGATATATTGCAGAGAACTGTTGAGAGAGATTGTTTGTTCTGAGTTCCAAAGAAAGTTGCATGCTAACGTTTAGCAATTGGGGGCCTTCTGGCCAGGACTCATCTGTTTCACTACCTCTCTCCAGAATCTTCCTCCATGAAAAGAAAATTGGTGAACCCCACCATCTCACTGCTTCAACAATTGATTTAATCCTTTCAATGGGCTTTGACTTCTTGCAAGGACTTGGCCTTCAGGATAGGAGGAAATGGTCCAACTCCAGCAGCCTTAAGGATTAGGCTCCCAGTGATCATCAGGATTAATTAATACTCCATAACATCATTATAGTCAGGGCATTGATTTAGAAAAAAAAAACAAGACAATGTAATCTGCTTTGCACAGAGGGCGAGGGAGTTGAGAGCAGGTGCAATTTAAATGGAATTGTTTTATTACTTGCTCATCATATTTGGCTGCTGCCAGAAGAAAAGATGTCACAAACTTTTTTTTTTCTTCCTCTCTATTTTGAGACAGTTAACTTTATTTTGTGTGATGCAAACAAGACCTATGTGACTCATTTAGACTCAGCCCAGCATTCAGATATCTAATTATTATTTTCTTGGATGTGTATTGGGTTTTGTGGACTTTTTAGAGATGGCTGTATGATGTGTTTGATAAGCAGGGAAGGCTGTGGGGGGAGATGGGGGTCCTGCAGCATTCTCTTCCATTGGAAGATGAAATGGGGTTCCTGCTCTGGAGAGGAATAGGAGGGGAGCTGCCAACCTGCCATGTGCCCTCTTTCAGGGGTTTTGCTGCCTGCAGCTGTAATGGTTCTTTACAACAACCCTGAAAGGTTTTGGATGTGTGCCAAGACTTTCAGAGAGTCCTTGCACTCAGAGGATTACACATTAGAATGGGTGAAGACCCTGCCCCTTGGGTAAGCACCACATATCTGACATGTGGCCTCTGCTCAGGCACCTCTGAGGTCCCTGGGAGACCACACTGTTCCTTGTGTCTGGATCATGTGACCCCTTCTCAGGTTCTGGGAAGTGGGAGCCTGGCTGGTGGGTGTGAGGCAGTCCTCACATCCCACTCCCTTGCCCTCCTTGATTGATTCTGGAGTTAGCACATGACCCAGTTATGACCAATAAGATGCCACCAGGTTTTGCTGGGAATTCTAGGAGAGAAACTCTTGTTTTTTTTCTACTTTGCTGGAACAGCACAGGTTGGGTGCCCTGGAGTTGCTGCCACCACTGAGGAGGGTCTGCTTCAGAGGGGAGCCAATGGGGAGGAGAGACAGAGGAGGCTTCCCTGAAACACACACATGCTCTTCCATCCCACTGTGCCTGAAGCCGGCATGCCTCCAGGCTCCTCCGTTGTAGGAGGCAGCAAGGCCCACCTTGGGGTAGGGTTTCTCTCATGTGTATCTAAAGGTCCCTGATACCTGATGTTTTGTCCCTGCAGAAAATCAGAAGCGCCAAGTCGGCTCCTTAGTTAACTCGCACAAGCCACCTTCCATCTCCATGTAGCCTCCTATTTCCTGCCTGACTGCGCTGAGGGCAATATCAAAATTTCCAGACTCTATTAGGAGCAAATTTCTACTTAAGGTTTTACAGCTTAGCACATTTTGATTGGATGTTTGTGGAAATTTGGGGAGGAACGTTGATGATAGACACAGGAATAGAAAGTCGGTGCTAGACTGCAAGTTCCCTGGGGGCAGGGCTGAGGCCTCCCCCAGTCCTCTTATGCCCCTGTCCCTGGCACTCAGTGTAGCACTTGGCTGAGTTAAGGGATCGAGGTTTGGCTGGAATCAGGAACCCAGGGTTATCCTAATTCAACTTTCTCATTATCCGTTTGGGATGGGAAGCGGGTAGGGTGGTAGGTTCAATGTCTATTGTCCTTTGGCCTGATTTACTTTGACCCCAGAGCCTCATTCCTGACCTTCTTGCACTGACTTCTCCCCTGGTGTCTAATAGTGCGTTGACAGTGCCTTTTATCTGTGATCTTGAGGGACAGCTGTGCTGAGAGTGGAAAGGATATAAGGACCAGAAAAAATTTGTCTGATGAAGTAGTCCATACTGAGGCCAAATATCCCTTCTGGCCCTGATTCCGCCCTTGGTCAGAAGAGTCAGCAGCCCTTATTTGCAGTTCTGTCCAGGGCCCCTGGGCAAGTCACTGACACCTCTGCTGAGGAAACTTAAAATGTCTGGTGCATAAATTCCCAGCCTGTTACATCTTGCTTCAAGGAATGAAGCCGCTATGCTGGCATAAATCATTTGAAAATTATAAAGTGCTTTACATGTGGTTGTTATTGTTAAAAATGTTATCCTTTTCCTATGCTAATAGCGTGGATAACAACAATAACTAAAATGGCATTTTCCCTGATGGACAGAGAAAAACCACAGGAGAACTCAGTTTGTCTATGTGGGTTCCTACCACAGGGCTTCCTGGGCCAGGCAGGCAGGAGAATGGCTGCCATTCCTTCCTCCCAGGCTGTCTTCGTCCTTGAGGGGAAAGCCTGTCCTGCCGGTTGCCCACCTGGGCAGCTCTATCCTAAGATGAGCCTTAACATTTACAGGCTGCCTGCTTCTGGCATGGGGAGAGAAGCTGTAGGAGAGGCAGGGCCAGGGCATCCTGGCTGACACCCATGTGGAGAGGAGCAGGGTAGGGCAGTCTTCTCCAGGTAATGGTAGCAGGGCTTCTAAGCCTGTGGATTGGGGGTATAATAACTGGTTGGTAACTGGTAACCAGTTGGATATATGTGACTTACACAGGGCCCCTCACTGTGGCCTTTGCATGCTGGCCTTAGGAGGGCCTGGCCCAGCTGTCTCTAGGATAGCCCAGCATCCTGGAGGAAGCTTTTCTTCCCCACCTTTAAAGGTAAAACAAACATGCAAACCCCTCACCACCTGCGGGGATCCCTTGGTCTCAGGAGGAGGAGGTAGGACTGTGGAGTTCTGGGCAGGGCTTACACCCTGTTTGTATTTTCCTGTTTGGTTCTCACCATCATCTGTGATATAAACACTATTGTCTCCACTAAACCCATGAGAAAATAGAGACACAGAGAGATTAGATTGATTGCCCATGGTATTATTTTGCTTAAAAAGGGATGGAGGCAGAATTTGAGCCTGTGGATTCCAACTTCAGAGCCTGGGCCCCAAACTCCTGTGCCGCCCCTTCTCACATGCACATGTGTTTCTCTGGTCTCCTGCCCTAACATGCTTGGCCCAGGGCAGATGTTCAACAGGTTTGTTAAAAGGTCAGTGAAGGTTAGACATCAAATGATAAGGGAAATATTTTTGGTAGCTTGAATGCTTCTAGTGATTCTAGTGACGGAGACGGTTATGTGTTCACCAAGCCCAGGTACACAGGGGACTCATGTCTGACTGCTGCCGTGAGATGGGGTCTGTGAAATGTGGGCAGAAGTGTCATGGGCTCCCGTAGGCCCTGCATATGGAACCTCCCAAACTCTCATTTGCCTTCCCTTTCCAGTGGGTTCATGGGGTAGATGTGGAAGGTCCAAGCAAGGCAGAACTGCAAGACAGAAGGAACTTGGGCACTTGTGTCATCACATGGAGGAGGGCTGTCCAGGAGAGTGGCTCAACCACTGTGATCTGAGGAGGGATACCATTTTTTATTGTGTTAAGCTGTTGAAATCTTGAGTTTTGTTATAGCAGTTATATATCCCAACTGTACACTTCTTTAAGAAAGGCTTGCTTTAGACTTGTTTAGGAATCTTCAGCTATAATCTTCAGTATAACTTTGTGTGTGTGTGTGTGTTTGTGTGTGTGTGTGTGTGTATTCAAACATGTCACTTTGGACTTATCCAAAGCACATTTGCCCGTTTATCTCCACTCTGTTCCCAAGTTCAAAACCCTTAAATACCTATCTATTTTTTCTTCCCATAGCTACTAAGAGATCTCTCCACCAGACATCCAGAATTAAACATTATACCAGCTTATACAGTCTCCCTTCAAACAAACAGTCTTCAGCCAACTCTAAAGCTGTCCCTTTCATTTACTTTCAGTGAAGCTCTTAGCATGAAGCTGCATACGGTTGAAATCTGGGTGGCATGGCAGAGAAAACCATTGGTATTTAAAAGGAAACTTTTTGGGTAATGTTTTTTATGATCCTCAGAATCACAAAGGGTGTTTGATGCTACATCTGCTGCAAGCAATGGGCTGTGTCTGGGATGTGCAAGGTGTTCATGCCTGGGAAATCTTCAGAGTCTCTGAAAAGCCTGGGGGAGGCCGGCATGCCTGGCACAGCAGATGAAGGTAGGGTGTTTCCAGTGCCTGGGGACAGCCACGAATGGGGCATATGATGGAAGTCACAGCCATTTTAGAGGCCCTGCAACTGACACGGGAAATAGGAAAGCCACGTGATATTTGAACTGATGAGTCATCAGCGTGCTCAACTAGAATCCAACAGATTCCCCTCACCATCTTCAAACCACAAGAGTGGCTTAGTCTGATGTCTGTAGTGGCAGGGTTGGCTTTGTTACCCCAAGTGATCGATGGGGAAACTGAGGGAGCTGGAGTAATTTGCTCAAGGTCATTTATCTAGTAACTGGCAGAGCTTGGACTTGGACCCATGTCTGTCAGCTGCCAAAGCCAGGATTCGGGGCTGTGTCACAGTCTCACAGGGAAGTCTCATAGGAAAGGCAGGAAGTGCATGTGCGTCTGCTGGGATTATTCTGAGAGACCACCCTCTCACACAACATCATCTGGAACTTCCCTGCCAGGCTTTTTTTATTTTTTTTTTCCTTTCTTTCGGTGGCATCTCTGCTTTCTTTGTATCCATTCCCAAGACCAAGGAGTGGGGCTGACGTGTTTGGTATACAGTCCCTGTCTGTATGGTTCTCTAAAGCAGGCCACAAAGCAGCTGTGGTGTTGAACCCCTGAAATCCTCAGCTGAGTGTGGTGGCTTGCCAGTGCAGGGAGGAAAGAGTATCTTGGGAAGAGGAAAGAGCTTGCGGAAGGCCCAGGGATGTTAATGAGTGTGGTGTAATCGGGGCAAAGCAACTCAGGGGGGCTGGAGCTCAGCATGGATGGGGCCAATGGTGAGGATAAGGGGAGAGATGACAGCAAGGACTAAAGGATGAAGGTCTGTAAAAGACATGCCAAGGACCCTGGGTGGCATCTTGTAGGTAATGGGCATAGGTGGGAGGGTGGCGATCCCTGGTTTTGCCATGCGAAAGGGAGAGACTGCCTCGGCTCCATCTGGGACTGTTGCAGTGACCCACCAAGAAGACCAAGCATGTCATTCCTTATACTGATGAAGCATTTTGTAGGTTTCAAAATCTGTCCACATTCATCATGGAATTTGAGGTACATGGGGAGGATGTTATTATTTCTGGTTGACACATTCTGGCCCTGAGGCCTTTGTTGCCATGTGTATAATGAGTATACACTCTGCTCTCATGCTTGCTGTTTGCACTCTCCTAATGATCTCTTTCGATAAACAGAAGTTCTTATTTTTAATATAGACCAGTTTGTCGAGTTTGTCTTATATGTTTCATGTGTGTGCCCTGTTTAAATATTTTTACTTACCTTAAGATCATAAAGATACGGCATTTTTTGAGTGTGAAAACCAGAAAGTAACTGAGACAGGTCTCAATCAATTTAGAGGTTTATTTTACCAAAAGGTTAAGGCCCAGGGGCTTTGGACACAGCCTCAGGAGGTCCTGAGAACATGTGCACAAGATGGCTGTGTTACAGCTTGGTTTTATACGTTTTAGGGAGATAGAAGTTACAGGCAAAGACATAAGTCAATACATGGAAGATACACATTGTTTGGCCTGGAAAGGTGGACTTTTGGAAGCCAGGGGCTTCCAGGTCATAGGTGGAGTCAAAGATTCCTGGTTGGCAATTGGTTGAAAGAATTAAGCCTTGCCTGAAGAGTTTGAGGTCAGCAGAAATAAATGCTCAAATATAAATAAGGGGGTTGTGAAAGCCCAGGTTCTTGTCATGTGGATTAAGCCTCCAGGTAGCAGCCATCACAGAGAATAGATGGTAAATTTCTCTTATTGGACATTAAAAGATATCAGACTTGGGCCGGGCACGGTGGCTCACGCCTGTAATCCCAGCAGTTTGGGAGGCTGAGGCGGCTGGATCACCTGAGGTAGGAGTTTGAGACCAGCCTGGCCAACATGATGAAACCCCGTCTCTACTAAAAATATAAAAAATTAGCTGGACGTGGTGGCGGGCACCTGTAATTGAAGCTACTTGGAAGACTGAGGCAGGAGAATCACTTGAACCCAGGAGGCAGAGGTTGCAGTGAGCAGAGATTGTGCCATTGCACTCCAGCCTGGGCAACAAGAGTGAGACACTGTCTAAAAAAAAAAAGGTGTCAGACTCTCCAAAAAAAAAAAAAACCTACTAAGGGAAGGAGATTCTCTACAGAATGCAAATTTCCCCCACAAGAGACAGCTTTTCAGGAACATTTCAGACTATGTCAGAGAAACATTTTTGGGGGTAAGAAACTTTGATATCTGTTATCTGTCATGCGATGCTCTGCCACAGTCAGGTCGGAATTCAGTGTCTTATTGCTGCAGTCTATTTTGTCAGTCTTAATATCTCTGTTTCAGTGTTCATGCTTGTCGGTTATACCTAAACTCCAAAGCTAGGCATGTCTGATGCCCTTTTTCCATCATGGCCTGGACTAGTTTTCCAGATTTCTCTGGGATTCCCTTGGTCAAAAGGGAGATACATTCGGTCATTTGAGGGGCTCAGAATTTTATTTTTGGCTTACAGTGGAAATCTAGAAAAGACCTTTCTGAGTAAGTGACATTTCAGCACTAAAGGACACCGGGGAGAGGGCCAGGAACCCGGGCACACATCTCAGGCGACCATGCTGACCCCTCTGCTTGGGACGCCGAGGAGAGGGCCAGGGACCCGGGCACACATCTCAGGCGACCATGCTGACCCCTCTGCTTGGGACGCCGAGGAGAGGGCCAGGGACCCGGGCACACATCTCAGGCGACCATGCCAAGGAGAGGGCCAGGAATCTGGGCACGCATCTTAGGCGACCATGCTGACCCCTCTGCTTAGGATGCCGAGGAGAGGGCCAGGAACCCGGGCATGCATCTCAGGCGACCATGCCGAGGAGAGGGCCAGGAACCTGGGCACGCATCTTAGGTGACCATGCTGACCCCTCTGCTTAGGATGCCAAGGAGAGGGCCAGGAACCCAGGCATGCATCTCAGGCGACCATGCTGACCCCTCTGCTTGGGATGCCTTTTCCTTCAGTTGGACCCTGTCTTTGGAACCACAAATCCCTTTCCCCCTCAGGTTAGACTGCAGCAGAGAGGGCAGACAGCCAAGGAAAGAAATGCAGCAGCAGCACTGTTTGTCTTAGAGTCCTAGGAGTTCATGGACTTGTGGCTGGCAGGAAACAACAACATCAAATGCATCAAGAATTGCCTTAAGGTTGACAGAGGTGAAGGCAGGAAGTTGAGGTATGCTTTCAGGACAGCTTTTGGCCTCCTGAGCCACTTAGAAGAAAGGACACACCTTTAAAGCACTAGAGACAAACAAAGGGCAGTGCGCCTGCAACCTCCCACATTTCCTAGTGAGTTTGATTTGATTTAAGAGGCTTTTTTGCAAAGTGAAAATCAATAAAAACAGAACTGGCAGGTCTCCCCTGCAGAGAGCCTATGAGTGCCTTCCATCAGGAACACGCTTCTGGGACAGCGGCTCCAGGTCCTCCCTCGGGACAGAGAACTTCGGGCGTGTCTTCAGAGCTGCACTGCCCATTTCTCGGACCCCAGGCTGGGTTTATTCATCAGTGCCAAGAAGGGCCCTGAGCAGGTGTGAAGTGACAGTGTTGTCTTCAGAGCAGCAGTAACTGTGGTCTAGCTGGTCCTAGGTCGGGGGCAACAAGCAGTGGTTTCAGGCTTGTCAAATTTTGGTCGCTGCTCACCTTGGTTGACAGCGATTTGGGGATAAAGAGTGGCTAAGCACGAAGGCTCCAGAGCCAAGACTGTCAGGCTTGAATCCTGCCTCTGCCATTTACATCCTCTGGGACTGTGGGCAAGTGACTTACACTCTGTGCCTCAGTTCCCTCATCTGCAAAATGAGGATAAGAAACCAGCATGTTGAGTGGATTCATGGAGTCAACATGGGCAAAGCACCTGGAACAGCATTGACGTGGAGTCCACACTCAGAGAATGTCATTCGCCAACAGTTTCATGCAGTCATTACATCTACTGAGGCAAAAATGGATTCCTAGATTCCAGAAGGTATTTGAACTTCCTTAACTATCAGGTTGTAGCAACGGGAAAATTATTAGAATAAAGTAAAGAAGTTTCCTGGCTGTTAAGAAATTTAAGAAAGTTAACTACCAGAAAATTATTGGAATATTTCCGATGGCCAAGTGCATGTTTGCCTGAAACATTCTGATAAAGGAGGCAAAAGTAACTGGGATTGCAGGCACATGCTACCACATCTAGCTGATTTTTTTTTTTTCTTGTAGAGACGTGGTCTCCTTTTGTTGCTTAGCCTGGATTCGAACTCCTGAGCTCAAGTGACCTTCCCACCTTGGCCTCCCAAAGTGCAGAGAATACAGTTGTGAGCCTCCATTCCTAGCCCCATTGCACTTTTTAATATGTAAGTGTGAAAAATAATGGCCAGGTGCAGTGGCTCACATCTTAATTCCAGCACTTTGGGAGGCCAAGGCAGGCAGATCAGTTGAGGTCAGGAGTTTGAGACCAGCCTGGCCAACATGGTGACACCCCATCTCTACTAGAAAATATAAAAATTAGTGGGGCGTGGTGGTGCACACCTGTAGTCCCAGCCACTCAGGAGGCTGAGACAGTCAAGTCACTTGAACCTGGGAGGTGGAGGTTGCAGGTCGCAGTGAGCCGAGATCATGCCACCACACTCCAGCCTAGGTGACAGAGTAAGACTCCAACTCAAAAAAAAAAAAAAAAAAAAGAAAAGAAAAATACATCAACTCCATAATACATTTAAAGGTTTCCTTCTTGGTGGGATGGTCAGTCAAGGTTTTCTCTCTGCATAGAGACGAACTTATGACTCAAGAACTTTGCATTTGAGTAGGGGTCATTAGAGGATAGAAGAAGGAGTTGGAGGTCATTCCCTGCATCTCTGGCACCCTGACAAGGCTGTGGCCTTTTTCTGAGTCTGGTTCTTTGGGGTTCCTGTTGTTTTAGTTGGTCCTCATCTTCCATATAAATCTCTAGCCTCTCTTTCTGTTGCTTCTGAGCAAAAATCTTGGGTTCTGCCCTCTATCCATGAGTGTCCTGTGCCATTAAACAAACACTGTCCCTTGAGGACTGAGAAGCATTTGGGGTCACAGATGGGCATCACTCCTGCCAGAAGTCCATAGGTGACTGTCATGCTAGAGGTCCTACAGCTGCCCCAGCAGGTAGCATGTGAGCTTGGTGGCCCAGGATGCAGCTGATCTGTTCTGAGCCACTGTCGATATGGCCACGGACACACCTTCCTTCTCGTCTCTCCTTTCTTTCTTTTTTTTTTTTTTTTTTTTTTTTGAGACAGAGTCTCACTCTGTCACCCAGGCTGGAGTGCAGTGGCACGATCCCTGCTCACTGCAAACTTCGCCTCCTGGGTTCAAGCGATTCTTCTGCCTCAGCCTCCCGTGTAGCTGGGACTACAGGCACACGCCACCACACCCAGCTAATTTTTGTATTTTTAGCAGAGATGGGGTTTCATCATATTGGTCAGGCTGGTCCTGACCTCGTGATCCTCCCACCTTGGCCTCCCAAAGTGCTGGGATTACAGGCGTGAGCCACAGTTCCTGGCTGGTCGTCTCTCCTTTCTTAACTCAACAAAGGAGAGAGTAAGTTAGAGCAATGTTTGCAAACTTCATTTGCCCAAACCAAGAATTCCCCAGGGATTCCCAGAACTAAAGGAGTGAGGAAGTGGGCAAGCAGGAGGGGTCCAGGGACCCTGGCATACCTTTAGTGCTCACATTAACCCATTTAACGTTATGGGGTTTTCTGGAAAATTATTTGTTTAACATCGAGACTTCTGCAGCTCACAGGGTTTCTATGAAGAACCTTCTAGCACAGACAGCCTATGTCCAAGCTCTATCTTGCCTGAAACTTTCTCAAAAGGCATTTTTTCCCGTGAGAAATATTTTAGAAAATTGGCCTGAAAGGGGTTTTAAAATATCTTCTTTGCATAAATATTTTATCTTCCAAAATCATTTGTTTCAAAATGTTTTCAGAATTATTTGGAAGAGGAGGGTGGGGAGTCTTTCAGTAGTGACGGTAACTTGTAACACTTGGTTCACAGAATGTCCCCTGCCCAGGACAGGGCCGCAGCTGACCTCCCTCATCAGGGGCTGCTGGCCCACTACCTGGCACCGCAAAGAGTAGCCCCCACAGGGCTGGCCTTTTTCTTTTACGAAGGACCCAGCCATGTGATGTCACTATCCTCACACAATCCTGTGGCCTGGCATCAGTTTACAGAAGACAGTTTGGATCATCACAGGGCAGGTGAGTTTTCTCTGGGTTTCACAGTGTATATCAGGGGATCTGGGCTCACATGCACGTCTTTTGAGTTCCAGCCCAGTGGTTTTCCCACGACATGCCAGTGCTGAGGGAGACCACTTATTTGAACATAATAAGCTTAGAAGAGAGGCCTTATAGAAGGAGATGACTTGGAGGGCAATGGAGGAGGGTGTGTGCCGTGAGAGGAAGGCTCAGAACGAGGCCCTGACCACAGCAGGTGTGAGGGTCAGGGAGGGGAAGAGGAGCCAGGGATGGACTGAGAAAGCCTGACCAGAGAGCTGGAAGGAAGAGCACAGGGCCCAGAAGCCAAGAGAATATGTGTTGAGGAGAAGAGCGTGGCCGCTGGTACACGTGCGTGCAGGACAGAAGATGCTTACTAGATAGAGAGGAAATGATAATTCTGGAGAAATACTTTCCTTGAGATTTCCATTTTTCTTCCCCTGGATGACCAATATCCTTTTCTTTGGAAAGGTGCGATATTGTAGCTCATAGCAAAGCCAGGGAGTGGGAAGGGAGGGATGCTGTTCTGCTGTGTCCTGACTTTGGCTGCAACGATCAGATTCAAAAACTATTCTTGTTGCAGGACCTGGGGGAAAGGTCATGTGTGGCCTCCTGGATTCCCTTTATCAGCCCTGTGCAGAGGAGCTCTCCGGACCAAGCCGCTTCTCTGTTTTTGTACCAGTCCCTGTAACAGGCTTCTGTGAGGTGGGAGCAGCTGAGGATTGCAGTTTCCTTCAAGGCCTAATGAGGTGAAAGGGGCCTGGGGGTGATTCAGGTCAGTGTGCTTGGAGCGTGTTCATCTTCCAGGAGAGAATTATATGAACAGTCACCTCAGGTTTCCTTTGTAGACACGCTCTAAGGTGTGTTTAAGTTTGCGTGGCTAAAGCCTGTTGGGGCACAGGCTGGAGCCCAGTCCAGAGCTCCCTGCAGCCGCCTGAAAGCAGGTCTCTTAATGGCGTCTCTGGGTGGGTGACAGCTGAGCCCTTCACAGACTGGCTAGATCATTGTCCACGTCCTCATGGTACTCTGTGTCCTCAGAACCACACAGGTTATTTAACTGAAGGCTGTAAGATCTTCTGCATCAAGGGTTTGTGCTGGAATCAAAGTCTTCTCCAGTTTGGCTATTTTATTGTTCTCACCTTGTTTTCACCTCATCAAGATTCACTGTTTGTATTTCTGTTGTTATGTTTCATATCAACAGTTTTTAGATGAGATTATAAAATCATCTGCGTGTGAAATGAAGGAAATGGTTAGAAGGCCTTTGGGTACTTTCAAACAAAGAGAGGGGAGAAGGGAGGGAGGAGGGATAGAGTGAGAACTGTGTGATATGTGTGTGCACACAGTCATGTGTGTGAAGCATGAGCATGTGGCCTGTGTTTAAGGTCCATGGGGAGGATTGTTTTTCTATCTTTTTTTTTTTTAGACTGATCTCGCTCTGTTGCCAGGCTGGAGTGCAGTGGCACGATCTCAGCTCACTGCAGCCTCCACCTCCCGGGTTCAAGTGATTCCCCTGCCTCAGCCTCCTGAGTAGCTGAGACTACAGGTGGCGCCACCACGCCTGGCTTATTTTGATTTTATTTTATTTTATTTTTGTATTTTAGTAGAGACGGGGTTTCACCATGTTGGCCAGGCTTGTCTCGATCTCCTGACCTCATGATCCGCCCGCCTCGGCCTCCCAAAGTGTTGGGATTACAGGTGTGAGCCACCGCGCCCAGCTGTATTTCTATCTTTGTTTACGGTTTTGTTGTTCTGCTTCCTAATTCTTTTATATACTTCTCTTCCATAATCTTCATAAAGAATCCTTTAGGGCTATTTCATTCCATTTCTATAGCCAGTCCTGTGCTTACATAGTCACTGGGCTCCTGCCCACCCCCATCCCAGCTTCCATCCACAAAAGGTCAAATAAAAGAAAGGCCTCCAAGGGGGCTGGTGCCTATCAGAGGGTCTCAGGCAACTGAACAGTTTAGGGCTAGATGTGGTTTAAGATATAGCTTGATCCATGGCTCAAATGGTATGACAGAATGGAATCTCTCTCCATTTGATGACTTTGCTTCTTAAAGAACTGTCCAATTCCTGACATTTGTCATGCAAAATGCAAAATGGCCATTAGCATTTTTTTTTTTTTTTGCAGCATTTACTTCTGGGCACAAATCTAGCCTTTCTAGCAATGTTCTGAGATCCACTCTGAATGGACTGACTTCAATTCTATGTCCACCTGAGCCAATCATATGTCACTGGGGGAAGGGGGTCATTGATTGGCCAGGCTAGGGTTGTAAGCTCTGCCTCTAAACTTGTGGGGCAGTCAGTTCCAGCAACAGCTTACAGAGGAGGGGCATGGTGGTCCTTCTGAAAGGAATGGTCATTGCTGAGCAGCACGATAAAAAAGGTAATTGTGCCATTTACCATCTCTCGGACTTACTATCTTATTTACAGACAAGGAAACTAATGATATCTACCTCCTAAGGATGTTATAAAAATGAAATAAAATTATCCATGTAAAACATTTAGTTCATTGCTTGACCCTTAGGAAGCTTCTAATAGATGTTCTCTGTTATGCTAATTATTACCTCTTATCCTTAAAGATTTGGTTTCTTCCAGACAAACCATATCTGTGTGAATGAAACTGAGGCTAACATGAAGCCGCTCATCTTGTGGGGCCAAATTGAGGGGCATAGGCATAGTCGTTAGGAGTGATCCTTGGGGAAAAGCTTCCAGGAGGAGGTGCTCCTTGTTCTGAGCCTGGAACAAAGAAACAGGATATAAGGAATCCTAGTGAAACCAGTGACCACCAATGAAAGAAATCCCAGCCAAAGTGGATTCAGGGAACAGAAAGTATTGGCTGCTGTAGCTGAACAGCTTGAGGGCTAGGGTTGACTTCAGGTGGTCTTATGGAGAGTAAAAGCCTCCTCAGAATTCAGCTTATTTCTTTATTTATGTACTCATTTATTCTTTTAGCTGTAGAGACAGTGTCTTACTACATTGCTCAGGCTGGTCTCAAACTCCTGAGCTCAAACGATCTCTCACCTCACCCTCCCAAGTTACTGGGATTACAGGCGTGAGCCACCACAACTGTCTCTGGACAGGCAGTTGACACATTTCCACCACAAACATGCTCATTACAAAACCCAGTAGAAGGCCGGGTGCAGTGGTTCCCGCCTGTCATCCCAGCACTTTGGGAGGCTCACGCGGGTGGATCAACTGAGGTCAGGAGTTCAAGACCAGCCTGGCCAACATGGTAAAACGCCGTCTGTACTAAAAATACAGAAAATTAGCTGGGCATGGTGGTGGGCGCCTGTAATCCCAGCTACTTGGGAGGCTGAGGGAGAAGAATCACTTGAACCCAGGAAGCAGAGGTTGCAGTGAGCCGAGGTTGCACCATCTCAAAGAAAACCTCCATCTCAAAAAAAAAAAAAAAAAGCAAAAAACAAAAAAACCCCACAAAACCCAGAAGAGGAAAGTTCCTTGTAACTTTCCCCCCTTCCTTCCCAACCCCGGGGTAGTCACTGTGAGCAGTTGCTACTGTGTTTCTCCAGGTGCTCTCTGTGCCTGTGGTAATATATGAATGGTAGGTAATATGGTTCAGTGAGATCATCTGTGCATGTTGTTAGGCAATTTTCTGTTGCACTTCATAGACCTTGGTTATTTTACTGCCTTACTAGTGTAGATATGCTTTGTCATATCTAATGTCTGTATGGTATTCTCAGGAATGAATGTAGCCTAATGTGTTTAATCAGTGCTGGGCATGGGGCATGGTTTGGAATGATGCAGGTGAGTGACAAGAATCCAGTGCAGGCTTGGGGAGAGAGCCGCAAGCCATCTCAGCCATGAAAATGTCAGCATTGTCACATCAGGGGAAGGACGGGGCGTAGCTCATGTCGTCCAGGCCACAGTTTGCTGCCCCCTGACAAATCAGACTCCCCAGAGGCATCAGTGAAACCTCATTACCAGTGGCGGGTTAATGAGCAGCTGGAGCTGCTGTGGTGGAGCTCAAAAAAATTACAAAGATGTCATCAGAGAAGCTCAAGGCCCTTTCACAGGTGTCATCCCCTGTACGAGATCTGAAAGGATGAAAATGTTATGATCATTATTACTCTGCTAATAGCTAAACAATAAGAGAAAAAAGAAATCACCTACCAAAGATCATTGCAACTCAAAATTGTGCTGGAAGGACACTGTGGCTTTATAAAAAGCCACTCCTCAAAGTCAAACACCATAGCTTGCTGAGAGAGAAGTAGAAAATCAATTATTAATGCAGCCCTAGCCTGGCTTGTGCTTCTCATAGAGAACCAGATCTTTTAATAGGGGAGGGAAATCGGTGAGGGTGTAGGGGAAATGGTAATAAACAAAGATGAAAACCTACTGCAATCGTGTGCTGCCTGTCATGGGAGAGCAGAAACAACGTTCAAAGACCGAGGGAATAGTAAAATGGAAACAAGCAAAAGAGCCTTGCATTGAGATGAAGTAGTAATCAGGCTGCCTTCATGAGCCTTCCTGGTCATTTAGCTAAACGTGTAAACACACTTCTAATGTAGGGTCCTTTCCTCCGCTTCTAAGTAGCTTCCCTGTAGCTATGTAAGGGCAAAAGGGGAATTTTTAAAACATTTTTCTTTTTTAAATTTTATTTCAATAGCTTTTAGGGGTACAGGTGTTTTATGGTTACATGGATAAATTGTATAGCAGTAAAGTGTGTTCTTTTAGTGCACTGTCACCCAAATAATGTAGCATACCCCATAGGTAGTTTTTATCTCTGACCTCTCCCACCCTCCCCCTTCTGAGTCTCCCATGTCCATCATACCCATCTGCCTTTGTGTACCCATAGCTTAGCTCCCGCTTATAAGTGAGGACATGCAGGATTTGGTTTGGTTTTGTATTCCTGAGTTACTCAGGATAATAACCCCCATTTCCATCCAAGTAGCTGCAAAAGATATTATTTCATTCTTTTTTATGTCTGACTAGTATTCTGTCGCATACATGTATCACATTTTCCAAAAGGGGAAATTGAAGGTTATTCAGGGCACATTTCCACCTCAGCACTACTGGCATTTTGAACTGAACAATTCTTTGTTGTGAGGAACCATGCTGTGTACTAGAGGATGTTAAGCAGTGTCCCTGGCCCCTATCCACTAGATGCAGTAGCATTCTCCCGGTTGTAACAATTAGAACGATCTGTGCACATTGCCAGAGTCCCCTGGGGGGTGCAGAATACCCCTAGCTGAGATCCAGGGAGGCTGCTATGCACACAGTGTTTGAGGTGGCCCAGCCCCTAGCCTTTGCTCTGGGTCAGGAGGAGGAAAGCCAGGCTTCCCTTTGCTTTCCCCTGCCAACGCAGTGCAGCCATATTCCATCTCACCCCATCAAACCACCTTGCAGAACAGAAACGGTCCCTGCAAACACATCCATTTTCAGAAGCCCAGATATGTTGAGGTCCTAGTAGCATCTAGCTGAGACCTAGGACCTCCTAATGCTAGAACCCTGCTCCAGCACAGCCCCTGCTTTGTGTTCTTGGAAGCTTTGGGTTCTTGGGAGCTTGGAAGATACACCAAATGTGAGTTCTGTAGTAGCATTAGGCCCCAACCCGAAAGTCATCCTCTGGTGATCGAGGCAGGACTGCTGGGAGGGCTTCTATTACCAAATGTAGCCTGAGCCTGTCTTTTCCCTCTTTATGGACTCAGGCCCAGTAACCACTCAAAGATGGAGACATACTGTTTCAGAGAAAAGCAAGGCAGAGAAGTAGGCAAGGCAGAGAGAGCTTTTCTCCCTAAGGCCTAGAACTGGTCTCCTCTTCTCAAGTGGAAGCAGCCCCAGGGGCTTGTGCACTGGCCTCCAAGACCAGGGTGTCTCCCACTCTGCTCACTGCAGAAGAGCTGTGGTCGGTGGTCTCCAAGGAGGGCTGCCATCAACTCCCTGCCTATTGAATTACCTTGGCAGCTTGTTGAAAACCGAATGAATCAAACATGTGTAGAACTCCTTCTGGATTCCCTCCTCTTTTCTGTTATCTATTTGTCTATTCTTATGCCAGTATCACATTGTCTTATTTACTATATGTTTTATGGTAAATGTTGAAATCAGTTAGTGAGACTTCTCCAATTTTTTCCTCCTCATTAAAAGTTGTTCTGATGATTGTCGGTTATTTTTATTTCGATATAAATTTTAGGCCTAACTTGTAATTTCTATTAAAGTTCTTATTGAAATTCTGATTTGTATTGTATGAACTATATAGATCAATTTATAGGAAACTGACATATTCATAATATTGAGTCTTCTGGCTGGGCGTGGTGGCTCAAGCCTGTAATCCCAGCACTTTGGGAGGCCGATGCAGACGGATCACCTGAGGTCGGGAGTTTGAGACCAATCTGGCCAACATGGTGAAACACCATCTCTACTAAAAATAGAAAAATTAGCCCAGCATGGTGGTGCGCACCTGTAATCCTAGCTACTCCAGAGGCTGAGGCAGGAGAATTGCTTGAACCTGGGAGGCGGAGGTTGCAGTGAGTGGAGATCATGCCACTGCACTCCAACCTGAGCAACAGAGCAAGACTCCATCTCAAAAAAATAAAAAAAATAAAATATTGAGTCTTCTAATCAATGACTATTTCATATCTCTTTAAATTTTTCTTACTTTCTCTCATCAATGTTTTCCGTTTTCAGTGGTCTTGCATGTCTTTTGTTAAATTTACTCTCATATATTTATATTTTATGATGTTATTATAAATGAAATTTTTATAAATGAAGTGTTCATTTTATAAATTTTATAAATGAAATGTTTAATTGTTTGCTGCTAGTACACAGAAATACATTTTTTATATCGACCTTGTATCATGTGATCATGCTAAATATTTGTGTAGATTATTTAAATTTTCTATGGAAACAATCAAGTCTATGAATAAAAACAGTTTTACTTTGTTCTTTTCAATTTTTATGCATTTTTGTTTTATTTATTTGCCTTACTGAAGTAGATAGGATTTTCAAGACAATGTTGAATAAGAATAATGAGAGTGGATATCTTGACTTTTTTATTCTTAAAGGGGCAGTATTTAATGTTTCACCTTTAAAAATGACTTAGCTGTAGGTTTTTCTCAGATACTCTTTATAAGGTTAAGAAAGTTGCATTCTAGTCCCAGTTTTCTGAAAGCTTTTTAAAAATGTGTTGAATTTTGACATTGGTTGATTTTTAAATGTTAAACCAATCTTGTATTTCTGGAGTAATCATAGTTGGTCATTATACTTTTTAAAATATCACTAGATTTTATTTTCTAATATTTTGCTTAAGACTTTTTTAACTATAGTCCAAAGCAAACTCTTTCCTGATTCAGCACACAATCTGTAATGTTCATTGCTCTATAGATTACTCTTTTTGTTATTATTATTATTATACTTTAAGTTTTAGGGTACATGTGCACAACGTGCAGGTTTGTTACATATGTATACATGTGCCATGTTGGTGTACTGCACCCATTAACTGGTCATTTAGCATTAGGTATATCTCCTAATGCTATCCCTCCCCCCTCCCCCCACCCCACAACAGTCCCCAGTGTGTGATGTTCCCCTTCTTGTGTCCATGTGTTCTCATTGTTCAATTCCCACCTATGAGTGAGAACACACGGCGTTTGGTTTTTTGTCCTTGCGATAGTTTCCTGAGAATGACGATTTCCAGTTTCATCCATGTCCCTACAAAGGACATGAACTCATCATTTTTATGGCTGCATAGTATTCCATGGTGTATATGTGCCACATTTTCTTAATCCAGTCTATCGTTGTTGGACATTTAAGTTGGTTCCAAGTCTTTGCTATTGTGAATAGTGCCTGTATAAACATACGTGTGCATGTGTCTTTATAGCAGCATGATTTATAATCCTTTGGGTATATACCCAGTAATGGGATGGCTGGGTCAAATGGTATTTCTAGTTCTAGATCCCTGAGGAATCGCCACACTGACTTCCACAATGGCTGAACTAGTTTACAGTCCCACCAACAGTGTAAAAGTGTTCCTATTTCTCCACATCCTCTCCAGCACCTGTTGTTTCCTGACTTTTTAATGATCGCCATTCTAACTGGTGTGAGATGGTGGTATCTCATTGTGGTTTTGATTTGCATTTCTCTGATGGCCAGTGATGATGAGCATTTGTTCTTGTGTTTTTTGGCTGCATAAATGTCTTCTTTTGAGAAGTGTCTGTTCATATCCTTCGCCCACTTTTTGATGGGGTTGTTTGTTTTTTTCTTGTAAATTTGTTTGAGTTCATTGTAGATTCTGGATATTAGCCCTTTGTCAGATGAGTAGATTGCAAAAATGTTCTCCCATTCTGTAAGTTGCCTGTTCACTCTGATGGTAGTTTCTTTTGCTGTGCAGAAGCTCTTTAGTTTAATTAGATCCCATTTGTCAATTTTGGCTTTTGTTGCCATTGCTTTTGGTGTTTTTATACATCTTTCTGTGACCTATGAAAGCAAAATGTAAATTATAAGATATAATGTATAACAACATCTATAACCTATCTGTCTCTTTTTTCCCCCTCAATAAATAGGCTTCTTTGTTGTTTAAAAGAAAAAAAAGACTTTTTTAACTATAGTCATGAGAGACCATTGGTCTGTAGTTTTTGTTGTTTTGTTTTGTTTTGTTTTGTTTTGTTTTGTTTTGTTTTGTAATTACCTTGTCAAGTTTTATGTCAAAACTTATGCTGGTCCATATAACATATTCCCTCCTTTACTATTTTTCAAAGTGTTTGGGTAAGATTAGCACTATTTCTTCTTTAAATGCTTGATAGATTTCATTAATAAAACAATGTGAGCCTGGAGTTTTCTTTATGATAAGTTATTTTGATAATGTATTCTGCTTCTTTAATAGATATTGGGCTATTAGATTTTTTATCTCTTTTGTTTTAGTTTTGGTAAGTTGTGTTAATGATATCCCCTTCTTTCACTGACAATGTTGGTATTTGTGTTTTCTCTCTCTTTTTCTTTATTTGTTTCACTTGGGTTTATCAATTTTATTCATCTTTGAAAAGATCCAGCTCTTAGTTTTATTGACTTTACTGCTTGTTTTCTATTTATTGATTTTTGCCATATTTTTATTATTTTCGTCCTTCAACGTACTATTTTTTTCTAAATGTATATCACTTCAGGTAAAATATTAAAAAAGTGTTCTACTTATTTTGGGCATACTTTGCTTTTCTTTCTCTAGCTTTTTAAAGTGGAAGCTTAGATAATTGTTTTTAAGTCTACTTTGCTTTTAAACATTTAAAGCTATACATTTTCCTCAAAAAACTGCTTTACCTGCATCTCACAGATTTTTATATGCCTAATTTTTTAGCATTCAGTTCAAAATATTTTATTATTTCCATTTAGACAGAATTCTTCTTTGTCTTACACATATTGGCACTGGCAACTTTAGTTTTAGGCTACATTTCAAGGAGGTTGAATAACAAATATCATTAGAAAATAGAGACAGCACTTCTCTGGAGTAGAGAGAAGACTTGTTTGCTGCCTAACGTAATAAAGATAATATCTCCCTCTGGAGAAAATGTTGGACAGATTTGCCTACTGAATTTCCTAGCTTAGGGTTCTTTAAATGTGATACAAAACTACTGTGTGTATAGCATTTATCTGGGCAGCTCCACATCTCTCACTGGGACTGGAGGGGTAAGAGGGACTTGGGTAAATACGAAACTCATGCTGCTTGCTGTGCTATGGACAATTAATTTCTTTACCTCTGACTCAGGAGTTTTGTGTCCTCTGCCACCATCTGTGAAATTGTGGCAGGCAAACTTGTTAGCTTGCAAACAGAATACGAACTCAGACCCTTCATGGTTCTTGACAATTTCCTTTGAGATTTTTTTTTTGACCTATGCATTAGGTAGTAGTTGTTTAATTTCTAAATATTTTGCATAATTCCAGGCATGTTATTTTTATTGATTTCTAATTTAATTCTGTTGTGGTCAGAGAACCTACTATGTAAGATCTCAATCCTTTAAAAACATTGAGACTTATTTTGTGTCCCAGCATATTGTATCTAAAATATATGTTTCATGTGCACATAAACAAGTTACATATTTATAGTGTATGGATGCAATGTTTATTGTTAACCCAGTAAAATTGGCTAATAATGTTATTCAAACAAATAGTTGTTTTTCTTAGGCTTGCTCTTTGTGTGGAATATTTATTTGCATCTTAGTACTCTCAAACAATCTGCAGTTTTATATATAAAGTATGCCTCTTATAGGTAGCATATGGTTGGATATTGCTTTTAATATCTAGTGTGACTATTACTGCATCTTAATAGGAATGTTTAGTACATTTACATTTAATGTAATTATTGGTATGGCTGGGTTTAAGTATATCTATCATATTGCTATTTGTTTTTTTAGTCATCCCAACTATTTTTTTCCTTTGTTCTTCCTTTCTTGCCGTCACATGGATTAATCAGATATTTTTAGTGTTTCATTTTAATTTATCCACTGATATTTAGCTTAACTTCATTGTATATTTTAGAGATTTTTCTAAGTATTTATATACACATATACTTACCATAGTCTACTTAGAGTACATACTGTGCCACTACTTATACAATGCAAGAAACTTCTAACAGTAAAACTACTCTCCTCTTACAGTCCTTTATGCTATCATTGTATATATTTTGTTATCTATCCACATAATAAATGATATAATACAATGTTATTCTTTCTGGTTTAATCAGTCAATTTTATAAATTCCCAGCCTGGGCGACAGAGAGAGACTCTATCTCAAAAAAAAAACAAAACAAAATTAGCATACAGTAGAATTGGCCCTTTTGGTATTGGTATACAGATGCATGCATATTAACACACGTATGTTGTTACTGTTATATTAACTGTTATAGTAATACTGTTATATATATACTGTTATATTAACTGTTATATTAACATATGTATGTTGTTAATATGCATGATTGGCCCTTTTGGTATATTGGTATACAGATACATGCATATTAACACATGTGTAAACACCACCATAGTCAGAATTCAGAATAGTTCTATCATCCCCAAAACTTTCCTGATTCTGTTCCATTGTAAGTCACACTCACCTCCATTCCGAATCCCTGACAATCAGTTATCTGTTTTCTATCACTGTAGTCTTTTGGAAACTGTTATATAAATGAAATCTGTAGTATCAACTTTGATTCTGGCCTCATTTACTGAGCATTCAGATTGCTACGTGTATCAATAGTTTGTTGCTTTTTAGTGCTAAGTAGTGTTTCATTGTGTGGATGTACTAAAGTTTGCTTATGTATTCACCTAAGGGTTTTAGGGATTTGGGGACTGAGCTAGGAAAAACATATGACAATGAGAGGCAGTAACACACAACTTTATTGAGTGGCAGTAAGACAGGGTTGCATGAGACAGTCTAATGAGACCACCAATGAGAAAGGGAATAAGGCAAGAGAACTCTGGAGGGAGGGTTGAATATGGGGCTTATGTATGTATCTCAAGGGTGTCTCACAGCAGCACAGCAGGAAGTCTTGGGTCAGGCAAACCAAAGGCAGCAGGAATTTTGGGTTTTATAACTGCAAGGCCCTATTTATCAGTAGGTAACAGCTGTTGGGTGAGGTTTCTTGGAGTATGCAAAGCAGGAAAGCTCTAAATAGCTAAAAATTTGCTTGTTCAGGCAATTTTATAAATAACTCGGTATGTACAAATTTGAGTTTGGTTTGGGCAGGATTTTGAGCTAACTGGTCTCAACCTACAATAAACATAGGGGCCAAAACACAGAGGCCATCTTTGGCTCATTTATGTAACCATTCATCCCTTGAAGAACATCTGGGTTGTTTCCAGTGGGCAATTATAAACAGAGCCTCTATCAACATTCCTGTACCAGTTTTAGAATGAACATAAATTTATATTTCTCTAAGTACTCAGGAGTAGAATTGACGTTCTGTCATATGGTAAGTGTGTGTTTCACTTTATAAGAAACTTGCTGTTTCCCAGAGTGGCTGAACCATTTTGCATTCCCACAGCAATGTTTGCAGTTCCAACTGTTCTGCATGGTCACTCTCACTTGACATTGTCGTTATTTTTATTTATGTGTGTAATTGCATTTCAACAAGGTTTTAATTTGCATTTTCATAATGACTAACGATGTTAAATATCTTTTCATGTGCTCATTTGCTCTCCTTAAATACTGTTTGGTAAAGTGTCTGTTCACCTCTTTTGCCCATTTTTTAATTTGGTTGTTTGCTTACTTATTGTTGAATTAAAAAATTTCCTTTTAGATTCTGAATGCAAGTCTTATGTTGGATATGTGATTTGCGCATATTTTCTCCCAATCTGTAGCCTTTCTTTTTACTCTCTTAGCAGTGTTGTTTCAGAGTTAAAGTTTTTAATTTTGATGTAGTCCAATTTGTCCAAAAATTAATTTTCAGTTTTTATATTTTGAAGGTTTGTTTTTAGCTTCCATATACATTTAGGGTTTTTATGTAATTCTTATAAATGAACTCTTTTATTATTGTATGATATCCTGCTAAATTTGTTTGCTCTGAAGTCTACTTTGTCTGATATTAATATAACCACTTGAGCTTTCTTTTGGTTAGTGTTTGCATTTTGTATCTTTTCTCCTAATTTTAATGTACTGATATCTTTATGCTTGAAGCAGAATTTTTATAGAGAGTATATAATTGGATTATGTATTTTTAAAAACTTGTTCTGACAATCTCTTTATTTGGTGCATTTAGATCATTTACCTGTAATGTAATTGTTGATGTGTTTGAATGTAGTTCTATCATTTTATTCTTTGTATCTCCTTGTTCCTCTGTTTATCATCCCTGTGTGTTCCCATTCCTGCCTTCTTTTGGGTTATTTAATAATTTTTTTTTTTTTTTTTAGACAGAGTCTTGCTCTGTCGGCCAGGCTGGAGTGCAGTGGTGCAATCTTGGCTCACTGCAACCTCCGTCTCCCTGGCTCAAGCGATTCTCCTGCCTCAGCTTCCTGAGTAGCTGGCACTACAGGTGGGCGCCAACACGCCCAGCTAATTTTTGTATTTTTAGTAGAGACGGGGTTTCACCATGTTGGCCAGGCTGGTCTTGAGTTCTTGACCTCAGCCCGCCTCTGCCTTCCAAAGTGCTGGGATTACAGGTGCGAGCCACTGTGCCCGGCTTATTTAATAATTTTTAATTCAATTCTATATCTTGTGTTTTTGAATACATCTCATTGTGTACGTACTTTTTTTAAATTAAAAAAAGTGGTAGCCCTAGTAATTACAATATTTTCATTTAAATGTTCACTATCTACACAGAATCAGTATTTTACTGTATCATGTGTTTTGAAATCTTACCTCTCTATAGGTTCCTTCTTCCCCCTTTATGTTGTAATTTCTTATATGATTTTTTTTTTTTTTTTTGAAACGGAGTCTCACTCTGTCACCCAGGCTGGAGTGCAGCGGTGCCATCTCGGCTCGCTGCAAGCTCCACCTCCCGGGTTCACGCCATTCTCCTGCCTCAGCCTCCCGAGTAGCTGGGACTACAGGTGCCCACCACCACGCCCGGCTAATTTTTTGTATTTTCAGTAGAGATGGGGTTTCACCGTGTTAGCCAGGATGGTCTCGATCTCCTGACCTCATGATCCGCCCACCTCGGCCTCCCAAAGTGCTGGGATTACAGGCGTGAGCCACCGCGCCCGGCCTATATGTTTATTACGTATTGCATCTACATACTTTGAAATTTCATTTAAAAATATTGTTTTACTTTGAAACATAACATATTTTAAAGAATTCAACAGAAGAATAGTTTACTCAATTTTTTCGTATATTTTAAATTTCTTTTGCTTTTTTAAAATTTCTGCTCTGAAGTTTCTTTCTGGTACCATTTCCTTTGTGTCTAGTGACTACTTTAGCAATTCTCTTAGAGCAGGTCCACTGACAATGAATTCTCTTGGTTTTACTTTAAATGAGAACTTCTTTATTCTCCTTTTTTTTGGAAACATACTTCACATACCATAAAATGTACCTTTTTAAAGTACACAATTTGTTTTTTATTTTTTTTTTTTTGCATATTCTCAAAGTTGTGCAACTATCACCATTACCTAAAGCTAGAACCTTTATATCACCACCACCACCCGTAAAATCCCTGTATACATTAGCAGTTCATTCTTCTTTTCTACCTAGCCCCTAGCCATCAATAATCTTTCTGTCTCTATGAATCTGTCTATTCTGGACATTGCCTACAACTGAAATCATAGAATATGTGGCGGTTTCTTTCTGGCTTCTTTCACTTTGCACAATTTCTTTGAGTTTTATCCATATTAGCATGTATCAGAACTTAAGTATTTTTTACAGCAGAATAGCATTTCATTGTATGGATATAACATATTATATTTATCTACTCATCAATTGATTGATAGTTGGAGTGTTTGTATCTTTTGGCTATTATGAATAGTGCTGCTATGAATATTCATGTATAAGTTTTTGTGTAAATATGTGTTTTCAATTATCTTGGGTCTATACCTAGAAGTAGAATTGTTGGGGCATATGGAACTCTATATTTAATTTTTTTAGGAGCTGCCAAACTGTTTTCCAAAGCAGCTGCATCATTTTATATTCCTATGAGCAATGTGTAAGGGTTTCAATTTCTTCACCTGCTCGCAAACATTTGTTATTGTCTCTTTTTTATTATAGCCATCCTAGTAGATGTGAAGTGGTATCTTATTGTGGTTTTGATGTACATTTCTGAAGAGTATTTTTCTTGGACCTAGAATTCTTGGTTGAAATTTTTTTATTATTATTATTTTGGTATCAGAAATTTTTGATGAGAAATCCACTGTCTTGTGTACTGTTTTCCTTTTTTAAGCAATGCATCTTTTTTTGTCTGGCTGCTTTTAAGATTTTTTCTTTGTCTTTATTTTCAAAGTTTGATTGTAATATGTCTTTGCATTGATTTATTTGTGTTTTCGCTGTTTGCAATTTTCTGAGCTTCTTGAATCTGTAGGTTTATTTTTTCCCCCAAACTTGAAGAGTTTCTATACATTATTTCTTTAAATATTATGTCTCCACTGCAGTCTTTATTATTTCTTTCTACGACTCAGATGAAACAAATGCTAGGCATTTCTATTTTATCCCACAGATTAATTTGTTTTGTTTTGTTTTGAGACAGAGTCTTGCTCTGTTGTCCAGGCTGGAATGCAGTGGCACAATCTCAGCTCACTGCAACCTCTGCCTTCCAGGTTCAAGCGATTCTCATTCCTCAGCCTCCTGAGTAGCTGGGATTACAGGTGCCCACCACCACACCCAGCTAATTTTTGTATTTTTAGTAGAGACAGTGTTTCACCATGTTGGCCAGGCTGGTCTCGAACTCCTGAACTCAGGTGATCCTCCTGCCTCAGCCTGCCAAAGTGCTGGATTATAGGCATGAGCCATCGCACCCAGCCCAGATTAATTTTTAATCAATCTTTTCTTAGTTTTTAAGGTTGAATATTTCTATTGATCTATCCTCAAGTTCCAGTGAACTTTTCACTCTGTCATCTCAATTATGCTATTGAGTACACCTAATGAGTTTTAACATTTTATTCATTGTATGTTTTAGTTCTGGATTTTATATTTGGTTCTTTTGTGTATTGTATATACATTTATGTATGTTTGGCTCTATTTTGGGCTGAGACTTTCTATTACCTGATTTATTTTAAAGATGCTTAGGCCAGGTGCTGTGGCTCATGCCTTTATTCCGTGCACTTTGGGAGGCCTAGGCAAGTGGATTGCCTGAGCCAGGAGTTTAAGACCAACCCAGGCAATGTGGTGAAACCCCATTTCTACTAGATAGATAGATAGATAGATAGATACATACATACATACATACATACATACATACATACATACATACATACATAGAACCAAAGTTAGCTGGGCATGGTGGTATCTGTCTACAGTCCCAGCTACTCATGAGGCTGAAGTGAGAGGATGGCTTGAGCCCAGAAGACAGAGGTTGCTGTGAGCAGAGATCATGCACTCCACTCCAGCCTAGGCAACAGAGCCAGACTCTGTCTCAAAAAATTAAAAATAAAAATAAATACGTTTACCCTTACTAGTGGGATAATTATCAAAGCCTTTGTCAGACAAATTTAGCATCAGTTGGAAAGGTTTACTGTTGGATGAGTTCCAATATCTGACTGTTGTCATCCGTTGGTTGTCTTTTCTCATGCAATTTGTAATTTCATTGGTTCTTCATGTGCCATGTAATTTGGTATTATATTCTGGACATTTTCAATATTGTGTACTACAGGACTGGGTCTTGTATATACCCTGTGGAGAATATTGACATTTTTGTTTTAGCAGCCAATTGACCTGATTGGGCTTAGATTGTAAATTCTGAGTGGCCTTCTCTGGGATAAAGTCTCTATATTAGTTTACTTTTAACAGCCTTTGCAGTCCTATTTAAATTTGTCCTACATGTGTACCCTCTGGTGGTCAATCTGGGACATGGGTCATGGTCTCTTAGTTTAGTTCTCAATGTCTTTGTAGGCTGCTTTGAATCAGAACCTGAATGCTAAACTTGAGGTTGATTTCAGGAGTTCATAAACACCTTAATGGTATTGTTTCCCAAGCTCCTCCTTTTCTGCAGTCTTGGTACTGGGATTCTCCTTTTTTAGTCCTCTAGCCAAAAACCTGAAGTTTTATTTACTTTGCTTTTGCACTTTCTTTCTGGAACTATGTCTATATCCAAGGCCAACCAGTGTGTATCTGGAGAGAGTAGGGGGCAGAGAGGAAAAATCAACAGGAACTTGCCTCACCCCCTTTGGACAGTAGCTCTTTTCACTGAAGAGGAAGGCTCTTCTTTCTTTGAGTTCCCAGCGCTGTGGGTTCTGGCTGCCACAACTTGTATTAACAGGAGACCCCTTTTCCTCTTCTTGAGCCTGAACTAGAGGGCTTCTCTTCGAGATCTTTTTATCAATGCTTATTGTGTTTCTGGAGTTCTGGCTGCCTTGAGACCAGGTCAAGAGATACCACAGGGAAAAAAAAAATGGTGAATGACATGTTGAATACAAGCAGAGACACTTGACACCTTAGTGTTGAGCATGACTTTAATGAGAATGATTTTTAAATTTCACTGTTACATATGATGTTTTCTGTGGCTTTTAAATTAAATATCTTTCATTAAGCTTTTCATTTTTACTTTTCTTATTGTAATATATGTTTTATTATGTGTATAGATTGAATTTTATTGAATACTGTTTCTTTTCCTATTGAAATAACCATATAATTTCCTGGTTTGTTAATGTGGTAAATTATATCAATAGGTTTTCTGATTTGGGCCCCTTATACTTCTGGAGTAAAGAGGCTCTTAAATTAAACATAAATGTGGTGGTACACTTTATTACAGGTTTTACACAAAAATGAATTAACCCAGTGTTACATTGGTGGTCTCTGCTGTGTTAAATGTTTTAGTTTAGAGGGTTTTATATTTGGTTACAGATTTCCGTATGGTTGTATATTTATTGTAGCTTTAAATAGTTGAAATATTGCTTTTGATATGAAATTTAAATCAGACTTTATCTTTTTTCTGAGGTTGGTTGGAAGACATGAAGCTGAGCTGTTTCGTATTTTGTTGGGCATTTACTCAGAGTAGGCAGCTGCCAATAAGAATCAAGGGTATTAGAAGACACCCAAAAGGCCCTCAGTTTTGGCCATGACAGTGTAACTAGTACTAGACTTTCATTCCCACAGAAAACTACTATTAAATTAGACAAACATGAAGCAGGTGTTTTCAGACACTGAACATTACACAGTGCAGAACTGTGATTGTTGAGAGAAAGGAAACACACAAAATGAGCCTCAAGGTGTTACAGAACAGAGATATACAGGAAAGGACTCCCAATCCAGACCCCAAGAGAGGGTTCTTGGATCTCGCACAAGAAAGAATTTAGGGCAAGTCCGCAGTGCAGAGTGAAAGCAGGTTTATTAAGAAAGTGAAGGAATAAAAGAATGGGTTACGAGTACATAGACAGAGCAGCCCTGAGGGCTGCTAGCTGCCCATTTTTATGGTTATTTCTTGATGGTATGCTAAATAAGGGGTGGATTATTCATGCCTTCCCTTTTTAGACCACATAGGGTAACTTCCTGATGTTGCCATGGCATTTGTAAGCTGTCTTAGCGCTGATGGGAGTGTAGTAGTGAGGACGACCAGAGGTCACTCTTGTGGCCATCTTGGTTTTGGTAGGATTTAGCCGTCTTCTTTACTGCAATCTGTTTTATAGGCAAGGTCTTTATGACCTGTACTTTGTGCCGACCTCCTGTCTCATCCTGTGACTTAGAATGCCTTAACCATCTGGGAATGCAGCCCAGTAGGTTTCAGTCTCATTTTACCCAGCTCCTATTCAAGATGGAGTTGTTCTGGTTCACAAACCTCTGACATTTCCCCCTTCCCTTTTATAAGAGAACCCTTAATCCTAAGGGTCGCAGAGGTATGAAGATTCATTTTCTGTAACTTCTTCAGGCTGAATAGGGGTGATGATATTTCTGCCTGTTAGGGTCTATTGTGTTCAGGGTAGAGAGGAGCTCAGTTAGAAAACATCAGTATGGTGAGGGCCATTTATGACTCTTGAGTTTTGACAAGAGGTGATATCTGGAAGATTAATAAGTGTTTAAGAAAACATTTAGTAAGCTTTTTTTATATTCCTACACAGAGTATAACAGCAATATATTCCACAAGAGTGAAGCAAAATAAGTAAAGTTATTCCAAGTAAACTAAATTAGAAGGCTTTTCATGAATTGGGCAACTGTTGGAACTAAGCTGGTATGGGGTTGCTAGCTGATTGTAATGTGCCCAGAATTAGAATACTAATCCAGATTTTTACATTGCCCATCCCTCTTGTTTCTTCTGAGCAACAGTCAGACATCACTGGTTGGTTCACCGGAAGAAGAAGAGTTAGCCTGCTTATTGCAGAAACAAACTTCAAAATGACTGATGAGACTAGAATTTAATAACAAGTATACCATAGTTTTTGAAACAAAATATTTCTCTCTCCAGTTTCCCATTTTTGCTAAATGCAAATTATGGTAAGACCAATTTGCTTTATTATACTTGGCCTGATTATTTGTATAAAGTGCAGCAAGAATAATTATTTTTCACATAGGTTCTTTTTAAATTGGCTTTGATGGAATTCTGTTCCATAGAAGGAATTTTAGATAAGGCTTTTAAGGCCAAGCTTATCCATGGGTTTGTACCATCAAATACCTATGAGTTTGGTAAATTTCTTTCCTCTTGAGGTCCCAAGATAACTTGTGGCTTCTGGACCTGTTAGAAAGTGGCATTCTTTACTTACCACAGGTCAGAAACCCTGTACAGGCACTGTTGTAGGCAAGGTATGAGGCCAGTTTCCCATGAGGCTTTTATTGGCTCTACAAGTTAAGTTTAATTTCTTAAGGGAAAACACACCATTCCAGTTAAAGCCTTGGTAAAATGACCAGTTTCTTCAATTGTGTCTTGTTACAAAAGAAAACAGATTTTTATTGCACTTATACAAATAATTATATTGCCATAAGTTAAGCATACTTACAACTAGTTCCTAAATTTTGGAAAAATTAGGTAGAGAAAAATATGTTTCCATTTTTTTTTCACAGCAGTATACTTTACTCAATTGTTATAAGCTGTAAATAGCTTAAAAAAGTTTTTTTTTTGACTCTGAAAAACAAAACAAAGGATTAGCAGTGTTTTAAGCAAAGTTGAAAAGATTACTTCAGTTTCCTATTGGTTCTGTTAATTTCTGTTGTATTTGATATTTGTAAACATTTTAGCTTTTTATGAGAGTTTTGAATGTTGTTTTCTTTATTTTAATATTACAATTTCCAAAGTTATTAGAAAAACTTGTATTTAACACCTGCCAGGGTTTTATAGTTGATTACAAACCATCTTTTAAAGGGGATTAAAACAAGACAGCAATTGCCTGTGGATGATAAAAAGTTTGAGGACAGCCACCATTAAAGCCATAATTGATCAGGAAATTTGGTTACCTATGTGGTACACAGAATTTTACATAACAATTATAATTATTAATAACATACACTAAGTTATATTAGAATTATAGAAGTTTTCCATAACTTTGGAACATATGCCAATAACACATTTATGCAAATATCTAAAGAAAGAAAAACACCATTTTACATTTGATAATGCTTCCTGTATGAATTTTACATCAATTAAGCCAAATTTTACCTTTATTTTAATGTACTATTAATGTTAAATCCAATTTTTATATAAAACCTTATAGACATATTTACCCAATTTTAATGTTTAACCATAAGGAAAGATTCTTATAAACCTTTTATAACTCTTTACATTTTTTGTGAAAGAGCAGAAAAACCCATTGTGCTTTTATTCCAATGTTTAGTGAATAATATTCCTTTAACTTTAGCCAATATGTTCAAACACAGAATCTCTTACAATTAATTTTTATAAACCTTCCACAACTAGTTTAAAAAAATTTTTTTTTCTTACTTAAAACAATCCTTTAACATTTTAGGCAGAAAAAAAACCACATTCCCATGACTTCTTATAATCTTTTTTTTTTTTTAACCAAAAACACATTTTGCTTTTCTTACACACCTTGCATGTAAAACTGTTTCTTCAGTAGTCTTAATTACATGTTATAATGTTAACTCTTAGCAACTTTTATTTTTGGTGAAAACCTTGGTAAATTCGAGATTTTAATTGTGTACTAGTGTGTAGCCTGCCTAGGACACACCAGGCAAAAGTGCAGATAAGAGCTGACTCTCTAGCACAGCTAGGGAGTGTGGCTAATTCCAAATGTCCCCAGGCCTTACTCTTACTTAAGTAAGAGTCATAGTGGCATTTTATGAAGGATTTAGGAGGCCTAAGAACCTTTGGATTGTACATTTCTTGCATAAATTCCCTTTCACAGTTCCTTTCACGACTTACACAGACCATCTGAGTCATTCTTGGACTTTCTGACTTGCCTTAAACATCCCTCCTTTTAAACAACCAGTTATTTTACTTTAGGACAAGAATTTACCATGTGAGATCCCTTCTTATGTAAAATCTCTTTCTTTATAATCTTGTTTGTATAGCTAGGGAGTATGGCTAATTCCACATGTCCCAGCCCTTATCTAGAAGCTAATGACTTTAAAGTAGGTAAATTGAACATTTTTCTTTTTTCTTTTATTTATTTATTTATATTTTTTTTGAGTTGGAACCTTGCTCTGTCACCCAGGCTGAAATGCAATGGTGCAATCTCCACTCACCACAACCTCCACCTCCCGGGTTCAAGCGATTCTCCTGCCTCAGCCTCCCAAGTAGCTGAGATTACAGGCACCTGCCACCAGGCCCAGCTAATTTTTGTATTCTTAGTAGAGACAGGGTTTCACCATGTTGGTCAGGCTGGTCTCGAACTCCTGACCTCAGATGATCCACCTGCCTCAGCCTCCCAAAGTGCTGGGATTACAGGCGTGAGCCACTGGGCCCAGCCAAATTGAACAATTTTCAAAAGTCAGAAAAACAATTTGACCTTAAAGCATTTAGCAAATCTGATATTTGACGTTAATTTAGACCAAATGTCTACATTTTTAAAGACATTTTATTTTACTAATAATTTTTAGAACTGTCATTATTTCCAAAAGATTACTAAAGTCACATGAACAAAAAGGCATTAAAGTTCCTGTTTTTCTGACAAAATATTTAAGTGCCTATTTTTCTAAGCCAGTTAATTAGAGCTCTTTTATCTATAAACATGCAACATATATAAATCCACAGACAGAAGATTCAGCACTTGTAAGATTTTTCATTTGCCATTTTCTCCCTTCCATCCTTCCTTCTTTCCTTCCTTCCTTCCTTCCTTCCTTCCTTCCTTCCTTCCTTCTTTTTTTGAGATGGAGTCTCACGCTATTGCCCAGGCTGTGGTGCAATGGGGCAATCTCATCACACTGCAACCTCCGCCTCCCAGGTTCAAGTGATTCTCCTGCCTCAGCCTCCTGAGTAGCTGGGATTACAGACACCCACCACCATGCCCGGCTAAATTTTGTATTTTTAGTAGAGACAGGTTTAAGCATATTGGCCAGTCTGATCTCGAACTCCTGACCTCGTGATCAACCTGCCTGGGCCTCCCAAAGTACTAGGATTACAGGTGTGAACCACCTTTCTTAACTGGATTACTGGCTTCAGGGTGGAGCCCTTGGAGGAACAGGGCCAGGAAAGCATGCATTTCTAGGGCCAAATAAGCAGCTGAAGGCAAAGACAGATCCCCCAAATTAAGAGTGTCATTTTATACCGGTTCCTGGATCCCCAAAAGGAGGGAAATATTTCGGGAGAAGACAATGCAGTGCTTCTCTCCTGCATTTCATTGCAAGGCAACCCAAAGCCAATCAGCCTATTTTGTAATTAGACTATCCCTTATGGGAGTCTCGTCCCCCAGTGTGGGGTGGGGATGTTTAATCATCTTTCAGGTGGCCAAGAGCATGCTTCTCTGATCCAAGTGTGCAAAGAGTCAAGTATCCTTCCATAACTACTATTAGCCATCCCTTAAAGTATATTTCCTACATAGTTATTACACACCAAAGCTCTCTCATAATGTAAAGTAATTTCTGATACCCCCAAAACTCAAAACTGTCGATAACAATGCAAAACAAAATAGCCTTTGATTTTGAGAGGAATCTATCTGCTTTTAATTAAATTGATTTTAACCGTAGCACTCTTTAATAATGTCCTTTTAAAATTTCTAATGCCAAATAGCTGATATTTCTAGCTTTTGAACTTTACCACAGGTAACCTCCCATGTCCTTAGAGAAAGGAAAATTTAAGACAGTCTGCGAAGCACAAGAGAATAGACAAGGTCACACAGATACTAAACCAGAAATAACTTCCTACATGAAAAATTGAACCCGGACCACCACTGCGAAAGTGCAAAACCCTAGCTACTGAGCTACAGCAAGGGGCAGTCTCCATTTTCTTTCCCAGAAGGAGTCTAGAGTAGTTAATTTTGAGTTTGCAAAGACTTTTATTTAATATGATTTTATTCAGTATGATTTTTTAGAGCTATTACATGAACCCTAAAATTCCTGTCCCTGGAAGGGACAAGGAAGAGACCAAGAAAAGGTATCACCACGTGATTAAAACGTCAAGCTCCCAAGGACATAAAACAAGGTGGAGACTTCATCCAGTTTTTTTGTCTGTTTGTTTGTTTCAGGGACCTGCAGCCAAGTTTGTTATGACCAGCTGCTGGGTCATCTTGAAAAGCGGACTGACAGGTGTTCTAAGCCTGTGTTTTATCCTGAAGTACCCCTTGACACAGAAAAACAAATTCATAGCACCAAACACACTAGGTTAAGACTAGCCTTAGAATTCTTTTTCGCATTAATCAAAACTTTACAGAGGAGATAAATACTGATTTTGTTTTTTTTCCATACATCAACTGTTTGCACAGAGAGAAGCCAGAAATCTGACTGGTAAGAAATTCTTGCCCTTTTGCTGGCGTGCCAGGCTTCTGGATTCCCTTTCCCTGAGCGCCCCTAGTAATCCAGCTTGCGGCACCATCGCCCTGGGGGCCAAGCTGCATCATAAAGGAAAATTATTGTTTTCGTTCTGGCCAGAGCAAAATACATGTGATAAAACATAGACATTAGCCACTCTGCTTAGCATGCAATGTCAAACTGGCAGGGCTTAAATTTGCCCCCAGATGGGTGGACCCCGTCACCTTTAATCCAGCCTCCAAATTGGAGTTTCAACACGTGGTCTCTGGGCAAGATGGTCACCCTGAGTAACAGAACAGATGGGAAAGGGAAAGGAGAGAGAGAAAAGCATTGCCTGGGGCAGGGTGGGGAAGGCGAGAAATGCTTGGGGAGGCCAGAGAAAGACCCACCCATTGCAGCGACACTGAAAAGTTCAGGCGGCTGCTTGTCAGTAGCCAATGGATCTTTTCCAGCAATCCTATTAGTGCTCAAGTTTCCCCTTTTAGGGAGGAAAAAGCTCCCCATGTCCCACAATCCTGTACATGCCTAACCCTGTCACCCACACACAGCCGTCAGCAAACAGTACGAGGCAGATTAATACAAAGAGCATAACCTGCGGTGCCAAACCTGGTTTTAGCCAAGAGGGACTTTACTGAGAGGGGCCTCTAACCCCATACATCTTAGAAGGGACTCTAACCCTCCTAAGTTGGGCCTCTAACCCAAGGTCCGTCAAGCATTCTGCCTTTTATTAAGAGGGGCTTCTAACCCACTCTGTCTTAGGAGAGACTAACTCCCCTAAGTTGGGCCTCTAACCCAATCCCATTCTTTACTTGGGTGCCCCACCCACTTACCCGAAGTCATCCAATCAGTGCCGCAGTCCATTTCCTCCAAGTCGGGGGGGTTTTCTCAGTATCATACGTTCATGGTGGCCAGAAATATGTTGCAGGACGGAGAAATATGTTACAGGAAACGGGTCCCAATCCAGACCCCAAGAGAGGGTTCTTGGATCTCACGCAAGAAAGAATTTAGGTTGAGTCTGCAGTGCAAAGTGAAAGCAAGTTTATTAAGAAAGTAAAGCAATAAAAGAATGGCTACTCCATAGACAGAGCAGCCCTGAGGGCTGCTGGTTGCCCATGTTTATGGTTATTTCTTGATGATATGCTAAAGAAGGGGTGGATTATTCCTGCATCCCCTTTTTAGACCATATAAGGTAACTTCCCAACGTTGCCATGGTATTTGTAAACTGTCATGTTGCTGGTGGGAGTGTAGCAGTGAGGATGGCCAGAGTCACTCTTGTGGCCATCTTGGTTTTGGGAGGATTTAGCCGGCTTCCTTACTGAAACCTGTTTTATCAGCAAGGTCTTTATTACCTGTATCTTGTGCCGACCTCTTATCTCATCCTGTGACTTAGAATGCCGTAACCATCTGGGAATGAAGCCCAGTAGGTTTCAGCCTTATTTTACCCAGCTCCTATTCAAGATGGAGTTGTTCTGGTTCACGTGCCTCTAAAAAGGGGGTCCCAGCTTTCTTTCTTGGGCCGTTTTTTTTGTTTGTTTTTTTGGGGTTTTTTTCTGAAATGCAGAGAGGTAGAAACTCAACAAAAGCATTGATCTCACTAAGCCGAGTATTTAGAGATCAGGGTTGTGGACTGTTGGAGTTTGTGAGGGAGGCCACTGGAGAAGAGGGAGCTGAGCAAGTGGGGGCTGTAGAAATCTGCCTGAAGATTCACTTGAGTCCTTGGCAGATGCTGAGCTCTTGGTTACAGCAACATGTGGCCCTGTCATAGGAACCCTTCCAAACTTCTCAGCCAACACTGTCAGCTCCATTCTGAGCTCCCCAACAGGGTGGACCATGCTGGTTCCTTCCATCCTCCACAGAAATCTAGTTCACTGGGTTCGCCTGGTATGCTTAACCACATATCTGTGCTCTTGGTAGTCGTGCTTCCTGGCAGGAATCTTCTCTGAAGGTCTCATAGTCTTCTTGTCATACCTTTATTTACCAACATTGTATCAGCTATTAATTGCCTTAAAGAGACCTTCCATCACCATTCTGTGTAAAAAAGGATCTCTCTATTCACCTGTCCTGTTTGTTTGTCTTCATTGCATTTGTCATTACCTGACATTAGATAATATAGTTACATATGTTTTGTTTATTATCTATTTCCCCAACTAGAATTAAGTTCCATGAGTCTAGGGACTCTTCTAGTCCCAGGTGTTGTAATGGAGACCAAAGCAAACATTCAGAGGTTGCAGAATACACAAACAAATAAATGTCCTTAGTGCTTAAGCCAGTTTCATTTAGATTTTTTTTCTTCTTTCTACTAAAGGAGCCATCACTGACACAATCAACATAAATTAGCAACCTTCATGCAAAATAGTGTATGTAGATTTGGTGGAAGAGTCTCCTACATAATCCACATATCAGATACATTGGAACTCAGCTCTGACCAAGCTCTCAACTCTGCCTTCCTCTCTTCTCCTCCAACACACTAGAGTCATAGAATCTTAGAGCTAGAAAGAACTTGAAAAAATGTGGAGAATGACTTTCTTGTTTGACAGATGATGACAACAAAGTATTGTGATTTCATTTCAAGCAATGTACCCAGAGTTTCAGACCTGGTGGCAGAACTGGGACCGAGTGCTCTTTCTTCCATAGCACATGGCCCCGTCATCTTCTGGACTTGGTGTTCTTCCTATAGGAATGACCCTAGCTGAGTGCCCTCGGCTGTGAATTCTCTAGCAGGTGCCTGCAGCCAGCATGACCGCCTTCTGAGCCTATGAGGGAGAAAGTGTGGCCAGCACAGAGCCTGCCTAGTGAGAGTGTGACTTACATTTTTCAGCAGGAGGTAAAGGACTGCTGCAGGTAAGACCACCACCTGCTGAGTCTTCTCTTTGACCTCCATGTCCAACCACTCTCTCTCATCCAGTTAATCTGTTATGTAGATGGGCACTCATGGCTTCAAATGAGATATTTTTAAGTTTCCTGACATCTCCTGCATTTCTTGGCACAAAGAATGAATCATATTACTGGGATAATGAACCATTTAATGACTTGTGTGTTGATTTATCAGACGGTGCTAGAGAGGCCAATTTAAAAATATAAAGCCGTAAGTCACCCAGTCAGGGTGTCTGGTAGGCAGAGCGGCCCGGCTCCCTGGCCGGTGATTGCTGTGTTAATCATGATGACGCCAGGCCTGGCAGCAGTGCAAGGACTTAGGCGCTCAGCACTCTTCCCGTATTGAGGTCATTCATGCAAGCAGCAATTATTGTGGCGGGGTTTTTTTTGTTTGTTTTTTTGTTTTGTTTTGTTTTGTTTTCTTTTTCCATCTGCCAGGGGCTGGGAAGAGAAAATAACCTAAAAAGTCAGAATGCCTCCTTCTCATTAGACTAAAGGAGCCTCACCCTGGATCTCCGGGGATTCCTGAGGACAAGTGAAAGGGAAGGAGGCAGCGCTATGCTAGGCCCTGGCTGTGCTGCAAGGCAGCTGGGGACCTGCCGATTGAAGAGTCGCTGATACTTTGCAGGTGAAATGGGCCTGGCATTGTTAATCCGTGTTTGGCTGACCTGGTTTACCATGCAAGTTCCCAGCCCCTGTGTTTACACATGGTGTGGATGGATTTCTGCAAAAGGGGACCAAGTACTTGGTGGTTTATTGTAGAAGGAACCTCCTCTGAAAAAACCTCACAGGGAAATTCTCAACTTAAATGGTAGCTAACAGAGGCGCCAGGTGCTTAAGGTGTGCATTGGTGAGGTAGGCACTATTCTGATGAATGGTTGATGGTGAGAAAACTGAGACTCGGGAGTTCATGTAAAATCCCCATAGCTACATGTCTCGGGGGCGGAACTGAGATTTAACTTATGGCAGCCTGACTCTAGAAACTGAGATTTACCCAACATGTGTGTTGCCTCCCTTTCTAGAAAAGGAGTTCCACCCAAAGGGAATAAGTCACATCTACTTTTCTAACAGAAATCCCAGTGTCAAAATAGCTATGCTGGTGTTCCCAATCCGCTTTTCAAAAGAGGAACAGCCACCATTAACCTTTCTGGTCAGTGAATGAAAGATAAGGAAGTGAGTGAAAGCAAAGTGTTAGCAAGGCCCGACTGTGAGCCGGACACTGTTACACACTAAATGCATCATCTCATTCAAAGGAGAGAACATCTTCATTAACAAATGTGACACCGTCTTCATTAACAAATGTGACACCCTTGCCTGCTGAGCACCCCCTCCCGCCCTGACCCCCAGCTCCTCAGTCAGATTCTGTCTGCCACACTCCAGTGAAACTGCTCATGTCAAAGTCACCAGGGGCTTCCACGTTGCTGCTTCCAGTGAACCATTTAGGACTTCATCTTGTTTGATCTCTCATCAGCATGGCACAGTTGTCCATGTTTTCCTTCTGAAAAGTGCTGCTCTTTTGACCTTTTTTTTTCCTCTCTTTTTTTGAGATGGAGTCTCACTCTGTCGCCCAGGCTGGAGTGCAATGGTGCAAACTTGGCTCGCTGCAACCTCCGCCTCCCAGGTTCAAGTGATTCTCCCACCTCAGCCTCACGAGTAGCTGGGATTATAGGCACCTGCCACCACACCTGGCTAATTTTTGTATTTTTAGTAGAGATGGGGTTTCATCATGTTGGCGAGGCTGGTCTCAAACTCCTGACTTCAGGTGATCTGCCCGCCTTGCCTCCCAAAGTGACATTATTTCTGACTGATTCTCTTCCTCCTCGCTCCTGCCATCCCTCAGTCCCCTTTGCTGGATTTTCTTCTCCAGACCTTAAAACACTGCAGCTTTGTCCTGGGCCCTGCCTACACAATTGCACCTTATCACCTCATCTAATCCCACAGCTTTCAACAGCATGCATGCTGACAAATGCCAGGGTTGTTTTTCCTTTTTTTTTTTTTTCTCTGAGACGGAGTCTCGCTCTGTTGCCCAGGCTGGAGTGCGGTGGTGCAATCTCAGCTCACTGCAAGCTCCACCTCTGGGGTTCACGCCATTCTTCCTGCCTCAGCCTCCCGAGTAGCTGGGACTACAGGTGCCCGCCACCACGCCCAGCTAATTTTTTTGTATTTTTAGTAGAGATGGGGTTTCACCATGTTGGTCAGGCTGGTCTCAAACTGCTGACCTTGTGATCCACCCGCCTTGGCCTCCCAAAGTGCTGGGATTACAGGCTTGAGCCACTGCGCCTGGCCGACAAATGCCATGTTTATAGCTCAAGGCAGACCTGTCCTCTCAGAGAGGCACACCTGGGGAGGTATCCATACAACTACACAGAGAGCTCCAGGTAGACGTTTCAGAGGCTTTCCACGAAAAACCTAGAAAAAGAAGAACAACGTAAACTCAAAGCAAACAGATAGAAATGAGAAAGATACCATACATTTCTGCTTTTTAAAGATGTTTTCAATTATAAAATTGAAAACAGGTGAACAATGAGAGAACATCAATAAAATTTAAAAGGCAGTTCTTTTTAAAAAAAATCAGTAAAATTGACAAATCTCCTGGTCAATTTCTTTTTATCTTTTTCAAGGCTGACACAATAGAAAAAAAGACACAGATCACCAATGTCCAGATAAAGCAGGAAATATCTCTACAGATCCTTCAGTCATGAAAAGGATGATGCTATATTCATAATGTCTACAACTTAGAAGAAATAGACTAATTCCTAGAAAACTATAAATACTGAAATTCAACTTTTTCTAATTGATTACTACTGGTGTGCAGGAAACCTATTGGTTTGGGAATGTTGTTTTATTTGGCCACCTTACTAAACTCATAGATTCTAACAATTTTTAGCTGATTATTTTTTGTATAAACAATCATGTTTATAATCAGTAGATTAGGTTTTATTTCTTCCTATTGAATACATATTTTTTTTCTTTTTTTTTTTTTTTTTTTTTTTGAGACAGCGTCTCGCTCTGTCACCCAGGCTGGAGTGCAGTGGGACAATCTTGGCTCACTGCAACCTCCACCTCTCGGGTTCAAGCAATTCTCCTGCCTCAGCCTCCTGAGTAGCTGGGATTACAGGTGCGTGCCACCATGCCCGGCTAAGTTTTTTTGTATTTTTTTTTTAGTAGAAATGAGGTTTCACCATGTTGGCCAGGCTGGTCTCAAACTCCTGACCGCAAGTGATCCGCCTGCCTCAGCCTCCCAAAATGCTAGAATTACAGGCATGAGCCACCGCGCCCAGCCTGCCTTCCTTTTGAATATTAATAGAATTTCTTGTTTTCATTTTCTGGAGTTTTCCAGGACCTCTGGAATAATGCTGGATAGTTAAGATGATAGTTACTGTATATTGGGTTTAATAGATTTCTAATGCTGCCACTCTAAGTATGTTATTTATTGTAGGTTTTGAAAGCTACCTTTTATCAAGTTAAGAAAGTTTAAATTTTTTCCTGGATAATAAAATATTGGGGGAGGGGGGGAACAGAATGTGTTTCTGCCTCTTGAGCTGACCACGTGGCATCCCCTTTTCTATATAGTGTATTTTTTTTTGCATAAATTTCCTAATGTTGCCATGTTCTTACATTCTCAGGATGACACATTTGGTTATGAGTTAGTATTCATTTAAAAGAATTTTCTGATTTCTGCTGTATTTTTATTAAATTTCTACTTTTTAAGGATGTATTTACATTTACCTTCTTGAGTATAATTCTTATTCTATTTTTGGTCTTTCATGTGTGCTAATAAATGCAAATGTGACCAAAATTGGCATCAAATATGGCTTTGGTGACATCCATATACTTCGTCATTTAAAGAAATAATTTTAAGGCCAACCATTAGAAGACTAGACATAAGATGTAATTTCTAAAATACTAAAAGAATAAAAGTGACCAAAAAAAGTAACTACCTTTAGTACTCTCACTGACATTTATTTCTATTTACTTTGTAATTTTAGTGTAAGCAAATTTTTTGTCCCAGCTTTATTGAGGTATAATTGGTGTATCAAAAAACTGCACATAATTAATGCATACACTTCAGTGAGTTTGGACATGTGTCTATATCATGCTACCCTCACCACAGTCAAGGTAATAAACATCTCCATCACTTCTCAGAGTTGCCTTGTGTTTCCACCCACTTTTGTGGTAAGAACGCTTAATATGAAATCTACCCTTTAAATTATTTTTAACCACAGGGGCTGCATTGTATAGCAGATCTCTGGAGCTTACTCATCTTAAAACTGATCTTGGCTGGGTGCAGTGGCTCACACCTGTAATCCCAGCACTTTGGGAGGCCGAGGTGGGAGGGTCACCTGAGGTCAGGAGCCAGCCTGGCCAACATGGCAGAAGCCCATCTCTACTAAAAATACAAATATTAGCCGGGCATGGTGGCATGTGTCTGTAATCCCAGCAACTCAGGAGGCTGAGGCAGGAGAATCGCTTGAACCCGGAAAGCAGAGGTTGCAGTGAGCCAAGATCATGCCACTGCACTCCAGCCTGGGGGACAGAACAAGACTCTGTCTCAAAACAAAGCAAAACAAAACAAAAAAACCTGATTTTATCCTTGTTGAACAACAACTCCCCACATCACATTCCTTCAATGCCATGGTAGCCACCATCCTGCTGTGTTCTTCCATGTGTTTTACTATTTTAGGTCTCAGGCAAGAGATGTAATTTCAGTTTTGATATTCACATTAAACTAAGATATATTTAGAGTTGCTTTAATTTCGAAACGAGGTGTTTGCGAAACTTATTTTTATTGGATCACTGAATGTGACCTGTGTGATTTTTGACTTTTGGCAACTTATTTATTTATTTATTTTGACTAATAAAAGGGTAGTTAAAGGTTGTTCCACTGGAAACAGGGAGAGGTTGGTCAGTGAGTACGAAGTTACAGTTAGATAGGAGGAATAAGTTCTGGCGTTCTATTACACAGGAGGGTGACTGTGGTTAACATTTCTCTGTTGTATACTCTAAAAAGGCAAGAAGAGACAATTCTGAATGTTCTCACAACAAATAAATAATAACTGTAGGAGGTAATGTATATGCTAAATACCCTGGTTTGGTAAATAAACAAACAAACAAAAAAAATCCAACAGGTATTTGAAAACATTGTGCAGCCTTTTTACTGAGAACAATTCATATTAGCAATGCAACTATATAGTTAATTAAATTAGAAACTGGAAGTTTATATGAAAGTACAATAACTATTTATGTCCTCTATGGCTTAATTTTTTTTCATCTAGTTGGTATCTTAATTTCTTGGAGAGGTTTTAAAATCTCTCGCCAAGATTGTGGTTTGTCAGTTTCTCTTATGTTTCCAGGAGTTTTAACTCTATAAATACCAATATAATATTGCTCTGTTCATAAAGGTTAATGATTGTTATATTTTGGAGGCAACTGTAATTTTTATAATATAAATATGTCTCATTCCTATTTAATGCATTTAATGCCTCTCACTTTGAAGTCCATTTTGACTACTATTGCTATTGACATTTCTGCTTTCTTTTAGTTAGCATTTCCCTGGTATATCTTCATTTATTTTTTTATTTTCAAATTTTCCTCTCTCTCTTTTTTTTTTTTTTTCCAAATTTAGGCATGCTTTTTTGTAAATAACATACAGCTGAATTTAAAACATTCCAATTTAAAAATTTCTCTCTTTAAAAAGGAGATTAAATTCACATTTGTGACTAATGATGTGTTTACATAATTACTACCATCTTATTTCATGTTTTGGCCTTAAAATATCTTCTTCTTGTTTTATTGTTTTTTGTCACTTCCATTATTTTACTGTTTTAGAAATTACATCTTATGTCTAGTCTTCTAATGGTTGGCCTTAAAGTTATTATTTTTAATGCCAAAGTATTATACAAGAGTTTTAAACATTTTACTAATCCATGTGAATATAGTCATAATTTAAAGTCCAGAATTAATTTCTACCTGTAACTACTTCAAATGAACAAGACACTTAGCACACATTATACTCTCCTTTCCACCTCTACTCCTAACATCCACATTATTTTGAAATAACCTGGAATCTTAGTTCTATATTTCATTCATTTTTTAATTTTTTATATAGGCCAAAGCTTTAAAAATTCTCATTCTTGTCAATTGCATTATGTCTCACAGTCACACCACTGAGAGTTACTTGGATTTGACCATGGATGTCACTGGTGCCCTTGCTCACTGCCGTGGCAGGTCATATTTTCTAAAAATGACTGCAACAATGTCTGCCAACCCCCATGCTTTTACAGCTACACCATGTTCTCTCCCTGACCCTGGCTGGGTCTTGGTGACTGCCTTGATCAGCAGAGTGCAGCAGACGTGATGCTATGTGACCTCTGAGCCCAGACCGTGAAAGGCCATGCCTATATGCTTGTTATCTTGGGATGCTCACCCATGGAATCAAACTAGCTTATGTGGAGGGGTCACATGGAGGGCCCACAGTAGAGGTTGTGGCTGACAGCCCTGCAGAAGCCCCAGCCTGGGCTGGTAGGAGCCACAGACACCTGAGGGAAGGTGTGTCCCGATGATGCCAGCCTTTTCCTGCTGCTTTTGCTGAGGTCCCAGAACTTGAGGGGCAGAGAACATCCTTCAGTAATTTATTTTCCCATAGAAGGTGAATTTATGATATTTTTATGAGTTTAATATGTTTATTTTTAACCTTATTCTTGATATTGGATATAGAATTCTGGGCTAAAAATAATTTCCCAGCCAGGTACAGTAGCTCATGCCTATAATCTCAGTACTTTGGGAGGCTGAGGAGGACGGATTGCTTGAATCCAAGTTTGAGATAAGCCTGGGCAACATAAAAATTTTCATCTCTACAAAACAAAAAAAAATGAGCCAGGTGTAGTGCTGTGCACCTGTGGTCCCAGCTACTCAAGAGGCTGAGGTGGGAGGACCACTTGAACCTGAGAGGTAAAGGCTGTAATGAGCTGTGATTGCACCACTGCATGGCAGCCTGGGCAACAGAGGGAGACCCTGTCTCAATCAATCAATCAGTAAAAATAATTTTCCATAAAAAGTTGGAAGACAAAGTTTTATTATTTCCAGAATACCATGTTGCAAATGAGCAGTTTGATGGCAGTCAGATTTTTATTCTTTTTAAGGTAACCTGAACTTTTACTTTTATAAAAGTTCTTGGGAATTTTAACTTTATCCTTGGAGATCAGAATCACCAGCGTATATATATTTCAAGTACTCCTCCTTGGCACACAGCTTCTCCAGGCTTCTGGTTGATCACCATTTCTGGGGAAACTCATAAGAAGAGAAATAGGGACAAACCATAGCCCTCCACTGTTGCCACTCCTGAAGCCATGCCTCATACTCATCATCCACCTTCTCCATCAGGCTTTCAGAATCTCCCTGTCTCTTGGTGAGGCTGGCACTTCCATTGGTTTCAGTGGCTAGCCTCCACTCTCCTGACCCAAGCATTCTGCCTCTTGGGGACCGAGCATCATATAATGGCCCTTTGTTCAAAGTGTATACCACATTTTAAAGGGTGCCACTCTCTTTGCAGAGTGTCATCTCTAAGCTGGTTCTTCAGCTATGTCTTCAATAGGCTATCCCATTGCTTATCCCCCAGCAGTTCCTGTGTGGTGTGGCACATGGTAGGACCAGTGGATGCCATGGCTGTGTGCCCGCCTCTATGTTTTTCTTGCTGTAAAGTGGACCCTTTGGTCTGAGGTGATGCTATGTGGAATCCTGTCACAGAATGCATAGAGTAGATCTACAGACACTCTAGGAGCCCTAGGATTGCAGGACTGGCTGAGGGCCTGTGGACAGAAAAAACAAACCCATATTCATAGATATATGCCATTTCTAGTGAAGATGACTCACAGTCCCTTCAGTGTAGAAGAGGTTCAATATAATCAACTTGCCTGCAAGTGACTGGTTAGTGAGACACCCACCTTCTGTGGCTGTAGTTAGACACCAATCAGTAGCTGTGGCTGAATCAGCCTTGGGGAGAGGGACCCCATGATGTTGGGTCATGTTAGCCTCATTCTTTGCCACCATCTCTGCCTCCACTACTGTGTCACTCATGAACCCACTTCACAAGAGCAGCAGTAGCCAGGGCCAGAGGCTGGCTGACATCTACTAGCTGGATCATTCTATCCACTTGGTTCCTTGTCACAGCAGTGGATGCTTTCTAGTGAGGGTTAACTTACAACACTAAGATCCTCACACTCCATGCCCACCCTCATGTGTCCATCTACATAGCTCTTCCCTGAAGCTCTTGATGTCCCATGGTCAGACACTCATTCCGCCAGGGCCCAGCAGGATGTCAGGAGTTCGCTTTGAGTGGCCCATAGTTCTTTGCTGTGGATGGCACAGCCTTTTTCTGGAACTACAAGGGTCTGCACTGCAACTCATCTACTACACACTTTTCCTAACACAAATGCCTTTGGTCGCATGGATTCTTCCAGGTTATAGTCCAAGCAGAGCTATTTCCACTGCAGTCTAAACCTTCTGCAGGGCCTTTACTGCTCTGGGCCCACTCAAAACTAATAGTTTCCATGTCACCTAATAAATGGGTCAGAGTATTGCCAGGCGTGGTTTGTGTTACTCTAAAACCTGTAGAGACCTCCAGTTAATGTGCTTTGTTCTTAATGGTAGAAGGTGCTACCGCTAAGCAATAACTTGTCCTTTACTTTTTAAGTGATGTTTGAGAAAACCCCAGACTACTGGTCCCAAAAGGCAGCTTCACCAAAATGGCAGGACCCTAAGGTTTTGCAGGTTGCTCTCCCACCTTCTAGTGTGTTTCTTAATGAAACATATAGAATATTTGCTCTTCTTGTCCATAGGTCTGATTAACATGATGTCATCAACATAGTGCACCAGTGTGAAGTTCTTTGGACTGTCCCTTCTGGTTATATTATAATGGAGAGCAGGGTTAACAGCCTGTAAATGTCTACTGTTGTCCATCCATAAGAATGCTAACTGTTTCTGAATCTCTTTTGTGGTGGGTATTAAAATAATGCATATGCCAAATCAGTAGCTGCATTCCACATGTGTATGCATTCATATGTTCTAGTAAAAACAAACACCCAGCGTAGCTGTGAGTAGGGGTACTACTTGCTCAAATGTGTAGTAGTTTGCTGTTGTCTTCTATGGCCTATCTTATTTTTGAAGAGGTTAGACTTGTGAGTTAAACGGAGACCATTGCTCCTGCATCCCTTATGTCTTTGGAAGTGGCACCTGTCTTCACTCTCCTTAGGATGTGGTGTGTTTGATTTATTCTTCAGGTCAGGATTAAAGGATAAGGGGCATCTTCAGAGGCTTCCATTTGGTTGTTCCTATTGTGATAGCTTTTATTCCGTAAGTCAAGAAACAAATTCTTGGGTTCTGCAGCCATTGTTTGGCCATTCCAATGATAAATTCAAGAGCTGGAGCAATGACTGCCATGGGGACCCACTCCACTGTGAGACATATTTGAGCCAGGACTCCATTTAGCACCTGATCCCCGTACATCCCTACTCACATCACATGCGGGCTGATGGCACTTTGGGTCCTCAGAGTCTGTACAGGGTGACAGCCACCCTGAACACTCATCAGAAAACCATTCTGGGATTGCTCCCACACGTGATTTAGGCTGCTGAATTTCTGATTTTTTTTGAGATGGAGTCTTGCTCTGTCACCAGACTGGAGCGCAGTGGCGCGATCTTGGCTCACTGCAACCTCTGCCTTCCAGGTTCAAGCGATTCTCCTGCCTCAGCCTCCAGAGTAGCTGGGACTACAGGTGCGCACCACCATGCCCAGCTAATTTTTGTATTTTTAGTAGAGATGCGGTTTCACCATGTTGGCCAGGATGGTCTCAATCTCCTGACCTCATGATCTGCCTGCCTCAGCCTCCCAAAGTGCTGGGATTACAGGCATAAGCCACCGTGCCCAGCCCTGCTGAATTTCTATACTATTAGGCACAGCCAAGACAGTGTTACCTGGAAAAATTTAAAGCAGCCATTACTATTTCCTTGCCATGGCCATAACCTTTTAATTAACTGATATTTCAGCACCCACTGTTTCTATAGATCTCTTTGGCTCTCTTTCTCTGATTGTTGATGTCTTTATAAACCTGTTAACCCTGTTAGATCCTTTGTAGAACCCTTAGGGTGTATTATTTCCTTTACCTCTAGCTCTCTCTGCCTCTATTTCTCTCTGTGTGCCCCCTCATTTCTCTGTCTTCTGACTGTTGCTGTTCATTTGATGGTGGTGTGGTATCTTGTTTATCTCCAAGTCCCTGTCAATTAATCTAGTGCCAGGCACATATGGAATATCCAGTGAAATTTGCTTGCTGGTGGATGGACATTTAATGAAAATCCATTATTGACCAAGCACGCATTGGGCACTGTGGGGGGTATAGGAATAAATCATATGTGGCTCCTCTGACAAAGATTCTTTGCTGTGCCAGTTTAGTCCGGCTTCTGAATATTCTGCTGGGCTCACTCATGCACTGCCTTGTAAGATCTAGTTTTAGCAAAGATCCCTGCTAAGTCAGGGTAGCACCCACCACCATCAATATCTGATCGCCCTTGATATCTGATCAGGCTCCTCATCCTCTGCCATCCCCCAGGTGATGTAGGATCACCCCCCACCATGCCTCAGTAAGAAACTGTTAGGTCAGTTTACCCAGAACCTCCCTCACCCCGATGTAATTTTCCATCTGCTGACCCTTATGCTTCTCCTTGGCCATAAATTCTTACTTGCCCATGCATCCCATACCTATTGCAATGGTCCTAAATAAAGTCTTACCTACCATGCTTTACAAGTAGCACTGACTAACTTTTTCTTTAACATTTCCCTTGAGGAGATCGCAGTTGGGAGAAGAAAGTACGAGGCACACTGGAAAGGGCATTTTCTGTGGCTGCCGCTCTAGCGCCCAATTTAGGGTGAAACTCAGAAGAAAGGTTATAGCCATTCCTTAGGCCCCCTGGTGCCTGAGCCAATAGCCCACTAGATTAAATGGGATAAGCCACAGAGGCAAGAAGCTCTCCAACAGCTTCAGCAACAGGTCTCCCTTCCCCAGCATCCACCTTCAGCTCTGCGCCTGAGATGGACGAAGTCACCTCTCTTGGCAGCATGTTATTACCACAACGGCTGTCGTCTTTCTCTTCCAGCAGCTTCAGTGTGCAGGCAGTCAACCAGCTGTGGCTGACAGCAATTGCCTTTTAAAAGGCATTAAATTACCTCTGTGACCATTTTTAACAGTTTGAAACAGTAAAGGCCATTTTAAAACAATTTTACTTAACAGTTACTTTTCTGTATAGTCTTAAGAGAATGAATTTACTTACCTGCTCTCAAAAACAATTGAGTGCTCACTATTGAGAAAAACTGGAAAATGATGTGCCATGATGTTTGTTGCTGTGTCATGGTGTTTGTTGCTATGCCTCAGGAGGTAGGAGGTGAGACGCCAAGGACGTGTTCACTGCTGATGCGTAAGACGAGGAGAGGATTTGCGCTACTCCTTATTCTGCCTTTGTTTCCTCTTGAGAAAAACACCAAGAAGGTAGAAAGGAAGAGGGAGTGTCACTCTGTGCTTTAACACCTTCCGCGTGGCTTCTTGTTATAATTGGAATGCAGTCTAGGCTCCTTCCAAGATCAGCCTCCTGCCTGCTTCTTTGACCTCATCTCCTGCAACTGTCTCCTTTGTCTCCTCTGCTCTTCTGGCTTTATTTCTTTTCTTGGAACAGACCAAGAGGTGTGCTGGAACCAGCTCAGATTGGCTCATTTTCACTGCTTTCCAACTCCAAACTCAGTGACCTTGCATCATCGCTCAAAATCCTGGGAGTATTTACGCCACAGAAATGGGCAAACACCACAGATCAGGGCTCCCCTGACCCAGCCAGCTGCTAAGCATTTATCAGGTTGCCACTGAACATGCCAGCTGCTTTAGTCCTTTGCTTAGCTGTTCTCTCCACCTGAAATAACCTTGTCCTCATTTTCGCAGGCCCAGTTGTTTTTGGCCTTTAGCTCACATGCCCCTCTTCTGAAAAGTCTTTCCTGACCACACATTCTAGAGGGACCACTCATTGACTCATGATTACATCAATCATTTTAATTCTCTGAATATGATTGTCAAATAGGATATTAAAAATTTAAAAAAACATAATTCCCATATGGTTGTAGTATGCATTTGTCAACCTAAAAAAAGACATCAGAGAAAAATACGTCCAAATATGTTGAATTTATTCAGTGATTAGAAAAGATGTCTGGGCACAATAGCCCACACCTGTAATCCCAGCACTTTGAGAGGCCAAGGTAGATTGCTTGAGGCCAAGAGCTTCAGACCAGCCTGGACAACATAGCAAGACCCAGTCTCTACGAAAAAAAAAATTAAAAAATTGCTGGGTATAGTGGTGCATGCCTGTAGTCCTAGATACTCTGGAGGCTGAGGCAGGAGAATCACTTAAGCTGACGAGTTTGAGGCTACAGTGAGCTATGATTGCCAGGGCAACAGAGCAAAACCCCATCTCCAAAAGAAAAAGTAAAGAAGAGGATTGTAATCCAGGTTGCACTGTGGCAAGCCCCGGATATATCTGCTGAGGGAAGGGTAAAGAGCGGCTTTATTGGCAGAAGGGGGAAGTTTACCTACACTGTGTAGAAACAGAATTCATGGGTGCCGGAGGCTCAATGCCTGAGTTGGCATGAATTTGTTGGTGGAGATGCCATTCCTGAGCAGGTGTTCTTTGAGAGCATCTTATCTGAATTGCCATGGTCCTAAAGACTGTCTAGTGATAAACCTTGTCATAGAAATACGTGCACACGTGAGAAACATGCAAGCCGTGCAGAGCTGGAGATGTGTGAAGGACATGAGGGATTTCCTGTGGGGTTTTCAGACAGTCCTTGGAACAGTTCTCATCTCAGACAGGAAAGCATACCCTCCCTCCCTCCTTTTTTATGCCTTCCTGGCTCTATTTTATCCAGGTCTGACAAGAGCAACTTTATCCTGGTAGCTGCAACTTTCAAATATCTCTTCATTTTATTTAATTCATTAATGACAAGCCAAGTTCACAAGAGAAATATGAGGAACTGGGATTTTAATGTCAGCAGGGAAAAAATAAATGCTAAGATAGAAGTATGAAATTAGATCAAAACTGGTTAATACCAGGCAGGGCAATAAAATCCCACCCTTGGAAGTTATTGTCACTACTAGACAGAAAATTATTTGTTGCACCTTAACAGTTTTATAAAATCGTAAAATGTCCAGGCGTGGTGGCTCACGCCTGTAATCCCAACATTTTGGGAGGCCAAGGCAGGCAGATCACTTGAGGTCAGGAGTTTGAGACCACCTTGGCCAACGTGGCAAAACCCTGTCTCTACTAAAAATTAGCCGGGCGTGGTGGTACACACCTGTAATCCCAGCTACTACAGAGGCTGAGGCAGGAGAATCACTCGAACTTGGGAGGCGGAGGTTGCAGTGAGCTGAGATCACGTCACTGCACTCTAGCTTGGGCAACAGAGAGGACTCCATCTCTAAAAAAATAATTAATAAATAAAATTTTAAAATGCCTGGGTCCTAATAGATTGTGGAAAGAAAGATTCAGATGTCTCTTATCAAGTTCTGGATAATTTATCTTAAGCAAAAACAAACAAACAAAACAGAAGCTGGTGGTAGGTCTTGGTATCTTTCTATGTTCTTTTATACCTATCTATCATGTCTATCTCCCAATAAAAAGAACCTTCTGGGCACCTGAAACAGCACCTAGAATGTAGCAGGCACTCAATACATTTCTGTTGATTGAAGGCTGAAGCTAGACATAGTGGGAGGAAGATCCAGGAGGAAAGTTTGCAGTACCAAGGGGCCAGTAAAAAGCTTTGGACATCAAGGCTGATGTGAAAACTTATTGTGCTGCAGCACCTTTGGCCAACAAACTGCATTGGTGGCCTGTGTCACTGTGGACACTCCTTTCTCTAGCCTGGAGTCTAGAAGGGAGTGAAAGAGTGGGCCCCATCATACTTAACCTCTCTGGGTGGTGTTTTCCTCAGTTATAAAATAGGAAAGATAATAGTAACTTGAGATAGAGTTGATGTAGAGATCATCTGTGTAAAATGCTTAGTGCAGGGCCTGGTGCATAGTAAGTGTTCATTAAGTATTTGATGTGTGCATTTACATAGCATCGATAGTGAACAACTATGGGAATTCAGTGGCGGAAGGGATGCTGCCCAGCACGTAGCTGAAGAAGCTTTGGTCGGGGGGGCATGATCTGGGCCGAGAAGGACTGGCAGGGTTTTCACAGCCGGAGCTGTGGGGCAGGGGGCTGGGGTGAGGGGTGGTGGGGGTGGGTAGGAAAGGAATTCTCCTTAGAGGAAAGAGCTCAAGTAATGACATAGAAGGGCAGATGTGGTGAAGGGGGATGATACCACAAAGGGGCCCCCTGACCCTGTCTGAACTCTACTTCTCTAGAGAGGCCAGACAGTGCACTGGTTAGGGTTATAGACTTTGGAGCTGGAACTGCCCAGATTTGAGCCCCAGTCTGCAGATGACTAGTTATGTGATGTTGGTGAAATTCCCTCATCTTCCTGACTCTCAGTTTCTCCAGCCATAAAATGGGGTCACAAGGGCAAAGGTCACCTTGGGGTCATTCTAAGGAATAAAGTAAGATGCTTTGTGTAATGTGCTGCAGAAGCCACATGATGAGTACTGGAGAAATACTCAGTCACCTGGTTTCCTCATCCTGTCCCCAGAAAAGCTCGACTTGACTCAGAATATGTGTAAGAGGGTAGTGGGCTTCTCCCCCTCTTCCGTTAAACATATTTCAGTTTGTTTGTTTGTTTTTTACTGAGGAACACAAGTCAGGTAGCTCTCAGTTCTCAATTCTTTCACCTGCATCTACTTAAATTTCCTTTGCTGAAATTGAATCAGATGGGAGAAATATTGTCAGGAAATAAAATGCCTGCTCTGTCACCACAGGAGGTGTTTTGATTTGATTTTGATCAGAGGCAAGATCCCCTGTGTGGTTCTCAGACGTAACCCCCAAATCCCGTATTTTGAGAAAATGAACCAACAACTACAGAAATGATTTTCTGCAGTAACCTGGCTGTCTTGATGTGCAAGCAAGAATACTGAGAAGCTGTCAAGAAACCAAGACCCTTTCTCATGATCTTCACTCTAGAAGAATGCCATCTGGACCTTAGGATGAGAAGTCCAGCATCCAAAACGTGCAACCCTGTGACATTTTCATTATCCAAATTTCCCAGGTGCCTGCCAGAGCCTGGAATCCCCTCCCAAAGCTGAACCCAAAGCTGAACTTGTGTGTAGTTCATTCATTGTGAGATCCTATTCTAGAAAACAGACATGGGGGGACTGAGGAGCACAAAACAAGATAGGTGGAAAAGCCTTTTCTAATTGGGGAGTTACCAAATTAATCACCACTGTGGGCAATGGGGCCTCATGCTTCCATGACCCTCTGAGGAGCTGTATGTATAGAATGCACCCACCAAGTCTGTCCAGGGCAGGAGGAGGGGAGCGGTCAGCTGCCAGCTCCTGGAGCCCCCCATTGCTGAGGGTCATTCCGTGGATGTTAAGGCCCTCCTAAACCCATGCTGGGGTGACCAACTTGTCCCACTTGACCTGGGACTGTCCTGATTTTCAAACTAAAAGCCCTGCTGCAACCCCAAAATCCCCTCAATCCTGAAAACACCCAGATGTTTGGTCCCTCTGGTCCAGGCTGGCCTGTAGACTCCACAATGGAGCATCAGAAGGTGAGCTACCTCTAGAGCAGAAGGTGGGAGGAATATAGTGCAGCTGAGATGAGGAGCTGTTGGGCTCCACCCTCACAAGCTGGTTGCCACAGCAACGGCTGGAGTGAAAGGTGGACCACAATGATGGGAGGCAGGCACAAGAGGTACCCAGGACACAGCTTTGCAGAGAGCCGGGGAGTCCCGCCTGGAGGAAATGGTGCAGCTATCACTCACTTACACAAGGATGAAGGTATAATCCCAGAGGTCAGAGCTTGGACCAGGGGGTGGACACTGTAAGGAAGGAGATTTTTGGCTCCAAATAAGGCAGGATATTTTAAGTGTCTGCATTATTAAAACGTCTTAGTTGGACCTTAAAGATCAGTTGTTCCAATACCCTCTTGCTAAACCTAGGGCTTAGAACAGAATCTGATGTGTCTGTGGTAATCCACGGGTCAGAAGCAGAAACAGGACTTGAATTTTATGACCTGAAGACCTTTGCAGTCAGGAGACATGAGAAAAAGAATGAGACTTCTTCAGCAGGGCGCAAGTTCTCTATTCCTGGATGCATCCCAAAGAGTCTGAACTTCTTGGTCTGGTTACTGTTGGGAGAGGATTCATGCTTTAGAGGGGAAGTAGCCTCAGGTGGCCTTAAGCTGCCCCAACTCAGAATTCTGTGGTACAATGATTCAGCAGAGTGGAGTCTCTAAAAGTGAAACATCAGCAGAATAGCAAGGGGGAAGTACATTAAGAGTTGGAATTAAATAGTTGAATATTAAAACACAGCAGGCGGCGCAGTCCAATACTGATTCCTTCTACTCTTCTGTGTTGACTAAATCAGTCTGTGCATGAGAAGAATGAAGTGTGACTGTACATATGTGCAGGTGTGTAGGTGTGCACGTGAATATATGTGATGCATACAGATGTGACTGTGTATGCATGTATATGTAAGCACACATATATGTGTGTGTGCATGTTTGTGTGTAGAAGAGAACAAAATGGAAATGCTAAATTGGCTTCTGAAAGCTGAATGATTCAAGTTTCATCAAAGAAAAACTAATTAATTTTATGTTGTAAATATTAAAGTATGAAGGCATTTTCCGTTTAAACCTAGGCCAAATGCATCCTCACAGACCTTTTCAAAAGTTGCAAATGAAACATGCATTTCATTTCTGAACGTTCACAACGCAGATTTCAGCCTCGGACCTTGAAAGCCCTTTTCTCCTGATTAGAAAGAAAGATTTTTCTCTGCAATGCTCAGTGCTTTTATTAGAAAGCGACCCTCTGAGGAGCTGTATGCATAAAATATGAAAAACCCGGAGTCTTCCTGCGGCCACTGAATAGTGAAAAGCCTGGAGTTTTAGGGATTAGAGAATGAGGAGAGTGGAGTGAGCCAGAGGGCCGTGGGGGCAGGGTTCACTCATTCATTCTTCTGAGTGCTCATCCATTCGTTTAAGGATGGTCACTGTGCCGAGTGGTGAGAGCAGTGTGGTGTTACCTTGGAGGTCTGTTGCAGAGTTTCTGGAGAAAGCGCTCAGGGCTGGACCTAGAAGACTTCGGTTTCAAGTTCCAGAATTGTTCCTAGTGCTGCACAGCCTTGGGCCCCTCTTAGCTTTGTGTAGAACAGAAGACTGCTTGCCTGCTTGTTGTGGGGGGTTAAATGCGATCGTGAAAAATGAAAGTCATCTGTAAACTGTAAAGTCCTCTAAGTATACATGCCTTGCTCCTCCTGGAGAACACGTGGGCTCTCACCATTTTCCAGCCCACCCCACAAGACGCCATGTGAGATTCTGTGTTCTTTGTTGTGAATTTTGTCTCCACAAATACTGGAAGTGTTTTGAGGTTCAGGACAGTCTCTTATTACTTAGAAAGAATCCCCTCTGTGCTCCACTCAATTCGTTGGGTAACGCTCCTTATGTAAATACTGATGTTTATCTTTTCAAGATTTGCATCATCCATTCACTTTTCATGTGTTACTGAGGGACAAAGTCACTAAAATTACTGACATTTTTTAAGAAATGGAATATTTACTAACATCTCCATCTTCTGTAAAACCAGCCATAAAAGGCAAACAGATGTTTTTTATGAAATCTGAATGCTTCAGTCCTTCGGGGCAGTCATACTTTTCTTGCAGCAATTCCAGAGGCTGAGGTCTCTCCAAAATGGGAATAAGGTTGATGACCTTTGGAGGGGCCTTTGTGAGAAGATAAGGCTCTGTGGACTTTTTGGCACAAAGATAGGCTTTAGTGGTTATTTTCTTTAAAGCCTCTTTATTATTTTAGATAGGAAATTATACTGACTTGGAGCTAATTAATGTTATTGTTTTTATTTTCCTGTGTCTTTTCTTCAATAATGTCTCAAAGCTCTGACTTTATTTACTATCAACACTAATTCACCATCACCTTGGTAAGATTCAAGGAAATTGGGTTGGGAGGTTACCGCCTTGGTTCTGAAATCAGGACAAAGTGATTTAGAGACAGTCATGGAAATGTAATGACAGGCCCTAGACAGTCCATTTGGTTGATCATCCAGGAATACAGCTCCTTGTGGTGAATGTCTGTGTGCATGTTACAGGAAGAGAGGAGAGAGAGAGGGAGAGAGCTGGAGGGCCTTGGGCAGTTTGACAAGTTGTATGTTTTGTGATGGTCCCCAAACCAATTGCATTAAGAAAACATAAACAGGTCATCCCCACCCTCCTATTTCCATCTCTTGCTGCTCCCTGCATCACCTCTCACACTCCGCAACTCACCATGCCCCTCATCTCTGACTTCCCTTGCCTGCTCCCGCCCTTCACTTCCTCCTCCCCTACTCACCTCCACATGGCATCCCCCACTTCCTGTACCCTGCAGCTCTCAGCTCTGGGGAGGCTCACTTGAAGCTTAAGGATGGAGCATCAGGGTTGTCTACTGAGTCCTGTATTTTACTTAATACAAAAAAGAAAACACTGTTAAATGTGAACATACATTAAAATAGCCACATCATTTGCACTTGCGTGAACAGCAACATTTTCTCAATTATTTGGAATAAGATGATGTTCTTTAAACTTTGAGCTCTTCTTCTTGCTTCTCTGCCTTTTTGATGGTGCCTGGAATGTTGTCTGCTCATGCCCCTTCTTCTGCTAACAGTTCTCCCTCAACACTCAGCTTCGATGTCACTCGCTTCTGGAACCTCCCCGATTTCAGTGACTGAATCTGTGCCCCATATTTCATGGCCCATTGCTTTTTCACTGTGGCGAATGTCATTTCATGCCATTTTTTCTTGGTGTATGTCTCTCTTCTGTTTGCTACTGAAGAGGCCGGGACTATGTGTTCTTTCCCTGTGTCCCACTCTCAGCACAGGCCAGCCCTACTGTGGAGAGTCAGGGAATGCTCCTTGGATGGACATGAATGTGGCATTCTCAACTACAAAACTTTGATGGGTTCAAATTCACAAAATAAGAATGCTATTTATCTTCTCACAATAAGAGAATTACAGACACTGAATTTCCTGGGGAGGCCTCTGCTAACAGAACTGGTGTTTCTGTCACCCACAAAGATGCAAGTTTCCTTTATTCTCACACGCGGGCTCACAGGAACTTGACAATTTCATCACACCTCACAGCTCTATGCTTGCAAGATCCTCTCTCTTGCCTTGTGATTTTCTCTCTAAGCCTACAGAAGATGACAAGAGGGACAACAGCCAGCGGAAAGCTGCCTGTAGAAGGAGATACAGCAGGAAAACAATTCATTCTTCCTCCTCCCATTTGTTCAACTCCAGTCCTTGGAGCACACATGAGAGCTTCTGGAAACTCATGGGGTGGCCACTGCTGTGTCTGCTGTGATGGCTTCTTCCGGCTCTTGATTTCACATCTAGGGTCAAGTGATGCACATTGGTAATGGTCCCAGCTGGGTCAGAGTCTCTGGGAAAGCGGTGGCTTTGGGTGTTCCCTCCCTAGCCTGGGAGATGTGCGCTCCGTCTTAAATCTCAGCAAGGATAGCAGTGTCTTAGTCTGGGTTCCCCTGGAAGCCGACCCCGAGGCCAGGATGTGAGTGCAAGTGGTTTACTTGGGAAGTGAACCCAGGAAGCACAGATAGGGGAGTGTGGAAGCGAGGCATGGAGGGGAAGACAGCAGCAGAAGGTGAGTAACTACCCAGTCAGCCAGGGGCCACTGGAGTTAGCCACTCTGGGGGAACTTACACTCAGGACTCAGGGTTACCCACGAATGAATGAGAGATCTGGGGCACACCTCGTTAGCTTCTGTCAGCCATTGGCCAAGGGTCACTCCTGGAGAGCTGAATTCCCTGGCATTTCTGGCCTGCCACATCTATGGGCAGAGTGGGTTCCAGGGACAGAAGCAAGCCTGCAGGAAAAGAAGTGCATTCAGGCTGTTGGCCCTCTGGTCAGCAGAAATGCAGATGCCAGGAACCAAGGGGGTGCAAGTGGGGCCCCCACAGACATCTGCTGCAGACAGGGTGCCACAGTGAGCTTCCAGAGCCCAGCTGACACACCCATCCATCCTGGGCCACCCCTGACTCCTGGTGGGAGGGCTGGCAGAAGTGCTTTCTGAAAGGGCTGTAACTTCCGGCCCTTATGCAATTCCTACAAATGACCCATTTTAATCCTAATCGTCAGACTGTCAGAGTTCATGAGAACAAGGCATTAAAGTGTTCTTGAAAAGCACTTGATAATCTAGCTTGTATTTGGGCAGCACTGACATCGGGACTTAAAGTGTCACGCAGCTCCTCAGTTGGTTTGATCTGTGCCACTCCAGTTTTCGAAGGAATAATTTGATAAATGGATTCTTATGAAAGCTCTGTGATGAAATGCAACTGGATTCTGCAGAACAACAACACGCACCTCACTGCAGTGACCCAGCTTCAAAGTAAAAGGATTGGAAAGTTTGTAGGAGCCAGAGGGGACCAGAGGCTGACCAATCTGCTGTGTTTAAAGCACTTTCTCTGCATACAGACAATTTTCACTGGAGTAATAAGTGCGAATTTATCAGGAATGCTAACAAAAGAGGTTTAGTGTTGTGTTTCCCTTGCATATTCCCATTCTTAAGGAGGGGTTTTTGGGAGCATAACACACGTGTTCAGTGTTGTAAAGGCTGACCAGGGAGAGGGGCATGGGCACACTGCTGCTCAGTATTTATACATTTGCTGAACTTTGGGGACCAGAATGAACACTTGATGCTAACTAAAAGAAAAAAATCAGGCCAGGTGTGGTGCCTCACACCTGTAATCCCAGCACTTTGAGAGGCTGAGGCAGGAGGATCACTTGAGGCCAGGAGTTTGAGACCAGGCTGGACAACATAGCAAGACTCTGTCTCTACAAATAATAATAATAATTTAAAAATTTGCTGGGCATAATGGTGCATGCCTGTAGTCCTAGCTGTTTAGGAAGCTAAGGTGGGAGGATCACTTCAGCCCAGAAGGCTGAGGCTGCAGTGAGCTATGAGCATGGCACTGCACTCAGCCTAGGTGACAGAGTGAAACCCTGTCTCAAAAAAAAAAAAAAAAAAAAAAAAAAGGAAGGAAGAAAAAAACAACCTCACATTTGTACTGTGAAGGGTTCTCAGTCCTGGGGTTCTGAATAATAGCTCGCGCTTTAGCCCAAGACATGTCTCACCCAAGGTGTGGGTTGGAGTTGTATCTGTGAGTGTCCTGGGTAAAGGAATGGCAGCTTGGAGAGTGGACCGCCAGTAGGGGCTGGAGGAGTAAGCTCTGTCCTAGCATGGGACCTAGAGAAGGAATTGTCCACAGGTGTGGTTTTTATCATCAAGTCTCCTGCAAGACTTCACTAAACATAGAGCCAAGGGCCCCCCTGTAGTTCAAGAGAAGTCCCTTGAAATTACCCCACTGCTCTTATGAGGTCTTATGGCAGCTGTAAAAACTGGAATGTATTTTTCATCATGAGCAGGCCCTTGAGAGAGTGGCTGAATTTTAAATTAAAAACAATAGCAACAACAAAAAATAAATACATCTGACCCAGTTTTATTTTGTTTTATATTTTAAACACATTGTTTTGCTATGGTGTAGTGCTGGACAAATTGTTTTATTTCCCCTTTGCAAACTTAATCATCAAATTTCCTTCACTCTTATTATTTATCACTTTGTCAATAATCATTTTATTTTTTTAAGGCATCTGCCTCCCCCTGTGGCAAAAGCAGTTATAATCTTCTCATTTAGCAAAGAAGAGGATCCACTGTTATCAGCCACAGCCCTCCTGCTGTGCATTCCATCTTTAGACTTGTTCATCCTGCATATTTGCTATGTGGGAGCCTTTGAGCTATGTCTCTGTTTCCTCCTGCTCCCCTATCCTGACCCTGCTAACCACTGTTTTATTCTCTCTCTCTCTCTCTCTCTGTGTGTATGTGTATATATATATGTATATATAGTATATATGTGTGTGTGTATATATGTGTATATATGTGTGTATATATACACACGTGTACATATATGTATACGTGTATATATATACATGTGTGTATATACGTGTATATATACATGTGTGTATATGCGTGTATATATACATGTGTGTATATACGTGTATATATACATGTGTGTATATATACGTGTGTATATACGTGTGTATATATGTAACCTTTTTTTTAAGATTTCACATAGAAGTGAAGTTATGCATTATTTATCTTTCTGTGTCTGACTTATTTCACTTATCATAATGTCCTCCAAGCCTATCCCTGTTATGGCAAGTGGCAGGATCTCCGTCTTTTTTAAGGCTGAGTAACATTTTGTTTTGTACACACACCATGGTTTCTTTATTTGTCCATTGATAGACCCCTAGGGCGTGTACGTACCTTGGCTGCTGTGAAGTGCCGCAGTGAGCATGGGAGTGCAGATGCCTTGACGAGATGGTGATTTCATCTCCTTTGAGTATGTACCCAGAAGTGGGACTGCTGGGTCAGATGGTAGTGCTATTTTTAATTTTGTCTGGAGCCTTCATACTGTTTTCCATAGTTGCTTTGCCAATTGACACTCCTATCAACAGTGTACAAGGGTTCCCATTCTCCACACCCTCACCACCACTTGTTATCACTGGTTTTTTTATTGTAGCCACCCTGACAGGTGGGAGGTGTTTTCTCATAGTGGTTTTGATTTGCTTTTTCCTAATGATGTTGGTCATTTTCATTTCATCTTTGGAGAAATGCCTATTCAAGTCCTTTGCACATTTGTTAATTGGGTTACACGTTTTCTTGCTATTGAGTTGCATGAGGTTTTTTGTGGGGTTTTTTTTGTTTGTTTTTGTTTTTGAGATGGAGTCTCACTCTGTTGCCTAGGCTAGAGTACAGTGGCGCCATCTCAGCTCACTGCAACCTCCGCCTCCTGGGTTCAAGCAATTCTGCCTCAGCCTCCCGAGTAGCTGGGATTACAGGCACCTGCGACTACACCCAGGTAATTTTTTGTATTTTTAGTAGAGACAGGGTTTCACCATGTTGGCCAGGCTAGTCTCAAACTCCTGACCTCGTGATTCACCCGCCTCAGCCTCCCAAAGGCTGGCATTATAGGCATGAGCCACCGCACCGGCAGAGTTGTATGAGTTTTTAACAAATCTTGCATATGAACCTCCTATCTGATATTTTGCAGATGTGTTTTTCCCTATTTGCAGGCTGCCTTTTTATTTCATCCATTGTTTTCTTTGCTGTGAATCATCACTTTCTTACAGCTCTTCCTGACAACCTCTCCAAAGCCAACCACAGAGAATTTTTTTGGCCTTTGTATTCAAAGGTGACTGCAACATATACAGCTCAAGGCAGGTCCGGCCATTCCTGATTTCAAGTTGGGTTTTCCATGAGCACCAGCCACACTTTCAGCCCTGGGTTTGGCAAGTTGGGGTCCCACAGGAGAAAACGTGGCCTCTGCTCTCAGAAGCCTTGCTTTTCAGGAGACCAAACCAACATCTTCCCTTTACCAAGAACATGATGGCTTTCTCGTAGGCCCCATTGCCGACTGCCCTCATCATCACACTTGGAAATGGGGCACTGAGTGTTCTGCTCTTTAAAGCTGAGAAAGACAAGAAAGAAAGAGGGCTAGGAATGGCTTTTCTTTCTTTTTTTTTTTTTTTGAGATGGTCTCACTCTGTCTCCCAGGCTGGGGAGCAGTGGTGCTATCACAGCTCACTGCAGCCTCAACCTCCCAGGCTCCAGCAATATTTCTGCCTCAGCCTCCTGAGAAGCTGGAACCACAGGTGCACTCCACTACAACTGGCTAATTTTTTGTAGCATTGGGGTCTCACTTTTTTGCCCAGATGAGTCTCAGACTCCTGGCCTCAAGCAATCCTCCCACCTCAGCCTCCCATAGCGCTGGGATTACAGGCGTGAGCCACTGCATTTGGCTGGGTCTTGAGTGAATTAACAATGTCTTCCAAAATAGGCATAAGCTCTGTTTTCTAAATGAAGAAAACGAGGTTCAGAGAGATAAAGCAGTTTGCCTATTGTCATACAACTGATAAGAAAGGGAATATACCCGGTAATGGGATTGCTGGGTCAAATGGTATTTCTAGTTCTAGATCCTTGAGGAATCATGACACTGTCTTCCACAATGGTTGAACTAGTTTACAGTCTCACCAACAGTGTAAAAGTGTTCCTATTTCTCCACATCCTCTCCAGCACCTGTTGTTTCCTGACTTTTTAATGATCGCCATTCTAACTGGTGTGAGATGGTATCTCATTGTGGTTTTGATTTGCATTTCTCTGATGTCCAGTGATGATGAGCATTTTTTCATGTGTCTGTTGGCTGCATAAATGTCTTCTTTTGAGAAGTATCTGTTCATATCCTTTGCCCACTTTTTGATGGGGTTATTTTTTTTTCTTGTAAATTTGTTTGAGTTCATTGTAGATTCTGGATATTAGCCCTTTGTCAGATGAGTAGGTTGCAAAAATTTTCTCCCATTCTGTAGGTTGCCTGTTCACTCTGATGATAGTTTCTTTTGCTGTGCAGAAGCTTTTTAGTTTAATTAGATCCCATTTGTCAATTTTGGCTTTTGTTGCCATTGTTTTTGGTGTTTTAGACATGAAGTCCTTGCCCATGCCTATGTCCTGAATGGTATTGCCTAGGTTTTCTTCTAGGGTTTTATGGTTTTAGGTCTAACATTTAAGTCTTTAATCCATCTTGAATTAATTTTTGTACTGGGTATATACTCAAAGGATTATAAATCATGCTTCTATAAAGACACATGCACACATATGTTTATTGCGGCACTATTCACAATAGCAAAGACTTGGAACCAATCCAAATTTCCATCAATGATAGACTGGATTAAGAAAATGTGGCACATATACACCATGGAATACTATGCAGCCATAAAAAAAGGATGAGTTCATGTCCTTTGTAGGGACATGGATGAAGCTGGAAACCATCATTCTCAGCAAACTATCACAAGGACAGAAAACCAAACACCGTGTGTTCTCACTCATAGGTGGAAATTGAACAATAGAACACTCGGACACAGGATGGGGAACATCACACACTGGGGCCTGTCATGGGGTTGGGGGAGGGGGGAGGGATAGCATTAGGAGATATACCTAATGTAAATGACAAATTAATGGGTGCAGCACACCAACATGGCACATGTATACATATGTAACAAACCTGCACGTTGTGCACATGTACCCTAGAACTTAAAGTATAATAAAAAATAGAAAAAAAAGAAAGAAAGAAAGGGAGCAGGTTTCAGCATGACTCTGACTTGAGAGCCTGGCCTGTGGCCCAGTTCTTCTCATTCTAGACATTTGCTGCCTGGGCTCCTCCCCCCACATGATTGTCTTGCCCCAGTGCATCATGGGAAAATCTTGATTAAATACTGTGTTTGTGTTTGGATAAAATAATGTACTATGTCTTGGAATTCCTACCACACAGTGTCTGCGTATTTCTTCTTCCCTGCCTCCTTCCCTCCCCTTCTTCCTTCCTTCACGTGGTTATTGCCAGGCATTGGGATCCACGTGCTATATGCCAGGCATTGGGGTCCACCACTCTGCCTGAGCACTTCAAGAGCTTGCTGAATAAATAACTATTTTTTCTGACATTATTCTTCTGCCTCTAGTAAGGAACAATGGGTTTGTTTGAAGTACAGGCCATTCTTCTCATTCCTAAGCCTCTGTTCTGAGAGCATCGGTGTGGCATTTTTTAAAATTTTTTTAAAAAGGCAGAAGCAGGCCCTTTTTGTGATATTAAACCTCTTAAATGACAAACTGTAATTTGTAGGGGGAAAATGGTTCCCTGAATGCATCTTACATCCTTGAATTCCAAATTACAAAGTTCTTGCTGAAATTGGTTTCTGCCCAGGAGGAGATAACGTCAGTCAAGGAGCTCGCTTTCTGATCAACACTGCCCTTCCCCCAACAGAGTGCGTGGCCGGCAGCAGCACTGTCAAGGCAGAGGAGAGAGCATTCGAGGCAATTTCCATTTCTTACTGGGGTCCTCAGTGAACATTCCAGAGAGGAGACAGTGGTGGGCTCTTGAGGTTATTAAAAGACGATTTTATTTTTAGCAGGGTTGCAAGGGAGCATTGGAGGGAACGTGCAGATGTTTGCAATGGTAATGACCAAGGGGCCCAGCTTGCTTTGCTAAGGCATTTAGTGTACCAGGCCTGCCAGTCACCAGGACAAAAGCGTTGCCTTATACAAGAAGATGATGTCTATTGACTAAAATTAAAGCAATTAAGACTGCTGATAAGCCTTGACCAATACTGAATCTCTTAGTTTTCCTAATTTTTACTCATAGCAATCATCCCATTGATATTGTAGGGTTTTCATAAAGGAGATGAATGGACTGAGTCTATTTTGAGTCTCTTTTGAGCATTTGGAAAGAATCCCAACCCCACACTCCCCATTGTCCTCCCACCACCCTCCCTCTACCCCAGGAAAGATCCTTCTTTGTTCCGTCTCTGCCTTATTCTAAACCAGCTCCTCCCATCAGCGCCGCTCCTTGTGTGTTTCCAAGTCTCTCCAGGCCAGTAATTCCTTTGTGCCCCTGGGAGGAAGCAGAGGGACAAGTGCATCTCAACTCTATTAACAAGAAAACTGATCGCAGAGAGATTCGAGCCTTGCTTCAGATCCTGTCTCAGTCAGCAGGAACACAGAGGGCCTGGGAGTCCTGAATTTCTCTTCAAATCATTACCCTCATTATAAATATTTATGAGCACTAAACTGTACACTTAAAAATAAAGATGGCAAATTATATAGGAAGATTTTACCTCAATTTTTTGGCCGGGCATGGTGGTTCACACCTGTAATCCCAGCACTTTGGAAGGCTGAGGCGGGCGCATCACTGGAGGTCAGGAGTTCAAGACCAGCCTGATCAACATGGTGAAACCCCATCTCTACTAAAAATACAAAAATTAGCCAGGTGTAGTGGCACACACCTGTAATCCCAGTTACTCAGGAGGCTGAGGCAGGAGAATCACTTGAACCTTGGAGATAGAAGTTGCAGTGAGCCGAGATCACGCCATCGCACTCCAGCCTGGTGAAACTATGTCTCATATATATATATTTTAAAGAAAACCAAATTATTGCCCTTCTTGCTTCAGCACCCTGGGGACTCCCTGAAAAGTGCCTCTCTACCTGGTTTTCCAGAGTGGCGTGAGCATATGCAAGCTCCTCAAAGATGCAAGAGTTTCTGAGCCGCTCAGGAGCCCGGACTCTTTGCTGTTTATTTAATAAAATCTGCCCTGGGAGAAACTGACATAGAAGCTCAGACAAGAGGCAGATGCTGCTAAGCTTCTTGGAGGCTGCTCTCTCCCTGTAAAGCAATGAAACATTCCAGGCTAATTTCAGAAACGACCCTTTACATTTTTTTTTTTTTTTTTTTACTTTGAAGACCATATTTCCTCTCTTCTTGATCCTTGTTTGATGAAGGGAAACACTCAGGACTGCAGGCATGAGCTTTAAATGAATGCTCTAGAAGAATAAAGTCTCTCCATGTTTAATGTCCTTTATGTGCTATAAGAATTCTGATTTTTTTCTCCTTGTCATTTTTGGTTAGCAAATCACCAGCTTTCTCTGAAACACACACACCCCTCTGCCTGCCTGTTCCTGATTTAATCATCAGAGTGTGCTGCCCGGGACCAACCTGAGGGGTCGAATGTCATCACAGCTCTGACCCGCCCTTGTTATAGGCAGCACGCCCGTCTTCTTCCAGTGACACCATTTGCATCCCAAGAACAGGACTACTCTCTGGACTTCTGCCCTCTTTTGTGCCATGTGGAGTGCTCCTCAGTAATACTGGGTGACTCACTTGAGTGACCTTTATGCCCTTTAATGTGTCTGATATTTCCCTGCTCAGAGTCGCATTCTGTGACTGGCCAGGCCAGCTCTTGGAATTGTTAACGATGACATTTTTTCCTGTTTCATCAATGCACCAAGCGTCTTCTTATTTCTGGATGGGTTCCATTCCTCATGCTCAAATCCCTTCTGTGAGGCTTTCACAGGGCTGGATCATTTCCATCCATTGGTCTTACTTGGTTCTGGTGTTGAACTTTCTCACAGGCACCTTCCATGACTGCCTGTGTCACTTGAGGGCAGTAATAGAAAAATCAACTCAAACTGGCTTAAATAGGATGCAAATCTAGTGGCTCACATATGTGGCAGCAGAGGCAGTGAGAGTTTCAGGACCAGGCAGCTTGATTACAGCATCAAGGGCCCCTGTGTTCTCTGTTTTCTGCAGCCATAGTGTTGGCTTCTTCCCAAGACTTATTTTTCCCATCAGTGTCACCTGTGCTACAAGCTCCTTCAGTCACATCTATTTTTGATATTTGTGGGTACCTAGGAGGTGCATATATTTGTGGGATACATGAGATACTCTGACACAGATGTGCAGTGTGCACGGATCACAGGGAAATGGGGCAGCCATCCATCCCTTCAAGCATTCATGATTTCTTTGTGTTGTGAACATTCCCGTTGTGCTCTCTTAGTTATTCTGAATGTACAAGAAATTATTGCTGACTATAGTCACCCTGTCGTGCTATCAAATACTAGACCTCATTCGTGGTATCTAACTATATTTTGTACCCATTAACCATCCCCATCTCCCACCCCCTACCTTTCCCACTATCCATCCCAGCCTCTGGTAACCATCCTTCGTCTATCTCCACGAGTTCAATTGAATTAATTTTTAGCTCCCACAAATTATATAGAATATGTGAACTGTGTCTTTTTGTGCCTGGCTTATTTCACTTAATATAATGTTTAATAGGGAAGCAAACATGGCTTCTTGTTCTTTCTTAAGAATGAGAAAAAAACTTTCCCCAAAGTCTTTGGCAATGCACTGCTGGTATGTCACTGGCTCACTCCTGGGGTGGTCACTGTCTACATAATGGGACCACCTTTAACACAATGAGGCACAGCCCCCAAGCTGACTTGAGCTACCCACACTGCCCTGATGCTACTCAAAGAGGGAGTGGTGGGATGGATGTGGAGGCAGCAGCTTCAGCATCTCTCTCCAGGGGTTCTCAGACACCTCCCATCAGAGCTACCTGGGGAGATTCAAAGCCCCCAAGCTTCTCCCCAGCCAGTCAGGTCAGATCTTTTTGGGCAGGGGCCTAGCCCAGTGGTTCGCCAGCTTGGCTGCACCTTAGAAGCACCTGGGGCCTTTAACCAAACCACTCCCCAACCCCAGATATTCTGATTTTATTAATGTCTATTTGATGTGACTTTTGATATAATCTAATTTATCAAGTTTTTTATCACTGTATTCTTTGTGTTGTATATAATAAATCATTAGATATAAGTATTTTTTTTTTTTGAGATGGAGTTTTCCTCTTGTTGCCCAGGCTGGAGTGCAATGGCTCAATCTCGGCTCACTGCAACCTCCACCTCCCAGGTTCAAGTGATTCTCCTGCCTCGGCCTCCCAAGTAGCTGGGATTACAGGCATGCACCACCACGCCCAGCTAATTTTGTATTTTCAGTAGAGACGGGGTTTCACCATGTTGGGCCAGGCTGGTCTTGAACTCCTGACCTCAAGTGATCCGCCCGCCTTGGCCTCCCAAAGTGCTGGGATTACAGGTGTGAGCCACCGGGCCCTGCCGATATGAGTACATTTTTTAAAACCTTCCCAGGTGATTCTAATACAAGGCCAGGGCTGTGAACTCCTGCTATCTGCAGCTGTGTCTACAGCTTTTCCAGCGCTTCTTTC